>NC_000020.11:61249763-61866644 GCF_000001405.40 Homo sapiens
GTCCATGGATTTCAGGTGGAGCCTAGGAACTGGCATTTTTCATGAGTTTCTCTGTGATTTTGTTGCAGATGATTGCAGACCAGAGGTGGGCGTGGCGGGGAATCCCATCAGCATTCAGAATCAATGTAGCAGGTCTGGGGTAAGGCCTGAGTTTCTGCATTTTTAACAAGCTCCTGGGGGATCTTGATGCTGCTGGTCTGGGGACCACACTCAGAGTGACAGGCTGAAGACCATTCTTTGGAGGCACTGCTTTGTATTTTAGGTCATATTTTTCTTTTCTGTCTCAGCAATCTTTGCTGCTGCATTCAGAGTAAGTCTGATAAACCAATGCTCTCTACTGGACTCCTGTCAGTTACTGCAGTGTTTCTGAAACTATGTATTTCGGAAAATGCGAGTTCCCGTAAGACATTACAGCTGTGTAAGAAGGTTTCTTTGAACAAAGTTGGGGCCATGCTGCGTGTGCCAGGGTCCCAGCTCTGGGTGAGAATGCTGGCACTGCAGCTTTCCCCGTGCCTGCCCTCTGCACCCTCCTCTGCCTGACTGTATAGTGGAGTTAGAAGGACTCCAAGAGCAACTTTACATAAAGCTCCTACACATGTCCCTGGCACATAGCTAGCACCTTGTAAGGACAGGCTATTGTCAAACTCTACCCTTTCTGGAAATCACGCTGCAGTAGACTCAAGATTCATTCAGTAGTAGAGGGAGATGTGCTTAACACAGTGTTTGGAGTTCAGGACCCACCTGCTCCTGGACCCCAGTCTCCCTGCCACACACTCATACCTTTTCTTTTTCAAATTGGCGCGCTCCTCAGCGCTTCAACAGTTTCGCAGAGCACGTTGGAGCAAATGCGGGGGTCTGTGATGCCTCTCCAAAGAAATAACTCGCATAATGCTCAGGCCTCCTGCAGACAAAGGTGTATCCCCAGCGACAGATATTTTAAGAAAATAGACCAGGGACACAAGACAAGAGAGCTGTCTTGGTGTCTAAAGCAGTCTTGGACAGCTTCTGATGTCGCTCGAGCAGTGGTGAAGCACCTTGAATAAGGAGGAAAGCAGAGGGGGCGTCTTCCCAAAGGACGGGCACATGGCCGAGGAATGGAATTCTCTGTCCATGAGGATTTTGGATGGATCTGTTCATGAAACCTCACTGGCTACGCAGGACCTTCGAGTGAGTCTAAACCTCCAGCCATGTCAACTGGTAACCTCTCCTTCTTCGGCTAGGTGGGGAGTGGGACAAGGCCATAACTGATAGGAGTCCAGGCTGGGGCAGATTTTGTGTCTCCTGACTAGTTCCATAGTTAAGTTGCAAAACCGAATCTCGCCTTGTGCTCTCGGATGTAGTGCTTACTCTGGTCCTCTGGGGTTATCTAAAATCTGGTTTCCTTAAGCGTAAGGCAGAGCTCTAACCGGGAGACCACCCTGCCCCCAAGGGTGGGGGTTCTGGGAGGGAGAGAGGGAAGCGGCTGCTCTGTAGCTTTCTCTACTGGCTTGCCCAAGTGGACTCTGATCTTGGAGCTCAACAGTGTCACTCAATCTTCCACCCTCTCCTTTGCAACCTATTTCTTAAACCAGAACTAATGTATTCTGGACACAGAGTCCCTGAAACCCCAGACAAAGAAAATTCGATGTATCTGAACAAACAAAACCGCGTTTCTTTAAATCTCCAAGCCAAAAGGAAAAGTGCAGAAACATTTACTCACTGTCCGACCTGTACATATATTTTACCTGATAACCCTTAAAGAAGTGCCCCCCAGTTCAGCCATCACCCATGCAGGGCAAAGGGAGCTGGAGCTGGCCCAGCCTGTCGGCGCAGACACTCCTGACAGCTCCTGTCTGGGCACTTCTTTCTTTCTTGGAGCTTCTAATTTCTTTCTTGGCTTCTGAGGCCTAACAGGGTGTTTTGATGCACACACAGGAATTACTACCGTCCCCAATCCTAGGGTACATCCCTAGCCCAGGCCAGGGCTTTGAGTTTTCCTAGGAGCGGGAGGGTCTGCAAAGCCCCACAGGCTGAAATCTCAGCGTGGCCCTCTGCTCATCTGCTCCAGGTGGAAACTCTCACCCCTGAGCTGCCCGACCTGGGTTCAAGCCCGGGTCAGGGGAGTTAGCAAGGAGACACCTGAAAAATAAAAGGACAGAATGGAAGTGCACACTCCCACCGCGGGCCCGGGCGGGAAGTCGGACTAAGACCGCGGCGGGACCGCCCCATCCAGAAAGGGTGCCCCGGGTGTGGGGGCGGAAACCCCAGCGCTGTCTTCAGTCTCCACACCCGCGCCTTTTTCCCCTGGAAAACGAGCGTCCTTGGCCTCTTCGGCCGCAACCGGGCGGCTCCAGACGTCCAGGAGGGCAGAGGCTGGGCTGGTGCGGCGCGGGGGGCGCGGGCGCGGGCTCTGCGCCTTTAAGGCCCGCGTCGGCAGAGCGAGCGCAGGGGCCGGGCGGCGGGGCGGGGCCTCGGCGGGGCGGCCGCGGCTTCACCTGCAGCTCCGAGCGCGCGGAACAGAGGCGCGGGCGGCTGCGAGGCCGGCGGACGCACCGGCCCGAGGGAACGCGCCGCCGGCCGGACTTGGCCTGGCTCCCGGAGCCGGGGCGGCGAGCGCGGCGGGCGCAGCGGGGCTGGAGGCTCCGGGCAGGCGCGGGGGAGCGGCGGCGGCGGCGGCGATCGGAGCGGCGGCGGTGGTCTCGGCGGCGGCGGCGGCGGCGGCGGCAGGGAGCGGGCTCCCGGTGCCGGGCACCGGGCGGGCGGCGGGGAAGATGACCGCGGGCGCCGGCGTGCTCCTTCTGCTGCTCTCGCTCTCCGGCGCGCTCCGGGTAAGTTGCCGCCTCCCGCCCCCGCCGTTCGGAAGCCCCGGGCAGCGGGAGGTCGTCCCCGGATCCCGCGGGGCGCTCACACACCCGGCGGGGCTCTCCCGGGCTCCCCCGCCGCGCTCCCCGCTGCATCCAGCCCGGCGCCCGCGCTCGGCGAAGCTGCCTGCGGTCGGCAGGAGCGGGAAGCCGCCTGGGCAGCGGGGAGCGGCGGAGCAGGGTGGGAGTGGGGCTCGGTGGAGGACCCGGGGAGCTCCGCCTGCACCGGACCCGCCGAGCCTCCCTCGAACGCCCAAAGCCCGTAGCCGCTACCCGGAGCTCGGCTTGCCTGCATGGGGCAGGCTTCCACTGGCGGAGCCGGCGCGCCCTCCATCGCCCGGGAGCCGCGCGCCGCGGGAGTTGCCGAGCCCAGCCCCGGCCGTGGCTGAAGGCGTGGGGCGCCCGGCGGCTGCGGGCCAGGGATCCGCGAGTGCGGGGCGCCTGCCCGACCTCTCCTGCCCAAGGCCTGGGGGTCCGTCTAGCGGCGCCGCTCAGTTCTGTGGGTGCCGGCAGGACCCGCGCTGCGGGTGGGCGGCGGGGTAGGACTGCGGGGCACTCTCACCCCCGAGCCCTCGGCGGGGCTGGAGCCTGCGTGTCCGGCGGGGCCCCGGGGGCTGGGAGCTGGGCCGGGCTTGGGCCGGGAAGCCGGACGCCGGGCGGGCGCGGCGCGGGAGGGCGCCCCGGGAGGGCGAGCGGGTCTCCCGCTGCCTCTGCAGAGCCCCGCGGGCCGGATTGCCAGCTTTGCTCTGCGCCTGGCGAGGTGCGCGGCCCGCGGGGGCAGAGAGCGCGGCGGCTCCGGGGGCGCCCCTGGGCGGAGGCGGAGGGGCGGCGGGAGTTGCAGGAACCCCCTCTCGTGGCCGATCGGCCTCGCTGCCTTCTCCCGGGCAGCGCTGTTGTAACCTCGGAAATAAACAAGTGCCAGCGGCGGGAGGCCCGCTCCGAGGCCGCGGGGCGCTGGGGGACGCGCTGGGCACACGCTTCGGGCGGGCGGAAACTTTCCTGGGCGAGTTGAGCCTCCCACCGGGCTGCGGGTGCGATTTGGAGCTTCGTGGCCGATGAAGAAAGCCGCGGTTTAGAGCTTTTCGTAAGGAATGACCCTGCGTCCCGCTCTCCTCCCTCGGTGCTGGGGGTAGAGGGGCGCCCTCCGCGGTGCCGGCGTCGGGAAGCCTGGAGCTCCGGGCTGGGGGCGGCCTCCGGAGTCGAAGCATGGGCGGGCGACGGCAGCGCGCGGAGCTGGAGGAGGCGGCGGGCGGGAGGCGCCACTGCCCGGTGCGGGCTGCACCCGAGGCTTCCTGCGCTCGCCGGGGAGCCAAGCACCGCTGTGCTCCTGCTCCTTCAGCGGGGCTGGCTTCCCGCTTGCACACACTGCCTCTCCCTCCACCACCTCCTCCTGCCTGTCACGCCCCCTCCCAGAAGCTTGGTCGGAGGGCCCTGTCGTCCACCCCATCCTTCCCTGGCCCTGTGCCATGGGCTCTAGACTTCCCCACTGAGCAGGAAAGGCGAGCGAGCTCCGGAGGACAGGAGGAGACCCCCTTTCCGGTCAGTTAGGGGAGCCGTCTCCCTGCCTGGGCTGGAGATGGGGGCTCCGAGGGTGAAAATGCGGGCTGAAGACTAGAAGGTGGAAGCGCCCCCACTGCCTCCTCACCCCAGCCACCGGCAGCCTCCCGCAGAGCTGCCTTCTTCGACCGGCTCCGGACCTAGTCCTAGAGAATCTTCTTCCTTTCTCTCCTCTTTCTCCTCCCTCCCGGTGACCTGGAGAGGAGACAAGAAGCTGCCTCCTCCGCCTTACCAAGAGCGCAGAGCGGTGGGCCTAAAGCGCGAATGGTCTGAGCAGAGCCGCCCACACTTTGGCCTCCCTGCCCTTAGTGGCTTCGGGAGCAGCGGCTGAAGTCTTCTGTCTCTGCCTTTTGGTCATTTCTCAGGCGTCTCCTCTGCCAATAAGGCCCTGGCCGGCCTGGCTTCCCCAACAGTCCGTCCTTCACTCCCTGCCTGCTGTGTGTGGGGCTGGGGAAGGATGCTCCTGGTCTGTAGCCTGGAGAGTGCTCCCTAAAGTCCCCAGAGAGCAGAGGAGCAGACGGGGTATCGCGTCTGGGTGGAGACGGTGGCCTGCCAGCCTTTCTCTCTTAGCCAGAGACCTTTTACACAGCAGGCCCTGGATGAATGTTGGTTGGATTAAATTTCTGTGAACTTATTGTTTTACACTCTCCCCTTTGTGTTCTCAGGCCCATAATGAGGATCTTACAACTAGAGAGACCTGCAAGGCTGGGTTCTCTGAAGATGATTACACGGCATTAATCTCCCAAAATATTCTAGAAGGGGAAAAGCTACTTCAAGGTAAGGCGGGGTGTGGAGGGGTGGGAGTGAATTGCTGCCATGCTTTTCCTTGGGGAAACATGTAGATGGGAGAGGCAAGGCTTGCCTCATCTTTGTGCTCTCTGTGAAATGATGGTGGTGAAGTCCACGAGGTGCAAATTGGTTGACCTGAAAGGCGTTTTGCATAACAGGTGAATGATTCAGAACCCCGGTCATTTTTGAGTGAAGTGAATCATTTCCTGGGCAGCAAACTGTAATTCGGATGTAACATCACCCAAATAGTGTGCAGAGAGAGACCTTCTTACCAAGTATTTTTATGCATGAAGTTCTGGATACTTAAATTATCCCTGCTTTGAAATGTATGATAAAGCAGACGATGTTGTTGGAAATGCGGTAAATAAGCCCACAGACGGTCTGTTCACAAATGTGGCATTCATTTTCATTACTGCCCCACTGACAACACGAAAACACACATGCAGGAGGGAACTACCAATTAGCTTTATCGTAATTGCAGGATTATATCCACACTTGTGATGGGAAAGTCAGAGACAGCTTCAAAACTCAGATGACAGTAGATCATCCTGCTTATTGGTCTGTTTCCCTTTCAAGACAAACTAATTAGACTTTATATTTGCATAGGAGGGGACATAAATCAGTTCTGTGCCATGAGCACCTTGGCTGTGAGCCTTTCCTCTCTGCATCAGTTTCCTGGAAGTGGCAGCCTTTGAATTGATTTCAAAGCGATAGAGGAAGAGGACTTTTGATAAAGTATCGAAGCTAAATTTCCACATTCAGGACTGTTGACTGCCCTACCGGTTTTGTGTCCCAGGGAATGTAAACTTTTCCCTCCAGAACTGACAGCGGTTCCTGTGTATGTGTGTGTGTGCATGCATGTGCGTGAACTCGCTCACGCTTATAGTGAAGTGATTTTTCAGATCCTCGCCCTTCAAGACAGAACTTGTTGACGTGCCTTGTTGATTCCTGGTTATGTGGATAGGATTTTTATTTTGCACCGAATCCAAGTTTTCTGACTTAGTTTTTTTATCTAAACTGTGATACTACTGACTCATTAATCATCAAAAAAATAAAAAATCTCTAGGCAGTCGGCCTAGGAGCAGAATAGATGTGCAATCTAACAGGGCATACATAGTAAAGAGCTTTCAAGAGCTACTCTGTTAATTGCACTGTGTATGTCACTTTGGAGTTAGAACGGGTAGGCCATTTTCAGGATCGTTTGGTTTACTGAGAATCTCAGTGGACTCCCAGAGAAGGCCTGAGGGGATCCTTCACTCTCAGTGCGTTGGACGGTCTCTTATAACTCGTGGGGCACTGACTGCAGTCTGCTGTGTGCATGTCCTGCTGTGCTGAAACTGGCATCCTTAAGTTCTCTGATTATGTGGCCAAATATGATAAGACCTTGGAGTATCCATTTTACTCAGGCACTTCAGAAAAATGCCTCTCTTTTTATTAATAAATACTGCTTACTACAGAAGAGAATGACAAATTCTCATGCTTTCTACAACGCAGCGTGAGATTTCAAACAAGGATCTCTTCCCTTTCATGGTGTGTTGTGTGGGGATATCTGCTCCAGTGGTCCAGGCCAAACCGTGCTGTGCTCTTGATCAGTGTGGTGGGAAAGCCTAGATCACTGGCCGGATGTCGGCCTGGCCCCTGTGCCCAGGTGGTGTTCGCCTCGTGGGGGGCCAAGAGTCACATGCCCCTGGGTGAATCTGGACCAGCTCAGACATTGTGTGGACTCATTTTCCAAGTGCCCGTTGACTTACGTGTGCAGCCCAGCCCAGGGCTGGTTCAGGGAAGCATTGCAGAGAATCTCCCAAGCACCTGAGCATGCTGGGTCCTCTCTGACCCTCCTCTAGGGGCTGTAGTCGCATTGCTTCTCCTGCGCCTGTGTGGGTCCCCTTCTCACTGTTTTCTTCCACTCGTTCTTCTGAAGGTGTAGAGTCTCAGGAAGAAAGAGATGTTTTATATCTTACAAATAATTTTGCACATATGGAGGCAAGAGCTAAGGCTGACAGGCACTGAAACGAGGGCACAGTGACATTTCTCTCTGTACGCAGAGTACTTTGAAACTACAAGACCACAGTGAGGAGGCCTGTGTGAAGAGGAAACAGGAAGTGTGGTGTTTCTGTTATTCTGGTAGGAATCAAGTTAAACAGATAATGACTACTTATAATTGAGTTATTCCAGCGGAGAGAGCTTAACCTTAATTTGACGAGTGAAGCTTCACAGAGTGGCCATGTTCCTCTGAGTAGGCCATGAGCTATCAGCGACTGCTCCGTGGCTCCTTCTCTTTGCCTGAGTCAGCTCACAGCAGCCCCAAACATACAGATTCCAGCAGGAGCGATTTGTTACACGGTAATTAACTTGTTTATGATAAATGGATGGAAGAAATGTCGTGGCATTTTGTTTTATGTCTAAATGAAAAGCATTTGCATTCTAAAAATTTCATGCTAATTAGGCTGGAAATAGTTTTCCCCAATAGGGTAGCAAATACTATGTATTACGAACCTTCCGAGAAGCGGAGCCGCGAAGTATGGAAATGCGGGACTTCGCTGCTGATCGGAGCCTTCCGAGACGCCGCTCCTGTGTCCCCTGCCTGCGCTTTTTCTGGAGAGCATTTGAATGCAATTGCATATACTCTTATGCTGTACTTTTGTTTTTAGGATAATTCACTTATGGCCCTGATCACTGATGCATGGCCGTATCTAAAATAGGACGGTGAAGCCGTTTGCCTTAGGCTAAAATGCAGTGTTCTCTAAACCGTAGTTTAGTCTGGGGTGATGGCTAAGCTGGTATCTTTTTCTCTGCTTTGTTAATAATTAATGGCCAGCCCGCCCGGAAGCTGCAGCCTGGTACGGTGACCTGCATTGCTCTCCCGCGTGGTGGGCGGAGTCTAGGCACACCCAGACCCGATTCATAACTCGTAGAGGCGGGAGAGTCCTAGGTGGCATAGTGGGAACCGAGGGCTCCCGGGTCGTATCTCCCCTCTATCCTGCAACGAAGCGGGAACAGGTGAGTGGAAACGCTGTTCACTGGGGATGGGGCGGAGCCTGGCATCCTCAGATTAACATGGGTACACTATGGGCCACAGAGTATAGAAAGAGGAGCTTGGCTGGGTGCGGTGGCTCACGCCTGTAATCCCAGCACTTTGGGAGGCCGAGGCGGGTGGATCACGAGGTCAGGAGATGGAGACCATCCTGGCTAACATGGTGAAACCCCGTCTCTACTAAAAATACAAAAAAATTAGCCGGGCGCGGTGGCGGGAGCCTGTAGTCCCAGCTACGTGAGAGGCTGAGGCAGGAGAATGGCATGAAACCAGGAGGCGGAGCTTGCAGTGAGTCGAGATCGCGCCACTGCACTCCAGCCTGGGCAAAAGAACGAGACTCCGTCTCAAAAAAAAAAAAAAAAGAAAAAAAAAAAAGAAAGAGGAGCATGTTTCTAATGACTTAACGTGACGTCCTCAGCAAAGCCTTGCCTCTCCCCGTTTCTCAGTTAGTTTAGGACCATCTTGTGTACCCTCGTACCACCCTCTGCCTCCTTACTGGAGAACTTACATTATCTGGCCAATCATCTCTCTTACTTAAACTCTCTGGTTTCTGAGGGTAAGAGCTCTGTCATTCTTATTTCTATTTATATCATTTCAGGATGTTCTTGGCCAACAGAATAAAACCCAATTCACATAATCTTAAATAAATGGGAGTAAATTTTTCTTACATAACCGTGAGTGCAGACATAGGTGGTCACATGCTGGAACAGCAGACAAGGGACACGGTCATGTGCCTGCCTAATCCTCTTCTTCCATTCTGCCATCTTTAGTGTGTCATTTAGTGCCTCGTCACTGCAAACTGGCTGCTGTGGTTCCAGTCGTTGCTTCTGAGTTCAGAGCAGAAGAAGGTGCAGATAGTAGCACCATCTGCATTTCTTCCCTGTACCAGGAAGACAAACACTTTCTCAGAATCCCTGCAGAAGTTTTCATTGACTAGGTCACAGGCCACTCTTAGCTAAACTGATGGGGGTGGAGCACTGGGAATGCAGAGAATTGCATTGTCATGTGTGTCTTAGATCCATTATAATCCATCACATGGTAGGTGTCCAAATTGCTCGTCTCAGAACAGAATTGGGGCTTTGTTTTAGGAAGGAAGAAGGAGGGATGGATGCTGAGTAGACCTTCCCCAGTGCCCAGTGCTGTACCCGAAGCAGAGTTGACAGACAGTGAATTGCTGAATGAGTGAATGACTCATTTGCATACAAAGGCATTCAGACAGAGGCATGGTTGAAGAGAGATCAGATGCAGTGTCTGGAATCCATATCTAAGAATCTGCCATTTCTGCCACACTGCATGGCCAGAAGTACTATTATCTTGTCTTTACAAGTAGGTTGAAGATAGGCTCTTTGCCCATGCAGTTTGGTTTGAACCACCTCTGCATAGATAGGCAACTCTTCCAGGGCAGACACATGCTAGATACACAGGCAAGAATGTCATCCCATCTCCCTGCATAGCCGATGTCCAGCACCGGCCTAATGCATGGTGGCTGTGAAGTCAGTATTAGTCAAATAAAGTAATGAATGAGCCGGAAAATACTGACACTGTTCGTGTTTCCGAGTCGCTTTGGTTAACTCACAGCAGACAGGGAGCTGCTATGAATATTCCCATAAGTGGCACTAATGATAAGCCAACCACATATGCCTGGAATTATTAGACACTGGAAGTTGCCTGTCCAGTATTGATTCTCTCTCTCTCTCTCCCTTGCCAACAAACCTCATCTGTGCTAGTCCATTGGCTGACAATGTGCCCTGTTTAATACACCTCTAGACTCATTTACACCAATGTGGCAATGTGGCTTCTTTCTGGTCACCGGTATCTAATTAGGTTAGTCTATTAGGTTAGGCTTTGGGGAAAGCTGTTTTTATTCTTGATAACAAGGAACAAACTGAGCTGGCCATGCCTTCCACCCTTTGCTCTTACTTCTTCCTCCTACCTGGAACTCAGATGTGATGGCTGAGGGAAAGCAGCCATTTTGTGAGTTTGAGGATGGTGGAACACAAATTGGGTCCCAGAAGGCATCCTCAAACAATGGCAGAGCCCTGGACTCATTGTCTCCTGAGTGGTGAGAAAAATAAGGTCAAAACACCACGCTTGGTTTTGTTGTCACATGCAGCCTCGTGCATTCCCTGACTTAGGAAAACTGCACACTAGCAAAGTCAAACTCTGTCCTGAGCCTAGGTTTTCAGGCTCCCTCTACCCTCCAGTGTTCCTTGGACCTTGGCCACTTGCTCTTGCTTTAAAGGCCCTCCTCTGCTCCTTTTGTGAATTGATGTCTGCACCTAGCACACTGGATTGCAGAGAGCATGTCATGAATACTTGGTAACTGTTTGTTGAATAAATGAACAGTCACTACTCCACGCTGTCTTATGCCCAGGAGATGAAAGAACCCTTAGATATATTAAGCCGGGACTATCTGAACCCCCACCAGAGAATGTAAACTCTTTGCTGGATCTCATAGTGATGCTTCTCCAGGAAGTCAGGAGTTATGTATTGGGGGTTTTGCCTCTGGTCACAATATCTACTGGTTCTAGGGAACCTTGGTCTCTGTAGCGAAGCAGAATTATGTGAAGGCTGGGTGGGACTCAGACCCCACTGGTGGCTTGGGTGAGCTCAAAGCCCAGACTTTCTTGCTGTCAAAGTCAGAGGACTACTTCTTTCTGAGCACCCAGACCCCCACTGCCTCCATGGGTGGTCACTTCAGGGATCCCCAAAAATGGGCACGCAGAGCCCATGAGGGAGACCGTGGGATCTCTTTGGCCATCTCTGGGGGTGGTCCTTGCCTTTTCAAGGGGCCGTTATTGTTTGAGGTTTCCAGCAGCTTTTCCCTCTTATAGTTTTGTCTGGTCCCAGGGTTAAGAGGTTCAGAAAGGGAAGTATATATCCTGTCTTTAGAAAGTGGTTGCTATCAGATAAAAGGTAGGAGCGGCCCAGGAATAAAGCACAGAAAGCGCTGCATGGTGCATCATCTGCAGGCCAAATCCCACTCTGAGAGAGGGTCCTGGTAGCCCTGGTTAGAAATAAAGCGAGGCAGAACACTGCCGCCCCGGGCTCTGCACAGCCACTTGCCCCTGTGTGCAGCTGCTTCTCACAGCTCTGCCTTCCATCGCAAGAGGGAGCTGTGGTCAGTGGCCCTGCTGCTACCCAGGAGGAATCTAGGCTCAAGGAGGTGGCCACACCTGCCCCAGATTCCTAAGTCAGTGGTTCCTTAGTCAGTGATTCCTAAGTCAGTGATTCCTAAGTCAGTGGATCAGGATTCCCACCCTGCAAGATTCCTAACCGCTGCTTCTCTATGCTCACTGCCACTAAGCAGACCCCCTTCATTGTAGAAGGCAGTGCATGCACCAGCTACAGAAATGAGGATGTGTGAACTCACTGACGCTGTGACTTAAAGATTCAGGTTTTGCGTTTGAGAAATATGTGTTTTAATGAGTCTTCAGATGAGGGAGCATGAGGCTTTGCAGAATTATAATATAATAACATTATGTTCTGTCCAGTCCTTGGTATACGATATCTCATTTAACTTTCACAAAAGCCCTTCCAGGGAGGTAAAATTGTTCTCATTTTATGGATCAGTAACTGATGATCGGTGAGTTCTGGAGATTGGCCTAAGGGTAGGAGATTTGCTCTGTTTTCCCTCTTTGTGCAGTCCTAGGCACTTAGCTCATTCCTATCTCCAAATTAATGTTAAAGAAGATGGTTTTAGAGCACCACTGTCACGTGCAGACAGGATCGGACCCAGATGTTCAGGGCCACAGCCATAAGACCAGCAGTGACCAGGCACACAGGTATGTGCAGTAAACAGAGGCCCTCAGTGTGTCAGAAAGTGCTTGGTTGCAGTTGCTCATGTATAAGGCTCAACTGAAGTGGGTCTAAACTCTCGACACCGGGGGTTTGCAAAACCAGCCCTGGGATTAGAAGAGCCCGCGGCTTCTGTGATGCCAGTGGGAGCTTTCAATTCTGAGCATGCAGCGAGCAGTCCCAGAGCCGAGCTCTCTCTCGGATTTTAGACTCTGCCAGCGCTGGGGAAGCCGGGCAGAGAGGGAGCAGAGAGAAGAGTCCGGCTGGTCCTGGAAGCCCTGAGCACGTTCCATCTGAGCTGGGTTTATGCACGGATCCATTGTTGTCAACACTCACGTTGTGACATGGGGCACCAGGAACCTTAGTGAGGCCGGTTACAGATTGAGAGAAAGTGCCACGACTGTGCAGCTGGCCAGCCGGGGCGGGGCTCCCTGACGGCCTCTCTTGAGCTGATGCCGTGAGAGCTGGTCCTGAGGCTGCCGTGGCCTTTCTGCCCATGTCGGGGTCCTGGGTGTCTGCAGAGATCTCGTACTCTAAGCTGAGAGAGAGCAAGGTGCTTGGTATAACTTGAAACAGTCTGAAGATGTGGTGCTTTCCGAGGTTCACGTGGGTTCCCGTTTTCTGCCAAAACCCCTTGCGGCGAAGCCCCTTTGCACGCTTTTGCCTCCAGGGGTGGCCTTCCTGGGCGCAGGGTCACTTCCACTCTGGGACTGCGTGGCGACTGGGTTGGTGTAAGCTTCCAAGACCTGTGGCTTCTTTGTTTCAGAAATAATGATTTTTCTAATTCTACCCTGCAGTGTTAAAAAATCACAATGAAATTCATAACCAAGTTCAAAGGAAGTGTATTTGGTGTGTGCATCCCTGTATTGTGTGCTCCATGACACTAATTTCAAAATGTGGAAATTTTGTGACTTCTCTTATGTTGCAAATGGAGGTGGATAAAGGAAAGGGCTTTTTCCTCCTTACCTCCTTACCTCCCACCCTCCTTCCTCCTTCCCTCTCTCCTCCCTCCCTCCTTCCCTCCTTTCCTCTCTTCCCTCTCCCCTTCCCTCCCCTTCCCCTCCCTCCCTCCCTTCCTTCCACCCTCTCTCCCTTGCTCTCTCCCTCCCTCCCTTCCTCCTTTCCTTCCTTTCTTTTTTCTTTGAAAGCTGGGTTAAGTAGATGCCAGGACTAATCATGAACTGAGAGAGAGAGAGAGAGAGAGCAAGCAAGCATTCATCTTTTCAAAAAGTGTGCCTATTATTCTGACTTTTTGAAGAAGTAATTTCTCCTCCAAGTGAATTCCACTATAAAAAATACCATAAGCCGAATGAAGCTTCTTTCCGTCAAGGGCGGTAAAGTTCTCCCCGGTGTGTTCTTGTAAAACCTCATGGCATTTGCAGGCTCCTTCAGTCCCCAGAGTGGGACTGTGGTGTCTGGCAAGCTGGGCTGGTAAAATCCTTGGTTTTTCGTCAAAAGGCTCAGAATTTTGGTGCCTTTTTGCCCGGGCTCTGGGCTGCCCTCTCCTGGTGGCCTCCGGTATTGTCTCTGGCTGGTGTCTGCTTTCAGTTCTTAAACAAAAGAGAACAAACCAACCAAAAATCCCTATTTAATTATCTTTGACCCAGTATGTGCTCCCCGAGGCCATTTTCCTGGCAACCCCCACATCAGGGGCCAGGAAGGAGGGGAGGAGCTGTTGTTTGGGGGGACTTACCATGTGCCAATGTGTCTTCTCATTTAACGCTGTCAGGAGACCTGCAGCCTAAGGTAGTTAGAAGGCATGCCCCAGATCACTCGGTATGGGCAGGGGACTTTGTCTGTATGTTTTTATCTCCCACACTGCCTTTTCCAGGAGGAATTTACTTAGATTACAAATTGTATTATTTTCTTATTGCAGTATAAATCCCCACATATGTAGCAGCTTAAACAACACAAAGTTATTATCTTGTGGTTCTGAAGGTCAGAAGTCCAGCTCCAGTCCCTGTGCTGAAATCAAGGTGTCTGCAGGGTGGGTTCCTTCTGGAGGCTCCTGGGGAGAATCTGTCTCCTTGTGCCTCCCAGCTCCTCAGGGCTCCTGCACTCCTTGGCTCCTGGCCGCTTCCTCCGTCTTCAGAGCCAGCCGTGAAGCATCTCTGTGCCGTCCTCCAGGGTCATTGAGGGTCACTGGTCACATCCACCTCTCTCTACATCCTTCTCTTCCACTTGTAAGAATCCCTGTGATTACCTTGGGCCTCCCTGAGTAACCCAGGATAATCTCCCGTTGCAAGACTCTTAATTCAGTCACCTCTGCCAAGTCCCCACTACCACGTGAGATCCCAGGCTCACAGCCTCCGGAATTAGGATGGGGACATCTCTGGGGAGTCGTGATTCTGCTGACCACATGCGTGTCTGACGACAGAGCAATCCTAGCAGGTGTGTGTGGGAGTTTCCCACTGGCTTCCGCACACTAAGGACTTGCTATGCGTCCCACACTGTGCGGTGACCTTCATTCAACCCTGCAGAACCCAGTGGTTCCTTCATTCAGTCCTACACATACCTCAGTGGTTCCTTCATTCAATCTTACACATATCTCAGTGGCTCCTTCATTCAATCTTACACATATCTCAGTGGCTCCTTCATTCAGTCCTACACATACCTCAGTGGCTCCTTCATTCAGTCCTACACATACCCCAGTGGCTCCTTCATTCAGTCCTACACATACCCCAGTGGCTCCTTCATTCAGTCCTACACATACCTCAGTGGCTCCTTCATTCGGTCCTACACATACCCCAGTGGCTCCTTCATTCAATCTTATACATACCTCAGTGGTTCCTTCATTCAATCTTACACATACAGTGGCTCCTTCATTCAGTCCTACACATATCTCAGTGGTTCCTTCATTCAATCTTACACATACCTCAGTGGCTCCTTCATTCAATCTTACACATATCTCAGTGGCTCCTTCATTCAGTCCTACACATACCCCAGTGGCTCCTTCATTCAGTCCTACACATACCCCAGTGGCTCCTTCATTCAGTCCTAGACATACCCCAGTGGCTCCTTCATTCAGTCCTACACATACCCCAGTGGCTCCTTCATTCAGTCCTACACATACCCCAGTGGCTTCTTCATTCAGTCCTACACATACCCCAGTGGCTCCTTCATTCAGTCCTACACATACCTCAGTGGCTCCTTCATTCAGTCCTACACATACCCCAGTGGCTCCTTCATTCAGTCCTACACATACCTCAGTGGCTCCTTCATTCAGTCCTACACATACCCCAGTGGCTCCTTCATTCAGTCCTACACATACCCCAGTGGCTCCTTCATTCAATCTTACACATGTCTCAGTGGCTCCTTCATTCAATCTTACACATACAGTGGCTCCTTCATTCAGTCCTACACATAACTCAGTGGTTCCTTCATTCAATCTTACACATACCTCAGTGGCTCCTTCATTCAATCTTACTCATATCTCAGTGGCTCCTTCATTCAATCTTACACATACCCCAGTGGCTCCTTCATTCAGTCCTACACGTACCTCAGTGGTTCCTTCATTCAATCTTACACATACCCCAGTGGCTCCTTCATTCAGTCCTACACATATCTCAGTGGCTCCTTCATTCAATCTTACACATATCTCAGTGGTTCCTTCATTCAATCTTACACATATCTCATTGGCTCCTTCATTCAGTCCTACACGGACTTCAGTGGTTCCTTCATTCAATCTTACACAGACCTCAGTGGCTCCTTCATTCAGTCCTACACATATCTCAGTGGTTCCTTCATTCAATCTTACACGGACCTCAGTGGCTCCTTCACTCAATCTTACACGGACCTCAGTGGCTCCTTCATTCAGTCTTACATGGACCTTAGTGGTTCCTTCTTTCAGCCTTACATGGACCTCAATGGTTCCTTCATTCAGTCCTACACATACCTCGCAATCTTACACAGACCTCAGTGGTTCGGGGTGGCATCTCCACTTCACTGTTGAGGAAACTGAGGCATGGAGCCATTGAGTGACCTGGCATGAGCTGTGGGTCAGGGAGGTCTATCTGAAGGAATGCTCCAGCACTTAGCCACAGCCCACTGGTTCTCAGCCCGTCCTGCCTGGCTCCAGGAGCTCCTGCCACCTGCCTTATCCAGTGGCTATAATTAGGACTCAGAGGGGCAGTGTCCCTTGTGGGTCCTGAGGTGGGGATTTGCTGCTTTGGAACTCCACAGGGTGAACTGCCTGGGAAGCCCATAGCAGCTTCCGATCTGGGCCCTTCTAACTCTTCCTCGTTTGGATTCACTGTGCTTTCCTGCTGAGAGTATGTGGGGATTTAGGGAGGATTAAGGTAAGCCTTCCATGACAGATAAATATCCACAGGGCCCCAGAGTGCCGCCCGCACCTTGCTAACAGGAAGCTGATCCTTGAGAGTTTGGGTGCTTCCCAGCCCAGGAAAGATGGCCCTGGTACAGCCGCAGGTGTTGAGAGGTGTGCTTTCTCCTGGAATGGGTGCATTTTCCATATGGAGTATGATTTAATGAATTTCCAGCCCCAGAGTGTGGGTATTGGACACTCTGTCTCTCCCCAGGGGAGGACCTAGCTCTCTTTGTCTCTGGAGAAGGCAGAGGAGAAAGGCTTGCTTTCCAGGCCTCTTTTCAGGAGTGTGCCCTTGGGTTTCTGTGTCTGTATTGGAGAAATGTTGACATTTTTTGCTTTGCGTTTGTTCTGGCCACCCAAATGTGAGTTGAGATGCCATCTATATTGATGTGCCTAGAAAAGCAAGAAGGAAGGTTGGTGCATGAGTTTGCTAGGTATGAAGTCCCCGACTTCCGCTTCCAGGAAGGTCCAAGGAGAAACGCAGGCTGCAGCCCCCGATAGGGTGCAGAGAGATGCTGGTGGGGAGTCTGGAGAGGGATGAATTGGGTGAGGGCCCTTCCTTCTCTGGACCTCAGTTTCCCTGTGCAAAGCAGAGGGGTAAGATGTCCAACTGTGGTCCAGGAACTCCCTGCCTGGGGGGTGCTTGCTAAACTCGCCAGCCCCGTGGGTCCTATCCCAGACCTACTGGAGGGTGCCGACAGTGGCCCACAAAGGATCCATCCACGCAGAGCCTCCAAATGTAACATTATTTGGAGAAAGGGTCTTTGCAGATGTAATCAGTTTCAGAATCTCTAGATGAGATCATCCTGGATTACCTGGGTGGGCCGTAAATCCAAGGACAACTGTCTTGACAAGAGACAGAGAAGACACAGACTTGGAGGGGGAGGCCCCGTGAAGTCACAGGCAGAGATTGGAGCAATGCAACCACAAGTCCAGGAATGCCTAGAGTTCCTGGAAGGTGGGAAGGTCAAGGAAGGACACTCCCCTAGAATCTGCAGAGAGAGAGAGCAGCCCTGTTGACACTGGGATTTCAGACTTCTGGCTTCCAGAACTGCAGAAGAATACCTTTCTGTTATCTGAAGCCACCAAGTTTATGGTCATTTATTACAGCAGTCACAGGGAACGAATCCACCCACTGAACTGGGAATCCTGGGACTGTGACCTGGGACTCTGCTGTTTCTCTCCATCTCCCAGGGAATCCGATCTTTGCGAAAGCATCAGGGCTTCAGGCTTAGAGGATGTTTAGCCTCCGATTCCCCAGGGGCTGCATCCCTTGAGAGAAACCGTGTTACCTGGGAAGGTGTCTGCCGAATGTAACCAGCATCTCAAAGTGCAGCTCAGGTGGGCGGCTTGAAACAGTGCTGGGTGTTTCCATCCCACCAGAAAGGCAAATGAGGCACTTTAGTGTAGTAATGGGGTATTTTATATTGTAAAGCATGACATGGAACAATTTCATTGGAATTAAAATGTATATGGAACATTTGTTCTCCACCCATTATCTTCCTCTATCAAATGGAATCTTAACAAGGATTATAGCTCAGATAATATCACATAGATATACTGTAAATATTTTGTTAATCTAAAGGTCTGCGTTGGGGAATGGATCGTTCAACAGAGACAGAGAGGAGAGGCACACTCCCTCTGCTGATGAGATGTGGAGGGATGCAGAGAGGAGCTGGGCACTCTCTGGCGTTTTTAGAACATGCCTCTTCTCTGCCCAAAACCGCTTTACTGTGGAAATGCAAAAATATTTTATTTCTGGCTGCAGGAGTCTCCTGTCCTGTGTTTCCAGCAGCTGTGTGTCTGCAGCCTGGCTGAGGGTTCGCACACAGCTCAGGAAAGCGGCTGCTGAGTCTGGCTTCAGGGCAGATCCGTGTCCCTCTTGCAGCCTGTGTTGCAGCGGGCTGATTGCAGACGTGGGTCTGGGCCTGTACTTGACAGGGGAATGCTCTTTGTACCCCTAAGGGTCTTCTTCCGACATGTGTGGCTGTGGGACACACAGCCTGCCCTCCCATCTCTCTTTCTGTGTTGGGCAGCTGGAGAGCCAGTGCCTGGAATGGGAGCGGGCCTGGCTGGCCCAGGGGGTGGCATGTAGCTGGATGCCAGAGCATCTCGGGTCCACCCACCTCTCCAGCATGGATCCCGAGGAGGGGCTCCAGGCCGAGGAGAGGAGAAGGCACCTCTGGCTGCGCTTGACCTTGTCCTGCTCATGTCTCGGAGCATCTCAGCCAGAACCAGGAGGCAAAGCCAGGCAGTGGGAGCCGAGTGGGACCTGCACACGGGGAGGCCCAGGCCAACAGGTCAGTGGGCTGAATTGCTTTTTCCTGATGCCGGGTTGGCTTGCATCAGCGAGAACTTGAAAGAGGAAGATACCTTTTCTCCTGTCTTCTTGTTTTCTTCAGGGGGTGCTATGGTTTGAGTATTTGTCCCTTCCAAATCTCTTGTTGAAATGTGATCCCAGCTGTTGGAGGTGGGCCTGGTGAGTGTTCATGAGTGGTTTGGTGCTGCCCTTGTGGTAATGAGTGAGTTCCCACTCTGTTAGTTCCTGGGAGAGCTCATCCTTATAGAAAGAGCCTGGCACCTCCCTCTCATTGCTCTTGCTTCCATTCTTGCCATGTGATCTCAACACATGGGCTGCCCTTTGCCTTCTGCCATGAGTGGAAGCTTCCTGAGGCCTCCCCAGAAGCAGATGCCAGTGCCATACTTCCTGTACAGCCTGCAGAACCATGCGCCAAATAAACCTCTTTTCTGTGTCACTTACTCAGCCTCAGGTGTTCCTTTATAGCAACACCAATGGATTAAGACAATGGGATATTACCAAGGCTCTGGACGATTTGTGGGTGGGGACAGCCGCTGGTGTTTGACTCCTGCATCCTGCAAATGTGATGAGGAGTGTTGCGCAGACACCTTGGGTGAGCATCAGAACCCCATGGAAAGCCCTGTGGTGGTCCTGGGGCTCGGCCCCACTTGAGGGGTTAACAGCACCACTGTCTGTTGTTCTGGTCCACTGATGGAGCCCTCCCCATGCCGGGTGCTGCACCGTACCAGCTGGGTTCATCTGCATGACCACCCTAGGCAGGAGGCATGTTACTAACCCTCCTTTCACAGAGTTGGGGTGCTGACATAGGACAGTTTGGCACTGCCACTACCTTAGTGGCCCTGGAGGAGCCAGGATTGATGGGGGGCAGCCTTCAGAGCCCAACCCTCCACCCCATCCTCTGTATCACCTTGGAACCAGCCCCCCATGGAGACCTGGTATACCCCGTTGCCTGGAGAGTCCACATTTCTAATCCTTAGCCATCAGCTCTGTGACACTGGACCATTTTGTGGCCTGTGTGACCTTTCCTACCTCCATAGGAGGGAGATGCCAGGTCCATCTCATGAGGGCCTGGAAGACCCAGCAGGGTGATCCGTGTCCCTGTGTATGGAGGCACCAGGCTCTGGAAACACCAAGGCTTGCTGGCTTGCTCTTATTTATTAATTATTTATTAGTTATAATTATTTATTTAATTAATTATACTTATTTATTAATGTAAACACATCAGGCCCTGCTCCGCCAAGCAGACCCCAGTCCTGCCAGAGCTGCCCTCCTGCTCTCCTCCTCCTCTTCTGGTCCCTGTGAAGTGACCTGCCTGGCTGCTGATATTTGGGAAAGGTGAGTTGCTCTCCCAACCCCAGGCTCCAGAGGCTCCCGGCGGGGAGACTGTCAGATAGCAACTCCATGTTCCCGACGCATGACCGGACCTCCAGAGCCAGTGGTACTCATTTCCACATGGCCCCGGCTGTTGACGATGACCTTAAGCTCCCCTGACCAATCTCCTCCAGAATCTGGCCCCCAGATGTGGAGAGGGCCGGCCGACCTTTGCGGCAGTCATTTTTCCATCAGAAGGTGGCTTGATTTGATGGGTTTTATGGTTTTGTTTAGATACTTTCTCCCCTAATGGTCTTTACATTTCTTATGTGTGGCCCAAGATCTTTTGGCAAAAGGCAGGCTTTAAAAATTGAATAAATAAATTATGGAGAATGGCTTATTTAAAGCTCTGTTAGGCTGATGGGGGAGAGAGGCGGCAGTGAACGTAAGTTACCGGCTATCGTTATTTATTAATCAGGTGTTGGTATGATTGGATTACGCCGTATCCTATTTAATGCTTGGGCAGCGATGAACTGATGGGGTTTAGAAGTAAGTTGTTCTGAGGATAGGCCTTCTGCAGCCTGCAGCTTCTTCTCAGGTTATCTTATTCTTTTCCATCTTCCCTCAGATACAAAGAAGGGATTATATAACTTGTTTTATCTAGTTCTTATATTTTAAGATAAAAATGGAATACCAGTGCTGGGCCGAAGGCTATAAAATTGTGATCAAGAGTCCGTAAAATTATAGAACTTATGTTTTCTTGAGAAGAGAGAGGATTCACAATGACTTTTTCCTTAAAGGTGCTGGACACTTAAGGACTGACCCGCACAGACGTGTAAGATACTCTTCCATGTGGAGCAAAAAAAATAGAGTTATGTGCTTGAAAGGTTAATGGCTGGTAAACGTCAATTTTCTTCAATCCTGGCTAATAAAAATAGCTTATAAGACATAAAATGTCATGCTGCCAAAATTACAGGGGCCTTTGAAATCCATTTTGAAGTCTCGTATCCTTCGTAAATGGTAGTGGGGTGGGGGTAGTGTGAGCTTCAAGTGTTTTTTTGTCATGGTTGAGTGATGGCACCTTTGCGGGGAGGTCGAGGCAGCTCTGGAGTGGTGAGGATGTCTTCCTGTCTTCCTCTGGGGTGTTTTTGGGTTAAACGTTTACCATCCTCTGGATTCATAGTCTGGGAAACTTTCTGAGGCACATCTTTATTGCGGTCGATCTAGCCGCCCTGACACACTTGGACCCTACGGGGCAATGTTAAATACTATAAGCACAATATTCTCTAAAAATCTCATTTCTAAATATGATGGCAGTGACAGGCTTTTGGTAGAATCCCTGACATTAGAATGGGTCTGTCTTCACTTTTTGGGTTGGAATTTCAGCACGTCAAGATTTTGGAACTCTCCAGGGTTTTAAAGGGATGGACTGGGGGGCTGGGAGAATAAGGACTTCTTCCTATCGGCATCTCTACCCCCATGGCCCCATCTCATCTGCTTTACTTGGGATGCAAGTTTGAGGGGACAGCGCAAAGGTTCTGCGACGAGAGCAAATGTGGAGAGCCTGGCTTCCGAAATAATTGCTGATCGTGAGTTAATTTCCCAGTGCCCTTTGGGGCTGGCATCCTCTGCTGTATTAAATCCAGCCCATTGACAATGGCGCTCCTTCTTCCTAAGTGATAGAAGACAGCCCTCAGCATCCAGCCCTGCTGAGTCAGCACAGCAGAGAGGACAGCGGGCTGTCTTTGTCATTTCTTTGTGAGCAGAGGATTAAATTGCCCTGTGGGCTGGCACGGAGCCACAGGCCGTGGCTTTGCATCCTACAACGTGAGGCCCCGGCCTGGGGGTTCTCAGGTCTGTGCTCACATCCCAAACATCTCCCACGCTCTCCCCCGGCCTCTTCTTACAGCGGTGCGTGAAGCCACGTGAACTGAACATCAGAATTTGATTTTTCCACCCCACCAACCTGGAGGTTGTGCCTTACCCTGGGCAAGTGAGAGAAGGTGCCCCTCACGAGATGGTTCTGTCACAACGCCATGGTCCTGGTTTTGCCTTTTTGCAATGGAAAGATGAAAACGAGGTGTCGCTGAGCTCTCCCCTCAACGTGCCAAGATTCTGTTTTCGGGGATAGGCTGGGACTCCGGGCTGACCCACATGGGTTTGCACGTGCTATGTTTAAACAAGGCAGCTCGCTGATTGGGGGCAGGGTGGGCAGGGAGCCGTGTGCATGGAGGACGGCCAGAGAGAGCGGGGGACCGGGAGGCAAGGCGCTGCTCTTGTACTTGGTGGCTTCCTTCTTTCACTTAAAATTGTGTCATTAATGGCTTTTCCTCCTTTTACAAAAGAAGCCCCAAGAAGAGTTTTTTCATGCCAGGCCTCCTCCTCCTCCTCTTGGCAGCCCCGAGGCTGCAGCCTGCTGGCACTCAGGATTGTCAGAGACATGCCCCATTGTTGGATTCTAAAAGGAGGATTCTGGAAGGATATCAATCTCCGACTTGCACATAAAAAGTCCCCCAGTGGCTTTCTAAGGTTGTGGCTTCAAGGAGGCACTAATTAATCACTTCCTCCAGCCCCAGTGGAATGGAGGGGCTACTTCTGAGATAGGGAGGCTGCAGTCGCCCCCTGTCTATCTGCTCCTCTCTGCCAGGCAGAAAATTACATTATTTCCTCATTTTGAAAGGTGCTTGTTTTGTCAGGAAGACATCCCTTCCGTGCAGTTATCTAGGAATTGTCTTATTGCATTTCTCCCTTATCAGTTTTGAAATAATATTATTTCCTTCTTGCTTAAATGCCATATGGGTCAAAACTTTTGTTGCTGGAAAATGGCACCATCAATGAATGCATTGTTTGTTGCAGAAGTTCCTGGTCACCCTCAGAGGTGATAAATGCCCAGTTTAGGGGATACCATGGGCAGTTTGAGGGAGTACTATGCACAGTTTGGGGAAGTACCCTGGGCAGTTTGGAGGATTACTGTGTGCAGTTGTTTGGGGGAGTACTCTGTGCAGTTTGGGGGAGTACCATGCGTAGTTTGGGGGAGTACTGTGTGCAGTTTTGGGGAGTACCATGCACATTTTGGGGGAGTACTATGTGCAGTTTGGGGGAGCACCATACGCAGTTTGGGAGAGTACCATGCGCAGTTTGGGAGAGTACCGTGTGCAGTTTGGGGGAGTACCGTGTGCAGTTTGGGGGAGTACCGTGTGCAGTTTGGGGGAGTATTGGGGGAGTACCATGTGCAGTTTTGGGGAGTACCGTGTGCAGTTTGGGGGAGTATTGGGGGAGTACCATGTGCAGTTTGGGGGAGGACCACGTGCAGTTTGGGGGAGGACCATGTGCAGTTTGGGGGAGTATTGGGGGAGTACCACGTGCAGTTTGGGGGAGGACCATGTGCAGTTTTGGGGAGTACCGTGTGCAGTTTGGGGGAGTATTGGGGGAGTACCATGTGCAGTTTGGGGGAGCACCATGCGCAGTTTGGGAGAGTACCTTGTGCAGTTTGGGGGAGTACAGTGTGCAGTTTAGGGGAGTACCGTGTGCAGTTTGGGGGAGTATTGGGGAAGTACCATGTGCAGTTTGGGGGAATACCATGTGCAGTTTGGGAGAGTACCTTGTGCAGTTTGGGGGAGTACCGTGTGCAGTTTAGGGGAGTACCGTGTGCAGTTTGGGGGAGTATTGGGGGAGTACCATGTGCAGTTTGGGGGAGGACCATGTGCAGTTTGGGGGAGGACCATGTGCAGTTTGGGGGAGTATTGGGGGAGTACCACGTGCAGTTTGGGGGAGGACCATGTGCAGTTTAGGGGAGTACCGTGTGCAGTTTGGAGGAGTACCGTGTGCAGTTTGGGGGAATACCGAGTGCAGTTTGGGGAAGTACCATGGGCAGTTTGGGGGATTACTGCGTGCAGTTTTTTGGGGGAGTACTGTGTGCAGTTTGGGGCAGTACTGTGTGCAGTTTGGGGGAGTACCATGTGCAGTTTGGGTAAGTACCATGGGCATTTTGGGGAAGTACCATGGGCAGTTTGGGGGAGTACTGTGCACAGTTTGGAGGAGTACCATGTGCAGTTTGTGGTAGTACCATATGCAGTTTGGGGGAGTACTATGTGCAGTTTGGGGGAGTACCATGTGCAGTTTGGAGGAGTATTGTGTGCAGTTTGGGGGAGTACCAAGCACCCTTTAGGGGAGTACCATGTACAGTTTGGAGGAGTATTGTGTGCAGTTTGGGGGAGTACCATGTGCAGTTTTGGGGGGTACCATGCACAGTTTGGGAGAGCACCATGCACAGTTTGGGGGAGTACCGTGTGCAGTTTGGGGGAGTACCATGTGTAGTTTGGGGAAGTACTGGGGGAGTACTGTGTGCAGTTTTGGGGAGTACTGTGTGCAGTTTGGGGGAGTATTGGAGTACCATGCGTAGTTTGGGGAAGTACCATGTGCAGTTTGGGGGAGTACTGTGTGCAATTTGGGGAGTACCATGTGCAGTTTGGGGGAGCACCATGCACAGTTTGGGAGAGTACCATGTACAGTTTGGGGGAGTACCATGTGCAGTTTGGGGGAGTACCATATGCAGTTTGGGGGAGTACTATGTGCAGTTTGGGGGAGTACCATGGGCAGTTTGGGGGATTACTGCATGCAGTTGTTTGGGGGAGTACCGTGTGCAGTTTGGGGGGAGTACTGTGTGCAGTTTGGGGGAGTACCATGTGCAGTTTGGGGGAGTACTTTGTGCAGTTTGGGGGAAGACCATGTGCAGTTTAGGGGAGTACCGTGTGCAGTTTGGGGGAGTATTGGGGAAGTACCATGTGCAGTTTGGGGGAATACCATGTGCAACTTGGGGGAGTACCGTGCACAGCTTGGGGGAGTACTGTGTGCAGCTTGGGGGAGTACCGTGTGCAGTTTGGAGGAGTACGGTGTGCAGTTTGCAGGAGTACCGTGTGCGGTTTGGGGGAATACCGAGTGCAGTTTGGGGAAGTACCATGGGCAGTTTGGGGGAGTACTGTGTGCTGTTGTTTGGGGGAGTACTGTGTGCAGTTTGGGGCAGTACTGTGTGCAGTTTGGGGGAGTACTGTGTGCAGTTTGGGGGAGTACCATGTGCAGTTTGGGGAAGTACCATGGGCAGTTTGGGGGATTACTGCATGCGGTTGTTTGGGAGAGTACTGTGTGCAGTTTGGGGCAGTACTGTGTGCAGTTTGGGGGAGTACTGTGCACAGTTTGGAGGAGTACCATGTGCAGTTTGGGGTAGTACCATATGCAGTTTGGGGGAGTACTATGTGCAGTTTGGGGAAGCACCATGCGCAGTTAGGGAGAGCACCATGCACAGTTTGGGGGAGTACCGTGTGCAGTTTGGGGGAGTACCATGTGTAGTTTGGGGGAGTACTGGGGGAGTACTGTGTGCAGTTTTGGGGAGTACTGTGTGCAGTTTGGGGGAGTATTGGAGTACCATGCATAGTTTGGGGAAGTACCATGTGCAGTTTGGGGGAGTACTGTATGCAATTTGGGGGAGTACCGTGTGCAGTTTGGGGGAATACCGTGTGCAGTTTGGGGGAGCACCATGCGCAGTTGGGGGGAGCACCGTGCGCAGTTTGGGGGAGCACCGTGCGCAGTTTGGGAGAGTACCGTGCGCAGTTTGGGGGGAGTACCGTGAAGCAGTTTGGGGGAGTACTGTGTGCAGTTTGGGGAGTACCATGCACAGTTTGGGGGAGTATTGGGGGAGTACCGTGTGCAGTTTGGGGGAGTACCGTGCACAGTTTGGGGGAGTATCATGTGCAGTTTGGAGTACTGTGTGCAGTTTGGGGGAGTACCATGCACAGTTTGGGGGAGTACCCTGCGCAGTTTGGGGGAGTACCCTGCGCAGTTTGGGGGAGTACCATGCGCAGTTTGGGAGAGTACCATGCGCAGTTTGGGGGAGTACCATGCGCAGTTTGGGAGAGTACCATGCGCAGTTTGGGGGGAGTACCGTGTGCAGTTTGGGGGAGTACCGTGCGCAGTTTGGGGGCGTATCATGTGCAGTTTGGAGTACTGTGTGCAGTTCGGGACACCTGACTGTGCTTTTCTGAAGGATCCTGGATTCTGAGTATCACTGGGGGTGGAAGCAAACACTTATCTACTGATTTGCTAACATATTGCACTGTTAATCTCAACTTGCCTTCTCCCAGTGGAACTGCTCTTGGTGAGACTGTAGCTTCTCTCTAGGAAGTGATTTGATTTTTGATGTAAGGAAAAGGATTAGTGTGGCTGGATTTTGATAAGGCTGGCCGCCTGGCACATCAGCGACACTCTCATCCCATCAGTATCACTGACAGCGGGTTCGTTATGCAGGAGCACTGCAGAGCGGTGATACGGGACGTGCAGAGATAATTGTAGTTTTGCTATTTAAAAAATAAGTCTAGTGCTTTACAATGTTTAAGTGATAACCTGTTTAGAAAAACTCACAGTGCCTGTCTTTTGGCACAGAAAAACCTCTTCTAGCAGCTTGACTTGGATTTTATTAATCTATTTTTATTTTCCTGAGTATAAATTGAAGTCTCATTTCTGTTTGAACTCTTAAGCTAGAACTTAAGACCGGAAGTGCACATTTGCACTTTCAAACTCAACATATTTCCAGGGGTTTTATAGCAATGTTGGGCTTATGCCTTTGCTTTTCAGTGATCTCCAGCTTTGAGATTAGATGCACTTGGTTAGACTCAATGTAAGTAGCTTGCTCTATGGTGGGTGTTTTTTGATCAAGGTGCTAATCTTGGTGTTTACCTGGGGTTGTGAGAAGAGAGGATTAGGAGGCCGCACTTGAGCAGTGGCTAAATCCCATGCTATGTCGCTGCTGTCTTTCTGTCCCCACCAGGAGAATGACAGGGCCGTGCCTGGCATCCCTATGCCATTCTTGGGATGATGTTCTGTGACTCTCTCACTGGCTTTGCTGCTTCTCTTGTGGCCAAGTCAGCTGTTTTGATGGGATGGACATCCATGGAGGCCAAGAATGGTGGTCCTGGGCAGTGGAGATTCCATCACTGTGGCTCTAAGAACTCCACGGGGTCAGGGGCTGTTGGGCAGAGGGAGGCACAGGAGCCAGCAAGATGCTGCACTTTTCATGAATGGATCACATTGTTCATTGCTGTTATTGGGGTTTTACTTCCTAGACACCTGTGGGTTCCTGGATATCAAAGTAGTTGTAGTCATCTTTGTCCCATTCAGCAGGGGATCCTAGAGACTCTCAGGTTCTCTAAAAGCTTTGAAGGCTCTGCTCTATGCAGATTAAAGTCCAAGTGCACCATTCCAGGCCCTCCATGCAGTGGTCCCCAGGCCTCTGTCCCTTTTTCCCTGTCACACGCCCACCCCCTTCTAGGCACCAGCACTGGTCTGCCTGCTGAGCTTGCTAGAACTTGCTAGCCCTTCCCTCATGTGTTCCTTTGTTTTGGCTGCCACCTCTGACTGGCTTGCCATTTCCCCTGTGGGAATCTTCCAGGGCTTCTGAATTTAAGAGTTACTCCTCCACTGAGCCCTCTTTTGCGTCCTCTCCCTTCCCCTCTACCTGAGCTAAGTAAGATGAATTATTTCCACCTCTTTTGTCTCAGTTTTATTAAAGTGTATAATGATATAATGTTTTTGTACTCTCTTCTGCGTCTTCCTAAATTGTGGCCTTGTTGTGACTTTGTGTGTGCGTGTGTATGCATGTGTTAGATAGCAGCGAGAGAAGTGTGAGGGGTGTGTATGATGGAAATGGGGAGAGAGAAAACTACCTCAGTGCACTCACATGAAGCCTTCTTCCCAGGAGGGAATCTTCATAATGAAAAGGAGAGGAGCCTTCTCCCACCTCGTGGAGGGGGTGGCAGTGGTGGAAGGCTGGAACTGACAAGCAAGGAAATATGAAAGGATTATAATTGGAAAAAGATGGGCATAAAATGAAAAAGCCAAAGTATGTTTTATTTTGCACCTGTGTATTCGGGCTTGCTCGGTTTATTTATTAAGCCGTTATCAAAGTAAAGTAAGACAAGTGAGTCTTAGTCTAATGAAATTGCCCCTCTGTGGGCCATGTTGGCATCAGGTATCCAGAGCATAATTGGATAACAATGACAATTACTGTGTCGGGAGTTTCAGCACTGGACGGCCTCCGCTTTCCTGTGCTTTCTGTGCGGTGTAGCTCATGAGCGTTCTGATGGAGCAGGGGAGGGCCGGCTTTTCCAGCTCTGGTTCCGACTTGGAACTGCAGGGTGGGTGCCGATCGGGCCTAATGGGCCCTCACATCTCAGCCCCTGGCGTTGATCTCAGATTCAGAGCCTGCGTTATGGCCCAGGTGAAAAGCACGTCTGTTGCCATTTGATAAACTTTCACTCAGTGGCAGTTTGCCTGCTCCGGGCATCTGTGAGCCAGGCAATTGTCTGTCTTGGGGTCAGGGGGCCAAGGAGCCCCACCTGTGACTCCTGCTTCATTTTTTAAAGTATGGACTCATTGCTTCTCCTGCCAGCCATCCTTCCCTGAGTAACTCCATTGCCTGTATCATTTCACTGCTGAGAATTGGGCACCTCTGTAAAAATTATATTGACCTGCAGGAACTAAGATCTGCAAGTGCCTGTGTGCTTAAATGTGCAGGAATCAAACTGCTTGGCTGATAACCTTTTATTGATTCATCTCCTTTCACTGCTTTGATGAGCCTGAGGCCTCCTCAGATAAGGAATGGATGTGCTGGTGTTGTGGCCAGGCATGGAAGTTCTGACTCTAGATGTTAAAATGATGTGTTTGCAGACTGAGGACATGCACCTTTATCACGGTCCGTGGCGACCTCAGGCTGTGGCCCATCTGGCTGCATGGTGCAGCTGCCCCTTCTGCTCTGAGAGGCAGAGGCCCTCTTACGCCTGGTGCTCAGCCCTTGGGAAGTGGCTCAGCTTCCCTTTAGAGTCTCCCTGAAGTGTCTACAATAATTGTTCTGAGAATGTTCAAAATGCAAGGGAAATAGAGGCCATTTGGCAGGGACTTTGGGAGAGAAGGGGAGTGGTCCATGCAGGATCTTTTCTCCCCTCGAGAACAAGGAGCTGAGACTTTGCTGGCTCCCCCTCCCCAGTCTGTGGGAGCCCAGTGGATAGAGGAAGAGCAGCCTCACAGCAGTCAGGCCTGCCTGGGCTGGCCGTGCCACTTACCTGGGAGGAGTTGATTTGAGGGACTTCTCTTCATAGGTGGCAATGGCAAGTATTCTTACTGGGGAGATTCATGATTGACTTCTGGAGGCTTTGCCATAGCAGGGTTCATTATGAGCAGCTGAAAGTGGATGCATCTGCCAGGGGAGCTGGGACCAGCGTGCTGAGAGTGGAGGGGCTTTGTGGCTCCCTTCTCTCTTATTCTAAGATCCTCCCCACAGGCCTCTATTTTGAGGGATGAGAAGCCAAGTAGGCATGACTGACGTTCCTGAGAGCTGCCCCATTAAAGTCTCCGTCACAGCCTTTTATTAAGCATGTTATTAAATGAGCATCTGGGAACATTCTACGTGGTGGGCAGAGCCAGGCTCCAGAGGGACACGGCGAGGCACTCATGCTGTCTACCTGGCCATAACCCTGCCCCAGTGGGGCTTCCTGGACTCCCTCCCACCCACTTGGCTAGAACTCATTGGCCCTCCTTCCCTTTCTTTGGTTAGCACCTACCGAGCCTCCTCCCAGGCAGCAAGGAAACCTCGGCCTTTTCCCAGAGGGGCCTGGCAGCCCCTGCGTCTCTGGACCTCTGCTTTAGGGAACTGGCCCTGGGGTTTGTGTTACCCTCTTTCTCCAGCAAGAGGCTCAGCTCCTAGGGGTGGGGGCGGGGCCTTCCATTTCCCACAGTCACCCATGGGCGCTGGCTTCCTGAGTGGGGGAAGGCTCCTGCATCCTCTGTCTAGAGCAGGTCACCCTCAGTGTCCCCAGGGATGGGCCTCGACAGCAGGGAGCAGTGAAGCCAGGACTGGGGGTCTCCACGAAAGCGCAGAGGACATTGTTTCCCGGGAACGTAGACATGGCCCATCCTTCCAATTTCCGAGAAATGGGGCAGTCTGGACCTCGATGTGCAAGTTCCTTATTTTGTGACGTTCTGTGCACCAAGCACAGCACATCTGCAGGCTGAGCTGTGGGCGGCCAGGTGCTGCCTGCCGGCTGGGGCTGTTGTGAGTAACGGGGTGATTGCACAGATGCCAGGATTTCTGTGAGCCTGCCCTGCTTGAAGATACGGATACTCGGAGGGAAAGGGGACATCTTCACCAGGGCCTGTTGGTTGCAAGGAGATGGCCTTCTCAAGGCAGTGGAGACCCGGCCCAGTGTTAGCTGACTCCATCGGTGGGGTTGCCTGCAGCTGTGTGGGTGGGGCAGGCGGGAATGGCTGTGAAGTGCGGGGCCTCCCAGGTGGGACTGGGAACTCACCCACCCTGGGCTGTGAGTCTGCGTCTGCCAGCCTTGATTGGGTCTGCCAGGCTGGGTGGGGTGACCCTGGGCTGTGTGTGGGATGGGCTCTCTGAGCAGGATGGGAGGGTGAGAATTCAGGGCCAGGGTACACATAGGGTGATGGTGCGGGGAGTTGCATGGGAATGATGGCATATTTTCACCTGAGATGCCCAGGAAGGTGGAAAGAGAGGATGTGAACTGCCTTTTGTTCAAACATAGGCTGTTAGAGCCAGAAGCCACCCAAGCAGCCAATCCCTCTCTGGCGCCTCCCAAGGCGGGGGCGTGTGACGCGTGTGAGGACGCCAGGTGTAGGCCGCGGCACACACAGCCCCTGCCTTGGAAGACGGTGCCCTGGTAAGTTCTCTTCCAACATGGCGGTGGGGGCCGATGTCCCCACTCTCACGAATCTTCCTTTTTCCTGTGGAAGGCAGGCTCCAACTAGAAAGCCAGGGTTTCACGGCTGTGAAAAATACTGTGTTTATTTATAAGCACAAGGCTGGGGTAGTGATATAAAGTTCCCTTTCAGATACACGGACTTATGGGAAATAATGGAGCCAATTAAAATAAAAGCAGAGGCCCTGACATCTAGTGATGGGGATGTGGGGGCAGCACAGTTCCAGCACCCCTGGGCTAACGTGGCTTATGCAGCATCCCTGCGTGTGAAGCGCCGGCCACAGCGGCCTCCCTGGTGGGGGGTTTCGATGCTCTTGAGTCCCTAACAGCTCTCACCTCGCTACCCTCCCTGTTCCCCCGAGTGAAGGAGAGTAGGTGTCGGGGTCCAGGAACAGCTCACCCTGCCGCCCGCTGCCTGCTGCGTTCCTCTTTAGGGTGGCTTTGCTTTCTCTTTTTGTCTCCACTGCTGGCTTTCCATTTTCCAGGGTGACTAAATGTTTCCCATTTAAGTTATGAGTTATTAAAGGAAACTAGGAGGGACATAATGGTAGAAATGGCCTGCAGATGGGGCCTAACGCCTGGCTGGGGTCAGAGCTGGCACTGGAATTCGGGACAGCCCAGACGGAGAGGACCGTGCTTGGCTCTGTCATGGGCTTATGGCCTGGGAGGCTCCAGCGGGTTCTCACCAAGGGCCGTGGTCTCAATGTTGGAGTTCTCCCCAGATTCCTGTGTTGAAATCCTCACTGCCAAGCTGATGGTGTTAGCAGGTGGGGCTGTGGGGAGGTGAGTAGGTCACGAAGGTGCACCCCTCATGAGTGGGATGAATGCCCTTACAAAAGGGACCCCAGAGAGGCCTGCTTCTCCTTCCCCCATGTGTGGAGACACAGCAGGAAGGCACCATCCGTGAACCAGGAATTGGGCCCTCACCAGACACGGAACCTGCCGGCGCCTTGACCTTGGACTGCTAGCCTCCAGAGCCATGAGCAACCAGTGTCTGTTGTTTGTGGGCCGCCCAAGGGAAGGAGCTTTGTGACAGCAGCCAGAAAGACTGACACCAAGTGCTCCTGGTGGTCTGAGGTCCGTCCCAGCCCCGCCTCCCGGCAGCCATACATGGCCCAAGGGAGAAGTCAGGCAGTCACGTGCACTTGCTGCTGCCTCCAGGATGGCAGGATAAATCCTCAGTGTTGGGGGGCAAGGCTGACCACAAAGCAAACACCAAACCAAAGAGGGGCATTCCCGCCACCTCCTCCCCTGGAGGGGACGCACCCCATCCCTGTGCTTTCATCATGAGGGGTTATGACCATGTCTTGTCTGCCATCTGACATGATTGCAGACATGTTAGACACGAAAGAAAACACACTGGCTCTGCAGAGTTAGCAAGTCCTGGCCATGATTCTGAATCTATTTGAATGTTAGCTTGAAAATTCCAAACCGATGTGAAGGGAGTGGCCAGAGAACAGCAGCACACTGGGGGTTGGGCCAGTCAGCAGCCATGGTCACGTTGGAAGAAGGAAGAATGCACCTCGGAAGCACGCATGGCATATTGTGGTTTCTCCTAAAAAGAAATTCACGGCTGGGCATGGTGGCTCACGCCTGTAATCCCAGCACTTTGGGAGGCTGAGGTGGGTGGATCATTTGAGGTCAGGAGTTCGAGACCAGCCTGGCCAACATGGTGAAACCCCATCTCTACTAAAAATGTAAAAATTATCCAGGCGTGATGGTGTGCATCTGTAATCCCACCTACTTGGGAGGCTGAGGCAGGAGAATCATTTGAACCTGGAAGACGGAGGTTTCAGTGAGCCAAGATTGCGCCACTGCACTCCAGCCTGGGAGACAGCGTCAGACTCAGTCTCAAAAAAGAAAAAAGAAATTCACCTTTGGCTCTATCCCTCTTACTTTCATAAAACATTCTGTATTTTCAAAATGCCAAAAAAATTATTGTTAAAGACTTTAGAAAACAGAAAAGTACAAAGAATAAAAGGGTAACTTCATTTCCCTCCTCTGAACAAACCACTTTTAATCTTTGGCATGGTGTGTGTGCATGTGTGTGTGTGTGTGTGTGTGTGTATGTCTATCTGTACTTGTACCTGCACACACAACTGGATGAGCATGGTGTGTGTGTACACATGTAATGTGTTCATATGTACATATGTGGGTGCCTTGTGCACACGTGTGTGGCTGTGGGATGTTCAGATGTGCATGTGAGTTGGTGTGTGTGCATGCCCACAAGCATGCATGTAAATGTGATGTGCTGTGTATGCACACGGATAAGCATGTGTGAAGGAGTGCATGAGAGTGGTGCATGGCTGTGGTGTGCACGTGTGTGCGTGTGATGCATGTGCATTTGCACGCATGTGCTGTGGTGTGTGTGATGTACGTGCATTTGCACGCGTGTGCTGTGGCGTGTGTGATGTACGTGCATTTGCACGCGTGTGCTGTGGCGTGTGATGTACGTGCGTTTGCACGCGCGTGCTGTGGCGTGTGATGTACGTGCGTTTGCACGCGCGTGCTGTGGCGTGTGTGATGTACGTGCGTTTGCACGCGCGTGCTGTGGCGTGTGTGATGTACGTGCGTTTGCACGCGCGTGCTGTGGCGTGTGTGATGTACGTGCGTTTGCACGCGCGTGCTGTGGCGTGTGTGATGTACGTGCGTTTGCACGCGCGTGCTGTGGCGTGTGTGATGTACGTGCGTTTGCACGCGCGTGCTGTGGCGTGTGTGATGTACGTGCGTTTGCACGCGCGTGCTGTGGCGTGTGTGATGTACGTGCGTTTGCACGCGCGTGCTGTGGCGTGTGTGATGTACGTGCGTTTGCACGCGCGTGCTGTGGCGTGTGTGCGTTTGCACGCGCGTGCTGTGGCGTGTGTGATGTGTGTGCGTTTGCACGCGTGTGCTGTGGCGTGTGTGATGTGTGTGCGTTTGCACGCGTGTGCTGTGGTGTGTGTGATGTGTGTGCGTTTGCACGCGTGTGCTGTGGTGTGTGATGTAGGTGCATTTGCACGCGTGTGCTGTGGTGTGTGATGTAGGTGCATTTACACGCGTGTGCTGTGGTGTGTGATGTAGGTGCATTTGCACGTGTGTGCTGTGGTGTGTGTGATGTGTGTGCATTTGCACGTGTGTGCTGTGGTGTGTGTGTGGTGAGTGGATGGGAGGATATTTCCAGTGCTCTCCTCCTGGGACTGATGCCATGATGAAAATCTGTGTAAACCAGACAGCACATCTCTCATCATTTCTTTGTGATGGGTCATTAGAAGCAGGATTCTGAATTTCTGGTTCAGAAGCTCTGTTACGTGGCCCTGGATCCACACATCTAAACGATGTTTCAGAAAGGTGGTGCCAATTTATATTCCCAGCAAGGACACTGGCTGTACCATGTCCCCACTGCCACCCTGGCCCTAGTTCTGTCATGTGGGCATTCCTTTGGACGTGCTTCCCAAGTGGACAGGTGTGAGGTGGCCCCAATCAATCCCACATTTACTCAATTAGTGGAGAGGCTGAGCACTTAAAAATCTGCTTAGCTTTGGCCGGGCGCGGTGGCTCACACCTGTAATCCCAGCACTTTGGAGGACAAGGCGGGTGGATCACAAGGTCAGGAGATCGAGACCATCCTGGCTAACACGGTGAAAACCCATCTCTACTAAAAATACAAAAAAAAAAAAAAAACTGGCCTGGCATAGTGGTGGGTGCCTGTAGTCCCAGCTACTTGGGAGGCTGAGGCAGGAGAATGCTTGAACCCGGGAGGCATAGCTTGCAGTGAGCTGAGATTGCACCACTGCACTCCAGCCTGGGCAATAGAGCAAGACTCCGTCTCAAAAAAAAAATCTGCTTAGCTTTCCTCCTTTCTTTTTTTGTGCATCACGTTTGTGTTTGCGTTTTCTACTGAGGGTGGTGGGAATGGCCTTGTGCAAACACAGAGATTCACTGGGGCATCGGACATCTCTCTTCCACCTACAAACACAGCTTCTGGGTCTGTCCAGCCACATCACAGAGGTCACATCAGTCTCCGGGGCTGTTTGTGACTTGTTTCGTATAGTCCTGGTGCCTTCTTAGAGTTTGTCCCTAAGTGTTTAACATATGCCCAACACATACTTATAACATATGCCTAGCATGTGCTTAACATGTGCGCCGGACAGAGGTGCTGGTGATGTGGGTGGTTCAGGGAATCTGTTTTATCCAAGGATCATTAGTTATATTGATAAATAGGCAAAACCCATCCAAACTGGCTGAAGCCCCCAATGCAATGTTTTTGAAAGGGAATGGGGCTTTCTAGGGCCTGGAACCAAACAATAAAACTTTTTGTCAAAGGCCAGATAGTCATTATTTTAGGCTTGGCGGGCCAGATGTCGGGACCCACTCACCTCTGTGACGTAGGTGAAAAGCAGCCTTAGGAGATATGTACATGAATGGGTGGGGCTGTGTGCCAATAAAACTTTATTTACAACAGGCTGCAGCCAGATTGGGCCTTGAGCTGTGGTTTGTCCCTCCCTGCTCTGTAAGGACACAGCCCCTTGCTGCTGCTTCTCTACTTTATGCCCCCATTTTTGCTCTCTGCTCAGCCCAGCCTTTCCTGTTTTTTTTTTTTGTTTGTTTGTTTGTTTGTTTGTTTTCAGCACTTAGAGGAAAACGGCCCCTGGCCGACAGCCAAGGCTCTAACAGCCTCTTTGGCCCTCCTAGTGGCATTATAAAGTTTGGCGTTATTGGCACCATTTGACAGGTGGGAAAACAGACCAGAAAGCCCGTGTGACATCGTCAAGGTTACGAAGCCACGAAGCAGCAGAGCTGGGCATCGAACCCACAGCTGCCTGCTCTTGACACTGGCCATAGGAGTGTAGCATAGAGCAGGGGCAGGCATCGAACCCACAGCTGCCTGCTCTTGACACTGGCCATAGGAGTGTAGCATAGAGCAGGGGCAGGACGGGTCCGAGGCCGTGGCGCATGCCTGTGAGCCACAGCACCCAGGTATGGAGAAGAAGGAAAGAGGGGAAGCAAAACTCAGAAAACAGCTGAAAGGCCTGGCCTGTGCGGCCCCTCCGAGCCTGCCACGGAGCATTTTTTGCCGGGCAGATAATGATGGCACCATAATGATGACTATAATAATGAAAGATAAAGGAAATGAAACATTATTAACCATTGATGGATAGTGTATTCAGTTTTCAATTTAATGATCTGCAACTGCAAATCTATAGTCAAGAATGAACCAATTTCTCACTTCCTTTTTGCTCTGTTCATCCCAGATAAGGAAATGAAAGGATTACTCTGCAGACATGGAACCCAAATGTCAATGTTCTGCCTCATTAGAAGACCTGGCGCAGACGCCCCTGAAAGCCCACGTGGTTCTGGTGATGTTGCCCGGCTCACCTGGCCAGGGGGCTGGGGATGGCCGTGGGCACCCACACCAACCTCTGGCCTCAGCAGGCAGGAAAGGCGGCTCAGAGGCATCCCAGATCCGGACACCTGATCCCTCTCTGTGAGTGCCCTGGTGCTGGCTTCTTTTCCTTCCCCCTTCCTATGAATGTGCCCCAGATTCCATGTGTTAAGTATTGCGCTCTGGATGTGCCAGCCCATCCTAATGAGGAGCAAGGGATCAGAGGGAGATGGTGCTCAGATTGATGGTGAGTTGGCCAAGGTGAGCATTCATATCTCCTTCTCAATGCCCTTTTGCACTGAACACTGAGAGGGGATGCAACCCAGACTCCCAGATCTGGCCCCGCTTTCTTCCCGGCTTGATTAGCTGGACAGGAGGCAGTGCAGGGTGAGAGCCTTCTGTTCAAAGCCAGACCTAAGTCCAGAGGAGTGCGTGTGCTGGGACTGGGGTTAATGCTGACGAGCTGCCTCCCTGTGTCATATGGACTTGAGGACCCACTTGCTTTGCGAAGCTCACTTGTCCAGCTGTTTCACACATGTGACCCCATGGAACCTGCCAGACCCAGCCACCGCAGCTTCTGCGGAGGGCATGGATCAGGCATGTTCTTTCCATGCTACTTAGTGTGGAGGGGGCGTGTACGGGTTTCAGTTCAGAAGTCAAGAGTAACAGCTAATGCTTTTACTTCAGGAGTGAAATTACAAGCAAACCTCCTGCTCGGCAGCTTTGTGCAAGTAAACATATGACAGCGTAAAAGCTTTTTAACATCCCTGAGTATTGCTCTGGTTCACAAGACGTTGAAAACTGAAAATAAAACAATGAGAAGAGTTGTGTTTGTCAGCCCAGCTTGCAGGGAAGAATCCCGAATAGCTGACGAGTTCATTTTTACTTATTTATGGGCAAATTTCAAAGTTGCATCTGTTCCTATTCTGTGAGCACTCAGACATCCTCTGGGACTTTGTTTGTTTGTTTGTTTGTTGGTCTCTGTGTGACTGGCATTTGCCTGAAGTTTAATATCAAGTAGGCCAGATGGAAGAATGGGCAAGTTAACTCCAGAGAAGCCGATTGTCTTAAACATACTGGATGTCACCCTTCTCAATGGTGCTTCCTGGAGCATTTAATTTGTGGGACAGGTGTCTCAGTGGGACACGAATCCCCCAGCTGTGCAGAACAGTCAATGGCCACGGACTCCAGGTCCCCTCCGTGCCCTGCTCCTTGGCCCTGAAGCTGCAGGTCCTCTGTGAGCCTCAGTGTCTTCGTCTGAAAACCAGGATGAGACTCACAGCAGCCTTGTCATGTGGTGAAGTGAGGGGAGCTTGTGTGTTGGTGACTTTGTGGGGTGCCTGGCGGGCAGTCTACTCTCAGTGCACACTACATCTTCTTTAAAATAAGCACGAATAGGGGCACTCATGGCCAGCTTGGGCAACATCGAGAGACCTGGTCTCTACACTAATATAAAACATAGCTGGGTGTGGTGGTGCACACCTGTAATCCCAGCTTCTCAGGAGGCTGAGGTGGCAGGATCACTTCAGCCCAGGAGGTCAAGGCTGCAGTGAGCTGTGATTATGCCACTGCACCCCAGTCTGGGTGACAGAACGAGACCCTGTCTCAAGAAGAAGAAAAAAGAGTGCTTATGGGGTCCTGTGAGTGGCTGAGCCCTATTCATTTTCTACAGTGGGGTAGCATTCACAAGGGATGCCCCATTGACTTCTGTTCCCTCCCTGGGCACAGGGGTGGGGTGGGAGCCTGGAGTTTGGTGGACCGTCACGGGCATGCATCCCAGGCTGCCGAAGACCCTGCTTACCCCATGTGGCCCTGGGCCTCTTGCTGGGGTGGTGCACTCAGCATGGAGGCGGGGAGAGAGAGTCTGTGTCTGCATCCCTGCCTGCCAGCCACTCCCCCTAAGTGAGGCTTGTGCGTGAGTCCCGCACAGGAAGCATCCATTGTGGGAATAAGAGGCGTGCAGGGACCAGCCTCCTGGGGTTGCTGTGGAAGAGGAGCCTGAAGCCGGGAGGACAAGGCCAGTGTCCGGGTGGCACTGTGGCATTAAGCTGCTTCTGTTAGGAAATGGGTGGTTCCTTGCACCCCAGAGTGTGGTGGAAATCAGCACGAGGGCTATGTTATCTCAGTGAAATATGAGTTCCACAGCACGAAAGGAAACGACAGCCAACAGGATTTGGTAGAACAGTTATCAGCCTTGGAAAATTATATTTATCCAAATCTGCTTGGTGAAAGAAGGCTCTGGTCTGTTTTTATTCTCACGATTTTGTTTTTACCAAGTAGAACGCATTCCTCAGGAGAGGTCTTTGGGCACAGGATCCAGTTACATTTTCCCAGAAAAAAAAATCCCTTTTCATGGGATTGGCTGTATTTTCTGAGTGATCCACGAAAATGAGGATTTCTCAATCTTCTGGATAGGCCCCCAAAGTTGAACTATGTAACCTGTTAGAGCTGAAAACATCATGTTGTTCGCTCTTGGCAGACAACCTAATGCCCTTGACAGCCAGCGTTCAAAGCGGTGGCCATTGGTTGCTGGGTGACCCTTTGTCCGCACTTAGGCCAGTCTTATGGATGGCTGGGTCTGGAGAAAGCAGGTGGTCAGAGGCTTTGCTCATTCAGGGCATGGCCCACTCAGTGCTGCCAAGAGCCCCTGAGCATGGGCTGGGGGCTCTGAGCAGTTCCTGATGAATGAGCTCTGTGCAGCCAGGCCCTGATGCCCATGGTGGTCTCAGCAGGCAGGCCAGAGCTGCGGTTACCACGGGGCCAGGCAGCCCTCCTGCTGCAAGGAGAGGGAGCATTACCGTCAGAAGCACAACTTTGCTGGGCTGCCGCGGCCGGCTCCAGACCTCACAGCACATGAAGGTGCCAGCGATTCGAGCACGCCTGCCCGGCGCTGACGTTGCCGGCTGCTCCACAAAGCAGGGCGGCCAAACAATAAAAATATAAGCAGGTTTGGCTTTTATCTGTGTTGGGAGGTTCAAGGGTATTCCTTGTCTTCAGGCAACAATAAAATCATCATGTTCTGAGGCGGAAGTCATAGGCTTTCGCTCTTCTAAAGTAAACTGGGGCTTAAAAGGAAAGTGGCTTATAGAGATCCTATTAGGGAAGGAAAAAAAATGTTTTTAAGCTAGGAATTCCTTCTCTTTCTCAAGCAGTTGGAATGACAGAGCAGTTTATGAAGCACACTCTTCTTTAGAAGGCAGAAGTTGTTTCTTCCCTAAGGCCAAACGTACCATTTGCAGACACTCTGAGCAAGATTCTGGGGTGATGGGGAGGGCAGAGGAGAACGGGGTGCCCCACTGCACCCTGCCATTGCTTGGTGGGCCTTGTCCTGGCCTGAACAGTGGCATGTGCTGAGCGGCGTGCTCCCAGCTCCTGGCACTGTCAGCTGTCAGCACGCTCCCTCAGTCTATGGGTAGGGACACCAAAGCTCACAGGATGGAGTGACCAGCCCAGAGTCCCACATCTGAGCCAGGATCTGACCCAGGGTCATTTGGCCCCCAGGCTAAGTCTTCTAGCCCTGAAGCCCTCTCTTCTCTGGGGGAGGCTGTTTCTGAAACTCTCTGCCTGCTCGTGCCACCAGCGCATGCCAACAGTAAGGGGTACGGGGTGTCGCCAGCCTGCAGTGCTGTGGGAGAGAAACAATCTCTGTTCTGGTGCTGTGTGGGTGCCCAGGGGCATGAGTGCCTGGGGAGTGTGACCACAGGCCAGTGGCAGTCCCTGCCTTTGGATTAAAGAGCCCTTTGAGGCTTGCTTGGTGATGTCATGGAAAACAGCATATGACACCAAGATATCCCCATATCCAACGAGACTTGCTGGGTTTATCCCCGTATCCAACGAGACTTGCTGGGTTTATCCCCGTATCCAACGAGACTTGCTGGGTTTATCCCCGTATCCAACGAGACTTGCTGGGTTTATCCCCGTATCCAACGAGACTTGCTGGGTTTATCCCCGTATCCAACGAGACTTGCTGGGTTTATCCCCGTATCCAACGAGACTTGCTGGGTTTATCCCCGTATCCAACGAGACTTGCTGGGTTTATCCCCGTATCCAACGAGACTTGCTGGGTTTATCCCCGTATCCAACGAGACTTGCTGGGTTTATCCCCGTATCCAACGAGACTTGCTGGGTTTATCCCCGTATCCAACGAGACTTGCTGGGTTTATCCCCGTATCCAATGAGACTTGCTGGGTTTATCCCCGTATCCAATGAGACTTGCTGGGTTTATCCCCGTATCCAATGAGACTTGCTGGGTTTATCCCCGTATCCAATGAGACTTGCTGGGTTTATCCCCGTATCCAATGAGACTTGCTGGGTTTATCCCCGTATCCAATGAGACTTGCTGGGTTTATCCCCGTATCCAATGAGACTTGCTGGGTTTATCCCGATATCCAATGAGACTTGCTGGATTTATCCCCGTATCCAATGAGACTTGCTGGGTTTATCCCCGTATCCAATGAGACTTGCTGGGTTTATCCCGATATCCAATGAGACTTGCTGGATTTATCCCCGTATCCAATGAGACTTGCTGGGTTTATCCCCGTATCCAATGAGACTTGCTGGGTTTATCCCGATATCCAATGAGACTTGCTGGATTTATCCCCGTATCCAATGAGACTTGCTGGATTTATCCCCATATCCAATGAGACTTGCTGGGTTTAGCACCACAGATGCCAGTCACAGAGGAAATTGATGGCATGGCAGACAGCGTGACATGTTGACTACCTGCCCTGGTCCTTGCAGATGGCATGGGCACAAAGGGGATGTGGGGTGAAGAGTTGAAACGAGTGCCTTCTCCAGAAGATGGCACAGGTGTAAGATGAAGACAGCCCCAATTTCTGTGTCACTGGAGAGAAGAGGACCCAGCCACCCACAGTGGGCTGTGATGTGGGGGAGAAAGGACCTGCTACTCTTCCTAGCCTCTGAGGTTTAGGAATGGAACTGTTACAGAAAGGAGCCTTAATAACCCAAACCAATAAAAGTGGGCCATATTCCTGAAAAATCTAAGGGTCTGATGTTAGCTTCAGGCATGGCTGGATCCAGGAGTCCAAACACCGTTATCAAGAGCCTGTATCTTTCCATCTCTTGGCTTGGCCTTTTTTTGGCTCATTCTGGGGTTTGGTTTGTTCGTTTTTCTTGACTTTATTCTCTAGCTAGATCTTCCCTCGTGGGGCATCTGTGTGTCCCCCAACCCCTGTCTCACACTCAGCTCTGTCTTTTTGGCTTTCCTGCCTGCACCTTGGCAGTCCCTGCGAGTGAGAACCTCTCTTTTCCAGTCATCCTCCCCCAAGTCCTGTCTCTGAGTCTCACTGGCCTGACTCACACCTTGTAGTGAGTTGAATGGTGGCCTCCAAAAGATATGTGCACCCAGAAGCTGTGAGTGTCTTTATTTGGACAAAAGGGTCTTTGCAGTTGTGATTAAGTTAATGATCTGGAGACAGGATCACCCCGGCGGGTCCCATATCCGGTGACAAGGCACAGCCATGTGAAGACTTGTGGAAAGAACGAGAACTCAAGACAGTACCGTGGTGTGTGGGCCCTGGGCCTGCTCTTGTGGCAGGAGGTCACATCTTACAGGTACCCGTTAGCTGTGTGACCCCGGACAAGCTTCTCACCCTCTCTGGACTTCAGTCTCCTCCAGAGTAAGGGGGGATAATGGAGTGCCTCCTTCATGTAGGGTGAAATAGCTAAGAATGCAAGGTGCTGCAAAGACTGCCGGTCGGCAGGAGCTCCCTGAGAGCCTTTGTTCCTCCCTAAGGCAGTGTGCCACAAGGCCAAACATGCGGGCACCCGCGCCAGGCCACCAGGTTACCGGGGGTTTCCAGTCTGACCCTATCCCAGTGACTTATGGCCTCGGAGACTCGGTTTCCATTATCTTTTTTTTCCACTTTTCCTTTAGGTTCGGGGGTACATGTGAAGGTTTGTCACACAGGTTAACACGTGTCACAAGGGCTTATTATACATATCATTTCATCTCCCAGGACCTAAGCCCGATACCCAATAGTTGTCTTTCCTGCTCCTCTCCCTCCTCCCACCCTCCCTGCTCAAGTAGCCCCCCGTGTCTGGTGTTTCTTTCTTTGTGTTCATCAGTTCTTATCATTTAGCTCCCTCTTATAAGTGAGAACATGCGGTATTCGGTTTTCTGTTCCTGCGTAAGTTTGCTAAGGATGACGGCCTCCAGCTTCATCCATGTCCCTGCAAGCAGTATGGTGATTCCTCAAATAGCTCAAAGCAGAACTACCACTTGATCCAGCAATCCCACTACTGGATATATACCCAGAGGAATGTAAATCATTCTACCCTAAAGACACATGCACGCAAATATTCATGGCAGCACTGTTCACAAGAGCAAAGACATGGAATCAGCCGAAATGCCCATCAGTGACAGATTGGAGAAGAATATGTGGTAGATATACACCATGGAATATTAGGCAGCCAGTTTCCTTTTCTGTAAGTAAGGACTGAGATAGTCCCTGCCTCGTGGAGTTGATAAGGATGTGAAACGCATCCACCCCAGTCCTTTTTGAGTGGGCACTGCTCTTTTTATTAGTATGATTTTTCTTCCATTGCCATCCTCTGGTCTAGTCTAGTGGTTCTCAAAGGGGGCAAGTCCAGCCCCAGGGGCACTGGGCAACTACTGGAGACGTTTTTGGTTGTCACAGCTTGGGGAGGGGTGCTGTTGGCGTCCAGTGGATGGAGGCTGGAGCTGCCGCAGAAGGTGCTGGTGGGCACAAGACGGCCCCACCACAGAGGACGGCCCAGCCCCAGCTGCCAACAGCACTGAGCCTTGGAAGTGCGGCCAGGGCTGACCTGCAGACGCACAGCGCACTCACGCCCTTATGCGGAGATTTCTTCCTAACAGGTCTGCTTTGAGGTGCCAGAAACACGAGAAAATAGAGAAACTTGGGCAATGCTGTTTTTGTTTTTGTTTTTGTTTTTGTAGCAACCTCTGTTCAATGAAGGAGTTGAGTCCCAGGAAACTGGCCCCTGAGCAGCCTCTGGTATCAGCAGTCCAGATGCAGAGGTGCCTCTGTGCCCTAGGAGGGAGGAAGCCCCACAAGGCAGGCAGTGCCTGCCTGTTTCAGATGCTGTCAGCAGGCCTTTGAGTCTGTGTGCTGCCGGGGTCTGCGGCGACCTGCCTAGGGGCCTGGCTGTGGCTGGGTGTGGTCCCCACGCTCCCCGAGGCTCAGGGCTCCCCTGAGTGTAGCCACTTCCGCAGATCCCCTGCAGCTCCCATCAGGATGGTGGGGACCTAGGAGGGAGGGCTGGTTCCTTCAGAGAGACAGGGAGACTTTTGCTCCTTCTAGCTGTCCCCACATGAACGTAGTAGGACTTGGCCTGCGGGTTCTAGCTCTCCCCACATGCACGTAGTGGGACTTGGCCTGTGTGGATGCAGAGAGGAGGATGAGGGTGGATGAGAGTGGTCTCACAGCTCCTGGGACGGGTGGCAGGAGGACCCGTAGGACAGGGAGGTGCAGAGTGAGGGTTAGTGCACAGTTACCCCGGTATCTGGTCCCATGGGTTCACAGAGTCACGTGACTACAGCTCCGACCCCTGGCTGGAGAGGCCCCAGGTGCCCGGCAGGCGTGCGGGGACTTCTGGGGAAGGAAGGTCAGTCACTCAACCAACACTTGTTGAGCGCCAGGCCTGGACTGGTCCTGGGGACAACAGTGCCAAGAAAGTCAAGTCCCAGCCCTGAAATAGCCTTGCATGTGTCCCCATCAGCGGGACAGAGAGACACATTTTTAAAGCCTAGAGACCCTGGGTGTGACTTGTGTTAGAATCCTCTTTCTCCAAGCCTCGGTTTTCTCCTCTGCCAAATGAGCACAGCACCTCTTGGAGGGAGGTGAGGACCTCCTAAATTATGAGCCCTTCAGCCTGGAGGTGCTCTTGCTGAGGCCAAGAAAGAGCCATTGTTATTGAAGTGAGGGGAGAGGAAGGTGCCCAGAGTGCCTGCTTCTTCCTGGCCCCTCACCAGGGTGGCATCCTGGGGTGGGAGGTGGTTTTTTGAGAACTGTTCGGCAGTGCCGGGTTTTGCGGGTCCACTTTGTGGTCTGGACATGCCCGTAGGCACAGGGAAGCTGGTGAGGTGCTGGGGGGTCAGCATGGGGGTCTTTGTGGTCGTTTCCTTCTGTTTCACAGTGTGGAGACCCCGGGACAGGTGAAGGCCCCGGCAGGACAGGTGGTCAGTGTGGGTGGAGCGTCCGCAAGGATGCTGGCCTGGCTCTGACCTTCACAGAGAACCCACGTCCTCATGGGTGGTGGTGGCTTCAGTCAGACTGGCCGGGCCAGCCACCCCCGCACTCCCTGATCCTGCCGGCATCATGGGCTGACCTGGAGGCTGGGGGGTCTGCCCGTGACACCAGCCCTGGTTCCCTGAGCTGGGGTCTGCACCGGGGCCAGGGCTGCTGACCTGCTAGAGCCCAAGGCCAAAGGTCTTTGAGGTGGGTCTGGGGCAACGGGGGTGAAGTCTCATGACCTGCCATCACCCTGCCCTAAGCTCTGTGGTCTCGCCATCTGGGAGGGCAGCAGTCAAAGTGCACTGAGATCCCCCCGGGGCAGGGCCCCGACTCGGCCCATCCTACTCACAGCTCCCAGAGGAAACACAGCTGCTCTTCCCATCACCCTCCACCCTATGCCCCTTTAATGGACGGCTGAGTGGCCCGGAAAGGCTGCAGAACTGGCCCACGGTCACCATCTTCAGGGGACAACATGGTTCATTCCACTGTGGGACCCCACACATGCTGGACACTGCTCTTTCCCCAGGCCTTACACCTGGCCTGTGTCGCTACACGCAGGGCCCCTGTCGCCCACTCCAGCAGCCTGGAGCCTGTGAGATGTGGGCATTGATGTCCTCTGGGCCGCCCTGGGGAAAGCTGAGCCCCTGACAACAGAGCTGAAAGCTGGGACCCTTGTGTGTGAGGCCTGAGGACAGGCACCAGGCTGGACCAAAGCTCCCGATCTGGTCACGGCGCTCGGTGTGAGTTCACAGGGCAGTGATTCTAAACCTGGCTGGTGCATCGGGCACAGGGTCACCCACTGATCCCAAACCCCACCCGAGCTCCACCAGGCCCAGGCCTCTGCCCCAAAAACACGGCTGTGGAGCTGTTGAGGAAAAAGAAAGTGAGCCCGCGAGAATGTCCCCTTGGATGGAGTCTCTGTCTGGCCTTGCACCCTCAATATCCTGGTGGAAAACAGCCTTTGGGGATGACTTTGTCGAAGGCAGGGAGTGTCATGGGAGAATGTGGCGTAATTATAAACACATTTGCATGTATTGATTATTTGATGAATCAGGCTGTTGTACGGGAGGGGAAGAATACTTTGTTTTTAAAAATGCACTTAAAGCACTGTCCCTGTTTCCTGGAAAATTTTTTAATTTTGCTGAGGTTGGGACATGTTTACTGATGTTTTACATGTGATTTTTATGGATACCTTGAGTTAGAACACTGACCATGCGGTATTGAGGGAGTCTGGAGTCCAGCACCCGAAAGCACACTGGCGAAGGGTGTGACCTCAGGCTCACACCCCGCTCTGTTGTCTGCCAGGGGATTGCGACATTTGTCCCTGTCACCTGGCATGGCTGTGATGCTGAGATGCAGTTGTGGATGTACACACACTGCGACTGTTGCGGAGTGGAAGTAATCAGTAGCAATGGCCGCAAACTCCCTTTGGTATCTCTGATTTCAATACTTATCAGTATCGAATAACTCCAGGAAGTTGCAGACTTGCGAGTGGCCCTGGGCGTCATCCTGCGGTTCATATTTCTCGGTGAGGAAACAGAGGTTGTAGAATGTGGCCAGAAGCCTGGTCAGCAGAGTGGCCTGGGCAGAGGCTGAGCTGGATAAATGGCAGCTGGGGAAAAGCGGGGAAGGAGGCGGTGGCCAGGCAGACCCCTGTCCCTTACCAGCTCCTCGTGCCCACCAGCTGCTGCCCGGCCTGTGTCCACTCACTCACTCCCCAGGGCGGCCAGCAGGGTGTGTCCTGGGGTCCCCGGCCGGCCGGAAGCAGCTGCCTCCCTCTCTGGAAGGTGCTTTGAAGGGAGCTGACACCAGTGGACAGCTGTAGAGTGAGAAAGTGCCATGGGTATCGCGGAGGCCGTGGGAACACGTGGGAGGGTCTACCCCCGCTGCAGGAGGTGGTTTTCAGGAGGACGGAGAAGGGGTGGGGAGTAGTTAATGGCCGAGCCAGGACGGTGGGGCAAGGGGGAGTGGCCTGCGAGAAGGAGAGCGGCTTCTAGGCAGCAAGGTAGACCAGATGATCCACACCACATCAAGGGTTGGATGTGCTGGAACTTTAGAGTTGTCGAAATAAGTATGAGTGTGTGCGTGTGTGTGTGTGAGAGAGAGACCTTAGAGTTGTCAAAATAATGAGTGTGTGTATGTGTGTGTGCATGTGTGCGTGTGTGTGTGTGCGTGGGTGCGTGTGTGTGTGTGCGTGGGTGCGTGTGTGTGCATGCGTGCGTGTGTGTGTGTGTGTGAGAGAGAGATCGATCTACTACCTGCCTGACTCTTTTCTCAGCACTGCAGGCCACGGGCCATGCTTGCACAGAATACACACTTCAGGCAGGGCTGGGCCTGCCTGACCCTGGATCTCAAAGTTTTTTGACCATGATTCATAGAAAAAAAATGCTTTAAAATTATGGGCCAGGAAATACCCCCCAAACCCTCCCTCCCCACAGAAACGTCCCCACACACAAACAGAAATCAGTGTTTTGCAGAGCAGCATTTACCGCCTCGTAAATGTTATCGATACAATTAGAATAGGTACTTTTTTTCCATTCTGTTCGATTTCATTTTAAAATGTTCACCATGCCACACGAAACTGGTGTCCCAGGTTTGAGAAGCGTGTTCTGGAAGGCCAGACCCAGGCGTCTGGGGTGATATTCTGGAAAGAGCAGGCATGGCCGAAGGTCCCTGAACTGGGCGTTTCAGGCCACGGCAGCTGGAAGGGTGACGGACGGACGATGGGCAGGTGGCGTCAGGTGGAAGGAGGGACGGGGGTGGAGAATGGGTGGATGGGTAGGTGGGGGACGATGGATGCCTTTAAGTCTCTTCATAGTGGTTACTGTCAGCTGACTTCCTGGAGCTGCTGGCTCTGAGCGACAGAACTGGGAGCTGAATTAAGTGAGAGGGACCCCAGGACTCCAGGACTTCCACCTGAGCTTCAGAGGAGCAGTTCTGTCTTTACTTACCATGTATTAGGGGTTCCTAACAAGGATCCCTCTCTTAAAAAGTGTGGAGGCAAGGAGTGGTGGCTCATGCCTGTAATCCCAGCACTTTGGGAGGCCAAGGCAGGTGGATCAGCTGAGGTCAGGAGTTCGAGACCAGCCTGGCCAACGTGGCAAAACCCCGTCTCTACTAAAAATACAAAAATTGGCCACGCACGGTGGCATGTGCCTGTAATCCCAGCTACTCGGGAGGCTGAGGCAGGAGAATCGCTTGAACCCGGGAGGCGGAAGATGCAATGAGGAGCCGAGATCGCGCCATTGTACTCCAGCCTGGACGACAAGAGCGAAACTCCATCTCAAAAAACAGAAAAAAAAAGTGTGGAAAAGTCCTGGCCTTAGGGTGTGAAGAACACCCTATATTTGGTATAAAGTAATACCCTGGATGAAGGTTTTGCTCACCATGAACATATCTCAGAGGCGAATCCCCATGGTCCATCTGTGTCTTGGGGCCCCTGGGCGTGGCCCACTGACAGCCCAACTCCTGAGGGCTGGGCAGCAGCTGTTTTTCCAAAGCCGGGGCGGTGCCTGGCACACAGTGGGCCCTTCAGAAAGATTTGTCGATTGCACCAAGAAGCTCCTCTGTCCTGCCACCTAGAGCAGGCTGGATTCTGGAGGCCTTGCAGCGCACTTTCCTGCCCTCTCGCGTGTATGATAGAGACATTAGCGCGTGTCAGCCCCTTTACCGGGGCTTCCCATTGTCTTAGCGTGCTCCTTTCATCTAATGAGCAGGCGCCCTTGGCTGAACTTTTCAGGAATCCGTGGGGAACCAGAGTGAATATATTATGGCGCTGTGGAGCGAATGACAATCGGGCAGTGCTCGCCTGTGGCCGTGGAGGTATCTGCGCCACCGCAAAATGCCTCACCCTTCTTTTGGGTTTTGGGGTTTCAGGTCAGCTCTGGGGGCCCGTTATCCCGTGTCAAGGAGGCCCACGCAGGCACCCGAGGAAGGCTTTGGCTATCACGAGGTGGCCTTTGTGCAGGCGGGTTCAGCAACTTTGGCATTCATTGGGGCAGCCTGTTACTGGTGCTTGGAGTAAGTGAAGAGTGCGATTGGGCGCCAGAGCTGACCTGGCAGGGAGCCGGGTTTCCGGCCTGTGTCAGCGGCTGCCTAACCGTGGACACCAGCACGATGACTCAGTCCTGACCGCTATAAGCATCCCGGCCACCAGCTCTGCATCATCAGGGAGATCAATTAAATTGAGTGTGTGTAATTCTCGGGGATTAGACGGAAGTGCACAGGCTTCATTGATCCACTCTCCTAGACAATCAGCAGGCCCCTCCAAGGGCTGAGGACCCACCACTCAGCAGGAAGCCTGGCTCACTTCTCCCCCACACCCCTTCCTCCCGCACTTCCCCACGTTCCTCTCTCCTGGATTGGATTTCTGGAAGGTTCTGCTGGGCCACGTCCCGTCAGGTCCTCAGGAACACGGCATGCACAACCACACACCCCGTCTGCAGGGGCTGCAGGTACCCTGAGGCCCTGGGACTCTGTGTTTTTCTGTGGTTACCACTTTTCCTTTGAACAATAACATTTTTTTTCTGAGACACACTCTGAGACTTCTGGCACCCACCGTACCTTCTAATTCTACTATAATCATCACCCTTTTCTCTTGCCAAAAAAAAAAAAGAAAAAGAAAAATAAACTTAAAAGAACACAGACTGAAGAAAGTCATTTCCAAGTTAAGCTGCGAAGGGGTCTGAAATGTATCGCTGGTGAGAGTCTTTTTTTTTTTCATGGTAACCACAAAAGCAAGTGCACTAGTGTGTCTGTGTATGCGGTAAACAAAATGGTTTGCCAAACTCAGGAACTAAAAATGCTCTAAAAGAACAGAGTTCATTTCTGAAAACAGCCAATTTGGAACCCTGGCACCAGTATTTTGAGTCAGAAGATCACTGAGCATTATGGGTTGAATTGAATCTCCCAAAATGCCTTTTGCTGAATCCCAACTCCAGAACCTGTGCGCGTGATCATATCTGGAAAAAAAATGGGGGGTCTTTGTAGATGGAATCAAGTTAAGAGACAGTCAGAGTGGATCAGGGTGGGCCCTAAATCCAAAGACCCGTGCTCTTATAAGAAAAGAAGAGGAAACCGAATCCAGTGTTAGACAGAGGCCCCGGGGAGAACCTCGCTTATTCGTTCATCACGGAGCAGAGATGGGAGTGATACATCCGCAGACAGGAGCCCCGGGGACTGCCACAGCCCCAGATGGTGAGGGCTCCTCCCAATGGGTCCCAGAGGGAGCACGGCCCTGCAGACACTCTGATCTCCGTCAAACTCCTGGGCTCCAGAACAGACAGAATCCATTTCCATTGCTTTAAGCCTCCAGGTTTGTGATACTTTGTTATGGCAGCCACGGGAAACTGACACATTGAAAATGGCAATTTTGAAAAGCCCAGAAAGCAAATATGCTGGAAGAAAAATGTTGACTTAGATGTTTCTTGGTAACCTGACTTCTTAGTAACTCCCAGAAGTGACTTTTTTGAAAAGGAGGTTACTCCTGCTAGGGCTGAAAGTTCTCTGTTCCAAGCTTGCCTTGTGGATGGAGGAGCTGCTTCCTTGCAGAAACTCTGGGGTTAATATCAGGACCCTGGAACCCCATGCCTCACCCTTGAAAGGCCTCCCTGCAGGCCGGGCTGTCATCTCTCAAGCCTTTCACACTGCTCTGCTGTAAGGTCATAAAACCGTCATCCAGATGCAGATGAGGAGGACTAGCGCCAAAAAACACAGGCTATAAAAGTGTTAGGGCCCTAAACTATAAGCCATAAGTAACGCCATAGAAGCCGCCAGCACTTCCCCGGGGGCATGACGCTTACAGGAGGTGTGTGGGGTTAGAGCCTTTGCCAGTGTGTCCATTTGTAATGATGTGTAGAGGGGGGACCAGGTTTGGGGCTGGATCTCACAAGGGACATTACTGAAAATGGCTCTTTAGGGAATCGTGTGTATTTCTTCATCCAACAAACATGAAGAGACTCTTCTGCACGCTGACTGGCCATGCACTGGTGTAAAAACAGAGACGTCCAGCCTGCTTGGAGCTTACGGTGGCATGGGGAGGGCGGGTGGACAGCTAAAGCAGGTGGTGAGATCCCAGGGGAGAGGCAGGTGTGCCACAGCCAGGCAGTGGGGTCAGGTGCCAGGGATGCGTGGGTCTGAGGCCGGGGCAATCGGCGGGTAAAGGGATATTAAGGGAACACTTGAAAAATGAGCAGGAGAAGGGCCACATGAGGGGCAGCATGTTCTGGGAGAGGGAACAGTGCGTGTGGAGGCTCCGAGCCCTCAGCTGCTCCCGGGAACCTGGGAGTCTCGGCTGGGTGGGTTGCTGCTGGGCTCCGGCACAGGGCACTCTCTGCAGCCAGGCGGCCTCTGGGTGAAGAGGACAGTGCCAGCTCTCCCTGGGCACAGGGCTCCCCTGGCTGCGGCCACAGCCCTTGCTCATCCCCCGTCTGCCCTGCCGGGCTCTCTTCCTCGCTGCTGTCTTCGCTTCTTCGGCCTGGCCTGCACTGGCCCTTTGGACCCGTCTCCCGGGTCTGTGTCCCCTCTGTCCAGTGTTCCTCCTGCCCTGTTCTGCCCACACAGGACCCCTGGCCCCCACACCCAGCCTTCCTGCTGCCCTCTGGGTGGGATGTCCCCTTTCTCCAGGACACTCATGGGTCCCCTGTCAGGGGCGAGGCAGTCTCTTCTACTCCCAGGACAACTGTCTGTTTAGGTGGAAAAACATTGGCTTCCTGGCAGAGCCACCAGGAGGTAGGGACCCTGGGAAACAAACCCACCTCCTCCTCCTCACCCTTCCTTTTGGAGCAGTTCAAGCTGTACAAAGCCCGGAGCACCAGCCATGGGCGGCTGCTCCCTCCCCCGGCCCCTGCAGCTGGCAGCAGGGCCCTCCCACCTCCTCACATGAGCTGCTGGGCAGCCGTGGACTCACCCCACGGTTAATCCCATTAACTTCAAAGCTCACGACTCTTACCTCGCAGTGTGCCCGGGGCTGCGCCCAACTCCCCATTTGCAGTGTCTCTGTGAAGGTGCCAAAGCCCATGGCCCTCAGCCCGCTTCACAGATGGAAGGAGCGAGGCTCGGTTTAGCAAGGTGGTTGCCGTGGTCACTAGAAAGTGAAGGAGGAGAGCTGAGCCTGGCCTGTCTCCACAATGGATGCGGTAAATGCCTGAGGGCTGCTGTGTCAGGCAGGAACCAAGGGGATACAGTGCTGGGGCCTTTACATTTTGTCAGTGGTGCCAGCGGTGGTGCCCTGCCCATATGTTGGCCATTTGGGAAAACAGCAGCCATGTTTGAAAACACATTGCCCCTTTATTTAAATGGGCAGCTGCTGGTACTCACTGGCCTGGGCGTGTGCATTTTGCTGACATTTGGGGCAGACCCTTCTGTTGAATTCTCGATGCTTCGCGAGGCCTCTTGCCTTGGTCATATGACCTCCAGAGAGTTTTTGCTGCTTTTTAAGTCGTTTCAAGCGATTATTCTCCGGCCATAAAACTCAGCTTTAAAAATAGGTTTCATAAAGGCCCCGACTTTTCTTCTAATTAGTGTAAAGATTTATTGAATATACATCATATGCACAGATCATAATATTATTAAAATTACTATTAAGACTTTACACATCAAAATATTTCAGGCAGTGGGGAGACAGGAAGCCTGATGGTCCCTGAGAATCGAATCTGCATTGGCAAGATAAAGGACAATTGAGGGCGATTACAAAAGCCATGATTTAGAGTACAACATAAAACTCTGCTGAGAACTAATTCGTATTGCCAGCTGCTGCTAAGCTTCTTAATCTTTATCTAGTTCAATTAAAATCTGAATGTTTGGGATTTCATTAACAACCGGGGGTTTGGAAATTACATGCGCTTTTACGCCATACTTCCGTTGCTGACTGACAATATTGGAAGTTGCCCAAAACGTCTCCAGGTAGACTTATGTATAATTAAAACTTAAGTATTTAAAGGCTAATGCAAAGGTAAAAGCAGATTGTTTTAATTTGCAAGTCAGATCCGACTGACAAAGTAAGGAGACTCCACTACAAACGGTGCCCCTTTTGTGGGGAGAGAGAGCATTTAGTAGGCCGAGGTCTGGGCGGTGACCTGCAGCTCATGGTCGAGCCCTCACCACAGGGCCGGTTTCCGTGTGAGGGCCAGGGAGCTGCTTTGGGCATCTTCTTAGCCACTGGGGACCTTGTCACGTTCCTGTGTGTGCAGTCCGTATCCTCACTGTGGTGCAGATGTGTTTGCTGTCTGCCAATTCATTATGCGTTTTCAAGACTTTGCAAGCAGGTCTTTCTAAAATTAAACCAGCCAAAGTGATGAACAAGCTTAACGCCTAACTTCAGATGAACGGTGAAAAGCAAAAGCATCCAGGATGTTTCCTGTATGTGTTTCCTTGGCCTGGGTTGGGGGGGGTCTGTTGTCACAAACGTCATTCTTCACAGGAGAATGGGAGGGTCTGACTGAGGTTGGGGGTGGGGGCAGGGAATCGGCATTGTTGTCCCCTCCATCCCTCAAGTCATCCTGAGACTGGTTGGTGCCTCCCATGTCCTGCATGGCCCGGAGGGATGGCTGCAGCATTTGGGTCTGTGTGAGACACACCTGTTTCGGTTCCCTGAGCATGGGAGGTAGAACAGGGACCCCCAAAGATGCCCCAGTCCTAATCTCTCCACCTCTGAATGTCTCACCTTGCCCCGCAGAAGGGACTCTGCAGATGTGATGAAAGTGAAGGATGCCGAGATGGGAGGTTATCCTGGTTGGTGCCATAGAACCCCAAGGTCCCTTCCAAAAGGGAGGCCGGAGGGTCAAGGTTGGGAGGAGAAAATGTGAGGAGGGAAGCAGAGGTTGGAGTGATGTGAAAGAGGCCATGAGCCCATAACACAGGTGCCTCCAGAGGCTAGACAAGGAAGGATTCTCTCCTGGGGCCTCCCCAGCATGGCTGACACTTGGCTCTTGGCCCAGGGAAACCCATATCAGACTTCTAGCCTCCAGACCTGCAAGATATAAGTGTTCACATTAAGCCATGGGGTTTGTGGTGACGTTACGGCCACAGTAGGAAGCAGATACACCCTGAGACCCAAAGCATGTGGCTCCCCTTCCTATGCCTGTTCTCTCAGCTGTGAAACAAGAGTGGAGAGTGGTACCCAGGCGTTCTTGTGAGGATGGGCGAGATGGTGAATGTGTCACCAGCCTGGGTCAAGGAGGGCGATATTAGCCATGAGCTGCTGCTGGGGTGGCCTTCCTGCTGCTGGTCCAGGTGCCTGGCCTGGTGCTGGTCAAGGCCACGAGTCCTCTGCAAGAGCCAGGGCAGGGGTGGGGGACAGCAAGGGGCTCGAGGCACAGCCGTATCCACGCCCTGCCCCGTCTGGCCCTGCTCTTGCCATTTTTTTCCAGCTCCTCTGGCTGCCCCTCTTCCCCTTCTCTGCCTCATCCTCACCCTCCTGCTTCTCCTGGGTTCCCAGCAAGGCTGCAGCAGCAGGACAGGGATCCAGGTGGGCCCCCAACTGGTCATCTTGTGATTTGGGGGGTGTCTGCTCTCTCCGGTGCCAGCTCTCCTGAAGTCCTCTTCTCTCTGCCTTCTCACCTCCAGCGCCATTGCTTAATTTCCCTGTAGCTCTTTTCAGGGGAGCAGGGAGGAGGAGGTAGGAGCTGGGCTGAGATATGTGGAGCATCACTGTGCATCTGTGCCCACCCCCAGGCCCGGGACACGGAGGCACCAGTGGGAGGAGCCCACGGAAGTCCAGTGGGGCAAGCTGGAAAGCGAGCCTTCAGCAGCAGCCTGGATCCCAGGAGGTCCGATGGGCACGGTGCCATCCTGTTTTGTTTACTTAGGCAACACGTGCACCTCCTCTTAAATAATAGAGGCTACTTCGGAACGGAGTTGACCTGGGGCTGTTCTTCTGAAGGTTAACACGGCCGTAGGGATAGGCTCCTGCCAGTGGCTTCATTTCACACGTTTTTCTGGGTGGTGATGTCCCCAGTTCTATGGGACCCTCAAGGAACCCGTGTCCTGGGGCCTGGGAAGGAAAAGGCCAGGCATTCCTTTCCTCAGCTGCAGATCAGGAAACTGTCTTCACAGCCCCAGGCTTCTATGAAGACGAATCCTGGTTTTAGGTCTTTCTCTGCCCATCCTCCGAACGCAGTTCTCAGCAGTCAGCATTTTGGATTGAAGATAGTGGACGGCACCCCCCCAACCCCCCGTTCTTTGGTGTGGTCGTTATAGGAGTGACTTCCTAGGTAATCACTGAAGTGGCCAGTTTTTGTTATTTTACTTCATTCTGATACTGGTTTTCTGCGTCCTAGTTTTATTATTTCATATTACATTGTATTGCTTCATAATGGTCTGCGTGGTTGGCTTCTCTAAACGATGAGCCCCTGGAGGACAGGACGCCTTTGGTCGTGTTGTGTGTGTGTGAATGTGTGTGTATGTGCTGTGTTTGTTGTGTTGTATATGGTGCATATGCTGTGTGTTTTGTATGTTTTGAACTCTGAATTGTACTAGAGGGCCTGGCTGTGCCATAACAATATTAAGAGGCCTAGAGAAAAGGACAGCAGAAGGGGTGCTATTGGCAGGAGGTTTATAAAGTCCAGGAGCAACTAGAGACGATGTATTTCTAGACTATGTATGTACTAGAGCCTCTGTGTGTGCAGTGTGCTGTGTGTTTTGCATGCAGTGTGCATGTTGTGTGTGTGGGGTTGTGTGTGTGTGTGCAATGCATGTATTGTGTGTGGGGATGTGTGTACAGTGTGTCCTTTGTGTTGCGCATGCAGCACGTGTATTGTGTGTGTGTGTGTTCGGTGCGTGTGTTGTGTGTGGGATGTTTGTGCAGTATGTTGCGTGTGTTGTACATGCAGTGTATGTGTTGTATGTGTGTGTGTGCTTTGTGCATGTGCTGTGCGTGGGTGTGTGTACAGTGTGTTGCCTGTGTTGGGCATGCAGCATGTGTGTTGTATGTGTGTGTGTTCTGTGCGTGTGTTGTGTATGTGCAGTGTGTTGTGTGTGTTGTGTATGCACTGTGTGTGTGGTGTGTGCTCTGGGCCTGTATTGTGTGTGGGGAGTATTTTTCAGCGTCATCTCTGATGTTGAGCCTGACTGTCCGTAAGTGTGTGTTTCGGTGGATCTATAAACCTGCCTTTTTGTTTTGTGATTTTTGTTTTTCTTTGTCTGGGGGCAGAGGGGGAAGAAACCTTCCACCCAGCGTGGCTTTCGAGATGCAGGGCCAGTGCACCTGCCGTATCTTATGCAGCGACCTTACAGTCTTCAGGCATCTAGTGATCAGTGTGCTGTGAACCCCCTGGAAATCCTGCTGAATGCGGATTCCCACTCCCGGGGGAGGTGGGGCCTGAGAGTCTGCATTTCCAACACTTTTTCTCTATGGATGCTGCTGGTGTGGGGACCACACTTTTGCAGCAAGACTTTGAACAGCCTGAGGTCCTCACGACATTCCAAGTCCCTGGACCAATTCCTAAGTTATTAAAAATAAAACTCCCTTGATTCTTTTCAATTCTCTTGACCTCGGTTCACGAACCTCTCTCTTCCCCTTGGTCTCAGAGCTTCCCAGGGCTTTGGTGGCCATGAGTTTGTGCATTTCCAGATGTCATCCAGCTCACCGCTCACGTGCACCTAAGTGGCTGGGTTAACATCAAGATCGAAGGGAGCCACCTTGATCTGGAGCTTGTCATTTTCATGAAAGATGCTGCCACATCACAAATGGATTTGGCAAATGGCTCGCCAGGAGATCCGTGGGAGTTCAGAGATAACTGAAAATATGATCTATATCTGTATATTTGGCTTCTAGAGTGAAGATCGGCCCACGGATTGATCTGATAGGGGTGATAAATATATAGTCCCTAGTTGCTCTTGGACTTTGTAAGCCTTCTGCCAATAGCACCACTTCCGTTGACCTTTTGTCTAGGCCTTTTGATATTCTTATGGCACAGCCAGGCCCTCAAGTACAGTTCAGAGTTCAAGATGGGAGTAGGCTGTGGGTTTCAGATCCTGGCCATCACGCTCTTGAAAACTTTGAAGGCTTCTGTCCATCTCTTCTTCCTTGCTTAGGGTTTCATCTCATCTGTTGATTTTAAGTCTTCCAAAGGTTGCTGGAAAGCATGATTAGATAGATGATTGTGAATCTGGACTCAAGAAATTACCTCAGAATATTATACGTAAAACATTCTAGATTCCTTTAAAAATGCAGTTTACTCTGCAAGAAATGGCTGATTTGCTACTGAGTGATGCCGGTAAGTTTTCTTTTTTCTTTCTTTTTCTTTTTTTTTTAAACGGAGTCTCGCTCTGTCACCCAGGCTGGAGTACAGTGGCACGATCTCGGCTCACTGCAACCTCCGCCTCCCAGGTTCAAGCAATTCTCTGCCTCAGCCTCCTGAGTAGCTGGCATTACAGGTGCCTGCCTCTATGCCTGGCTAATTTTTTGTATTTTTAGTAGAGATGGGGTTTACCATCTTGGCCAGGCTGGTCTTACACTCCTGAACTTGTGATCCACCTGCCTCAGCCTCCCAAAGTGCTGGGATTACAGCGTGAGCCACCGCACCCAGCCGCCATTAAGTTTTTACAAACTTTTCATTGTCATATACACAAAAGCACACAAGTTGTGAGTGGCCAGATGGTGTATCATCTCAAACCAAACACACCCTTGGGGCCAGCACCGACCAGTCAAACACTGGGGCACGGTCCACTCTCCCTGGTCCTCACACCCTTCCACCTGGATCCACTGCAGACCTACAGCTCAGCGTTGCCTGATTTCGAACTTTGTGTCGACAGAGCCCCACTTCACCTGTACGCCTGGCTTCTTTCCTGAGCCGTGTTTGGGGAGCCATCTGTGTCCTGGCTGGGCGGGACTTCTCATTTCCTCCTTGGTGTGGCTATGTTGTAGGTGGGAGGGCTAGTTCAGGTTCTTAACTTTGCCATACAAAAGAATTTGAGAGCCAGTCCATAGTGAGAGTAAGCAAAGAAGTTTATTGGAAAGCAAAAGTCCACTCCGAGAGACAGAGCAGCGGCTCAGAGGGAGATAGCAGCTGCTGCCTTAGGAGGAATTCCTTTCATGGGAGCTGTATGTGAATATTCATGAAATACTGCTGAGGTCGGGGATGCAAAGGCGGATCTGCAGTTGGAGCTTGCACTCAGCACCTACATGCTCCAACACGCCTTGCATGTATCATTAGGCACTCAGCACCTGCATGCTCCAACACACATTGCATGTATCAGGCACTCAGAGCTTACATGCTCCAACACGCCTTGCATGTATCATTAGGCACTCAGCACCTACATGCTCCAAAACACATTGCATGTGTCATTAGGCACTCAGCACCTGCATGCTCCAACACACGTTGCATGTGTCAGGCACTCAGCACCTACATGCTCCAACACACGTTGCGCGTATCATTCGCATACTAGGTCTCTGCCTAGGGGTGTGTTTTTCACTATTAAAATGAGGAAAAGGTCACTATAACCTGAATCTTGAACCTAGCTGGGCAGGCTGGACCTCGAAGAAGTCCCTGCCCCATCCACCTGCCCCAGGCAGGAATCTGTAGCTACTGGCTTCTTGGGATTTGTATGCTGATTGGCTGGATATTGGGGAAACTACATCAGGAAGAGGGGCTTTTGTTTTCTTTCCTGGGTGGTCCTAGGTGTCCTGAGCCTGTAGCCTGCCTGTCTGCTGGTGTCCTGCAGGGCTGGACTGCTTCCCTTCCAAAAGAGTGAGGTGCTGGCATGGGAAGGTGTAAGGGATGTGGAGCCAGCCGGGCTCCACCCACGGGGACAAGTCAGTGTGGCCTGATCTCACATATCCTGCCTGGAAATGTGCCAGGCTTGATTTGTCCAGTGTACTCTTCACAGATATCTGGGTGTCACTAGTGGTGTCACCGTAGGAGCTGTCATATGTGGTGACTGCCCACTGAACAGCCACATGCCGAGTCCAGGCATGGAGAGCTTCTGAAACACGGCTCTCCCTGTGGAGGTGAGATGACCAGAATCACTGTAGAAGTACAAGGAACGTGTGAAACTGCCCAGTGTGTCAGGGCTGAACCTCACTGCCCAGGGGGCGGGGGCATGCAAATATTCCTTTCGTCTTTTTATGGCCCCACGTGAGCCTCTTGGTTTTGAATGTATGTAGCATACATTGACACATTTGTACCATGCCAGGGTGGTGTAATTTTCAAGGGTTCTGCAGATGAGTTCTTTAATATTAAATACTATGTGAGTGCACATACTTAACCAAAGCTGTCACAAAGCTGCCATGAGCCGCAGCGCTGAGCAGTGGACTTAGTTTCATGCTGATTGAATTAGTGGGATCCGATGTCTTTTGTGGGGAGGAGAAGGCAGGGCGAGGTGAAGTCGGTGACACCCTCCTTCTCATTGCACTGTGCAGGAAAGCTGTGCCGACAATTAATCTCTGTCCACCTGCAAACTCTGGCAAAAGTCAGACAATGCCAGCAGTCTGTGGGATTTTTCTGCTGAAATGGCTGCTGCTTTTCTGCCTTGGCATAATTTCCTGTGCCTGGGAGTGATGGGAAATGAGGAGCACCGGGGCTTACTGTTTGGCACCATCCAGACAAAATGCTTAGTGTGTTTCCTTGTCTGATGTGGTTTTCATTTGCTAATGTGAACCTATTCAGTCACCTTCCCAAGGCCTTCTGTCAAAACTGAATTTGATGATTGCAGGCGGAGGAGAGGCTGAGCAGGAAGATTTCTGGAGGTTAGACTTTGCTGTCAGAAACCTGTTGCAGCTACTTCAATGCCCCTCTTCCTGTACATCTGAATTTACTTAAGCCCTGATCAAAGGGCTGGGCTATGGGAAGCAGAGCTCGTAGCCTGTGGTTTGCAGGAGAATTGATTCCTGCCTGGATCTGATGGGAAGTCCAGCAGAGGTGCTCTGAGGCCTCCCACTTCCTGACAGACCTCAGTTGGAGCAGGACTGACTGCATGTTTTCGGGCCCAGAACACAGTGAAAATTTGGAGCCCCTTGTTAAAAAATTACTGAATTTCAATATGGCAACGGCAGAGCATGGAGCCAAGCACAGGGCGCTTCTGAGCGCGAGGCTGGCCCTGTGCAGCTCGGCTGGTGCCCAGGAGATCCTCTCATCTCTCTGGAGCTGGGTCCTGAGGCCAGCTGGCTGAGTGCTGGGGTCCTGGGGCTAGGGGGCTGTCCCTGTAGGGGTGCAGCAGGAGCTTGTGTGCAGGCTGTGGCACTGAGACATGGATGGGGGCGCCTCACTGTGATGACCTTGCAGGTGTGCATAGAGGTGTTCAGCTGTCTTCCTCGAGTTTCCAGAACCATGCAGGTGTGCATAGAGGTGTTCAGCTGTCTTCCTTGAGTTTCCAGAACCATGCAGGTATGCATAGAGGTGCTCAGCTGTCTTCCTCGAGTTTCCAGATGCCCTGGGGGCCCCCTCCTCCTCTAGATGTTCATTTGAGGCATTTTACTTAGCAGTGGATATGGGGTTGAGAACACAGTGATCTGGAAGCAAGGCAAAAAAAGGAGGGAAAAACTTAGGAAGAGAAATGGTTTATAGACAAAACTTTGAAAAGTTTCCCCAAGTGGTCAGTACCTTTTTGTGTTCCTATTTCAGGGAAATGCATGAACTTAATTATTCTATTTAGTGGGGATTTGAACAGTATAAAGACTAATTTGTAGATTCCCTTGTCCTTTAATTCCACAAAAGCTTCATGAACATATAGCAAGTGCCAGGCCCTGTCTAAGTGGTGAACTAAGCAATGTTTCAGAAAGAGTTAGGACAGTTTCGTCCTATTGAATGCATTACTTGGGAGCCTTAGGGATTTGAAAAATCTATTAAAGAGAAGAAGGACATGGAGCAGAAGTGTGGCAGGGGCTGGCCAGGTGTGGCAGAAGCTAGGGTGGCCTCTCCATTGCTCTCTCTGCTCCCCTGTCCCCTGCAAGATGAATTTGTTTGCAGGACAGCTCTCCTGCGGCTTACAGAAATGGGTGGCCTTGTAAAATTCCAAAGTTCGTGCCAGTTGGATGGCTTAGGTCACCTGCCCCCCTCCAAAGCCCATGGGAATGTGGGCTGCAAGATGGTGCCACCTGGAACCAGCCCAGAGCCAGCTGGGGTGGGTAGGCTGAGTGTCTTCAGCCCACTGTCTGGTTGGGGGTCTTTGCTAGAGTGGGTGATGGGGGTTCGTCTTGCACAAGCCAGGACGGGAGGGCAAGGCTCCATGTCCTACTCAGCTCATGCTGCCATACTAAGTACCACAAACCAGGTGGCTTCAACCAGTGGTCCCCAACGTTTTTGGCACCAGGGACCAGTTTCGTGGAGGATAACTATTTTATGGACCTGGGTTGGGTGGGGGTTGGTGTCTGGTTGAAACTGTTCCACCTCAGATCATCAGGCATTAATTAGATTCTCATAAGGAGCGTGCACCTTGGATCCCTCCCATGCGCGGTTCACAGTAGGGTTTGCACTCCTGTGAGGATCTAATGCTGCTGATCTGAGAGGAGGCGGAGCTCAGGCGGCCATGCTGGCTCTCCAGCTGCCCCCTTCCTGCTGTCCAGCCTGGTTCCTAACAGGCCATGCACTGCCATGGGTCTGCAGCCCCGGGGTTGGGTACCCGCAGCTTAAACAACAGGAGGTCGTTTCCTCACTGTTCTGGGGGCTGGAAGTCTGGGATGGAGGTGTTGGCAGGGTTGGGTTTTCCTGGGGCCTGGCTCTGTGGCCTGCAGATCCTGTCTCCTTTTTGTATCTTCCCATGATTTTCCTTCTGCGTGTCTGCGTCCTAGCTCCCTCTTCCCACAGGGACACCAGTCACCTCAGATTGGAGCCCACCCTAAGGACCTCATTTTGCCTTAATCACCACTTCCAAGGCCCTGGCTCCAAATACAGCCACGTTCTGTGGTACTGGGGGGTAGGGCTTCAAAATAGGAATTTGACGGGGACACAGGTCAGCCCTAACGCTTCCCAAGGTGTCCCCACCCCACTCCACTGCACAGTGGAGGCGGGTGGTGTCCTGGTCCTCCTCGTTTCCATCAGATCCATACAGTGAAGCGAACCTCCGGTGACTCAGGCTCAGATGTTCTGGGTGAGATGGGTAGTTAGTTGAATTCCAAGTGGATCAAACGTTTAAAATTAGCTCATTAAACACACACCCACACCCACACACACCCACACCAGCAATGTGTGTTTATCTGAACTTTGAATAGGCATGGAGAAGTTCTTGTTGAACAGAAAAAAAAGTAATGAAATCAGAAAGGAAAAGATGGATCTGACTCAATAAATATTTTAGAAATAAATTTTATTAAAAAGGTTTCACATTAAAAGGCAAACATATTGGGAAAATAATTTCTACAAATAATGAGGAAGAACTTCTCACCTTTCCATATAAAGATGTAATATAGACTGGTGAGAACAATGCAAATTAGGACAGTGCCCAAAGTACAAAACAGCAAAATTACAGAACAGCAGATTCAGATATTTAGTAAACATAGACAAAACATGTTACACCTCACTAGTAACCAAGGGAAAGTCTAGAAAACTGTCTTACCACTTTGGTGTTACCAATTAAGCAAAGTTTGTGTTTGTGTTAATTTTCTTTTAATTGGTTTACTCAAAACTGGCCAAGACCTATGGGTTGGATGTATATGCTGCATCAAGAAATGTTAAACTGAAATTGAAAAAAAAATTGACGAACTATCTCAAGGGCCAGAGAAATGGTTTTGCGGTTTTACTCAGTGATTCAAGTTCTTGTCAAGCCTGAAAAAACAAAACATCTGAAAGTGGGTGGGAGTGTGTGGGACGCGCCAGGGCGGGGCGGCCAGTGCATGGCACAGCACCCTGGCTTCCTGCGGAGCCGGCTGCATCCACACCTGTTCCTCCTGTGCCCGAGCCTGTGAGGTCATTGTGCGTGCACATGTGTACTGTATGTGTTTACATGCCTGCATGTGTGTAATGTGTGCATGTGTTGTGCATATATGTGTTTGCATGGGTGTTGTGTGTGAGACTGCATGTATTTGTGATGTGCACATGTGTGGTGTGTATATGTATGTGCATGTGTGTGATGTGTGGTGTGTGCATGTGGGTGGTGTGTGTGTGGTGTGTGCATGTGTGTGTTGTGTATGCGTGTGGGATGTTTGTGATGTGTGCATTTTGTGATGTGTGCATATGTGCGGTGTGTGTGTGGTGTGTGCATGTGTGTGGTGTGTGTGTATATGTGTGTAATGTGTCCATTTTGTGATGTATGCATATGTCAGTGTGTGTATGGTGTGTGCATGTGTGTGGTGTGTGTGTATATGTGTGCGATGTGTACATTTTGTGATGTATGCATATGTGTGGCATGATGTGAGTGGTGTGGTGTGTGCATGTGTGTGTGCATGTGTGAGTGTGTGCGCCCATTCTGCTTGGTGATCATGGGCCCTGCCTGGGAGGCAGAGTGAGGAGCCGCCAGCCCCCGGGTGCACAGGTGGACCTTCCAGCTGGTCCGTATTGGGGACCCCTTGCCCCTGCAGTCCCCACCATCAGGACTGCACCCCCTTCTTTGCTGAGGCCCAGCTGGGAGTGACTTTCTCGCTAGAGCCTGGCCCTCCTCGTGAGACCCTACTGTGGTCATCTCTGATGGCTTGGCCAGCGTTCTCCTTCCTCTTTGCACACGTCACTCCTTCCAGCTACTCCATGTCCGAGGATGTGAGTGGTTATTAATTTTGTGCAGCGTATGATGACCCCTTCCAGAACAGAGCTCGAGCTCTGCCCCCTAGAGCTTGTGGGACGGGACACCAAAGTGCCTGCAGTCCCTCCTCTCCAGCCTGCATTTCCCACCCATCCTCGGCTTGCTCTTGCCTGCCCAGTGCAGAGAAGCGAGCTTGCCTGGGATTGCAGGGGTGCTCGGCAGGTCCTCTCCCTCGATCCAAGCTTTCCTACCCCCTCACTGCCTCCAGGGCCTGGGGGTCTCACTCCTGTGGGGTTGCGGTGAGCCCTTCCCTATCCCTGCCCCAGGGTGGCCCCCAGTGCCTTCCAAAGACCGATTCTAATACTGCAGGGAGGAAATGCATAGAACAGGCTGGCTCTGCTCCAACGTGACTGTGCTATGCGGGCTCATCGAGGCCTGGTCGTGTTTGAAATCTCATTTATTTCACCACTCTCAATCGTGCACTACGTGGGGCCTGGCTTAGCCCGAGTGTCTGATGAGGGATTTGCGGAGTGGTTCAGCATGCTTCACTGTGAGTCTCCAGCCACCAGCAAAGGGAAGAGCCCGGAGACCCAGAAGCAGCAGGGAGGGTTCTGGAGCTGGCACCTGCAGCCGGGTGGGGAAGTAGGTGCGAGCACTCCCCGGGAAGCCTACACAGCTCCCTTCATCTTTTAAAATGAAGGGCATCTTTCGCTCTCATTTTTTAGTTCACCATTGAGTCGCCCTTGGCACGCTTTGTTTTTCATCTAAACAAACCCTGTCGGGAAGCCACCAGGCACCAGGCGTGTCTCACAGTGCATGGACCACTGCGTGAGAGCAGCGTGGATTTCACGATCAGACGGTTGCTTGCAGCCTGCATGAGATGAATGAGCGCTGTCTGCCCTGGGAACATCACAGGGGTGGTCACAGTGCAGTGTTTTGGGGTCACTTTTGGTTTTATGAAGGTATAATTGACAAATAAAAAATGTATATATTTATGGTATACAACATGATGATTTTTTACATTTTTGTTATCATTTTTTGTTTAAGACATGGTCTCGCTCTGTCACCCAGGCTGGAGTGCAGTGGTGCAATCATAGCCCACTACAGCCTCAAACTCATGGCCTCTAGTGATCCTCCCACCTCAGCCTCCTGAGTAGCTAGGACTACAGGTGCACACCACCATGCCCAGCTAATTTTTGTTTTTTGTAGAGATGGGGTCCCATCATGTTGCCCAGGCTGCTTTCAAACTCCTGAGCTCAAGTGATCTGTGCACCTTGGCCTCCCAAAGTGCTGGGATTACAGGCGTGAGCCACAGCACCCAGCTAACAATGTGTTGATTTTATATACGTATGATTCTCCAGATCAAGTCAGTTCACATCTCCATCACTTCACCTTGTTACCTTTTGTGGTGAGAGGTGAGAACATTTATGGTCCGTTCCTTTTACAGATTTCAAATTAACCATACAGTGTTGCTACCCCTGGTCTCTGAGCTGTACCTTAGATCCCCAGAAATCACCCATCTTAGAACTGAAACTTTGTCCCCTTTGACCAACAGCTCCCCTCTCCCCACTCCCAGCCCCAGGCAACCATTGTTCTATTCTCTGCTTCTATGAGTTTGACGTTTTTAGATTCCACGTAGAAGTGAGATCGTGCAGTATCTGTCTTTCTGGGCCTGGCTTGTTTTATTTAGTATCGTGTCCTCCAGTTTCATCCATGTTGTTGAAATGCCAGGATTTCCTTTCTTATGGTGGATTACTAGTCCCTTGTGTGTACGTGTGTAGACCACAATTCATTTGTCTGTTCGCCCACCAGTGGACACTGAGGTGGATTCCATATCTCAGCTGTTGAGAAGAATGTGCTGCAATGAACTTGGGACTGCAGGGATCTTTTTGAGATCCTGACTTCATTTCCTCTGGATAGATGCCCAGAGGTGGGACCACTGGATCGTATGGTAGTTCTACCTTTAATGTTCTGAGGAACCTCCATGCTATCTTCCATAACGCTCATCCCAATTTATCTTCCCAGCAACAGCGGAGGAGGAGGAGGAGGCTTCCCTTTTCTCCACGTCCTCACCGAGGCTTGTTATCCTCGTCGTTTTGACAGTAGCCGTCCTAACAAGTGTGCGATGACAGCGCATTGTGGTTTGAATTTGCATTTCCCTGGTGATTCGTGATATTGAGCACTTTTTCATAAACCTGTTGGCCATTTGTATATCTGTGTTGAGAAATGTCTGTTCAGGTCCTCTGCTAATTTTTTTATTACATTGTTTTCTTGCTATTGATTTGTTTGCATTCCTTATGTATTTTGGCTATCAACACCTTTATTTTAAACATGACTCAGCCCAGATGGGTCTAAACACGAAAGCCTCCACTCACAGCTGGAAGCTCCATGCCAGACTCCTCCTCCTTGGGCTCAGGTGCATAGGGGCTCAAGGGGGACCGGCCTCATCCTGAAGCTCATCTCATTTCTGGGGCTGCAGTGATTGAATGGGTTGGGTGGGGCTTGTGATCTGGATGGGGTCAGTGAGATGCTCATGGCTTTCTGGATTTCTGGGAAAGAAACGTTTCCTCCTCTGGGCATGAGGCAGGAAGATGCCAGACCGATGCCTGGTATCCAAAAGGAGAGAAACTGGGGGACATTGAGCTTCCAGTGAGTGTGGAGCTCAGAGCAAAGAGAAAGCTAGCCCTGGGGACAGGTGGGTGCCCTGATAAAAAAGACCAGAAGCCAGCCAGCCTCAGACAGATTTTCAGCTGTGAAAGCCCATCAGCCCGGCTTCGGTGTAGCCAGGTTTCTGTCTCCAGCTGCAGAAAGAAAAAGGACGTGAGAATTGAATGATGCCAAGAAACTCGCAGAACCAGGCAGGAGGATGTCGGGGAGAAACGAGGAGTGTGCTGGACCTGTTCGTCATGAGGCTCCCTCTCTGTCTCGTGACAAATTGACAAATAAAAGTTGTATATATTTATGGTATACAACATGATGATTTTTTACGTTTTCATTATCATTTTTTGTTTAAGACATGGTCTTGCTCTGTCACCCATGCTGGAGTGCAGTGGTGCGATCATAGCTCACTACAGCCTCAAACTCATGGTCTCAAGCAATCTTTCCACATAAGCCTCCTGAGTAGCTAGGACTACAGGTGTACACCACCATGTCCAGCTAATTTTTTGTTTTTTGTATTTTTTGTAGAGATGGGGTCCCACCATGTTGCCCAGGCTACTTTCAAACTCCTGAGCTCAAGTGATCTGCCCCTGGGTGGAGGACTTCCAAGGGAACAGGCGATTTCCACAGGGCCCTGGAAGCTGGGTTTCTGATGCAGGCACTGAGGGGCTCTCCAGGGGGAGGAAGGATTTGGCAGCTTCCCTTTGAAGACAGGACTCAGTTTTCCTAATTCACGTCCTCCTCTTCCTCCTGGGTGCTGTTGGCAAGTTCCTTTGGGTTAGGATGGGGCAGGTTTCAGGGCAGTCTATGAAACAAGAAATGGAAGTTTACTTCCCAAACAGAAGGGCAATTTTGGATAGACTTCTTGACAGATCTGCATTTTTCAAAATCCAATCCATCGGAAGAAGTTAGGACAAGGAAAATCTAATTTTCTGGAACATCGGAGATGGAAAAGGCACTGCGGCCCGCAGATAGAGACCGCCGCGCTGACCTAAGTCGATAAGTTGAAGGCTCTAACAAGTTTGAAAAAGTCCACTTGGCCCCCTAAATCAAGTTCAGGCGGCAGAACAAATGTGTTGTTCCAACAGAGACGGAACAAACCTTTGGCTGGGAGGAAGAATAAAGTCATCAGCTCCCTCTTATCAGGTTTCTGTCTCTCTCCCTTCCCATCTGCCATCTGCTGCATCCTCGAAGCAGGGATCGCTTTGCTTGTTAAAGGGAAAGTGGTTGCTTTTCAGCGCAATTAATTTAGTAGGCCACAAATGTTGCTGACTGATGGGTGGAAGGTTTGATCAAACAGATTGGTTAATTGGTAGTGAAGAAATGCTGGCCATGTGAAAAAGGATGAAAGTGAAGTTGGACTTTGCTGTCGTTAGAGCCGCCGCCTCTGCTTTTCGGGTGAGGGGAGTTTCTCTTTCTGAGTCATCGTTGCCCAGAGCTGGGGCCTGGCCACCCTTTTTGTTTTAGCCATTTGTACAGCATGATAGTCACAGCCGAGAAGCAGGGCTGGGTGGGGAGGCGCCTGGACGTGGGTCCTCCAGCCTCCCTCAGGTGCGTGCAGCCTCTGTACCTGAACGTCTGGCAGCAGCCTTTAAAGACGTGCCTTGCAGTGGAGTGATAAGTCTTGCACGTAACCTGCTATTTCTTTTTTTTTTTTTAGTTTATTTATATACTTATTATTTTTATTACTATTTAGAAATCTGAATACCATGTTCAAATATATTTCCTGGCCAGGTGCGGTGGCTCATGCCTGTGATCCCGGCACTTTGGGAGGCCGAGGTGGGTGGATCACGAGGTGAGGAGATCAAGACCATCCTGGCTAACACGGTGAAACCCCGTCTCTACTAAAAATACAACAAATTAGCCAGCTGTGGTGGCGAGCGCCCGCAGTCCTGGCAGTGACTTGATCTTGGCTCACTGCAAGCTCCGCCTCCCGGTTTCACGCCATTCTCCTGCCTCAGCCTCCCGAATAACCTGCTATTTCTAACATGGGATAAATTAAGGCGCCTTTGCCACTGAGTCTCCAGGTGCCTGCACTGTAAATTCTATCAAATCTGTTTGCATTGAAGTGTTTATTAGCAGCCCCCACCCTCGTGACCTGATTGGATGGGGAGGTCTGTGGCCCATTGCATCTCCCAGCTCACGTGCCTGCCAAAGCCTGCATTCACCATTGCTCCAGACCAGGTTTCCTGACGCCACAGGCATGGGGGGCTGGATGAGTCTGTGGTGGGGCGTCCTGTGCACTGTATGGTGTTGAGCAGACTCCCAGGCTGGCACCCACTGGAGGCTGGTAGCACCCCTCCCCTAGGTGCCACAACCAAAAATGCCTCTAGATGTTGCCCAGTGTCCCCTGGGAGCAGGGACCCCCTTTCCACCATGCCCGAGACCCCCACGGTTCTAGACAAAGGGCACTTCTGGGAAGCGTTTTTTCCGTGTGAATTTGTGGGTGTCCAGCCAGCCAGCAAGGGTGAATTTGCACGAGTTTCCTCAAGGGACATGTCAGAGTGGGGTAAAAGTAGAGTTAATGCCCCATGGCATTTAGGGAAAAACAGAATGATCCAGCCATTGCAACTGTGAAGTGTTGTGCACACTTATTGGAGGAAAACGCCAACTGTGTTTGTTCTTAGCAAACCTAAATGGGTAGAGGTTAAGAGACCCAGAGAGACTAAAGGGCTGGAGGGTGGTTTCCTGCTCTCCGTCCCGGCTGGAGGGACACTTTTCACCTGAAACCTGGAGGTGGGACCCATGCGCCCCCACCCTGTGCTGTTGTGGTGGCAGGATGTGTGAAAGGGGAACTCACCATCCTAATAGATGTTAAACTGCCCGGCTCCTGTTTAGACAGCAGTTTGCTTTGCGTTGACGACTCTCCCGTATGTTCCTCTCCATCTGGAGTGAAGTTTCCCAACAGCCCCGGCTTTGCAGAAGACACCAGCCTGGGATTCACAGTGCTCAGCTGACCAGCAGTGAGTGCCAGCGGATGCAGCCTTGGGTTTTGTTTGATCCTGTCCAAGATTTACTGCTTTGAATGATTCAAAAACCTAAGCGTGTGACAATGATTTGAACTGACGTTCTTTTTTTTTCTCCTTTACCCCTTGCCTCATCTCTTAGGATTAACTGGGACTCTCCTAAGAAAACCTTATCCATTTGGTTTTATTATTAGATCATGAATCGGGTAGGGATTGCTGGAGGCTATGATGTGGGCATGCGCTCTAGAAGGGCACCATGGTCCAGAAGGCCTGGTTCGTGCCCAGGAGGAGCCTGGAATCAGTGATACTCAGTCAGAATACATGCTCAATGCATAGCCACTGATGAGGAAATTAGAAGCTCAGTGAGGTCAAGAAGCGTGTTGAGCTCTTTGGCTTTATGTTATTAATTACTACCACTTGTTTGGCACAGAGAGAGTAATCCCTGGATATGCACTGATTGAGTTGAAGTGGTGACTTGCCCCTTTTCCCATGTAATGTTTCTTTTCATTCGTTTATTCACAAATGCCCAGTCACCCTCTCTGTGCCTGCCACTGCACAGATGCCGGTGGTAGAGAGCTGGGCAGAGACCCCTCCTTGCCCGCAATGATGCTGCCATCGGCCTGAGCCATGGTGGGGCACCACACACTGATATGGAGATGCTGCACACCATGCATGTCACATGATGCCGTGATAAACAGATGACTTAGTTTCCACGATCTTAACAGGTGACAGCACTGAGCGCTTGCCCTGTAGCTGCCAAAGACGCTCACCTCATGGTCCTTAGCTCAGCCCTCTCTGTAGTATTACAATAAGCATAATAATATAACATATAAAAATATAACATATAACATGTTATAATAAATATTATAATATATAATAATACAATAAGCAGGTGCATTATTATCCCCATTTTACAGGTGGGGAAACTGAGGCTCAGGAAGGTGACGTGTGTAGGGCCAAAAGGACACACTGGGATTGCTAACATTTCCCAGGTCAGAGAATTCATCGATTAAAAATTCCCTGTTATGCTCCACCGGGAAGCAGGGCTAGATCGCACTGTTAAGAGTGCATCACATGTGCAGCCTCATTCATCCGTCCACCTTGTGGGCTCATCAAGGCTTCCGTATCTTGGCTTTGCTGAATAATGCTGCAATGAGCACGGGCATGCGGAGGTCTCTTTGAGATCTGATTTCAGTTCTTTTGGATAAATACCCAGAAGTGGGATTGCTGGATCATATGGTAGGTGGTTGCCTGGGGCTGGGGCAGGGGAAATGGGAAGTCACTATTCAAGGGATATAAAGTTTCAATTATACAAGATGAATAAGTTCTGGCTGGGCACAGTGGCGCATGCCTGTAATCCCAGCACTTTGGGAGGTGGAGGTGGATGGATCACTTGAGCCCAGGAGTTCAAGACCACCCTGGCCAAAACATGGTAAAACACCATCTCAATTAAAAAAAAAAAAAACAAAATTAACCAGGCGTGGTGTCAGGCACCTGTAGTCCTTAGCTACTCAGGAGGTTGAGGCGGGAGAATCACTTGAACCTGGGAGGCGAAGGATGCAGTAAGCCGAGATTATGCCACTGCACTCCAGCCTGGGTGACAGAGTAAGACTCCATCTAAAAAAAAAAAAAAATGGTGAATAGATTCTGAAGATCCACTGCAGAACATCCAGCCAATGGTATTTTGTTGAGCACTTGAAATTTGTTGAGGATAGATCTCATGTTAAATGTTCTTCCCACAATAATTTTTGCAAAATTGCTCGTATTTTTGCAGCATCTCCCAGGTGGGACTGTTCCCTCTCTGCATTTATTTGGGCCTCGGTGTTGCTGATGTTGCAGGGCCTATGGATTTCCAGAAGAGCCTGAGGGTCTCTTCCCAAGGCGTCTTATGCATGCTGACTGTGTCTTCTCCCTGCGTTCCTTGTTTCAGTTTTTGTCACGATTGTTCATTTGCTCATTCAACCAGCATCTTTGAGCATCTGCCGTGGGTCAGACCCAGTGCTAGGCACAGGGTGTCATTTTTCTAGTCCCTGGGGGCTCACAGCCTGGTGGGCAAGAGGAGCACCAACCACAAAACCATGCAGGTGTGGGTGAGACTGGAGTGTCGGTGGGGTTGGGTTGGCCTCCACAGGGAGCGGTGACCTGGTGGTCTCAGCCACTACCATGAAATGTTTTACTTCAGCCAGAGGGTCTCAACTGGGACAGTTCTGCCCCCAGAGAGCACTTGGCAATATCTGGAGACATTGATGTTTGTGAGTGGGGGATGGGGGTGCTATTTGCATCTGGGAGGTGGGAGCAGGGGTGCTGCCAAGTGCCCTACCCAGGGCTGCCTCCCAGCAGAGAACCCTTCAGCCCCAGGTGTCAGCACTGCTGAGGTCGAGGAAGCCTGGCTTTAGTGAGACCTGAAGATGAACAGGAGCCAAGCAGATGAAGAGGCAGGAAAGGGGCCTGGGCAAAGGGAGCAGCGTGCGCAGAGGTCCTGTGCTGGGAGGGAGTGTGGGGACACGGCCAGGTGGCTGGAGGGGTGGGCAGGGCTGTGGCGTGAAGACAGTATGTGGGCAGGGCGGGGTGCACAGGCTCCAGGCCTAGGCGGGAGCCAGGGGAGCTCCTCTTCCTGCCCCTGCTGTGGGGAAGTGTCCCAGGTCTCTCCTCCAGGCTGGCTCTGTCCAGCTGCTCTAGCCTTTTAAACCCCCGGGTCCTTCCCCAGGGTCCCCTGACACCGTGGGTCCTCGGTGGGGTGGCATTGACCTACCTAGTCCCGCCTGTGGTCAGCCACACCGCACATTTCCACCTCGAGAGCGCATGCGAGAGAGAGGAAGAGAGAGAAGGCTCTGTGGGTCTCATTAGTCGTTGATTGAGGTCAGAGAGCTCTGGCGTTTATTTAACTCTGCAAATTAGAACAGTTAATTTCCTGGGAAATGAATAGAGTCTTCTCATTGATCTAGGGAAGAGCGGGTTTCACCTTAGGAGGGCAGAGGGAGGAGGCGAGGCAGGTTCTGCTAATTCCAGAGGCGGGGTTACTCTTAACAAAAAACGGCTTGATTATCTTTGCTTTTTTGCTGGAAATTTTTTTTTAATTTTTGATGTCTTAAAAAATATAGCCTTGGAATGCTAATGTTGTTAAGTTTTCCTTAAAACATTTCACATTGTGTGTGTGTGTGAGAGAGAATATAAGGATTTTTTTCCACGGGTCAGTGTGTTTGGAAGACACCACGTGGCCTCATCTCCCTTGGGTACTTGGGTACCTGATGTATGTGCTGACACCTTCCATGTAGACGTGCGGTGAGCGGAGGACTTCCGGCTTCGTCAAATTCAGCCGTTGCCACTATTTGATGGCAGAGCCGCCTCCCTGGAGTAGCCTGCAGAATTGGTGCTTCTCAGCACAGGCCTGGGAGATGCTGCGTGCCACGCATGTCACATGATGCCGTGATCAACAGATGACTTAGTTTCCATGATGTTAACAGGTGACAGCACTGAGCCCTTGTCCAATAGCTGCCAAAGACGCTCACCTCATGTTCCTTAGCTCAGTCCTCTCTGCAGTCTTACAATAAGCATAACAATATAACATATAAGAATAATATATTGTAGCATATATTATAATAATAAATATTATATAATAATATAACAAGGAGCTGCATTATTATCCCCATTTTACAGGTGGGGAAACTGAGGCTCAGGAAGGTGACATTGAACATGAAACCCCATGCTTGAGGTTACGTGGTTGGTCAGAGGTCCCCCCAGGATACGAACCCCAGGATTCGGGTCCAGCAGTTCTTCCGGGTCCTTGTACTTGCTTCGGGGATGGTTATTTATTCATTCAGTGCAATGGGGTTGGTGCCGTCTGTGTGCTTTGCACTCTGCTGGCCTGTGGTTGGGAGCTAACGTTCCTCATTTGACTAACTACCCCCCATCCCCTCCAACTCCCCACATACACAGGAGAGGGGAGGCTGCTAATTCTGCACCTGAGGCTTCGCCTGGCTCTGTGGGTGCACCAGGCTCAGTCTCTCCCGCAGCAGCTGGGAGGTGCCGGCATCAGGATCCGCAGCCCACACCTGCAGCTGAACTGAGCGGAGACCTGGCTCCTGCAGTATCTGAGCCGCCTCCCCTTTCCTTCCCAGACTGGCATGAAGGGAGAAAGAAGTCAAGATTCTCTGTCTCCCTTTACAGCCCAGGATGAGTCCCTTCCTTGGTGCCTGAATCCCCTCCTGGGTCCTGGTGTGTGCAGTGGCTGTCACTGCAGCATTCGGGATCCTGGGGTGTGCTGAGGCAGCAGGAAGCTGTGCCCAGAGCAGCTTTTGTCCCAGAGCCCTTTCCAGGCAAGGCTGTTTGCCAGCCACACAATATGTTCACTTCATCCAACGCTGAGACGCAGCCACCGAGGGGTAGCATCCTGGAAGGAACAGATAGATGGCAGGGAGCGGAACACTCACAACTGGAGAGGAAAGTGACAGACTGGGGTGGGGGCCCCTGGTTCAGTTCCCAGTGGACTTGTGCAGAGGCCTTTGATCGCAGCAGTGCATTTCTTCAAGAGTGTATTGGATGCTCTTCACACAACAGGCTCTATCCCTGGTGTCCCCTTTTATGTCCCAGGCTGTCAGGAGGTCTTGTTATCTTTTACAGATAGGAACACTGAGCTCTAGAACATTCAAGGATCCTCCCTGTCATTTCACAGGTGCAGAGTTGAGACTTCCAGCCAGCATCCAAGGGCCTGAGCTTATCTGCCCAGGACGCACTGCCGGATATACCCCTCGCCTCTCCAAATTTGAGTATTAGGAATGACGGTGGCAAGAGGATAGCAAGGAGGCATGAGGATTCCCTTGCGGCACGGGGTCTTCTGAGAGTCAGCTGGCTTTCCCTAGGGGAGTGTGCACCTAGAGGACTTCTCTTCGTTAGGAGTGATTGCCACTAGCTGCAGGGCAGCCCAGTGTCCCGAGTGGGTGGCAGGTCAGCCCCTGTCCCCTCGTCTTGGCCTCTGCATGAACTCATCACACATTTGTTCATCAGCCTGCCAGGAGGGGATGTTTGGGAAAGTCTTCATCGAGTGAGTGCTTCACCTCCACCAGGCATTCATGGCTCACGTGCAGCCTGATTGGAAAGTTCTATTCAGTTGGCTGAATCCATGCACAGGAAGAAACAATACACCAAACACAAAATAATGTGTGATGCCTATAATTCTTTGGCCACCTGACGTCGGAGCCAGTGACATTCAGCTTCTGCCACCATTCTGTCATGTTACGCGGGCCTGCAACCCCTCCCCACCCCTGCTCCCTGACGGTGATAATTTACCAAGACTGGCGTCTTCGTGGGTGTTTTAGTCACCAGTTCGGCAATCAGAGCACATTCTGGATGCTTGGGTTTCTAGGTTGGGGCCACAGGGACTGTGGCTATGCAGGAACACTGAAGGGGGCTCTCCCTGGAGAGGAGGGGCCTCTCATCTTGCCGTCACCTTTAGTACATGCAAAATGGGTTTGTTTTAGCTCTTGAGAGCATTTCAAAGAGGCTTGTTGCAATTAATGCCTCCCTGTTGGGGAAATTGAGATTGTATGATCCTAAGAGTGGAAGGACGGAGATGATAATTGTGACTTACCCAGAGACAAGGCCTTTGAACCTGAAGTTACGGGAAAATATTAGCTCTGGTGCCAGCACATTTGAGGGGAGATCGCAAAGATGGTTTCCAACAAGATAGAACTTGACACAGCAGTTATGCCATTTACTTTTGTATAAAAATCCAATTGTCTGTCCTTACTGGCTGCCAAGGGTGTGGGAGTGTGTGCGATACTGAGTAGGGACCCAGATCGTCCAAATGTGGTCCTGGCCTTTGGGTATGAAGTGTGTGCCTGGCTGTGGAGACAGATTTGCAGAGGGCCAGGGATGCTGGGCCTGAGCAGGGGCTTCTGTATGTGGTACAGTCCAGGAAGCCCTCCTGGAGGAATTTGAATATTAAATTGAAACTGATTGCATTAGTGTCCTGGGGCTGCCACAACAAATTTTCCCAAACTGGGGGGGCTTAAAACAACAGATCTCTTTTTCTCTTTCAGTTCTGGGGGCCAGAACTCTGATGTCAAAGTGTCAGAGAGCCATGCTCCCTCCGGTAGTTCTAGGGGAGGACCCTTCCTGACTTTGGCCAGCTCCTGGTGGCTGCTGGCAGACCTTGGCTGTGGGCTCAGATGCTCCAGTATCTGCCTGGCTCATCACGTGGCCTCTTCCTGGTGTGTCTGAGTCTCTTCTGTGTCCACATTTCCCTCTTCTTGTAAGGACAGCAGTCATGGGGTTAGGACTCACCTTAGTCTGGTATGAACTCATCTAATTTGTACCCAATAAGGGCACCTTCTGAGTTTCCAGAGGAATGTGACTTTTGCAAGCATGCTGCTCAACCCAGTACACCAATCCACAATGAATATGAAAGAGGAGCAGTGGAGGAGATTCTAGCGCCCAGGAAGAGTTGCCCTAAGTCATCTTCAAGGCACTTCGGCTGTGTGTCCATCTGCACACCTCCCCATTTATAGAGGGTGTGGCAGGCACTTGACCCAGGAGAGCTTTGGGACATGGAACTCGCTGGGAGGCCATCAAATAAGGAGATGCAAGAACAATTTCCGAGACCACATCGAGCCTGTTTCTTAAGCTTGCAGGAAGCACTCACAGCCATGCCTGCAGGGGTCCTGGCTCCTACCCCTTGCAGCTGGGGGATGCTGGGCGAGTCCCGTAACCTGCCAGTGCCTCATGTCCAGAGCCACCAGAGGCCCTTTCCCCATGGGGCTATGTGGATGTGAGACAAGATGGAACACATCATGTACATCTCACGGTGCCTGACGCACAGCCAGCCATCTGGAAAGAGTGGACGGCATTTTTGCAACATCCTTCGGTGGGTCATAAGTAAGTGGTCACTGGAAAAAAAAAAAAAAGTCTTGGCTTTTAAAGTCTTTCATGTAGAAAATCTCTTGAAGAGGTTCAGAGGAAGCTGGCATCCCTGAATTTTGTTTCACGTGGCCGTAAGGCAAATCCAAAGGTATCTTTCTCTTTCTGGAGTGAAGTTGCTATTTTAAATTCTGTTAATGTCCCCTTACCTGTAGATAGTAGGGCCTTGAAATTTCTCATTTTTTTTTCTGATAAAGGGCAAAAAGAGAAGTAAAGACTGCATTTCTTGAGAGATGTCAGAACGGGAGGGGTGTGTTTTGGGGAAGAGAGGAAATTCAGGCAGTAAGTGGCCTTTTCATCAGGTGGGGGTCTGTGGGGCAGGGGGTTAGATGTGCAGGGGACAGCATTTGAGTTCTTGGAGAGATTATGAAGCCAGGAGCACTGGCCCAGGGTGGTGCGACTTGGGGGGGCCACAGCAAAGCGGGCCCCGACAGGAAGGGTTGAAAATGCCACTCAATGTGCAAGAGTGTTTATAGGTTTAATTTTAAAAAAAGAAAAAAAAGCAGCGCTGTCTGTAAAGAGTTCCATGGCCATCAGCTTTGGAGGGCTGCCTCCAACAAAGCTAACAGGCTTTACTAGAAAATTTCTTGAAAACCCAACACCATGTGTGCTTCTTGCCACGGGTGCCGACGCAAGTGGGTTGCCTCTTTTCCCACCAGAGCCCGTCTGGTTGGCCTGGTCAGTGCCGTGCCATTCCCAGCTTCTCGCTCTCCCTGATGGTGGCGGTACCGGTTCAAACCCATCAGGAAGTGAGGAGCTGCCTGTCCTAATATACCCGTGATAGTAGTGGGAGTGGAACTCACTGTAACTACATTTTCCCTTCTGTTTGTTTTCAGACACTAACTTTAAGGGACAAATAGAGTGGAGGATGGAGTAAGGTGGCAGGTCCAAGTTTTTCTCATGGAATCTTGGCTCAGGCAGGGATGGATATGCCACCGTTTGCATACTTCTCCACCGCACTGCCTTGTTTTAGGAAGGGCTTAGCCCAAAGTTTAGCTCATACTAGGTTTTGTGAACATATTCAACAAATAAAGGATTGAGTGACCTGTTTGAAACCTGTTGGTTTGCTGATTAAAAAATAAGCATAAGAGGAAAATTGCTGAGAAAAAAATGTTATTTTATGAAATACACAACACTCTTTCCAATATGTTGTGTGGCTTCAGAATCTTCTGGAAATCCTCCGATAGTCTAGCCAGAGGAGGATATGACATTTTAGTCAATCAATGGTGCAAGCATCACCCTGAATCTGTCACAGCATATGAAGTAGATAACCAGTTAAAAAATATTCAGTAAAAGAAAATCAAACTAGCCTTAAAATTACACTGTATGGAATTCCATTCTTCCTTGATCCAGAAGGCACACAGGTATTCTGGAAGACACTGGGGGTCATGGGAGAGCCTATGTGGCTGCATGTGGGGTTTGCAAATGTGCTGACTGAGTGTCGGGTGGTGAAATTCCACAGGACACAGCCTCTCCCACACCAGGTCACATCAATTGGTATCAAAAATGAGGTTTTTTTTTCATTTCCTTGGAGGAAAAATGTATTTGATTTTAGGTGGATAGAAGGCACTGGTAAATGCAAGATGTGTTACTTCTTACGACTTCTCATCTCAGTAATCCTCAGACTCAGCAAGAGCCAGCTGTGAGGTGTAGTAAGATACATGAAATAACTATTTTCAGTACTGCCTTCCTATATGTCATCTACAAACAACCTGCTTGTCAGGTGCATTTTTACTGGCTAGAAGTTTCAAGATTTACCTCCACCAGGCAAGATTACCCCTTACTCTTCATCCTGGTCTCTCTGAGCCATTCTGCAGCAAAGGAGAGGGAAGAGGTAGCCCTGGGATCCTGTGAGCATTGTGTGAAGTGGTCTACTGGAAGCAAATGATGGCTTTGAAATCTCATCTTTTATCTAAAAAAATGTATCCACCCAGAAGCCATAAAAGAAAAGGCAGATATGTGTGGCTATATAAAAATTGAAGTTCTTCACTGTCAAAACACACAATTTCATTTTTATAGAAATAAATAGAAACCTGAGCAAAACTTTTTAAATATATTTGACAATTTTCCTTGATAAATAAAGAGCTCTTTGAAATCAATAAGATAAACACCCACAACTCAATTTGGTGGAGGTTGGGGATGTTGAAGAAAGAGAGGCTAAATTCTGTGAACCAGTGGAGAATGGACTTTAGGTGATTGAGAAACAGTTTTAAAAGATACTCACATTTACTACATGCAGAATAAAACTCTGATCTCCTGTTTGACCAGTCAGATTGGCAAAGATTAGAAAGTTCTGATCTCCTGTTTGACCTGTCAGATTGGCGAAGATTAGAAAGTGGGTGCTCAGGGCTGGGAGGCTGTAGGGAAATCGATTCTCGTGCAGGGAGTTGGTGGAGTACAAATTGCACATTTTGGATGGTCCTTTGACAGCATCCACCAAGATGTAACATGGACACACCCTTTGACCCAATAATTCCACTTCTGGGAATTTATTCTATAGATGTACCCACAGGTGTGCAGGGGTCTTCACTGCAGGGCTATTTATAATAGGAAACTGAAGATTACACACATCTCTAGCAGCTGAGGACTGTCTCACCTCACTCCAGAGCATCCACAGAACAGGACACCAGACGGCTTGCGTAAAGGATCAGGTGTAGTTTTATGAATGGCCATGGAAATTTGGTCAATAACGGATCTTAACGTGAACAAAGCAAATTCACAGGACAATACTGATGCTTTTGTGGGAGATGGACTGTATGTTTGATGATATTTGTGCTTATATGTGTTTGTACAACATTTTTAGAAAGATATTTGTTAAATGTACAGTTTAGCTAGGGAGCAGGTTAGAGGATGCAGGGGGACAAAGAGGTCTTTATTTATGTGAATTAGATAGAGTGGACTCAAATTACTCTCTAATAAAATTGCTATTTTTTAAAATTTTTTTGAGATGAAGTCTCGCTCTGTCACCCAGGCTGGAGTGCAGTGGTGCAATCTCGGCTCACTGCAACCTCCACCTCCTGGGTTCAAGCGATTCTCCTGCCTCAGCCTCCCGAGTAGCTAGGACTGCAGGTGCATGCCACCATGCCTGGCTAATTTTTTGTATTTTTAGTAGAGATGGGGTTTCACTGTGTTAGCCAGGATGGTCTCAATCTCCTGACCTTGTGATCCACCCGCCTTGACCTCCCAAAGTGCTGGGATTACAGGCGTGAGCCACCGCGCCCGGCCCAAAATTGCTGTTTTTAAAAATAGTTTTGCCAGGTGCAGTGGCTCACACCTGTAATCTCATCACTTTGGGAGGCCAACACAAGAGGATTGCTTGAGCCCAGGAGTTCAAGACCAGTCTGGGCAACATGGCCAAACCCCATCTTTACTAAAAATAAAAAAAGACTAGCTGGGCATGGTGTCATGTACCTGTGTTCCCAGCTACTTGGGAGGCTGAGGCAGGAGGATTGCTTGAACCCAGGAGGTTGAGGCTGCAGTGAGCCCTCATTGTGCCACCGCACTCCAGCCTGAAGTGACAGAGGGAGACTGTCTCAAAAATAAATAAATTAGTTAATTAAATAAATAAAAAATAGTTTGCTCAAGGAGGACCTTGGCCTTTCCTATTAGCTCTGAATGATGAAAACTCCCATTGTACAGATGCTCCTTAATTTACAGCCCAATAAACCCATTGCAAGTTGAAAAGATAGCTAGTTGAAAATGCACTTAATACACCTCACATGCTGAGCATCATGGCTTAGCCTAGCCTCCCTTAACCGTGCTCGGAACACTTGCAGGATCATCAAACACAAAGCCGATTTGATAGTAACATGTTGAGTGTCTTGTGCAATTTATTGAACGCTGCACTGAAAGTGGGAAACAGACGGCTGTGTGGGTGCCGAGGATGGTTTGTACTGAACGTGTATCATTTTTGTACCATCATAAAGTCAAAAAATTGTAGTTCAGCTGTCATTTAAGTTGGAGACTGTCTGTACTTGACAGTTGATATGAAATATTCACATACGTTCTGCACTGGAATCCACTCTGCTCCAGTGTTTAAGCCCAGTGTGCTGCGGTGGATTGCAGCATGCGTGGAGGGCACCCAGGTCCTCATGGTTCCCTCGTGGGTCTGGGACGCGGGTCGAGGTGGCTTTAAGCCCAGTGTGCTGCAGTGGATTGCAGCGTGCGTGGAGGGCACCCAGGTCCTCATGGTCCCCCGTGGGTCTGGGATGTGGGTTGAGGTGGCTGTGAGTGGCTCTTCTGCCCTTGGCTTCTGTATTTTATAATAAGAGAGGGCTCTTGCTCTCTCTCTCTCTCTCCTGCTTTGTACTTTCAATCAATCTCTTTCCAGCATAGTTCCCCCTAAAACATCAGAAAGCTGAGTGAGCCTGTGCTCTCCTCTCAGAGCTTAGCCACTTGGATTCCGCAGACCCTGGATTGTCACTTTAAAAAAAAAATTAATTTAATGTAATTTTAAGTTCCAGGATACATGTGTAGGACATGCAAGTTTGTTACATAGGCAAGCATGTGCCGTGGTGGTTTGCTGCACCTATCACCCATCCCCTAGGTATTATGCCCTACGTGCATTAGCTATTTATCCTGATGTTCTCCCTCCCCCCCACCCCATCCCCCGACAGGCCCCAGTGTATGTTGTTCCCCTCCCTGTGAGTCATTATTCAGCACTCACTTATAAGTGAGTACATGCAGTGTTTGGTTTTCTGTTCCTGTGTTAGTTTTCTGAGGATAATGGCTTCTGGCTCCATCCATGTCCCTGCAAAGGACATGATCTTGTTCCTTTTTATGGCTGCATAGTATTCCATGGTGTATATGTACCACATTTTCTTTATCCAGTCTATCATTGATGGGCATTTCTGTTGATTCCATGTCTTTGCTATTGTGAATAGGGCTGCAATGAACATACGCGTGCATGTATCTTTATAATAGAATGATTTATATTCCTTTGGGTATATACCATTTAATGGGATTGCTGGGTCAAATGGTTCTAGATCTTTCTGGTTCTAGATCTTTGAGGAATCTGGTTCTAGATCTTTGAGGAATCATCACACTGTCTTCCACAATGGTTGGACTAATTTACACGCCCACCAACAGTGTAAAAGTGTACCTGATTCTCCACAGCCTCACCAGCATCCACTGTTGTTTGACTCTAATAATCGCCATTCTGACTGGCATGAGATGGTATCTCATTGTGGTTTTGATTTGCATTTCTCTAATGATCAGTGATGTTGAGCTTAGGTTGTCCCTTGTGATGGTTTGATTGTCACCAGAGCAGCCTGTGCTTTGGTTGAATAAGATTCAAGTCGTTGTAGGCAGTTGCCTTCAAGAAAAGTATCCGCATGTCCTGACGGGGAACGCCTGCCTTCTGGGCAGTGCACCTGGTGCCTGCGGCTGGCTGGGCACCGACATGCTACAGCAGGATGGCCCTCATTCCCACGAACGGGGTCAGAACACGGCTGCCACCTTGGGAATTCGCTTTTCTCACGTGAGATTAAGTACTGAAAGTGACTTTCGTATAAGAGCATTATCAAAGTTGCACGGCTCTTTGCAAAATTCTCTCATCCCTTCCAATCGCTGCCTGGTTTCCTGCTCTGTGGTTGGGCTGTACTTGCTTAGAATATTCCCAAATGATAAAGATTGAGTTGTTTCCAGTTTCCTATCATAAAATCCTCCTCCCCTGAGTTCCCCTGCACACCTGGGAGAGGGTCTGTGAAACAAGTTCCTAGAAGTGGAATTTCTGGGTCAGTTATAAGGTGGCCATTTTGGTGGATGTCATCGAATGATCATTCGAGATTCTGCAATTTCACTCCCACTAACACCTGTGCGAGGGTGCATTTCCACAGCCACCCCACGTGTGGGAGGATCTCTGCCAGGGCTGCAGCAGGGAAGGCTGTCTTGGGGCTCGGCGTCTCTGTCCCCATCTCCTTCCATGCCCAGTGCCCAGGAGCCTGCCATGGCCACAGCTGCACCATCTCCATAGCCACCCTCTAAAGCTCCCACCCTGGGATGAGGCCCTCCCTCAGCCTGTTCTCACTGCCCTCTGGTCCCCTGAGTCCTCCCCATGGTGGTCAGGAGGAGACTGTGAAAAGCATGAGTCCGACCATGTCACTGCCCTGTTCATGCTTGCTTAGCCTCTGTGTCCAGTCCCTTCGCCGGCACCCAGAGCCAACTCCCACTGGCTGGCCTGGCCATCTCCTCACTGTGTCTGTGCATCAGCCACACTGTCCTTTCTGTTCCTCACACTTGTCCAGCATGTCCCCCACCAGAGCTGTCCTCTGATCTGCCCACAGCTGACATACAGGTCTCAGCTCAAACCCCACCTCCTGCCTGACCACCTGCCCCAGGCCCACCTCCTGCCCCGGCCACCTGCCCCAGGCCCACCTCCTGCCCCAGACCCACCTCCCGCCCCAGCCACCTGCCCCAGGCTCACCTCCTGCCCCGGCCACCTGCCCCAGAGCCACCTCCTGCCCCGACCACCTGACAGAAATGAGATGCGAGGCACTGTCCCCAGGTCCCCTGTGTTAGTTACAGCACTCAGCCTGCCTGCAGCAGTCTTGAGCAGTTCTCATCTGCTGGCTTTCTGTCTCTTCCCCTGGACCGCAAGCCCTTGCCGCCGTCCTTGGTGCTGAACGGTGCCTGGCACACAGTAGGCGTGTAAAAAGCGTGTGTTGAGGGCATGAGTAAACTCTTCCAAGGGAGGTCGCCTGTGCGCCCCACAGGGAAGGGAGCTGTGCCTCTGCCCCCTTCTCTGCCATGGTTCTTCAGTGCCCAGAGCAGGGCCAGGCACAGGTGGGCTCTGGAAAGGTATCTCTGAGTGGACAGAGGCTGGCTCCTGGCTGAGAACACAGACACTCGACAGCGATGCCCGGCTTCCCAGAGAAGAGGAGGGTCCTTCTCAGTCACACCCCCTCTGCCAGCCTGCCCGTGGCCCTCACTCCTCCAGGAGACAGGCTTTGGACGTCCATCAGGAAGGAGCTAGCAAATGTCAGTCTCTCATCAGGGTGGGCGGAGCGGTGACGGGTTTCCTTCTGGGTGTCAAGGTCTCTGTGGCTATGGATTCAGAGCTGGCCAAGCCAGGCTGTTTCCCTAGAGAGTCCGGGAAACCCATGATGCTGGCCCACTGCACAGCGTCCCCAGCCTCAGGGCTGCTGCCTCCCATGCCCTCAACAGTGCAAGGATTCGTGTGATCCCAGAAGGCCCACAGGAGGACCTCTCTCAGAAGAGGGCTTAGGTCTCCTTCTGGTTTCTGATCTACGGTAGGGGGATTCTTGGTGCATCCCCTTGGCTGCCACTGCCGCCTCTGTGCCTTTCCTGCCCCACCCTGGGCAGCAGGCACTAGGGCCAGGTGCAGTCAGTTACCTCCAGTTAACTTCACCCTGCAGTGGGGGTAATTGAAGGTTCTGCGAAGGCCCTTGGCTAGTTTAGAGACTTCTGGCTGGCTGCCCTCCTCCCTGGGGGTGTGAGCATTTTTGTTTCTTCTCTTTGCTCTCCTGCTTTGGGTCTTGCAGGAAGTTATTCGCTTCCTGGTGGGTGTTACTGTCCCTGCCCCGGCTGTGGCGCCAGTCCTTCCTCTGGCCTCACCCTGTGTTTTCTGATGGTCCAGGCTATTTCGGGAGAAGGCTGTGGTCACAGTGCTCATCACCCTGGCTTTCTGCTCAGCCCCTGCGGAGGCTGACGCGCCCTTGCCCTCACAGGCCCCGAGAGCCTCTTACAGCATTATCCTAAAACAAAGCTTCAGCCTTTCTTCCCCACCGCTGGGCAAAGTCTTTATTTTTGGACCAAACTAAACACTTATTTGTTTGTAAAGGGTGGCGCTTTTTGGCTTCTAAGAAACTTACCTGGGGTTGGTGGCAGACTTCCTTGGCCTTTTGAGAGCAGGGAACTATTTTTAGAGGCATTGTGGCAACTCTAATAAAGAAAAGAAACAAAGGTAGGTGTGACAACTGCTTGTAATCACACACACGTATACACGTGCAGACACGCATGCACACATATGCACAGGCACATGCACACACACATGTACACACACACACACACACACACATGCACACACACCTGCATGGGGGAGCTGGCAAGTTTCTCTTTTTCTGGACATTTGGCAAAATCTGAGTCATAGAAACCTCAATTCAGACATTGCAGGGGTGCGGGTTGTCAATGTGGCTCCTGAAGCTCTGGCTTAATGAGACCCCAACAGGCATTCTTTCACTACAAAGGTCACCAGATAATCCAGCCAAGGGGGACCCAGCACAGAGCTCTCACCTGGTTCCAGGAGGGGTGACTGCAGTGGCAGGTGCAGCCCTAAGAAGTGCAGTTGTACAGGGAGCTACCCTGTAGTTGGTGTGTGTGGCTGACCCTCTCCTCCCAGAGCCACCTGCAAGGACAGTCAGAGCCCTTACCCCGGGCCACACGTGGCCCACAGAGCTGCCTTCCCTTTACCAAAGGCTGCACAGGCCTCTGCGGTATCCCTGGGTTGCGCTTTCAGGCGAAGAGCATCGTGATGTGGTTTACTGCCCTTGTATCAGAGTGGCTCAAAATTAACCCCTGGGCTGTCTGGGAGACCTGCTTTGGAAACACACTCCACATGGCTCTGGTGCCACCGTTAGCACATGGCACATCTGTGTCCTGCCAGGGCCTGGCAATGGCTGCATACAGGCTGCAGACCAGGGGCACCATGAGGTGACTGGGTGGGAGGGGGCCTCCTGGTCGGTGAGGGCGGGAGAGACAATGGGTAGGTAAGTCTTGACTCTTCACAGGCTGAGAAGGGTAGCCCCTGTCCATCCTGGGAGGTGTCCCCTCTTCTCCAGCTTTGGAGGGTGTCCTGGCCTGTGCAGCTCTGGTCACCCCAAGAGGGCCTGGAATTGGAGCCACTGACCACAGTAAGCCTCTGGGCCACCCCCTCTGAGGGCCTCCCTGAGCCATTCTGTAACCCCCCAAGTCTGCTTCCTATTGCAACTCTTGAAACAGTGTCTCTGTCATTATAAAACCTCATCTGACCTGAAATGAGGCTCATGGAGTACTTCCTATTTTTGTGGTGTCTCACATAATCACAGGTAAGTCTCACAGACCTGTGAGCTGGTTTTCCTTGTTTTCCAGGTGAGGATCAGGCTCAGAGAGGTTAAACCGTCACTGAGGTCACACAGCAGTGGGTGGTGCAGTGCGTCTGGTCTCTTCTAGTCTGTTGGGGCTGCTATAACAAACCGCCTGAGACCGGCTAATGGATAAACAAACAGCAGAAATCAATGCTTACAGCTCTGGAGGCCGGGGGGGCTGGGATCAAGGCACCAGCAGTTCGGCATCTGTTCGGCCTCTTTCTCTGCTTCCCTGACCGTGCCTGTTGCTGCATCTTCAAGCCTCTGATAAGTGCACTAATCCCATTATTAGGGCAGAGGACCCAACCCCTCCCAAAGGTCCCGCCTCTTTGTGCCACCACGCTGGGGCTGGGTTTCAACATATGGATTTGGGGGTGGGGGACATGAGCACCCACACCTCTGCAGGGCCTCCGTCTGTAGCCCTCGCCTCCTGGGGTGGAAGCTCATGTCCTTTGCTCAGTCTGTGAGGGTCATTGGCATTCAGCTTTTGGAACCTCAGGCTTCCTCCTGTGCACGATGGTGCTGGATGTGCTGAGAAACTCCACTTTGCCTCCTTCATTTGCTTATGAGTTTTCTGCAGGAAACCTTGAGACCTTCCTTTTCCCAGGCTGCTGAGCCCCAGGCTCCAGCCTGTCCTCCAAAGACTTCTCAGTAAGAGGCATTCTGCCTCTTAATAAGCATGATGACAGCGATGATGCGGCTGAGGAGCCAATGAGATACAAGACATCCAGCGAGTCTCTCTAACGTGGTTTCGTGTTGTTCAGCATGAGCCACTTTACAGAGTTGGCAAGAGGAGGTCTCGCGGCCATTGACAAATGTCAATATATTGATATTGATGCCTTCCTTCTTGGCCCAGCCGATCTGGGATGAATGTGCAGGGGCCAAGCCAGCAGTCGTCCCTGTGTTCAACATAACAGGTAAAGCTGCCGTGTATTTGGTCCAACGGAGATCGAAGGTCATTATATTCATGTTGTTCAAAAACTTAGGAATAAGCCACAGGTAAAGTATTTAAAGATTACAGGCAAAGGGATGTGACATTTAAAATATTCAGTTGCACTGTGTGTGATGCACAGATGTGATTATTGGCACCATGAATAAGTCGCATCTGGCTTGGGTTCCTGCTAGCCAGTTACTCAGTGGGGCCTTCCAGGGCAAGGTGGTCTCACCACTGAGAGGGAGCCCCAGTGGGACCCTAATTGCACCAGCAGTTGTTCCTAATAAGAGAACTAACACATTTCTCTGAATCTCCATGACTCATTCAGATTTCCGTCAAGAAAATTCAAACTGAGGTGGGATCAATAAGTCGTGCAAATTGTCAGAAAACTCCCTCCATGGAGGGCATCTGAGTTCACCTTTAGAGAAGGAGAGCATAATGCGCCCCACCTGAACACTTCCCTGGCTCGGGTGCCGAAGGCTCAGGGTGTGGTTCATAGGCAGCTATTTGTGTAAAGGGGCTAGCATCTGCATCCTGTCTTGGCTATTGAAGTTGTTTAAAGGGTGACTTTGGTAAGAGCTGGTTCTACCCACTGATGACTGTTTCTGCTTCTCTGATCCAATCAGAATCATCCAGGTTGACGCAAGGATCTTTTGGTACCTTGCCCTTATTTATGTGGTTTTTTAATGATGAAAGTAGAAACGCGGCCCACATCATGATCACCTCTTAAACAACTGGCCAGTGTGAGAGAATCTCAAGGTTTTTTGTCATTATCCAGCTTGTTTTCGATACTGTGGGGGAGAAGGTGCAGATATGATCACCAGGAGATGCATTCTCATCAGCTCTCCCGCCTGGGAACTTTCCCCTTCTTAGAGTGCCTTCTCTCCATTCCTGCCTGTTTAAATCCTACAGGGCCCAAACAGACCCACTTGGCTGCTATGAGACCATGGGTGAATCACAGTTCACTCAATAAGCCTTTTTTTTCTTATCTATACAGTGGGGATATTTTGAAGGTTAAATGAGTGATGTGTATAAAATATGCACTGTGACTAACACATAGAAGTGCCTTTTCCTCTTCTTCCTCCTCGACCATCAACATTATCATTAAACATGAGTGTTTCACTGATTCTTCCCTGATTCCTCCTCCACCACAACCACCACCACCACCACGACCATGCTTTCCCTGTGGTGACCTGTTTTCTCATGGCACCTGTTCCTCAGCACAATACCTATTCCTTCTTCAAGCCCCTTTTTGTCTCCTACCTGGAAGGCATTTTTGTGGGCCTCCTTCAGCCTCCCTTGATCAATGCCAAGCCTGTGTGCAGAGCAGGTCCTTGCTAAGTATTTGGTGGAAGGAAGCCAGGGCCTTCTATAGCCAGCCTGTAGGATGAAACTTCTTTTTGACCCAAAAATGGGGGAGATTGTCAATGTAGATTCTCACTTCAGAGGGTCGATTGCCCAATTCATTGAGAATCAGTTGAAGGTAAGAGTCCCTGAGTCCTGGCTCCTGTTTGTCTGACCTGCTTTCCCTGCTGGACTTTACAAGGAAGGACTGAGACGTGTTCCTTCCTATCTCTCTTCTCTTGAAACAATACCTGCCCAGTAGAAGCACATCCCAGTCTCTCTCAGGGGAAAGCAATGACTGGGGAGTGAAGACAGGTGGTCTGGGTGGGTGGGCAGATTCTGGCTATCAGGCAGAGGTCTGTAACCTTGGAATGACATGCCTCTTCTCTGTGTCATAGCTCCCTCTCACTGTGAGGTTCACAGCAAGGGCTGGAGACAGGCCTGGGTTGGAATCCTGACTCAACTGTTCTTAGCTGTGATGTTCCTGAACAAGCTGCTTTCCCTCTCTGAGTGACTGATCCTTCGCCATAAAGTGGGGATGCTCTAGGCAGCCACATCCCATGGATACCTGAGAACTTAGTGAGTTATCATCTTCCATGTGGCTGGCAGAGTGCATTGTTAGGCAATGGTGGTGGTGAAGATGATGGTGATGGTGATGGTGGTGATATGATAATAACACTAATGGTGATGATAATGATGGTGATAATAATGATGGTGATGATAATGATGGTGATGATAACAATGGTGATGATGATGATGGAGATCATAATGATAATGATAATAAAACTGATGGAGATCACGCTACTGCTGCTGCTGATGATGCTGATAACAATGGATGATGAGGAGAAGAAAGAGGGTGATGATGATAATGTTGACAATGACAATGATAAAAACGGATGATGATGAAAGGGAAGATGAGGGAAAGCATGGTCGTGGTGGTGGTGATGGTGTATAGATACTTCCTGGGTCTAATCCTCAGGTTTCTTCAGTATTTCCTTAAAGAGTTTTGCATGTGTCCATTTCCAAAGCCTCTCCCTGTGAGTGCATCAACCTCATATTTTCACACCATGCTGAATTGTCATCCCTGCTTGGGAAGCTTGACATTCCATTCCATGACCTTCATAATCTGTAAGATTTCTATTTCTTTGAGCTGTGGTTTCTCCTTTAGTATGTGTGCTTTATTCTACTTTCTAAACCTGTGCCCGCACCAATCATTTGCCCTGCTGTGAAGATAGAAATGGAGCTTCCTTCTTTCCTCTGGTAATTCTGAGATGTGTGAGTTTCTGCCCTGGGGTTTTTAGTTTTCTCAAACTGCAGGGGGTTAATTAGTTTGGTTATTTCACAATAGCATTTACAGTTTTCTTATTAACTGGGAAGATATCCAAGGACTCCTACTCTTCATTGGGGTCTTTTGCAATGTTTTAGTCACAAGGATGGGTGGTAGGACTTGCAGAGAATCCAGTAATAAGGAGAGATCAGAGTCATTGAAATCACCTCTAGCTATCCTCAAAAAGTCACGGGGCTCAGTTTGTCTTTTTGGTTTGACCAAGGAAAGAAATATTAGACAATGCATAGCTTCATTGTTCAACTATTCATTTTCTACAGATTTTGCTTAAAAACACTTAAAAAGCACAAGTTATCAAGGTACTTTAACTTGGGAGATTGGGAAAAAATTGAAGAGAAAAAAAAATCAGGGTATCAGGATCTTAAAGCCAGCAGAGGTTTTTCCTGCACCTAAAAATCTCAAAAGGGAACATTCTTTCTTGGCAACAATTGAGTAGTTGTACATAAGATTTGACCAGGAATGGAAGTGGAAGAGCCAAAGACGTTGTTTTCTCACCGTGAAGACTCGTTCTCCAGAAGAATGGGAATCGGCGAATGAGGCCCCGTCTGGACTTGGGGACTTGTCTCTTGCTGCTTCTCCTGCCTAGATATTTGCTCCCTCCCCAATCTGCCTGGTCCTCTGACCTGGATTTAACTTTAATTTGTTCATGGAGTCTTCCCTGACCCTCCAGACTAAGTTGCTCCCTGACTGACCATTACTGTTTATTTGTAATAATAATACCAAGCACTTGCCCAATGCAGAGATTTAAATTAGAATTAAAAAGAGACTTTTTAATTATACTTAATAGTTCCCCAGAAAGTGTTTATTTTTAAAAATGTTGAACTATCCTCAGGGCGAAGATAATATTGTAAGGCTGAGAATCTTAGAGAAAGTTCCATCATTCATTTTATGTGTGTGTTTCTGCTGTTTCTGAAGCAAACACCTAGAGATGCTCTTGAACATGCCTCCAAAGAGATTACCTGGGAAATTTATTGCAGTATTCTTCATCATGGCAAAAACAAACAAAAAGAAACCAAAATGTCCAATGATAGGAGAATAAATATGTAAATTGTGATATATTCAAGCACTACAATTCTGTAGTAAGCCACACATACACACGCACACACCCCCCATATATTCATGTTCTCATGGATGAATCTCTAACATATTAGTATGTAAAAATTGCAGAATTATTTTGACAAAATGGTATTGTTTATATGATGTTTAAAAACATCCCCAAACACTATATTTTATTTTTGTGTTCATATGGAATGAAAGCATGAACATGAACAGAGAGGACACATAGACCAATTTCCAAATCATGGTTCCCACTGTGGAGGAAGGGACTGGGATGGAAGACAATGAGCAAACAGGTCTTCCACTGATGGTGATGATGATGATGGTATAATGGTGATACTTCGACTAGAATGTGTGACACTTCCTGGAGATCTGAAGCAAAGATGATGAATGTTCTCACCTGCTAAATTTAGGTGGAGTGTGTGTGCGCCTTGCACATGTGCGTGCATGTGTGTGTGTGATCATTTTTGGGACATTCCTGTGTGTTTGAAATATTTCATAGTTAAATAAACAGTGTTGGTCTTGTGATGGGCTTGATGAAGAGATCGTACATACTTTTTTTTACATCAGACTCTCTCATAATAGATGGAATTATTGAGTCCAGATAAAAATCAGGGTCATGCAGAAAGCTGTGAGAGTGATTAAGGGACTTTGTGGTAGGTTATGAATGAAATTGTGACGTGGGCTTCCTGCCTGCTCTTTGCCTTTCTCCAGACCTGTGCCATGGACACCTAGATATTTCCTCATGCTCAGTTCCCTGCAGGCATCGCTGGGGATTGGAAGTCTTAGAGGGATCCATTATCTGATGGAGAATTTGAGAGGACTCTTCCACGTGCTGGATCAGAGCAACTATTCAGTGTGCCCTATAGAGCAACTGACTTAGAATGTTCGAAGGGAACAGTCCTCTGAATTAGTCCCACCTCTAAAGAGTTATTTAAATGCTATCTCATTACCTCTGAGTTCCTTTTATGAATAAAAAGGGTATTACTGAGTTTAAGATGATGAGTTAATTAATGAAGTATAATTCCCAGAAAGCCTCTTTGACATAATTTTAAAACCCAGATAGGTATAATCCCATCATTTAAAACTTTGAATGGGAGACTGGAAAATAATATTCTGATTGAAGGATATAGTAACCCCAACAAGGGGACTGGAGTGAAGGGAAGGGGAGCTAGCAAGGGAGAGAAAATCAGGCATTGGGAGAACCAACAGGTGACGAGGAATGAGACTCAACCTGACCCTGAGTCACAGTGTACAGTGGAGGGCACCAGGGAGATGGTGTTAGGTGAACATATGGATGAGTTGCCAACAGCCAGAGCCTCTGACAGGGAGCCAGCTGCCAGCCTGCCGCTGTCCAGCACATAATGCAGCCTCCATCGTGGGTGAATAAACCAAGTCCGGTGTCCATCTGTCGGAGATATTTTGCTAAAGGGGCTTTTCCATGAGGTGGCAACTTGGACTTTCCAAATAGGATTCTGTCATGATTTGTGTAAAGTTAAGCATCATGACATAATTGCTGGACCAAGGACTTAGAGTGGGCCATAAAACAAGTGTTTGTTTCTTTTATTTATATGTTTCTTTTTTTTTTTTCAAGACAGTGTCTTGCTGTGTTGCCCAGGCTGGAGTCCAGTGGCATGATCACGGCTCACTGCAGCCTCCATCTTCTGGGCTCAAGCAATCCTCCTGCTTAAGCCTCCTAAATAGCTGGGACCACAGGCACACACCTCCACGCTCAACTGATTTTTTATTTTAGAGACGAGGTCTCACTTTGTTGCCCAGGCTGAGATAGTTTCTTAGCCCACTGGGTTGATACTTGATTCTGTTTACCTATAAAATCCTGAATATTGGGGTGCAAATAAGTAAATCTAAGTTTTTGCCCAGTAAGGGCTACATTAGCCACACCTTCATGAGCACAGTTTCAAAATGTGAACTAGGTGTTGGCTTAAATCTGCCAAGCAACAGAAAGCAACATCCCCATTGGGCAGATGCAGCAGGTAGCAGCAGCCTTGCCGTCCGCTACACGAGGCCGCTTGGGATGAAACCCTTCCTCACCTCCTTCCCTGGAGAGACAGTCACGATCCTGGCCTTCACCGTAAGCTTGCCCTTCTCGCTCAGTGAGATAAAGTGCAAGCATGAGATAAACACATTTCAAGATGTGAGTGCTGTTGCAGTGTGTTCTGTGAATTTTCCCACTATTTTTAAGGAAGAAATCATTTTGGTTGAAGGCATCACTCTTGGTTGTGATCAGACAGAAGGGGAATAAGTGCTTAGCACAAAATGGGGCACAGAGCTTGACCTGCAGAAATGGTTGTCATTGTCATTACTTTCATTAAACTTTGGCTTCAGCTATGTAAACTCAGGAGAGAAATAAATGACTCCAGTGACAGGGAAAGCAATTTTATGGCCTAATATTGGCCAAATCTGGGAATTGTGAAGTAGCCAAAAAAGTAGCATTACCTTTGTTTGACCAAACTGTCAGGGCAAGATTACTTGGTTTCATATACTTTTTTTTCTTTTTTTTTTTTTTTAGATGAAATGGTGTTGAGAAAGGAGTTTGAGATCATGATTTTTAGCAGCCTTGAAAACTGGTAAATGAGAAGATTGGAGAATAACATTATTCCAAAGCAGAAGCTCCTTCTTCTCAGATGATAAACACCTTTGTTGATTAATTGCCATGTGCTATTAATAGGCCGCTGAGTAATTGGAAGTGATTGGCAGAAGGTCTCATGAGCCCATCTGTTTGTTGCATTTTTATGACCATTTTCAGCACAGGGCATCTTCAGAGTGCAATGGAGAAGCTTGGAGAGTGACAGGCCAGAGACCAAGTGGGCGGGACTTGGAGACGCCCATCCTGCCTTGAGAGGACCCAGGACAGTCATTTCCTAGGGGTTTGCGTCTCCTTTTCTTGCCCCCAGTATCAGTGGAGCATGGAATGCGGAGGAAGCTGGTTGTTTAATCTGGGATTCTGGAACTCACAAAACTCTTTAGAAATGCTTAGGCCATAGTGGGTGAGGCTGTTGGCAGCAGTGGCACTGAGGCAGAGCTATGGATGACTGCCAGCCGTGCATGTAGGGTCTGGGGAAGGGGAGGCTTTCGTCTCCTGGGACAGCAATGATTGAAAAGATGAGGCTGTATGACTTAGACCAGCGGTCCTCCACCTTTTTGGCACCACGGACCCGTTTCATGGAAGACAGTTTTTCCACAGATCAGGGGTAGGGAATGGTCTGGGGATGATTCAAGCGCTTTACATTTATTGTGTACTTTATTTCTCTTATTATTGCATTGTGATATATAAAGAAAGAATTACACAACTCACCATGACGTACAGTCAGTGGGAGCCCTGAGCTTGTTTTCCTGCAACCAAACAGTCCCATCTGGAGGTGATGGGAGACAGTGACAGATCATCAGGCATTAGATTCTCATAAGGAGTGTGCAACCTAGATCCCTCACATGCACAGTTCACAATAGGGTTTGAGCTCCTATGAGAATCTAATGCTGCCACTGATCTGATGGGAGGTGGAGCTCAGGCGAGAATGTGAGCCAGGGGGAGCAGCTGTAAATACAGAGGACGCTTCGTGCACTCACCTGCTGCTCACCTGCGATGCAGCCCTGTTCCCAACAGGCCACAGACCAGGACCAGTCCAGTCCCGGGGGTTGGGGACCCCGACTCAGACCATTCATTCTGCCCTGGCTGGGAAGGATGGGCTGCAGTATCCTGGGCGGGGAGATCCACACAGACCCTCTTCTCTGGAGATTTCCTTGACTTGGAAGTGATTCTCTGTTAATCATGGAGACCGTGAGAGCCCAGGGGGCAGCAGATTAAATTTGTGAATAAAAAAATGCTCTGTTTTAAAGTTCTGTGCGGCGATTATAGCCAGACATAAAGGTGGCATCTCAAATGAACATTAGCCTCTTTTAAAACAAAAACAAAAAGTAACATGAGCAACTGAAGCCTCTTGAATATGAATGGATTTGAAATCGCCCACCTACGGCCCAATGCTCTCAAATAGACTTTTCCCCTGACCCTCACAGATGACCTCACTGGTTATGAAGGGACACACTGATGAGTTCTTAGGCTCTGGATGCCTCATGGTGTCATTTCAAAGCTGCTGCTCAGGGTGGAGGATGCTCATTCGTGCTGTGGCTGGTGACACGCACATTTGCTGATCCCCCTTTTGGAATATGTTCTGTTTCTGAAGAGTTTTTGCACTTAGCATGCGTAATGTGGATAAGTAGATGAATGTCTGTTCTAGGCTGGAAAATAAGACTCAAAATGATTGTGACTTAAGGTAAAAGAAACTTCAGGTTAGCAGTCCTTGCCAAAAAATGATTTTCATTCAGATTATATCAAGGGATTGGCTGGGAGCCAGGAACATGAAAAGAACAATATTTAACTAGAATTCTTGAATAGTTATGTGAGAAAATGTGTGTGTGCATGGGTGTCTGCTGTGTATCAGTGTTGGAGCCCAGGCGGCTCTCAAGCAACGTTTGTGATGTGTTTAAGAAACACATCAGTTTTGTATATTTGTTTTTTAAGATCCTGCTGCAGCAGTATAAAACTCTCAGTGGTTCCAGCGGCAGTCAGCATAGGCAAGTTGTGCTTGCGGTAACAAATGACCCCAGGGTCTCAGTGGCTTCCAAAAAGGCTCATCCTGCTGTGGTTTGCATCATGTCTCCAGTAGTCTGCAGTCCTGGCTGAAGATGTTAGGTGCTCTTCTAGTACCATGTGACTTTGCTTTAGAGCACTTTTCCCGGCTCATATTAGAAACAGATTAGCATGATTTTAGGCTCGAAGCCCCAAGAGGGTATGGGCCATTGTGTCAACCTCATGTGCCTGTCACAGCAAAGACAGTTGGTCACATCGGTTGAAAGAATGGGGCCCACTTAGGCTAGACACTACAGGGGCCAAGATTAAAAAAAAAATAAACACTGAATAACTCCCTGAGAAACTGACTTCACTTGGATTTAAAGGATTGTACCTACGTGAAGAATGAAGAGGGGTGCTCCAGGAAGAGGAACAAGTTTGAGCAAAGACATAGGAGCGTGGTGAAGCTCAGAGTGCACTGAGGACTTCCAGGAAGTTCCACGTGAGCGGTCACTGTGGGGCCGAGGGAAGCACTAATGAGGACTGGGGAGGAGACGGGTTAGGGCTGGCCTCGAAGGGCGAGTGGAATGGTCCATGGGGCCTGCGGGGGTTGATACTGATGCTTTGTTTTTTGTGTGTATTCTTACACCCTTTGATGGGTTCAGCTGTAAGGCTTTGCTTCCACTGGGGTCACACAAGGGGGCTGTACATGGACTGGGCCCTCAGTTTGCATGTTCATTTGGGAATTACTGCAGGACTGGAATGACTTGGCTGGTCTGTCAGGCTTTTCTGTTTATTTGTAATTATTCTTCTGTCCACAATCAAGAAAGGATTTGAAGTAATTTTCAAAAATACAGATATAAATTATGGTTGTTAACATGGTGAGTTCGAGAGAAGCAACTTATTGAAGTTGTGTCTGTTCTTTTTTCATGAATGGCCTCATGTATTTTTGTTTTCTATATTTGCCATTGTTCTCAGTGATGAGATAGCCAGGGGCCAAACCGCCTCTTCACTAAGAGGTAAGCCATTGTGTTTCCCTGTTGCTCATTAATTTAGAGAGTTTCATACATGCTGCCAGTTCCTAGATTGATTTTTCTTTGTGATTTTTGACTAAATCCTTGTTTCCCAGTGTCTTGTGTTCAACTTTAATATTTTACTTTTTGTGTGATGTCTGTAATACTAACACAAGCTCATAGACAATGGCTCAAAATAAGGCTTTCCTAAGATTAAAATTGATCATATGAAGCCACCAAGCAAGGGTCGGAATCAGCAGAATTATAGAACACTTCCTCGGCTTTGCGTCCTTTGAAACAAAGTCAGGTTCTGCGCCGGCTATTGACCCGCAGACTCGAGTCTAGGATGCACCTGAGTGCCCAACTGTGCTGTGTTCTGAGTGAGATCTCTCAGGTAAAAGGTCAAGTCCAAGGTAGAGCTACTTATGCGCAGGTAATAGTGGGGGCAGAAGTGATTTTTATCTCGTTTGGATTCCTAGCTGTCTCTTTCGATGGACGATCAAATTCTACCAAGAGTCAACACATGCTCCTAATGAGAAACCTAATGGGTTCCATGTGTGCATTTCGGGCCAGGCCCAGTGCGCCTCCCTCACTGCTGGCATGTTTGCAGTTACCTTCATCTGTAAAAGTCATATTTCCACCCCAGGGAAATCGAGAGTGACAACACGCCATGTTCTTCTCTACTTTCTCACCTGGAATAGTTTTAAAACCTCAGACAACACCACCCCGCGATGATGAGCATAGTGAAACTCAAGCCCTCTGGTTTTTAAAAGCAGTGTTCGTTCTTGTAATTAATTCGCCATGTTTCATTGGGAATATAATGTTTCATTGAACATTCCGTATTTCATTTTTACTCAGCTTAATGTAGTATGGGGTAAAAGAAGTCCGTGAGGACAAGGTAACCATGCCTTTATGGAATACCCAGGGTGGAAAATCTGTAATAACAACGTAAGGAGCCCTACCTGGGACACTCCTCACGATGCCTTCATCTTATTAGACAAGGAAATGTTGATTCACTGCCTGTCAGGTTTACTTTCCCCTCTGGCAACGAGGAGGGGAACAGGGGAAGAGAGAGTTTGTGGTCACCCCTGCACTGAGATCCTGAATGGACAGCAAGGAAGCGGCTGCCAGGAGTGAGTGGTGTTGGGGCTTCATCCTCGGGGAGGGCTCTTTGTGCTTCCAGGTTACAAACTAGAGAGGTGGACAACCCCTGCCACTGGCAGGAAAGACATGGGCAAGAGGAGAGGCGCTCTCCAAGGTATGCATTCCTTAGGGTGCCCTGTCAGCTCTGCGTCTTCTATTCGATCAATGTTTGCTGAGCACCTGCTGTGGACCTGGTATTTTGTAAGCATTCTGGCAGCACGTTCTCCCTTCCTCATGCGGGTGGCACTCCCCTGGGAGAGGCAGAACACACAGGGAAGTACACAGTGAGCAGAATAAATGCTCACGCGGGACAAATTAACCCACGCGGGATAAATGCTGCAGGGAAACCAGCATCATGGGCTGGAGGCTGAGGGGTGATGTGCAGTCAGGACAGTCTCTCTCAGGGTGAGGTGGTCATTCCATTCTGTCAGGCCCTGGGGCTGAGTGTGTCTGGAAGAGGGAACAGCAGAGGCAGGGGACTGAGACCAGGATAGTCAGGAGGTCCTAGAGGAACCACAAGACGGCCCCAGGGGCCATGAGTAGAATCAGTGCATGGTTGGTGTGGTCGGAGGGAGGCAGGGATCAGCCAGGCCAGCCATGGGAGCCCCAGCAAGGAGCTTGGGCTGCATTCCCACGGCCATGAGGAGGCTTTGGAGGGTCTGAGCAGGAACGTGCTGTTGGATTTGAGGTTTAAATTAACCCCTCTGCTGACCGGGCATGGTGGCTCACGCCTGTAATCCCAGCACTTTGGGAGGCTGAGGCAGGCGGATCACCTGAGGCCAGGAGTTCAACACTAGCCTGGCCAACATGGCGAAACCCCATCTCTACTAAAAATACAAAAATTAGCTGGGCGTGGTGGCACGTGCCTGTAGTCCCAGCTACTCAGTAGGCTGAGGCAGGAGAATCACTTGAACCCAGGAAGCGGAGGTTTCAGTGAGCTGAGATCACACCACTGCACTCCAGCCTGGGTGACAGAGCGAGACTCTGTCAAAAAAAAAAAAAAAATTAACCCCTCTGCTGTGGCATGAGAATGGATTCCGGGGGCCAGGGTGCAGCAGGAAGCCAGGCTCTGCGCTATGCAGGTGAGAGGCGACGGTGAGTGGGCCAGGGTGGGAATTAGATCATATTGACTCCACGTACGGGTGCCCCCCATCTGTCCCTCATCCCCATCCCACATTCCCAGGCAGTTCTGCTTGCTCCCCTGCAGATTGGCACACATGTCTCATAAACCATCTCTCCCATTGTCTAATAACATGGTTTCATGGCTGTCTCCTCCATTAGCCCAAGGGTTCTTCAAGGTCAGTACCACGTTTTACTAACTTCATCTGTAGAACCCAGTGTAGGGCCCGAACTCCCAGCAGGAACCTACATTACCCCTGACTCATGGACTGCGGTTCTCAGAACCTGACCTCTGTGGGAGACCAAAGTCATAGCCTCGTGCCCCACATGGCCGTGAGGCCCTGCCCGCATTCAGAAGACAGGTGACAGCCCGTGCCGCTGCCTGGCTAAATGCTTGCTCCACACATTTTACTAGTGGCGGCTGAGTCTGCGTGATGGCCAACGTGGTTTTAGAAATATACACCTAGATTAGATGAGGCTTCTGTCTTAGATGATTCCAAATGTTCTTACTTGGATTTTGCTTAAAGGAAAAACAAAACTATCTACACATTTCCCCCTCTTCATACTTTACCAAAAAGAAAGAGAAAAAATGTAAGAGGATATTGACTCCCACGATGCTTCCTGCGGTGACTAAATATAAATATGTATGACAGATCGCAGAAGGAATCATTAATGGCAGCTGTCAGTGCTATTTAAAATGAATTAGACCTTTCCAGTTTCCCTCTAGTGTGAGCGCTGAGAGACACATAAGGCTGTTCTGATTCATCGTGGACCTGGAAGTCCATTGTTCAGCTTAGTCGGGAGATGTATATGCTTATCAGGCAAAATAAGCTGGCGGGGGCTGGTGTTTGCGAAGCGCCAACTCGCCTTCTTTGTCTCATAACATTTGGCGGGGTGTGCTTTCCTGGTTCGGCACGGGACATTGGTCTCTTCAACTTCAGCTGATTTGAATTGGGACCCACAAACCAGGTGGGAAGCATGGCGTTTGAACCGTGCCTGGAATATCAGATGAGTCCTGTGTCTGCAAAGTCTGATAGTCAGAGGGAATAACAAGTCCTTAAAATGAGGAACAGCCCTTTCCATGGTTAAAGGGAAGAGTGGAAACCCACGTGTGTATTATCGGGGAAGACTTTCTTCTGGGAACAGGTGTGCCTGTAACATGGTGACTTCCCACTGGTCTGTTTCGCCCCATAATGGTAAGCATTCCTACATTTGGAGAGAGTAGGTATATTAGTCTGTTCTTACACTGCTAATAAAGACATACCTGAGACTGGGTCATTTATAAAGGAAAGAGGTTTAATGGACTCGCAGTTCCACATGGCTTGGAAGGTCTTACATTCATGGTGGAAGGCAAAGGAGGAGCTAAGGCACATCTTACATGGTGGCAGGCAAAAGAGCATGTGCAGGGGACTCCCCTTTATCAAATCATCAGATCCCATGAGACTTATTCGCTATCACGAGAACAGCACGGGAAAGACCCACCCCCATGATTCAATTACCTCCCACGGGGTCCCTCCCATGACACATGGGAATTATGGGAGCTACAATTCAAGATGAGATTTGGCTGGGGACATAGCCAGACCATATCAATAGGAGACAAGGGAACTGTTGCCAGCGGTTCCCTCCACCAAGACCTAGAGAGACTGAATGCTGCCCACTTTTTCTCATCTTAAAGCTGAGCTTCCAGTGAGAGCTTCACTTCTGTTCTCTTTAATTTTCTTTCACTTCCGGTGTTTAAATAACCCAGGATCAGTTTATGTATCATGATATCTTCTTTCAATAATCTGGCTGAATCTCTCCAAATGGCTGGGAGTTTATGGCCCTGGGCAGGTGGACGAGTGGGCAGAAGTGAGAACAGGACTTCAGGAAGTATAAAAGCTCTTGTCACTTCCAAAGGGCCTCTTTCTTCCTGGCTTTGAAATAAACCCTCTGATGGCCGCCAGTAACTGTTTCTCTCTCAAGTATGGAAGAGAAAGCCATTTGGATTTTTGGATGTAATTGACACAGGGTCTCTAAAAGTTCTTGTTTGTTTTTCGTTTGTTTTGGGACTACATTTGAAAGAAGAGGCATAGAGACCCGCAGCCCCTCCTGTCCTGGCTGCCCAGGGCTTCTGGGAATAACAGTGGTGGTGGGAGGGCCACATTGTGCCGCAATTGTTCCTTTATGTAGTTAGCTTCCTGTTTTATTTTATGCTGTGCGGCCCCAGCATCCAGGGTTTTGTGCTTGGAAGATCACACGTATGTCATGGGACAGAGTTCCTGTCTATATGGAACATGGGCCACTTCTCAGGAACCGGCCTGCAGCCCCGATGGACAGGCTGGGTCATCAGGAACAGACAGCGGGGACCCTGCAGGGCCACATATGCTCTACCTGCCCCAACCCAAGGCTGCTCCGTAGCCGTGGAGTTGGTGGTTCTGGGGAGAAAGGTGGCTGCAACCTGGGATTCAGCCCCAGCTCCGCAGCCGGGTGTGGCAGCTCCTGTGCTGGGTAGGATTCAGCACATCTGGGCTGAAGTTTTCATCTTGAGCACCAGCTAATGTTTGATGTGAATTGAATCATAGGGAGAAAATGCCCACTTGAGGCGTGAGCCAGTTAATTTACAAAGTCAGTGAGGGAAAATCCTGCAGGTGCCCGGGAAGGGTGAGCGCAGAGCCAGGATCCAGACGAGGCCGGGAGCTGGGGTGCTGGCTGATGTCCCCGTTGCTGGATGCTGCTGGATGTGTATGGACCTGGGGTATGGCACAGCAGGCCTCATCGGGAGGTCTGTGGAGTGAAAGCTGGGGCTCCCCACAGCTCCCTTCCATGCCCCGTGAGGCACGCCCTTGTGTTATAAAGAATCACACAGTCCCTCGTGGAGACGGCTCTCAGGGGCAGTCTTGCTGATCCTTCTGCAAATAAGACCCCTCTGAGGCCAACCATGTACGTGGAAAGGAGCATGTGCTCCTAAGTTTTCCAGGAGGGGAAAGGACCAAGTTCATGTGGGACCCAGCTCAGAGCACAGCTCACCCCCGGGGCAGGGCAGCTCATGCTACCATTCGAGCGAGTGGTGGCCTCAGTGCCAGACTCAGCCCAGCGCCAGGAACCCAGGAATCCCTCTCCTCCTGCCCCTGCCCACTGGGACAGTCATGTCAGGAAGGAACTGGACACATGTGGGCGAGGAGGCAGCCGCCCTCCAGTGCCACAAGGCCAGCGGAATACCTCTGACCTTGCCTCTCCCACCCAGCGTCAGGCAGACACCTCCCCCTCCCCCAGTGCTGCAGAGGCCAGCGGAACACCTCTGACCTTGCCTCTCCCACCCAGCGTCAGGCAGACACCTCCCCCTCCCCCAGTGCTGCAGAGGCCAGCGGAACACCTCTGACCTTGCTTCTCCCACCCAGCGTCAGGCAGACACCTCCCCCTCCCCCAGTGCTGCAGAGGCCAGCGGGACACCTCTGACCTTGCCTCTCCCACCCAGCGTCAGGCAGACACCTCCCCCTCCCCCAGTGCTGCAGAGGCCAGCGGAACACCTCTGACCTTGCCTCTCCCACCCAGCGTCAGGCAGACACCTCCCCCTCCCCCAGTGCTGCAGAGGCCAGCGGAACACCTCTGACCTTGCCTCTCCCACCCAGCGTCAGGCAGACACCTCCCCCTCCCCCAGTGCTGCAGAGGCCAGCGGAACACCTCTGACCTTGCCTCTCCCACCCAGGGTCAGGCAGGCCCCCCACAGTGCTGCAGAGGCCAGCGGGACACCTCTGACCTTGCCTTTCCCACCCAGAGTCAGGCAGATCCCTGCCCTCTCCCAGTGCCATGATGCCAGCAGGACACCTCTGACCTTGCCTCTCCCACCCAGCATCAGGCAGAGGCCCCCCCCCAGTGCTAACTGCGCCCTCAAGTGGCCTGGGGAGAAAAGTTGTGTTGTGAGCGGAAAATTGCCACTCTTATGGGAAAGATGATGCTGTGTTGGAAACTCAAGCTTCACTTGGAATTATGATTCCATGAGCATGTCGCATGCTGCCTTTTTTTTATTTTCTAGGAATAATTTTGAAAGGAAATATTGTACACATTGAAGAGTGACTCAATACAGAGACCATCGCTCTAGGCTGAGCCGGTCTGAAGCAGGAACCAGGCATGTGCTGCATCCTGAACGCCAACAAACCTGTGTTCACGGTGGTGCTGGGGTGGCAGCTGTGGTGGGGGCAATGCCTTGGGTGTCACAGCCGCCCTCCCTCCATCCCCGGGCAGCCCGTGCTCAAGGCCTGCTGTCCTCCGTGCTTTCAGATGCTGGGAAGGTCAGGTGATGGCCATTTGCAGGGCTCTGCCTCCCTGGATCAACCAACCACAGATCAGAAATATTCGGAGGAAGAATTGTGCCTGTACTGAACATGGACAGATTTTTTCTTGTCATTCTTCCCTACACAATACAATCTAACAACTGTGTACATAGCATTTACATTGTATTCCATAATATAAGTGATCCAGAGGTGATTTCAAGTCTATGCGAGGGGGTGCCTGGATTCTACGCACACACTGTGCTATTTCGTATCAGGGACTTGGGCGTCTACAGATTTTGGCATGCACGGTGGTAGGTCTTGGAACCAGTCTCCCACTGATACCAAGGGACAGCTGTATACTTTGGCATAAATGACATTTACTAGACATATAGTTCTGCAACTTACTTTTGTTGTAATTTTTATTTTTTGAGGCTACACAGCAGGTATGTATGTGTATGGGGGGGACGTGAGATGTTTTGATACAGGCGTAGAATGCACCGTAATCATATCAGGGCAATGGGATGCTGTCCCCTCAAGCATTTATCCTTTGTGTAACAAACTAATCCAGTTACACTCCTTTAGTTATTTTTATTTTTATTTATCTTTTTTTTTTTTGAGACAGTCTCACTCTGTCGCCCATGCTGGAGTGCAGTGGCGCAATCTCGGCTCACTGCAACCTCCGCCTCCCAGGTTCAAGCGATTCTGCAGCCTAAGCCTCGCGAGTAGCTGGGACTATGGGCAGGCGCCACCATACCAGGCTAATTTTTGTATTTTTAGTAGAGACGGGGTTTCACCATGTTGGCCAGGCTGGTCTCGAACTCCTGGCCTCAGGTGATCCACCCACCTCGGCCTCCCAAAGTGCTGGGATTACGGGTGTGAGCCACCGCACCCGGCCTCCTTTAGTTATTTTTAAGTGTGCAATTAGATTATTATTGAGTACAGTCACCCTGTTGTGCTAACAAATCCTAGCTCTTCTTCATTCTTTCTAACTTTTTCTGTGCTCACTCACCGTCTGCACTCTGCCCTCACTACCCTTCCCAGCCTCTGGCCACCTTTCTTCTCCTATCTCCATGAGTTCATTTCATTTTTAGCTTCTGTAAATAAGTGACAATGTGCAAAGTTTGTCTTTCTGTCCTGCAACTTACTTTTAAAATTTAATATATATTGAAATACATGCCGTGTCGGAACAAAGAGTTTTACCTCGTTTAAAAAAAATCCCCGATTAAAATTTATTTAGTCATTTTTGGTGACGTTCGTTTGTTGCCAGCATTGTCCCTCATGAGAGCCAGTGTTTTTCCACAATGCAGTGAGCACGTCTGAAAATGTGGCAAACGTCTTTACATTGCTTTAGAAAGGACTGCACTGGCCCCCGTGCCTGCCAGCGGGGTGTGAGCCGCCTGTGGGGCAGCCTCTCCGGTGCGCGGGACGTCCAGCCCTTTTCGTTTCTGACCTGGTGGAAAGAAAACAAAGCTTTGTATTTTGTTTTGATTTCTATCGCCTGGTTCTGCTGGGGTAGGCCGTTTCGTGTTTGAGCCTGTTTGTATATTTCTCCTTGGATGGAGATGTTCTCTAGGGGGCCTGGCTGTTTCTTGTTGGTTTGCAGGCGTTGTTTTCCTAGCCTGCCATTCACTCCCCCCGGTCACCTGCACTGCATTTTCTTCCTGGCCGTCTGCCGCTTGCTGGTTTTCTGCTCTTCGGAGTTCTTCATCCGGCAGTGCAGCCAGGAGCCCATCACCCCGTGCACCTGTGAGACGCTGCGGACAAGGAGTGTGTCAATGTCCCATCCTTGCGGCGCACAGGAGGTTCCAGGACCCAGGAAGCCTCAACATTCTCTCTGCCTGTGTGGCATGCCGGACCAAGGGGCCCCTGGGGCTGAGCTCAGGCTCTGGGGACCCCACGGGCCCCATCTCCTCCCCTCCCCTCTCTTAGCTCCGCAGGTTTCTGACCCGCCACAGGGGCTCTCGCCTGCCCGACTCTGTCCTGCTTCTTCTGCTCCAGCCACAGGCTTCGCTTCTGGTGTTGGCTCTGCTGTGTCTCAGGTTTCCACCTGTGGAAAGCATATACATGATGAATGTGCTACTTCCTCCCCTGGAGGCAAAGCTTAGTTGGTGGGAGGGGTCTCAAGGTTGTGAATGGGGATCTGGGGGTGCAGAGGTGCCAGGGTCTCTGGAACCATGGGGCAGCCGCGTGTCCCTGAAGCAGCCTGTATCTGGACTAATATTTCCTCTTCCATTAAAATTAATTTAGCAATCTCCAGCGATGTGCCAAGCCTTCGCGCATTGCATAATGCCTGCGACTTTGGCCTGTAAATTTATTTCACCACCGTTATCTAACTCTTTACCTTGTAAGCTGCCTTAATACACTGAGCCTTGCAGAATATAATCTTCACAGAAAACCGAATATATTCCACAGCACTGAGAGTGGACATCTCTCAGACTGGTCACTTCTTGTGCATCCTGGCTTTCAATTCAGGTTAATTCCACTTCCTCCTCTTCCTCCTCCTCCTCATCCTCCTCCTCTTCCCCCTCCTCCTCTTCTTCCTCCTCTTCCCCCTCCTCCTCCCCCTCCTCCTCCCCTCCTCCTCCTCCCCTGCTTCCCCTTTTCCTCTGGAAGGTGATGTGAGTGCAGTACGATGATTCACCCCAGTTCACCTTCCACTGGGTGGGAACAGCGCTTCATGCCAGAGCCTGGAATGTGCCCCGTTAGAAACATCCGCAAATGAAAATTGCTTTTTAGCTTGGTTGGTTTAATGAAATTTATCTTTGAGCATAATGGAGAATGATGATTTTTCACCCCAGCAGCCCTGCTTTGTGCTGAAAGGACTTATCTTCTGTGTCAGTGTTGCAGGACTCTGTTTTCCTGCTTGTAGGTGTGAGGAATCGATAATTTACAGGGATGGGGATTATTCTGAAGATTCTATGGCAGTGGTTTTCAACGAGGGGTGATTTTGCCCTCAAGGGACATTCGAGAACGTCTAGGGATGTTGGGTGGTGCTGGCATCGTGTAGGTGGAGGCCAGGGTGCCGCCGACCGTCCTACAGTGCTTAGGACGCCCCCCACCCCCCAGAGGCCCAAATGTCCCAGCGCCGAGGTCGGGCCTGGCTGCTCTAAGGAGCGGAAATGTCTCCCGGCAGCACGTGAGTGGGAGAGGGCGGTTTTCCAGACAGTCCTCCTGGATCCCCCAAGACCCTGGAGTCAAATCATTCTCCTTTGAATTCCAAGACTTACCTCTTCCTGGCAACGTGACCTCTCTGAACCACGGTTTCCTGACAAGGGCTCTCGAGATGGCCATCCCCACTTTGCTGGGTCCTTATGAAAATGGATCCACTGATGCACATTGACAGCTTAGCACAATCCAGGTGGTGGCTGTTGCTGCTGCTGTTGCCGTTGCTGTTGAAATAAATCAAAGATGATAATTGAGGGGAGAGAGAAGAGACTTCCAGGCTTTCCCTTGCCCCACATCTGAGGGGCTGTCCTGACCCCTCCCTGTGGCTCAGCCCCGCTGCACCTGCTGGGTTCCCTGTATGGCCTGGCAGTGTGGAGCCCACATTGCTTGCCGTGGCTGACCGGGGCCTGCCCACCACATTGCTCGGCCAAGGTTTAGCCCTGGCCTTCACAGGACCTCGTTGGCTTATCGTCCCGGGGATGACCAGCCCAGTTTTGATCCTACACTCCTAGTCACACTGTCATGTTGCTGGAACCTGCCAGGGGTGCAGGAGCGGCTGGAGAGCATCTGTGAGGGGAGAGCAGGGCACAGGGAGCCTCTCTCTGGCTGCCGACGCAGCTTACTCCGCACCTAAGAGCATCCTCTTAATTAGGCATCACCGGCCACATTTGGAATGGCGCATTAACATTTTATGGGCCATTTTCCCATAAAGAAAAGCAAAGCCGATGTAATTCTTGCTGGCTTTGGGGTTTTGGCTTCACACTCAGCACATCAGACAAAACCACTGTGGGAATAAAATTCCTCAAATGTGGCTGCAGTCATTGAGTAGGGAGAAAAACGCACCGTTAAGTCCTTTAGCAAAGACCCCTAAATCCTTTCATTTCCAGGCAATAAACACTGAACAAACCTGCCCTGGAGAATTGAAGTCCTTGAAAAAAGCTCTGAGTCAAGGGGGTGACCAAGAAAGCAAAACATTCAGAAAGGCTGGAGCAGGAACCGGACTCTCATTCCGCCTCTGCTGGCACAAAACTGTGGACTTAGAGGAAAATGAGCACGTGGCCAGTCATCCATGGGGATTTAAATGTCCTTGGTTCTTAGCAGTGACCTCGGCAGGACTGAAGGGGAAGGTGATTGGGGGTGAAGGTACAGGTCTTCCTCTCGTGGAAATTTCTGGATCCAAGACAAACGTGAAAGATGAAGCAAAAGACCACGTGCCTCATAAATGAAAACCAAAGTCCATCCCAAGCTCCCGCACAGTCCTTGCCAAGGGACGGTTATCTCATTGAACACAAGCTCAGCCTGGTTTTCTGGTCTGAGAGAAAAAAACAGAGGCAGCTTAAGACATACTCTCTGAGAACACTGAGGAGCAGTAGCTGGTAGTTAAGACAAAGGGAGAAACCATGTAGACATGCACACCTGTGTGTGTGTGTGCACTGTGCACCTGTCTGCCGCCTGTCTGTGCGTGGATCTCTGTCTCTGCTCATACATGCACCTGCACACACATGCGTACCACACATGCGCACTACAGTCAGAAGGCCTGAGAAGCCTTTCAGGCCACCAGGCTATGCTCTATGCTTGAAAAATTTCCTGCCTTCTCCACAGCCTGTTAGGGCATGAGTGTTTATGGAATAGGAAGGTGGTGGATTGTTCTGGAAATGATCAAGTTGTCAAGAGAGCATGTTATGGGGTTTCGGATGCATAAAGTTTATCATGCACTTGGTTAAAGTTTCTTTCCAGAAGTCAAATTTTCTTTTTAGTATTTTCAGCAAATTGTCTTTCTTCATCTGGGCATCCCGTGGAGGTAGGATGATGAGGCAGAGCAGCAGCGTTTCTGGAGCATTCACTGGGCATCAGGCAATGTGCCAGTGCTTTTCTATGAAGTGCCTCATCTGGAATGACCACTGTTCCTATTGAATGGACGAGGGATTATCTTGGAAGAGGGTTGAGTCCCTTGCCCAAGAAACTGCATCTGGAAGGCACCGCAGCTGGACTGTAACCTGCTCTGTGTCATCGCAGCACCACATCCTCCTGCCAAGCAGCAGGCCATTCCCCGGCGGAGAACTGCTGTTTCCCAGAGTGTCCAGGTAAACAAGGGTTTAGGCATTACCCAGCCCAGCTCAGCCAGCAGCCCTGAGAGTCTTTACACCCAGTTGTTGATGAGTGAAGCCAAGCGGAGAAACACCATGCCTCTTGCTTGCTTTTATCTCCTCACCATTAATTGTCTGACTACATTTTCTTCAAGAGGCAACAAAGAGTAAAAGCCGTGCAGTTGCTTTTCTGTTTAGCTGGTTGTAAATATTCAGCCAGAATTTGACTGACAGTGCAATATTATGCTCCCCAAAGCTTGCACCGTATGTGAATATTTTAATTAGGATTGTAACAAGCTATTGAGAAAGTTTGAGCTAAATTGGTTCAGCTGTTTTTGCATTAGTGAAGCATGAAAAGAAATTTTTTTCATCTATTAGAAAATATTCTGTTTTTAAAAAATTAAGCCAAAGCAATGGAACATCAGCCAGTTTTGGATACTTAGTTAAAAAGTCAGCAGATTGGATCTAGGTGGGGATTATCTGGACAGATTTGAAAGATGTGAAATAAAGTTCAAAGATGTTATTCACGTTTAGCCTCTTTCTCTCGGCAGCTGTTTGGAAGGAAGAGATGGATCTCAAAGGCAGCCCATGTGCTAAGAGACGAGGGAATCTGTAGTGGGCCTGAACTCCGTGGGGTGTTCCAGGGTTAGGGTCAACCATGCTGGTGACCTTCTCCCCCTCACTGAGATGCGGGGTGCCAGGTTAACATGTGCCCCCAACCTCCGCCCAGGCTAGAAGCATGGCCATGCCGCCATCTTGGGAATACACTGCTAGGAAGTTCCTTCCTGTGTTGAGCTGAAACCTGCCTCCTGATTTCGTCCTCCCACACCTTGGCCCTCGCTTCTTCTCTATAATTTGTTAGTTATCCAGTTTTGCTTTGTTTCAGCCTCGCCTTGGACATCGTGTGCCCCTCCCAGCATTGTCTGAGACATCCGGTAGGCAGGGCAGAGGAGGACCGGCTGGTCCACACCCACTGCTCACCCTGCCGTGTTGCAGCCACACACACTGTTGGGAAATGCTCACCCTGCCATGTTGCCGCCACACACACTGTTGGGAAACCTCTGGGTTTCCCCGATTCCTGGAACCTGCCCTTCATCTCTGTGAGGTCTCACGTGAGCTCTTCACTCTGATGGTGATGAACTCTTTATGTTTCTCTTCTTACCAATTCTTCCTGGTTCCATATCCCCATTCCTACAGGGACCAGACAGCCCCCAGGGGGAACCTGGCCACCAGGCAGCCCATGACCTGCTGTCAGGGATGGACAAGTGGTCATTGCATCTCAGTGTAGGTCCAGTGTTGCTAGAGCTTCACCTCTTCCACAAGAAACCAGAAATCTGGAATTAAATGCAAAATCCCCTATTTTCAAATAGTGGCAGCTAATCCAAGGGTTGTAAAAACACAGTGCCGGCCTCACAAAGCAGACCCGTGTGCCAGCCAGGACCACATGCCTGCAAGTGATCTCTGGCCTTGACTCTATGATCCCCAAGGGCAGGAACAACGATTCTTTGCTTTTTATTTTTTTTCCCCAGTCACCCCTACAACACCGACATAATTATCTCTTGGTAGTTGTTCCTAAGTGTATTTGGCAGGGCGTGGCGGGGAGAACGATGGCGTTTTTGTGTGTCATGTTCAAGATTTATGACAATTGCACTTGGTCTTTGGATGTGCAGTAGTGCGCTCCTTCCCTGTCGCTCTGGGAAGACATGTTAGGACTCATAACTGTGGGTTGTGCTCATTTTCTTCTGCCTGGATATGGGTACTTTGAGAGATTCCTGTGAGCAAACCCCCGGGACGTGCTTCCTGCACAGAAACCTCGAAACCCCTCCTTTGAGCTGTTGGTTTAGGATGAGGAGTGTGCTGTCTGCCTTCCTCTCCCTCAGCCGACCCACTGTGTGCTGAGTGGGGTCATGGTCCTGCCTCCTTATTTCCCGAGGCACCAAGCCTTGTGCCCTGCACACAGCACCCACATCAGTCAGGCTATGCCCGCAGGCCTGACACTGACCTCCACGAGGGGCTCAGGGTCCGGCATGGCCATTTCTTTGCCATATCCCCAATGCCTAGTAGAGGGCCTGGGGCAGAGCGAACATTTCATAAATATTGGTTGAATGAAAGCTGAATAAACTATAAGCTTCCCATCACCTCCCTCCTAATTATTTTTGATGTCTAAATGAGGACAATTTAAATATCAGCATTATTCTGCTAATTAGTAAAACCTAAAATCCAGTCCCTTGTAAAGAGATATCCCCGTATTTTACACAGAGAGGGTCAAATGCACGGCCCTTCCCTGGTTTTCTATTGCAAACCTCACATTTGTCTTGCGAACACATTTGCCTGTTTTTGAAGGCTGGGTGCTGGAAGCTTCAGGCAACAGTGATCCCGGCCAGGGTCTCAGACAGTAATTCCCACCCAGGGAACAGTCGCTTTAATGCGGGGGGGAAGGAGAGGAGACCTGCATGAGCCACGGAAACCGTTCCCTCTACAGGGAGCCGTCATGCGGCATGCTCACCGTCAGTTTCAGCCCAGGGTGACGGGGGGGTTTACTCCGTGATTCACCGGCTTTTGGGTTCCAGAGCACCTCAGATAGAACAGGGGTCTCTAATCACAGTGTGCCACAGCATTCACGTCCTTATGCTTGTCAGAGGGTCAGGTTGGGAAGCCGGAATGTGGAGAGAGCCAGGCAGAGTTTCCCAGAATCAGCCAGCAAAGACACATGCCCGCATTTCACTCCCTGGCAGCCTGAGTTCGTTAACTCATGGGAAGTTTCGGTGTCAGTGACTTCTCATCTTGGCTTTCTTTTAATAAATAAACAATGAACTCACACATCACCACAGAAAGCCCCTCTTAAACCTGGCGAGGTATTTATTCTGTGTCGTTGGCTCACTTCCCTAGGAGTTTGGGGGTGGGGGGTGGACTACGAGGTCACTCATTTGTCAGCTACGCCGACCCCGAATTCTGTGGCCATGCGCCTGTGTGCGTGCTCTCCACCTTCCCTGTCCCGGGAGAACCTATGGTGAGAGGCCACAGAGGACTGGGCACCAGGCTCCCCTGGGAGCACCGCTGTGAAGCTCCCGACTTCCCCAGCACGCAGGCCGCCTGGACAGGAGGAGGTTCCTTCCCACCACCTCCACGCGGCAGGTTTGAAGGGCGTAGGAGTCTGGGCTGAGTCTTTGCTGTGTCCCACAAAGTGATACATGAAGCAGGTGCTCCGTGTCCCGGCCTGGCAACCCCTCGGTGCTTGTCTTTGGGGACAAGGACTTAGCATCACTCTCTTCTCTCCCACATCCTCCCTTTTTCAGCTTTAGCAAGAAAGGCAGAGAGGAAGGGAGAAAACCTAAAGGCTGCATTCTGCACAAACTGCTCCCATCCAAGTCTACAGTGTGCCCTGATGAAAGCCAGGCTGTGGGGGAGAGAAAAGAGAGAGACAGAGGCTTCACCCCAGCGAGATGGCAGTTTAAAGAGAGAGGCCTCAGAAAGAAAGTGTTTATTGAGTGATCAGCCATAATAAACTCAGATAAGGCAACAGATGAAACAAATCTTCCTGGAAGGAAAGTGATCAGAGAACAGGACTTTCTGGAAGGAATAGCAGATCATAACCAGAAGCTGAAATCTGGAGCTCTTGGTGAGATCCTGGTTCCAAAAAGAAGCAAACTGCCACACCCAGTTTTCACTTCTCATTGAACCAGAATTTAACCAGAATCACTAAAATCCAGGGGAGGCTGCCTGTGAGACAGAGTCTGCATGTTCTCGGCATCTTGGGGAAGGGAGATTTGCCACATCAGCTCGCAGGTTTGTCGGGCAGAGCCAGAGAAACTGAACTATGTCCTGGGTGTGCAGATCTGTGCTGGGCACAGCCAGAAGCTGTCAGACAATGAAAAAGTGTGTTCCTTACCCTTGAGGATCTTTCCAGGGTATGAAGGATACCAGGTGAGACGTGGGAGAGACCCAAGAAGTAGAAGAGGTGCCTATTGGGGCTGGTGTGTGCCCTCGGAGCAGGGCAGAAGAACATTGGAGAGAGCCGCGGTCAGGATCCCGGGTTTGTGTCTCAGGTATGAGCCTCTGCTTCCATCAGCCATGCATTCCTGGACAGTTGGCATCTGCTGGTAGTAGCTGTGAGCCAGATGGAGGACGCTGTCCAGTGCTGCAGAGATGAGACCCTCCCGCCTAGGAGCAGGGGGCCATGGGAGTCCTGCTCTCAGTACACTGTGAAGAGCAAAGTAACGGAGACACACTCAGAATGTCACCACCCAGTCCAGCCTGGGGACATGTGGCAATGGAGGGAAGTCAGAAGGGCCCCAGATGTTCCTTACGGTTCCACTCTGAACCTGATATTGGAGGCCATGGGTCATGGGGGTTTCTGAACTTCACACAAAATGGAAAAGAAAACTGTAAAGAATCTGTCAAAAGCAGTCAGATGATCAGAGGCATACGAACTCAATTCTAGAAAGGAGGCTTTGGTAACTAAGGGCTGTATACTTGTGAACCGATAGTTTTAACCCCATCCATCAAACAAAAAGAAGACGGACTGGTTATTCCCATTTCCACGGAGAGGCAAACAAAAGGAACAGCATGAAAATGTAGCAGGAGGAGGGTGGGTGGGAGGCCTGAGAGAACGCAGAGAATCACAGTTTCCAAAAAGGGGATGCCCTTCAAGTTCTGTTATTAGGAGAGGAGACAGGAGACTCAGGGAAAAGCAGGCAAGAGACGAGGCTGGCGTCATAGAGTTGGGAAGGGAGCGACGTGGAGACGACTTGGCTGGGGAGCCTGGGGTGACTCTCAGGCTGAGACTGAGAGGGAAGGAGCCCTGAGGGTTGCCCTTTCTGGCAACATGGAGCTCAGGGCCCTCCCGTTGCTCTGGAGACCCTGCTAGGGTTTCTGGGATGGGCCCTCCTTTGCCAAGAGACTTGCACGCATGGATCTTATGTGGGTGGGAGTGGGGGAGGATGAGGAGGTATTATTTCTTAGCTTTCATGATCACATGTGTCAAAAAAGAGAAGGGAGAACTTGTAGAAATGGGCAGATGAGAGAAGCACTTGGCAAGTTGATGAGTATTTGTAAATCACTCCCAGGTGTGATTTTCCAGGGGATGGGGAGGGGGATACAGCTGCAGTGATCAAAACAGACAACCAGACACTTTCCTTGGACCTCTTTCTTCTAATCTGCAGAGCATCTGTCTACTGGCTTTGGTTCCGAAAAGGAAGATGCTCCCATTTTAACTTTGGTTTCCGACAGTCGTGCGTGGAGGAGCCCGGCCTGACTCCTTCCTTGAACAGACATCCGCTGAGCAGCAGGTGACGGACCCAACCCAAGCTCAGGGTCTAAGAAGGGAGAGCTGGAGCCCGAGTCAGGAAAGCGGTGCAGGCATGAAGCCAGGGCAATGAGGCTTTCATCAGTCTGTGCTCGGGCATAGGGAGGAGGTGCCGTGGTGCGGAACCCGGGGTGCCTGCCCGCAAGAAGAGGCCAGCCCAGCACATAGCTTTCTCTCATGCCCAAGTACTGTTCCAGACCCAGGGGATCAGCTTCCTCTCATGCCCCAGGTACTGTTCCAGGCCCAGGGGATCCTGTGCACAGCAAGTAAGCCAGGCATCTGCCATCCCGGAGCCCACACTCTCCGAGAGGGGACCAGCAAGTGTCTTGCCCAGTTGGAGCAGCTCGGAGAGCAGTGGGTGCTGGTGAAGAAGATGCAGAGGGCTGCGCGTCCCTTAGCCAGCATGGTCGGTGAAGACCTTTGTGAATAGGAGACATTTGGGCTGAGACCTGAGAAGCAAGAAAGAGCCAGGAAGGCAATGATGAGGAAGAAGAAAGGTCCAGGTGGGGGCACAGCAAGTGCAAAGCCTGGCAGGGGGGGATGTGCTTGCTGCATTTGGCTGTGTGGGCCTTGGGGAGGGGTTTGGGGTTTTGGGGTGATGGAAGCCACAGAGTATTCAGCAGGGAAGGGGAGAGCGGAGACGTGGCCTAGGACAGCGTAGTGGAGAGCGGAGACGTGGCCTAGGACAGCATAGGGCAGGGCAGAGATGTGGCCTAGGACAGCGTAGGGGAGAGCAGAGACGTGGCCTAGGACAGTGTAGTGGAGAGTGGAGACGTGGCCTAGGACAGCGTAGGGGAGAGCAGAGACATGGCCTAGGACAGTGTAGTGGAGAGCGGAGACGTGGCCTAGGACAGCGTAGGGGAGAGCGGAGACATGGCCTAGGACAGCGTAGTGGAGAGCAGAGACGTGGCCTAGGACAGTGTAGTGGAAGTGAAGGGAAGTGGTGAGATTCAGCGGGTCAGGATGGGGGAGCAAAGGGGACTTGAGGTGAAGACACATCACAGTCCTGATGACCTCCGGGGCCATCAGTGCCCCTGGCTGGATGGGGTGGGGGGCACTCCCCGAGACAGGGGCACCTGAGACAGCATTAGGGAAGGAAGGAGGTGGCGAGAGGATCATGCGTTCTGTGTTGGGCCAGAGGAGATCAAATAACTGCCAAGTACAAGGGTCCAGCAACGTGCATCATTGGTCCAACTGGGTCTGAGTCCAAAGATGCCATTCCTAACTTTTCAAGAATGTGAACAGGTGGCTTTTTACAAAGCTCCGTGCCACCTGTGTCCTGTGCCCTTGTGCCGTGTCACATGTGAACTGTGTGTCCTGGAGAGTTGAAAAGTGGCTCTGGACTCTGGGGTTCCCATTTGTGAGGACAGTGAGTTTCTTCCAGCTCTGACATCTCCTCATTCTGGTGAGCTGAACCTGCTGCATCCGTGCCTTAGAATTGTGTCTGGGTTCCAGGACAGCTGCCGGCAGGTTTGGAGGCTGAGCACTGGACCGAGGACCTGATGCACATGTGTGAGCTGGCCATTTTCTCATCCTCCCATCCGTTTGTTCTTTAACTTATTCATTCATTTATCCATTTGCTCAACAAATATTTGCTCAACAAATATTGTTGAGCATCTATTATCTGCCAAGTACTGTGCAGGGTTTGGGGGATATAACGGCCAGGAAAACAGATAGATTCCTTGTCCTTATGGAGCGCCAGTCTTTTGAGAGGCATAAAAGAATCTAAATATCTCTCTCTCTCTCTCTCACATACACACACACACAAACACACACACACACCTATGACAAATGTTATAAAGAAGTCCTACACACACACACCTATGACAAATGTTATAAAGAAGTCCTGGACTCAACAGAAGTGTTAAATAAGGGGGATCTGGCCAAGTCAGGCTTCCTGAGGCAGCAAGAGTTAGGCTGATGCCAGGGATGAAGGGCAGGTGTCAAGGAGGAGTTAGTGTTCCTGACGGGGGCCACAGTGCATTCACACAGGCCAGAAGGTGAGAAAGTTGCCCCTTCGAGGAGAGAATCAACGTGGCCAGAGCTCAGAGGTAGTCAAGAAAGGTCAAATCAGGGAGTGAAAGCTACCAGGTCAGTGTTTCTCTAGGCAAGTGAATTGGAAGAAGTAGATATAGAAATCGTTACAGATGGTGCCTGACTTAGAATGATTCAACTTAAATTTTCAACTTCATGATGATGTGAAAGTGGTAACAGTAGAACCCGTACTATGATATTTGGTGAGAGAGGTGTATTAAAGGCATTTTCAGCTTGGGATATTTTCAGTGTATGATGGGATTGTTAGGACACAGTCCCCTCATAAGTTGAGGAGCATCTGAACTTCTAAATTGCTTGTGGCCAGCATTTCCATGTGTCGTTTAGACACTCACCATGCATTAACCCATAGACCAATATGCCATCTGAAGCAAGGACAGGAAAAGGCCTGGCACCTTGTCCAGCAGATCCCCGATTCCAGCTGTGCTCTCTCTACCCCAGCTCAGGCTCATCCAGTAGGAGCTGAGGATTTAGGAGGGTTTTCTGATCCAGTGGCCAGGCACCTTGGGAAGTGACGTCTCCCAGGGAACCCACATGGAAGCTGGTAGAGACACAAGCCGTGGGGGTGGAGCCATTGGGAGGACTCTTAGATCAACTTGCCCTGGTCTAGGCAACACCGCAGGGCTATCCCTGGGGGCTCCTCACACCCCGAGATCAGGCCCATGAATGTTCACAGCACTGCATGAGCTCAGGGCTCCCCATGGCCTTGGACTTGCTACCTGGAGGGCTCCTCTGTAGCTGCTTCTGCAGATGGAGATCAGCTGCCTCCACAGGGCTCAGCCTGGGCTTGTCTCTGTTCCGCATCAGGAGGGGGGTTCCAAGTGGGACCTTGAGGTCCACCTAGCCAGGTCACAGCTCACCCTCTCCTTGGCTCTCAGACTTCTACAGACATCCTGGTGCACATGCTGTCCATAAACATGTGCATAAACATGCACAAAGTTGTGCTTTTTTAAACCCCAGGGTGGAGATTCTGACCTCTGTCTTGCTTCTAGTGGATGAACATTAAAAGTAGTGAAATAGATCTGGTTTCAAACCCAAGCGATGATGAGGCTGCCTCAGCAGAAGACGATGAGAATTTAGAAGAGTTGCAAGATCCCTTGTGGCTTTCACAGTGCGGCCCCCGACGAGCAGTGGTGACAGCACCTGTTGGAAATGCAGACCCTCAGGCCCTCTTGCAGAGTGGGGACAGCAGGAACTCGGGTGGGGAGCAGCAGCTTTGTTTTAAGGAGCCCCCAGGGGATCCCAATGCCTGTTGAGGTTTAAGAACCACTGCCCTAGACCACATGTACCAAACTTGGCCCATGATGGATTCCAAGATATGGAATGGATCTCCTTTGAAACAAACTTTTGTCCTCTAGCCATTTACCTGTAGATTTGGAGTCTATAATGCACCTCAGTGCCCAACTCTACTGTGTGCTTGGTAAGATCATAGCAAGAGTCCAAGGTAGGTCATCATGGGGGCAGAAATGGTTTCCATGTTGTTTTGGTTCCTAGCTGTCTTTTTTGGTGAATAATCAAATTCTACCAAGAGTCAACATTTTGCTCCTAATGAGAAACCTAAGTAAGTACAAAGATGTCTTCTTCGTGGGGCTTGGCTTCTCTTTGTGTTTGCAGATGTCTGTTAGGAGCATTCAAGAACATGGGCGTGGCTGGTCCATCACGGGAGGGACGGGGTGGAAACCTGAGTGGCTCATAGTCAACAAGGGTCAGACGGGTGATGAGTGCTGGGGTATGAGGAGCAAAGGGGACAGGAGGCGGCACTCACTATCTCCAGAGGACCCAGAAAGGCTTCTGGTTGGAGCTGGGGGGTAATGAGGGTGTGGAGCTGACTCCTGAGGGTGGGCTCAGTGTGGGGGTCGAGAATGACTGTGAGCCAGGATGCAGCTGGCGAGGGAAGCTGGGTCTGAACCTGCCAGGGCCTGGTGCATTGGTGAGAGATGAGCTACTCATTGACGCAGCAGAGTCCAGCACAGCAGAGAGAGGCTCAGAACATTAGTGGGGCTGCAATGGGGCGTGCCTGCATTCCCTTTGGAGAGACAGTAACCAAGCTCACTGGGGCATGGCCTTTGAGAACGCTCAGATCAACAATCAATAGGATTTGCAGATAGTGTCCCCACCTTGCTCCTGAGATCCAAGGCAAACTCCACACAGGTGAGCAAGATTGGATTCCACACAGGCTGGGAGTGTTGAGAATGCCCTTTCTAAAGAGGATGCATGTATGAGCTGGGAGATAATTTAATGATAGTAAATTACCCAAATGCGGAATTAGACAGGCATGCAGCACCAGAGCCCAAGTTTTGGGGATGTGATAATGGTTTTCAGGCAGCTCATGGCTTCCCCAGTGGTGGCCGGCCAGCCGCAGTCAGAAGGAGGGTAAGTGTCCTGTGGGAAGAGGTTGTCTCCACTGAAGCACAGTTCTGCTGGAGAAAGGCTGGAGTCTTTGCAGTCCTCCAGGGCTGAAGACTCAACCCTAAAGAGATGTTCCTGAGTCTCACTTTGAATTCATTCCTAGCAGTTCTCTGCAGTCCTGGGAGGTCATTCTAAGACGAGATTTCTGTCTTGGCTTAGAGTCTGGTCAAGGTAGACCCTGTGACTATTTGGGAGATGAACCCAAGAAACATAAGGCGGGAGGCTGGGGAGGTGCCAAGACCAGCTCGGTCGGGGAGACCCTAACCCAGCGGTGCTAGAGGAATTAAAGACACACACACAGAAATATAGAGGTGTGAAGTGGGAAATCAGGGGTCTCACAGCCTTCAGAGCTGACAGCCCCGAACAGAGATTTACCCACGTATTTATTAACAGCAAGCCAGTCATTAGCATTGTTTCTATAGGTACTAAATTAACTAAAAGTACCCCTTATGGGAAACGAAGGGATTGGCCGAATTAAAGGAATATTGGGCTAGTTAACTGCAGCAGGAGCATGTCCTTAAGGCACAGATCGCTCATGCAATTGTTTGTGGCTTAAGAATGCCTTCAAGTGGTTTTCCGCCCTGGGTGGGCCAGGTGTTCCTTGCCCTCATTCTGGTAAACCCACAACCTTCCAGCATGGGCGTTATGGCTGTCATGAACATGTCTCAGTGCTGCAGAGATTTTGTTTATGGCCAGTTTGGGGGCCAGTTTATGGCCAGATTTTGGGGGGCTTGTTCCCAACAGGAAGAAAAACGGTAAAGGAAGAAAACCATAAAAACAGCATATTAACGGGGTCATAGCCCTGGACAACTGGAGCTTGGGCCCTTTGCGGACCCTCCAGACACCACACAGAACACATTGCAGGCAACGAGACAGCGGGGCCCATCGACCCCACCCACCCCATTGCTGACAGAGAGCCATGCCGGGACTACTCACTCGGGCAGATCCAGTCCACCCAAGCCCTGACTGAGCAAATGTGCAGGTCCTCAGGGAGGAGGGCGTGTGCCAAAGCAGCCACCAGAGCCGTCACTTCCCCCAGGCCAGGGTGGGACAGGGCTCCAGAGTGCCTCCGGGGGCTCCCTGAGATCACATTTCCTAACACACCTGAGAGTGTCTTCAGTTAAATGCTCGCTCTGTGCTAAACACATTCTGGAGCTGAAGCACAGCTGTAAACAAGGCTGACACAAGAGACAGTCAGTAAATAAGTGGACGAATGAGTAAACAGCAGAGCTCCTGCTAATTATAAGTGAAGCCAATTAAAAAAAAACAATGGAGAAAGTAAGAAAGTGCTCAAATAGTGGTGGGAATGTGATAAAAGAAAACCACAGAAGCCAGCTTGAAGGGGCTCCCACTGACCCAACCTTGAGCAGCTTGAAGGGGCTCCCACTGACCCAACCTTGAGCAGCTTGAAGGGGCTTCCACTGACCCAACCTTGAGCATCAGAAACAATGACAGTTATAGATCATAACCTCCAGAATAAACAGGAGCCCCGAGTCCACACTGAAGTAAATAGAGGAGAAAGGAGGAACAGCACTTTCTTGCGGCAAAATGTCAGCTAATCAATGAGAAGGGAATCATGGAATGAGAAAATCACCATTTGACAAGCATCATAACAATAATTGATTCAGGTCAGAAGCCTCCGTAGATGCTGAAACTACTGAGTGGAAGTTTGAGGACAAGTACAGGATGTATATTGTACATTGCCTGGAAATGCCTTTCTCCAGGATCTTTTTTTTTTTTTTTTTTTTTGAGATGGAATCTTGCTCTGTCGCCCAGGCTGGAGTGCAGTGGCATGCTCTTGGCTCACTGCAACCTCTGCCTCCTGGGTTCAAGCAATTCTCCTTCCTCAGCCTCCTGAGTAGCTGGGATTACAGGTGCCCACCACCACACCAGGCTAACTTTTGTATTTTTAGTAGAGATGGGGTTTCACCATGTTGGTCAGGCTGGTCTCAAAGTCCTGACCTCATGATCCGCCCGCCTCGGCCTCCCAAAGTGCTGGGATTACAGGCGTGAGCCGCTGCGCCCGGCCTCTCCAGACTCTTAATGATTACAACGGGAAAAAATAAATAGTAACTTCCCACTGGAGAAATGGCACGTACCTCCTTGCTGTGCTCTGAGTGTTTTATGTTCCTGTGTTGAAATCCTTACCCCCAAGGTGGGACATTTGGGAAGTGATCCATGAGAGTGGAGCCTCAGGAATGGGATCGGTGCACTTAGAAAAGAGGTTCCAGAGAGAACCTGCACCCCATCCGCCAGGTGAGGACACAGCAGAAAGGCACCGTCTGTGAACCAGGAAGAAGCCTGCACCAGACACTGAATCTGCAGGCACCTTGATCTTGGACTTCCCAGCCTCCAAAGCAATGAACAATAAATTGCTGTTGTTTATAAGTCACCCAAGGAATGGTAATTTTTTTTTTTTTGAGACAGAGTCTTACTGTGTCACCCAGGCTCACTGCAACCTCCACCTCCTGGGTTCAAGTGATTCTCCTGCCTTAGCCTCCCAAGTAGCTGGGATTACAGGCATGTGCCACCATGCCAGGCTAATTTTTGTATTTTTAGTAGAGATGGTGTTTCACCATGTTGCCCAGGCTGGTCTTGAACTCCTGGCCTCAAGTGATCTGCCTGCCTTGGCCTCCCAAAGTGCTGGGATTACAGGCGTGAGCCACTGCAGCCGGCTAGGATGGTATTTTGTTGTAGCAACCCAAAGGTACTAAAACACCCCTTAACGAAGTAATCAAAATTAATATCACTGGTAATTGAACAAATCAGTATCACTGATTGTTGACACAATCCACTGAGAAGGACGCAGCATCATTTTTGTGATATATCCCTGAAAATCCCGAATCTAATCATGAGAAAACATCAGAGAAACCCAAAGTGAGCAACATTCTGTAGTTCGTAGCCTACTATCGTCAAAAATGCCATTTTCATGAAATGTATAGACCGATTAAATCCAGATTAAAGAAAACTCCTGTCAAAACAGCAGTTGAACCCCTGGCCCAGGATAGTCTTTTGTTAAAAGACATTGTTAGGCTGGGCGCAGTGGTGCACGCCTGTAATCCCAGCACTTTGGGAGGCTGAGGCGGGCAGATCATGAGTTCAGGAGTTCGGGACCAGCCTGGCCAACATAGTGAAACCCCCTCTCTACTAAAAATACAAAAATTAGCCAGGTGTGGTGGCATGCACCTGTAGTCCCAGCTACTCAGGAGGCTGAGGTGGGAGAATTGCTTGAACCCGGGTGGTGGAGGTTGCAGTGAGCCAAGACCATAACATTGCCCTCCAGCCTGGGTGACAGAGTGAGACTCTGTCTCAAAAAAAAAAAAAAAAAAAAAAAAAAGAATGACATCGTTGGGGCAATAAGCAGAATCTGGGTTGGGTCTGTAGATTAGAAGATGGCATTGCATCTTGCTATGTGTACTGTGCATACGTAAGAAGATGCCCATGTTTTTAGAAGAGGCACATGGAAGGATGTATTAGAGATGAACCCAGTGGGGTTCTCAAAATCTACATGAAGGAATTACAGGAATTATTTGTCCTCTTCATGCAACTTTCTGTAAATCTAAAATTCTATTAAAATAAAAGTTAAAACCAACCAAAAAAAAAAAAGCAATGTCAAATGGAAAGGGACAGGGCTCGGGGGCACTTCAGACAGGGGATCACAGAAGACCCCTGCAGAGGCGCCATTTGAGTCACGAAAGAGGAGAAGGTGCCTGGCCACACAAAGATCAGAGGGAACAGAGTGAAGCGCCCCCAGTGGGGAGGACTTTCCAGAGTCCTGGGGACACAAAGGCTGGCATCCTGGGGACAGCAGAGGTAGGCAGCATGGCCCATAGGGCCTTGTAGACCCCGGGATAGGAGCGGGGTTTTATTCTGGTGTTCCAGGACCTGGTGGGAAGGTTTCTGAGCCATGCAGGGCCCCAGCCTGGCCTGCCAGGGCTGCATCCTGTGTCTACTGCTGGTCAGAGAACTGACTGGGGTTGGGGGAAGGGAGGCCCTGCTTTTAGCCAGGTGGCAGCTGATGGAGGCCTTCCCCGAGGGTGGGTGGCCCTGGGAAGTTGTGCGTAGGGAGGAGCCAGGTCAAGGAGGGCCCTGTTCTTTCACACTGAGCTCCTGGCTGGCCCTGGGGGTGGCTGTTGCCTGTGAAGGTAGAGTGCTGGGCTGGACCTCTGCATGCCTTCAAGGAGCTCCCGGCTCTGGGATCCATGCAGAGGAGAGTGGTACAGGTGATGCACGGGAGAGGAGCCAGGTGGTCCCTGGGCATGCAGGGGGCTTTGCAACCCCGACCACGGCCTCCTCCCTCAGTCTGTGGCCTCCTCCCTCTCCCCAGTGCCGCTGAGTGAGTGGTGGTCATTATTCCCACCAAGTCCAGGGGTTTCCTCCTCTATAGACAGGGAGTATCAGTTGCTTCTAAGGATTAAACTGGAAAAGGATTCAAGCCAGCACTGCCAGGAAGGGCTTTTGACATGCCTGCATTAAGGGAAGACATATCATTCCAGTGAGCATTTAAATACTGATTACATCTTTTGCTTTGTAAATAACTCAATGGTAAATTTTTACAATATTGTTTTTACAGAGACTGTAATGAGGAGGCAATTTTTCTCCCCTGTCACTTGGATATTAAGCTTTTTAATGAGAGTACACAAATGACTATATAAAACTTGGGATGGTGAGAGCTGAGTTGGGACTTAATGCGAAATTAAAGTTGTGCAGGCTCCAGCTCACTGATGAACGAGCCTTCTGTCATTGTGAGGAGCGGAATGGTGCCGGCTCTTTGTCCTTTCTCCCTCCCTTTCCCCCGCGCCGTTTGTCCTCCCGAGGAGCCTCAGCGCTCTGGGCAGGGGTCGCTTGGAGAGGCTTCCTGGGAACGGGGCGGGAGCGCGCAGCCTGGGGGATTTTTTATTTGGGAGCATGCCTACTTTTTAATTGGCCTTGGTGTTAATGAATGGATTCGTTCTGTTTGGAGCGAGCAGGCTGGGCACTGGAGCGTGTAATCTGATTGCAGCCGGGAGCTCGGAGCCCTGCAGAAGGCTCTAGAGTGGCAGGGACTGGTTTGGCCCTGGACTGTGCAGTGCTGGCGGTGATGGGGCCAGAAGGGTGGGAAGTGGGGAGAGGTGGGCACCTGCAGGATGGAGGCCATCAGGGCCATTTGCCCTCTTGCAGCGTCCCCCAGGCAGACCCCCTTCGGGCTCTGAGGCCGGGGTTGGATGAAGGGGACCCTTCCTGGGGCAGCCCTTGGTGTCCAGTGGACATTGAATACCTCAATACACACGACTTGTCCCCGCAGGTAAGAAGTGTCAGACGCTGCGGACGTGTTTTCACCCTGCCAGCTCTCAGTGCCATCGGGAAAAGCCTTCAACCAGCCGTCGTATAGGTGGACTGTCTGGTTATTCCCCAGACAGCTCGTTTTTCTTCCTGTGGCTTCTCAGCCTTTCAGCTCATTCTGCATTTGAACAATCCCTTCCCCAAGACCACCGGGCAGGCCTCTGCTGCGGGCCCCGAGCCCCTACCAAGGCCTGTGTGTGTTACCAGCTTCGTGGCTGGGTCCCGGCATCTGGAGGACAGAGGCCATGGGGCTCCCGTGGAGACCTCATCACGCACAGAGCAGCCCTGGGCTGGGCCGCATGGAAGGCGAAGGCTCGAGTCCAGAACGGGCAAGAGTGTGCTGGTGCACATCTTGAAGGCAGATTTTGAATCTGAAATCTTTTCCTGCGGTGATGTAAACCCCCACCCTCACCATCCGTCCCTCGCCCCTGGCCAAGTGTTTGTGACTGTCATTTGGGCTCCTTGTACCAAGCCCAGTCTTGTGGAGATGACCCAGAGTAATGTTTAATGAGGTCACGGGCAGGCCGCTTGTGTTTGTAAACACGTGCACATTCCAGGCTTACAGGGCTCTGAATTTGCTTCTGTGTTTGGATTCCATACTTTTGCTCCACATTTGTCACCCAGGTCTCTCCCTCCTGGGATAGAGAGAAGCCGTTCTCTGCCGGGTGTTTTGGCCCCTAAGTGAAGCGTGTGACCTGTGTGGATGCCCCATCTACCCCTGAAAGCCAAACTCCATGTCTTCCTGATGGCCCAGCCGTTGTCTGTGGCTTGGCTCCTGTGGGGAAGTCACACAGAGGTGACCTGGCCCATGGGTCTGTCCCATGCAGGCACAGAGGCAGCCGCAATGGGACCAGGCACCCAGCCCTCCTGCCCAGTGTTTACATCAGAAGGAAACAGCGTGCTCACGTGTCTACCCGCACACGCTTCGCCTCCTTCTCCGTGCAGCACCGCCCTGCTGAGCAGCTGTACTGTGGACTCTTCTGCCTGCAGGTCCCCATGGCTCTATTTGCAGACCCACCTCAGGGGCCTGACACAGACTAAGCAGCACAGATTCATATTTCAGTAAAGGGTGACATCCAGGAAAAGCTGGAGCCCTGCCGGACCTCTGGATTGCTCCTGGGTCACCCCAAAGCTGTGGTGGACTTGGGTGGCTGCAAAGATCTTGGTCCCCCTGGCATGGCTCCAGTTCTCGGTTACCCTGACGTCCCCTGAGATCCAGACCTGGAGCCAACCCTCCCCCAACCCCCACCCACGTGCCAGCCGGGTCTCAGTTTTGCCACAGATGAGGAGCAAAGCCTCCCAGGTTTCTGCCCACATAGGAGGGATGGCCGACTCCTAGTAGCAGGACACACTTACCAAGCTAGACTATTTCTTTCCACACCTACAGGGAAGGCTAAAAAGCATCCTGGAGGTTTCCGGGAATGAGATTCAAAGGGCGGAGGCCTCAGCAGCAGGCGTGGACACGCAACCCCAGCCCCGTGCCCTCCGCGTCCTTGCATGCATTTCACACGATACTTCAGATTTTTTTTTCATTTAGATGTTAACGCTTTTATAAAAAGTACTTTTCATAAAAATCCTGATTCCTGGCTAATTTTCTAGACAGTTGGAGGATTTGGCTTCCAGAGCCCACATTGCTGCAATGCCCCATGGCTGGCTTAGGGCAGCAGCTGTCCCTTAACTGGGCACGTCCTCTGTGTGGCCGACACTCCCGCCCCCGTCTCAACACCCAGGTGTGTGTCCTGCCGGCCCCGTAGCCTGGAACAACACCCTGTGTCCTGTGCCCTGGGCCGTCAGCACTAGGCAGCTCCTCTCGGTGAGGGCTGAGGGCATTGGGGCCCAGCATAGGCCCCAGCTCAGGGGAGAGCCAGGGATCCCGAGCAGGAGGGCTTGCACCCGTTGAATGAAATGGGCTATGCCCTTTAGCCACTTGTTCTGCATTGTTGGAAGCTGATTCAAAGACCCTTTTATTGTTCTAAAAACAGCAATGATATTCTTTGTTCTTTGAAGATAATGTGCTGGATGTTCTCCCATTACATTTCTCATAATGAATGTCGTCCTGGGGCTCGCAGGACCATTTGGACTTAATGGAGAAAAAGCAGCAGACAAAGCTGTAGCAATTCCTTGCTGCATCCACCCTCCCAGCAAAACGGGATTAGAACCTGGGGAATATGCGTTCCGATGACCAGACTTACACCTGAATTGCCAGGTGACCTTGGGCTGATTGTGTGGGATATTTGGGGCTGTTTTGTCCACTGAGGAATCACAATAATGTGCCTTCCCCTCTGGGTGCCATGCGGGTTGGCTGTTGAATGGGTTGGAAAGTGATTTGAACACATCGAGGGCAACATAAATGCTAAGTGTGATTTCTAAAATGCACAGCAGCTTGAAGAAGTAGACATATGTGGGTGACTGTATAAACTCTGAGGACTCAGTCACATTAAACATATGGATACACCTGTTCTCTTCAGAAAGTGATGGGGATGGGGCAGGTGTGGAACTCGTGGGGCAGTGGTGTTCTCTAGAGGTGGGGTGTGGCTGGCAGTGCGCACGGCGGGTGTGGAGGGTTTAGCGATACAGAGCCCGCGGGGCTCCTGCGTGATGGTGACAGAGCATGGACCCCAAGTTTTTAAACATCTATCAAGCACTGTCACAGAGCTGGCACTGAGCTTGGGGCTTGTAGGTTGGCAGTAGCACCTATAGGTTGGCACTAGCTCCCTGAGGAGCTCGCTGTCTGAAAGGGGAGAAGCATGTGGAAAAGTTGAGTTCTGTGCAGCGTGACGTGGAGGAGATGCGTGAAGCTGGACCAGGGGCCGTCCCCATGCACAGGACTCAGGGAAGGCTTCGCAGAGAAGGTGATGACTGGAGGAAAGGTGCAGTTTGAGGGTGACTAGGGCACCCCATCTTGGCAGCGTGACATGTCGTGGCATCCCCTGGGAGTTACCTGGGAGTCCTGAGAGGGTCTGGGAGGGGCAACTCTGCTTGCAGACTGCCCGATCTCGGGTCCTGGTGCTCCACTCACTTTCCCTGTGGCCTCGGGCAAGTTATTTAAGGTACCTGGACAACAGTTTCCTCAGCTGTGAGATGGGATGACGGTAGTACCGATCTCACACAGTTGTCACAGGTGTAAACCAAAAATAAAGTTCTAAGCACCCCCCAACCATCTGAACGGACTCTCTCCTAGGCCAGGGCTCTCTAGAATTTAACCTGAAAGATCGGTTTGGGCCTTGAGTGGAGTTCGGACATGCCTCCAGGGCTCTCTAGAATTTAACCTGAAAGATCAGTTCAGGCCATGATGGGAAGTGGGGGTCCGACATGCCTCATGATACCTCTCTGGCATTAACATCAACACAGTCCTCAAGTCTGATAAGAAACAGTTGCGACCTATTTCTTGGGAAGCGTGCCGCCTGGAGGCTGCATCTGCATTATACAGCTTCGGTCTCCACGACCTCCTATTGCAACCCAGACATTCCTTTCTATTGATAACTCTTCCAACCAATTGCCAGTTAGAAAATGTTTAAATCTACCTATAACCCGGAAGCACTTGAATCCTTCAAGTCATGCCACATTTCTGGACCAAACTAATGTCTTTCTTCAAGGTATTTGATTGTAGCCTCATGTCTCCCTAAAACCTATAAAACCAAGCTGCACCCCAACCACATGTTTGGGCACATGTTCTCATGATCTCCTGAGGGCTGTGTCACAGGCCAGGGTCACTCATATTTGGCTCAGAAATCTCTTCAGATATTTTACAGAGTTTGACTCTTTTTGTCAACATAGGAGTGATGCTTAGAAAAGTTCATGGTACCTACTAAGTGCTTGGTAATGTTGGGTGATGGTAGCAGTGCTGATGGAGGTGATGGTGGTGACAGTGGGGAGGTGGTGATGAATGTGGTGGCCATGCTGATTGTGATGGTTGGATTGTGGTGATCATGGTGATCATGGTGGAGGTGTTGGTGATGGTGCTGGTGGTGGTCTTGGTGGTGGTAGTCATAGCACTGGTAGTGATGGTGTGGTTTATTGATGGCAGTGTGATTGTCTTGGTGGTGGTGATGATGGTGTGGTTTGTTGATGGTAGTGTGATGGTCTTGGTGGTGGTGATGATGGTGGCGCTGGTGGTGGTCATAGCACTGGTGGTGGTCATAGCACTGGTGGTGATGGTATGGTTTGTTGATGGTAGTGTGATGATCTTGGTGGTGGTGATGGTGTGGTTTGTTGATGGTAGTGTGATGGTCTTGGTGGTGGTGATGGTGTAGTTTGTTGATGGTAGTGTGATGGTCTTGGTGGTGGTGATGATGGTGGTGCTGGTGGTGGTCATAGCACTGGTGGTGATGCTATGGTTTGTTGATGGTAGTGTGATGGTCTTGGTGGTGGTGATGGTGTGGTTTGTTGATGGTAGTGTGATGCTCTTGGTGCTGGTGGTGGTGATGGTGTGGTTTGTTGATGGTAGTGTGATGGTCTTGGTGCTGGTGATGATGGTGGTGCTGGTGGTGGTCATAGCACTGGTGGTGATGGTATGGTTTGTTGATGGTAGTGTGATGGTCTTGGTGGTGGTGATACTGTGGTTTGTGGATGGTAGTGTGATGGTCTTGGTGGTGATGGTGTGGTTTGTTGATGGTAGTGTGATGGTCTTGGTGCTGGTGGTGATGGTGGAGTGGTGGTGGTGATGAAGGTGGTACTGGTGGCAAATGTGCTCAAGATGGTGATGGTGTTGCTGATGTTGGTGATTGTGTGGGTGTGGTGGTGGTGCCAATGCCAGTGGTGGCATTTTTGCATTGATAGTGGTAGTAGTGGTGGTGATGTGCTTTGAAAGGAGCATAGGACCCCTGAGACCGGCCACAAAAGTGCCTGGAATTCTGCTGTGTGGGATGTGAGTGTTGTTGGGAAAGATCCCAGGGGAAGGAGGGCAAGAGGAGCCGGAGCCATCTTCTTGGAGAAAGCCAGGCTCTGGCCAGGCCTGGGAAGGGAGACAGCAAGACAGTTTCCTCAAGTTAGAGAAATGGAAATGGCACAGAAGTGGGGCAGGGGAACCTGCAGCAGGGACTGAGAGGGACATGGTGAGGAGGCTGAGGTGGAGGCGTGGGCTTGGGACATTCTGATGCTGGAAGGGCTCTTACTCCAGGCGGAGTTCAGGTCACCCATGGGGAAAGGCTAGTCTGGGGCCATGATGCATCTTACTGAGCATTCTCCCCCATGGCATATGGTTGGAGTGGTTCCCTCCTGTGGATCCTTCTGTGTGGCTGCTCCCGTTTTTCCCATCTGTCTCAGCACAGACCCCCAGGCAAGCCCTGGAAGGTGGGTGCTCACATTCCCATGCTACAGGTGAGGGACAAAGTTCAGAGACACAGGTGAATGGCCGGTGGCCAAGATCATTGGCACCGGGAGGCACTACCTACACCACCTCTCCTCTCTAGCACTTCCCTGTGGCAAATGCCCTGATCTGACAGCCTTCCTAGGTGGTTCTGACACTGATGGGCACAGTTCCTGAGTCAAAAGCCTGCTTTGCAATTCTTTGGGGCCAACTCTTTCATCCCAACCAGTGAGCGCTAGTTAGGCAAGCTGGAAAGCTGTAGGATGATCAAAATATGAACGTGCACCCACCACCAACACGTGAGGGCGGCTGCTGTCCTTCAAGTCTGCGTTGCCAAGGTAACTGGGGATTTGGAAGGGACAGCCAAGTGACATATTCTGCAAGCAGGGCTCGGCAATTATTGAAGAGTTGGCGGCTCAATCTAAAACGGAGGAGCCTTGAAGTTTGCAGAAGTGGAATAGAGGCATGGGGGGCTCTGGTGAGGGGCAGTGGCCGTGTTGCACTTTGTCACAGCATCATTTAGGTGACACAGCCCGGGACTCCTGGGCCCTGACGAATCCAAAGGGTCCCCATTCCATGTCTAAGTGCCCATCGGACGGTTGAGTTGTGTGGTCCAGGGCTCTGCCGGCCCCGCCTCCTGGTTGCCCCATTTCCTTCATCCTCTCTCCACCTCCCTGGTGCCTTTCCTGAGTGTAAAACCCTCCAGCACCAAGACATCCCCATGTGCACTTGTATAAAGAGGAGGCTGTGGTTACGGTGACCTTCAAATGTCCTTGTTAAATGAAACAAAACCATTGCATGGTGCTTTTCTGTAGTCAACGAGTCGCTTTAGCTTTCAAACAACTGTAGTGTCTTTAACTTTATCTGAAGAACGTGAACCAGATCCCCAGAAAGAACATCCCTTTCAAAACCAGAAGTCTTAGGCTGTTAATGTGCCATAACCACTGGCTCCAAGCAATTCTTCAGTGCTGTGTAAAGGGTACATTCCATCTGTTCCCCATCTGGACTCCTTAGGTCGGTCCACTGGCCTGTGCCTTGTCCTTAGAAGGCTGGAGGCCTGTCCTCTGTAGCAGAAGGGAGATCAATGCAGCCCTGCCAATTAGCGGGGAATTAGCTCACACATCCCTTCATGTGCCGTGATGTTGACTCACGTGATCTGGATAAATGACTTAGGAAAAATGGTTCTAAAGATTTCACTGGGAGGCTGGGTGTGGTGGCTCACACCTGTAATTCCAACACTTTGAGAGGCCGAGGTGGGCGATCGCTTGAGCCCAGGACTTCAAGACCAGCCTAGACAACATGGCAAGACCCCCATCTCTCTAAAAAATACAAATATAAGCTGGGCATGGTGGTGCACGCCTGTAGTCCCAGCTACTCAGCAGGCTGAGGTGGGAGGGCTGCTTGAGCCCACGAGGTTGAGTCTGCAGTGAGCCATGATCATTGCCACTGCACGGCAGCCAGAGGGAGAAAGCAAAACTCTCTGTTAAAAGAAAAAAAAATTTATTGGGATATAGTTTTCTTCCCTTTAAAACTTTGAAATTATAGTGTGTGAGGTTCCTGGGGCTGCTGTGGTCACCAATTAGCACAAGGTGGGTGGCTTAGAACAACAGAAATGTGTTGTCTCACAGTTCTGGAAATCTGAAATCTAAAATCAAGGTGTGGGCAGGACCATGCTTGCTCCCTCCCTGGGTTTCTCCAGCTCCTGCTGGCTCCGGCTTTCCTTGGCTTGTGACCACATCACTCTAGTCTCTGTCTCTGTCTTCCCGCGGCCTTCTCCTCTCATCTGTGTGTCCCTCACTTTGTGTCTTTCATAGGAACACCTGTCATTGGGTTTAGGGCCCAATCAGATAATCCAGAATGATGTCTTTATCTCAAAATTACTAATCACATCTGCCTGTAAATACCATTTCTCCAAGTAAAATGACATCATAGGTTCTAGGGATTGACAAGGATGTATTTTGGCCATCAGACAACTCATTCCATGTAGAAGGATGCTTTAGCATAATTTTTAGAACTTTTTTTGGAAGTATTTCTAGATTCACAGGGAAATTGCAAAGATAGCCCAGAAAGGTCCCTTCACTTGATGTCCCAAAGGTAGCCTTCAATTAACTGTAGGATGATGTCATCACAACCAAGACATTGACATTAGTCCAGTCCACAGATGTTAAGCATCCATTTTTTACTGAGGGCTCAGCTGTAAGTCAGAGAGACCCTCCCTTCCTCGCTGTTTGACTTTAAGCAAGTTTGCAATCATTCTGAGCCCAAGGTTTCTGTTTTCCACCTATGCAAAAGGGAGCGTGAGAATGCCGGGTAGGGGGTTGGGAAAATTAAATGAGATTGTATGAATGAAACTGGGCACGTGGCCTGCCTGACAAGTGGTAAGTGTAATTCCTCTTAACAGACTAACACCAGGGTGTGAAAACATAATCCATTCCAAGATCTGCTCCTCGGAAGGGTCTGAGGATGAGATACAGAGGATGCACGTGGTTTTGGAGTGAGTGCCTTGGCTGTGGGGTGCTGGGTCTCAGTGAGGTCTTGGGAATGCTCTGCTCTCACGGTCACTAACAGGGCAGCAGTGGCATGGAGTCCCCTTAATTGACAGACAACCACGTAGAGTCATCCTGTACTTCTCGCTGTAAATACCAAGCAGGATGGAATAGTTAGAGCCGTGACTTTCACAGTTATTGAAGTTAATCCAACATCCGAATCTGTGTAGGGAAGTCCTGAAGGTCATTAAGAAAATTCAGAACCTCATCTTCCCAAGCCAGCGGCTGCAGGGAGGTGGCCTGTGGGGCTTTTGGTCTTTAAATCCTCTGCCTCACCCCTATTGTCCAGTATAACCATCACACTTTCTGAAATCCACAAATGGAGGGGAGGGAGGTTACTGAAATGCTTCATTTAAATGCACTGATTCGACAAAGAATTTTTCTAAGGAGCAGTAGAAAAATGGCCAGGACATTCTTTCCTGTTCCCACGGTTTAACCAACTCTACCCAAGGCTCCTGTGCTCAACTGTTCTTTGTTTCAATTCCCGCTGCAAGTTTTAGAGGTGAAGTGTCAACTCCAGGGATATTAAACAAAAATAAAAATGACTCAAAAATAGGTAGCATTGCTTAGAGCAGAGACAAATCATTCAAAGAAAATATCACACTATCACTGGCCTTTGTTTAAAGTGAAGAGTTAGGCAGATAAGGATTGTGTAGATAATTTTGTTGCAGACTTTTTTTACAAAGACTAATTTGACATTGTCCTGGGAAGCTGTCCCTTTGAATATTCAACAAAAGCAAGGATGCATAGGGAGAGATGGTGTTGAGCATATTATTTTGCATAATTTATGCTCAGTGACAGCCACTGCCTGCTTCACTTCATCAGACATTTAGGGGGAGACTGCTCGATGCTTCAAATCTCATTAAGCTATTTATTCATTGTAATGAATGATTTTAATGTACTGCATTAAGGTTATGCCACACTGAACTGTTAAAAAAATCCATCTTACTATACACATTTTAATGTTTGCAGCTAAATTAATACCTTTATGACTGCCTCAATGGTTGAATGGACACCATTTGCAGATGAATCACACTCTACACTCATCCCCGTTTTACCCAGTTCTGGGCCATGGCCTGATAGAGTTGTGATCATCTCTGTGTATCCATATCCGTGGACAGATAGATGAGTGATCGGGTTTGTGTGAACTCTGATAATTCACAGGCTTTCCCTTCCACGGCGCTCCCACCAACAACACCATCCTACAAACCCCCCTGCCCCCTCCCACCTGTTTTCACCCCTCCCTCGATCCATCAAGATGTCAGCAAGTTGCGATGATGAGAAGATAATATCTTTCGGGAGGATGAAAGGCAGTTCTAATAAAAAGCTGTCATTCACAAACTCAGACCCACTGTCACACGATATGCATTTTAAAGACCATATGAACTGTTAAATGGCTCAATATGGCAGCCCGCATGGTTGTTACAACTTGGAGATCTTTCATGATGCTGAAAGAGGGTGTGGGACTTATTGCAGCTTCGGCAAATGAAAGGTTTGAGGTTCTACAAAGAAATATGTCATCTGTGTTCTGTTGCATCCGAAGTATTTCTCCTGCCTCTGCTCAAGATGTCATCAGAAATACTCACCCTTAGCAGGGGAAGATGTGGGAAAATTTAGATGACATAAAAATACTGGAGTATCATCCTTTATAATCTAGCAAATATTTGAAAACTACAAGCTACGCAGCGTGACATAGTCCCTGTCTGAATTCGGCAGATGGAAATTCAGAGTGTTATTTTGCAAGGGAAGGTTATCTGGTCATAGGATGGCACATTTTAAATTTGGGAGAAGGAAGAGAGACCAGCTCCCCTAGCCTGTATGGAGTAGTGATCTCGAATGAGGCTCGGGGTGCCTGCGCTCCTTAATGCGTCTTCCAAAGAAGCTGTCAAGTGTCCTGCCTTGAAAGGTCACCAGGACGTTTGTGATTGACTCTTGATAGGAGTTGCTGCTTATTTCTGTAGATGATATCACCAGGGCCCAATCAGGGACTCAAGTTCTGAAATGTAAGGAAGAATAAGTTCTTTGGGAGAAAGTAAGTGCAGAAAATCATAGACAGCTGTTTTGGGCTTGTCTTAGCCTGTGCGGAAATAATTAGTTCATTGCACATAACCTAGCAGTTTACGATTAACAAAAACATCCACTTAGCAAGGAGATTTTTTTTCAGTTTTTGAAGAGGATAAATGAACCAAGGAAAGAACATGTGACCCTTTCCCCATCCCTGCGTGCCTTCTCCCTTCTCAGGATGCCTTGAAGCTCAACAAAAACTGTACACGCTATGATGGAACGCTGCTCTAAAGCCATAGGGCAGTCCGCAGAATGTCCCCCCTTGGAAGATTTGAGCCACCAGTTAACCCCCCCACCTAAGGAATATCAATTACTCACTTTCCCACCCCAATTTGGCCTTTGCATAATCTACTACCAGAGAAACACTTTGATCACATGACACCTTTCAGAAAACTATTTAAAAAGATAACTGTTGGCCAGGTGTAGTGGCTCACACCTGTAATCCTAGCACTTTGAGAAGCTGGGCGGGTGGATCACCTGAGCTCAGGAGTTCGAGGCCAGCCTGGCCAACATGGTGAAACCCCATCTCTACTAAAAATACAAAAGATTAGCCAGGCATGGTGGCAGGCACCTGTAATCCCAGCTACTTGGGAGGCTGAGGCAGGAGAATTGTTTGAACCTGGGAGGCAGAAGTTGCAGTGAGCTGAGACCATGCCACTGCACTCCAGCCTGGAAAACAAGAAAAAAACTCCATCTCAAAAATAAAAATAAAAATAATTAAAATAAAAAGATCACTGTTCTGAGCAGAAATGTTTAATGGAAAGGATACCTGATACCTGTGGCATCATGTTTCATTTAACTAGAGGCTTAAACGTAAAAATAAGAAATGAGAACTATAAACAAAGCTTACTTGATGCCTATTGACTGCCTGGCCGCCTAATGGAATGCTCAAATGCAGCAGCTCTAACTTATTATGGAAAGGTAGGTGGTGTGAGGTAGGGATCGTTTCTTCATCAGGATGAAGAGCAGAGCGAGAGAGCCTTATGCCAAGAGGAAAGGTGGGTGAAACACACATGGTGAACATGCACATGGAAGACCCTGGCATGGGGGACCCCTGGGAGTGGACCTCCCATGAGCAGGTGTTCCTGGTGTCTCTGCCATGGGCCCTCCTGAAAAGGCAGAGTAAGTGACACCTTCTATTGGCTTCCCAGGGCTGTTGTGACAAATTACTACAAACTAGGGGACTTAAAACCACAGGGACTTATCTTTTCACAGTTCTGGAGACCAGAAGTCTGAAATGCAGGTGCGAGCAGGGCCATGTTCCCCCTGAAGCTTCCGGGGAGGCCCCTGCCTCACGTCTTCCAGCCTTGGGCGGCCATGTCATTCCAGGCTTTGCCTCTGTCTTCATGTGGTTCTCCTCGGGTGCACCTCCATGGCCTTCTCCCTTCTTGAGAGGTCACCTATCATCAGAAATACTCAGTGCCAGGGAGTTAGAGCCCACCCTAAGTCCAGAATGATCTCATCCCAGGATCCTTAATGTCATTACATCTGCAAAGACCCATTTTTCCAAATAAGCTCACATTTCCAGGTAACTAGGGTTAGGATATAGACATGTTTTTTTGCAGAGGGGAGGACACAAGTCAATCGGTACACAGACAAAAAAAACCAATCACTGTGTATCATGGTGGGGGAGTGTATTAGTCACAGTTCTCTAGAGGGACAGAACTAATGGAATATATATAATTCATATATATATAATATATATATGAATATATATATGAATATATTATATATAGAATATATATGAATATATTATATATATGAATATATATGAATATATTATATATATGAATATATTTATGAATATATATGAATATATTTATATATGAATATATATGAATATATTATATATATGAATATATATGATTATATATGAATATATGTGATATATATGAATATATGATATATATGAATATATGTGATATATATGAATATATGTGATATATATGAATATATGTGATATATATGAATATATATGGATATATATGAATATATATGGATATATATGAATATATGATATATATGAATATATATGATATATATGATATATATCATATATGAATATATATTCATATATATGAAGATATATATGAATATATATGATATATATGAAATATATTATATATGATATATATGAATATGTATGAATATATATGAATATATATGAATATATATGATATATGATATATGATATATATGAATATATATGAATATATGATATATATGATATATATGAATATATGATATATATCATATATGAATATGTATGAATGTATATATTATATATGATATATATGAATGTATATGATATATGATATATATGAATGTATATGATATATGATATATAAATATATGATATATATGAAGATATATGCATATATATGAAGATATATATGCATATATATGAAGATATATATGCATATATATGAAGATATATATGCGTATATATGAAGATATATATGCGTATATATGAAGATATATATGCGTATATATGAAGATATATGAATATGTATGAGTTTATTAAGTATTAACTCACACAATCACGAGGTCCCACAATAGGCCATCTGCAGGCTGAGAAGCAAGGAGAGCCAGTTCGAGTTCCAAAACTGAAGCACCTGGAGTCTGATGTTTGAGAGCAGGAAGCATTCAGCACGGGAGAAAGATGAAGGCTGAGAGGCTAGGCCAGTCTCTCTCTTCACATTTTTCTGCCTGCTTATATTTTAGCTGTGCTGGCAGCTGATTAAATGGTGCCCACCCAGACTGAGGGTGGGTCTGCCTTTCCCAGCCCATTGACTCAAATGTTAATCTCCTTTGGTAACACCCTCACAGACATACCCAGGATCAGTACTTTGTATCCTTCAATCCAACTAGGTTGACACCCAGTATTAACCATCACAGGTGGGGATATTGGGAATCACACCAGGAGGAACCATGAGTGTAGAGACAGGGTCTCCCCACAGAGCATGGAACCCAGGTCAGCCCCAACTGAGACTAGCACCAATGGGGGTGCTAAAGATCTGGCCTCTTACTCAGGCCCTGGCAGGATAGAGAAGGCCGTGCTTCCACAGCGTGGTCTGGCATTTACTGTGCTGCTGTCCATCTGGAAGCTGGTGACCTGGATGTGTGGTTTGTCCTGCAAACCAGTCTTTTCTGAACATCTGCCCCAATGTCTCAGCACTTCTCATCCCACCCTCTGCGTCTTCTACCCTTTTCTTTCTAATCCCTTAGTCTCTCTCTACCACATTCTAAACAGTTTCTTCTGACTTGCCTTCCAATTCACCAATTCTCTCATCAGCAATGTCAGCTCAGCTACTAATCCTACCCATTAAGTTTTAAATTATAAATTCTCTATTTTTCACTTCTGGGGGTTCTCTTTCATTAATTTTCAGCTTCTTTTTTTATACTTTTCTGTTCTTTGAAGTTATTTTCTAGGTCATTAAACAAATCTCTTTAAACATAATAAGCATAGGTATTTCAGACTCTAAGTCTGATCCCTCTCAGTCCTGATGTTTGCAGTTCTGATTCTATTGTCTGAGGTTTCTACTTGTTCTAGCTCATAGTGTAATCATATCTAACTCTGAGCTACTCGTTTGCCATGGGATATCACTGGTGAGAATCTTCCTACGATGAGGATGTGTGTCTCCAGGGAGGTTTTGCATTAGCGATTGCCAAGCCCTAGGGGCGTTTTCAGTTTGGAACTGCTTTAAACTGAGTTTGAACTTGGGGTTCTACCGGCACCAACTAGGTGTGGTGAATGTGGCCTCCATCCTCTCCGAACAGTACTCCTACCCTCTGCTCCACTGAGCCACCTTCCCTAAAGCCTCTGGAAGTGGCAGGAGGAGGGACTAGGGTTTAACCTTATACGGAGGATGTGCACTTTGAAGTGGCAGCGTTCTGCGATCTGTCTCCTACAAGACCATCCACCTGGATGGGCCCCAGGCTTTGTCTTCTTTCCCCACAACCAACCCCTTCCCTTCCCTTCCAAGACCATGAGATGAACGCTCAGATCAGGAGGTTGGCAAATCCCCTGGACAAGAACAGCTGAATTCATTGTGCCACTGACGAAATCCCCGCCGCCCCCCGCCCCCTTGGATTGTGGTCTCAAGAATTCTTGAACGCTTCCTGTCTGTTCAGCTCATCTTAGCCTTAATGCAGCATGTCCAGCTGTCCCTGCCTGCGTTGGTTCAAATTTCTGCCCTACCATATTGCCAAACGCGTGACTAGCCTCCTCTGCAGGGACTGGTTCCTGCTCTCCTGCCTCCTCTCCCGTTATCTTCTGTTGCTGTCCACGCTGTATCCAGGCTGGCTGTAGCTTCTCCACACGCCAGGTTCCCAGGCTCAGGATCGTCACAGATGCCTTTTCCACCAACGGGAATCACCATCTTCTCTTCGTGGGAGAAGCCGTACTCCCCTCCTGCCCACCTTTAAACTTTAACGTAGGTGTCATTTACTCAAAGAGCCCCCGAGTGCCCAGGCCTCCTGTTCACCTTGATCTCTGCACTTGGCATTTGCTATGTAGATTGCAGCTGCGGTTCATGCATCATGTGGGTAAGGATTTAATGCCTGGCACCAGACTGGAGCTGAGCTGCAGGAGGTCAGGAGCCACAGTTGTCCTAGCGCCTGGGGACGCTCATGGATGTTTCTCCCGTGGCTCTGTGCTCAGCTATGCAGCTGTCGGCCAGGAGCAGACCCCCTACCTTGAAGCCTGAGCTGTCTGAGTAGTGACAAGGGTGTGTAGGGGTGAAGTTGACCCCTGTCTCATTGTTCGCCTTTCCTGGAAGAATAGACCACGTACCACTGCTGTTCGTTGTTGGGGAGGTCTTCAGCCCCTGTGGGTGCTGAGCCACAGTCGTGCTGTGCCTGGCCTCACAGCTCCTGGAAGGAACAAAACCTCTCGGTCTCCTCCAAAGGCATGGCCTCCCTGATGCTGACAGTGCTGCCCAGGATGACACCCACCCATCCATGACACCCTCCTCCAGACAGGAGACATTGGATAAGTGGATTCTCACCTCCCAGCCACCTCTCTCTCTAGGTCAACTTCTTACTCACCAGTGGTTCCACTCTGCCTTCCCCCAGCCTTCCCTGCGGAAGCCCTGGCATGCACTGAACCCGTACTGTAAGCTCTTTCCTTCTGGTGGAATGATGCGGGGGGCCTGGCCTTGAGGTCTTTGATGGGAAGATGGAGGCGGTTTGGCACCATGAGGTTAGAGAGGCTGGGTTACCTGGCTCTGCCCTTCCTAGAGAACTGCACATGGATTCTTTTATCTCTGAAATGTGTTATGTTCCCCTGGGGGTGACGGTGTCTTCTCATCGGATTGTTTCAGGGTTAAGCAGGAGAGTATTGCCAAGCACTCATCACTGTGCCTAGCACACCGTCAGGTAAACCATTGCTGTCCTCGATATTTTGTGCCTTCAGGAAACAGAGAGAGGTGACCCTGCAGGTTCCAAAGGTGCTTCCTGAGAGAGGTCAAAGTTGGACCTGAAGGGTGAGGCAGATGTTCCCCGGAGCCCGGGGGGAGGAGGCGTCAGGACCGGCCCCAAGACCACACTCCGGGTCAATACATGTAGATATGTAAGCTGCCCATGGGAGGAACTCCCGCGAGTTCTGTTACCAATTTTCCACGTCTCTGAGATGAGTTTACATTACTGGGTTGGATTCTTTTTATATTTTGCAATTTTGTTTAAAAATTATAAAAATAAAATATATTCACAATTAAAAGAAAGGAAAATCCTGCAGTTCAGGATGCTGGAAGGTAAAAGATACTCACCTCTTCTCTAACCCCCCTAATATGACACACACACACACAGACACACACACACAAACCCACACACAGATCCATATATACATGCAGACAGCCACACAAACACACAGAGGCACACATACAGCCACACAAACACAAACACACAGCCACACAAACATACACATACATATACACACAGCCACACAAACACACACAGAGGCACACATACAGCTGCACAAACACAAACACACAGCCACACAAACATACACATACATATACACAGCTACACAAACACACAGAGACACACAGCCACACAAACAGAGAAACACACAGCCACACAAATATATACATACATATACACACACAGCCACACAAATATACACAGAGGCACACATATAGCCACACAAACAGAAACACACAGCCACACAAACATACACACAGACACATACAGAGACATAGACACACGCACATTTGGCCACACAAACACACACAGACAAAAAGATACACACAGACACACAAACACATCCCGATGTCCTGTTTGAGTCTGTGCTCAGGTACGTAATTAATCATCACAGTGGCTCGTGGCTCAATCTTGTCATTGGTCCACGCAAGCCTCTATTTTATAAATGTGTTTTTAATCACTCCACGGTGAAGCTTTTCCGCAGTGAGAGCACCAGACAAGCCCGCACCGGCCCGTGGCCCTGCCCCTTCCTTCCCACTCCTTCCCGGCCCCACCCCCCTCTGGCCCCGCCCCAGGTCTCCACTGCCGCCCAGATCCACTGTCTCTGTTCCCTGCTTTGCTTTCTAATGCAGTTTCATCACATCTGTGTGTTTAGCTAAAAGGTATCTCTATTTTTGGTTTGGGTTGTTTAAATTGTAATAAATGGGTGTCTATAATTTGGGGGCACTTAACAGTTTTGCATTCAATGTTGATAAGATTTATAAAGCAAACATTTTGGCCACCATATGGTATACCACTGTTTGAACTCCACAGTTTACCATCCTGCAGGGTGGAGACGGCAGGGCTGGCTGTTTCTTTGCAGTTAGAATGTGCGTGGTCCACATTTCTGCAGGCTCACAGGCAAGGGCTGTGCAGCTGTCGGCCGGGAGCAGAGCCCTGCCTTGAAGCTTGAGCTGTCGGAGTGGTGGTGGGTGGGGGTAGGGGGGTGTGGGGTTGACCCCCGTCTCACTTTTCGCCTTTCCTGGAAGAGTAGACCACATACCACTGCCCTTCATCGGCTCCAAAGTGGGGTCCCAATTTCTGCCCCTACAGCCCCTACAGCTGCACTGTGCGGCGAGCCACTTCCTGTCCCAGAAGTGGTCTCATGTCATACTTGGAAGCCTGAGCCCTCGAAGGGGTGCAGGATGATACCGTGACCCTTCTCCGATTTGCATCTTCCTGATAGCACATTAGGTTTAACATCCCCTCATAGGCTCCACTGGCCGTGAGTGTTGCCTGTGACATGCCCATTCATACCTTCTGCCCATGCTTCTATTCTGTCGTTAGCGTTTTTAAAACAACTCGGGGGTACTCTGTATTGTGCTACAGCTTGATTTTTAAAGCTAGCACAGACAGCAGGGGGATGCTGGCTACATGTGTATGGTTTGTGTATACATGTGTATGCGTGCGCAAATACATGAGTTACATTTTTATCGTGTGCTTTTTTCATTTAACAACATCTCTTAGAGCTGTTTCATGAAAACAAAGTACATCTAAAACGTAACTTCAATTATGCCGTTGTGTGAGCATAATATACTATATTTAAGCCCTTATATTCTGTTTCGATTTTTTTACATTGTAAACTGCTTTGTGATAAACAGCCTTGAAGTCCAATCTTTTCACATTTGAATTTTTCTCTCCTTAGGAGATATTTTAAGTAAGAGAAGCATGGAGTCAAAGGACATATTTTAAAAGCTTCCTTTTATGTATGGCTAAACTGATCAAGGTTTTTTGCTGGTGTTTGTTTTTGTTTTCTGAGAATGCAAACGGCTAGAGGCTGTTCTGCCAGTGGGCTGAAGTCCGTCAGCCCACAGTCCCCAGGCCCAGCCATGGCTGTGCACCTGTGTGCACTCGGAGGGGCAGGGAGGGGTGGGGGTGCAGGCTCTGCCTCCTCTTGCTCTTGGGCGGCTCGTTCCTGGCTTTTCCGCCTTGACCATGTGGCGGCCTGTCTCAGATGTTCTTTATCTTATCACATGGCATGTCCATGTGCCGCTGGGCATTTCTGGCACTTCGCACAGCTCCTAAACATCTGTTTGTCCCTGTGGTTACACATATCGCCCCCTTGTAAAAGTGAGCATGTCTTTCTGGTCCACTACAGTATTTCTCATACCTAATTCCAATGCCTGGCACACAGTAGGTGCTTTAGATATTTGTTGATTGGATTTGACAAATCCAATGTATGATTTGATTTGTATGATTGAATTTGAATGTATGATTGGATTTGACAAAGGATAGAGAAAAGACTGGGAGAACGCCTCCCAGCGTCTTCATTGTTGTTCTATAGATCGACGCTTCTCAACTGGGCCAGGAACACACGGCGATGTCTGGAGGCATTTTTCGTTGTCACATCAGGGGGTGAGAACAATTGGCACCTGGTGGGTGGGGGCTGGGGGTGCTGCGGAACATCCTGCTGTGCAAAGGGCAGACCCCACAACAAAGGATCCTCCCCAAAGTGCCCATAGCACCATGTCTGGGAAACCCCGATTGACATCGTGCAGTCATAGGGTGCCCATAGTGCCGTGTCTGGGAAACCCCGATTGAGATCGTGCGGTCATAGGGTGCCCATAGCACCATGTCTAGGAAACCCCGATTGGGTTCGTGCGGTCATAGGGTGTCCATAGTGCCGTGTCTGGGAAACCCTAAATGAGATCATGCAGTCATAGGGTGCCCATAGCACCATGTCTGGGAGACCCCGATTGAGATCGTGCAGTCATAGGGTGCCCATAGTGCCACGTCTGGGAAACCCCAGTTGAGATCGTATGGTCATAGGGTGCCCATAGTGCCATGTCTAGGAAACCCCAATTGGGTTCATGCGGTCATAAGGTGCCCATAGTGCCGTGTCTGGGAAACCCCGATTGAGATCGTGCGGTCATAGGGTGCCCATAGCACCATGTCTAGGAAACCCCAATTGGGTTCGTGCGGTCATAGGGTGCCCATAGTGCCGTGTCTGGGAAACCCCGATTGAGATCGTGCAGTCATAGGGTGCCCATAGCACCATGTCTAGGAAACCCCGATTGGGTTCGTACAGTCATAGGTTGCCCATAGTGCCGTGTCTGGGAAACCCCGATTGAGATCGTGCGGTCATAGGGTGCCCATAGCACCATGTCTAGGAAACCCCGATTGGGTTCGTACAGTCATAGGGTGCCCATAGTGCCGTGTCTGGGAAACCCCAATTGAGATCGTACGGTCATAGGGTGCCCATAGCGCCATGTCTAGGAAACCCCGATTGGGTTCGTGCGGTCATAGGGTGCCCATAGTGCCGTGTCTGGGAAACCCCAATTGAGATCGTACGGTCATAGGGTGCCCATAGTGCCGTGTCTGGGAAACCCCGATTGAGATCGTGCGGTCATAGGGTGCCCATAGCACCGTGTCTGGGAGACCCCGATTGAGATCGTGCAGTCATAGGGTGCCCATAGTGCCGTGTCTGGGAAACCCTAAATGAGATCGTGCAGTCATAGGGTGCCCATAGTGCGGTGTCTGGGAGACCCCGATTGAGATCATGAGGTCATAGGGTGCCCATAGCACCATGTCTGGGAAACCCTGAATGAGATCATGCGGTCATAGGTAATTTTCTCCTTTTTCTTTGTATTGGCTTTCCAAATTCTCTGAAATAATTTTGTAGTTAAAAAATTACTTATTAAAGAGATATTCTTCACTAATACAAGCTGGGGAAGAGGAGGCAGTGCCGCAGTGGGGGGTAGCCTGACCACAGCACACTGCTCCTGTCTGCTTCTTTTTGTCCTGCATGGGGAATTTTGGGGTGCCAGGTTGAAGGTCTGCACGCAGCCTCAGGCCTCAGAGCACTTGGACATTTGTTCTAGAAAACACCCCCAAGATGTGCCCACTCTGTGGTTTGCCAAGTAAGTGAGCCCAGGAACGCAATAATTTACTCAAGTGGACAGAATTAGTGCCATTTAGGGAGAGGGGCTGAGTGCTGTATTGAGGGGCCTGGAAGCCGTCGGGGCTGGGCTGGGTCCGGACTTGCTAAACCTATCTGATCTGACACTTGCGTCAGGAGAAAGGTGGGGGGCAGCTGGTTTTTGTGGGTGACCTGCTAGCCAGGGCACTTCCTGCGGTAGATGAGAATGTCCACCACCTGCGCCCTCCGAACCGCTTTATTGGACTAAGGGACATCGCCAGGGCTAGACACATGCCCCACCACTCTGCACGTGTGGCGTAAGGGGCTCAGCAATTGTCTAAACAGAGGAGGCTCCTTCTTAGACAGCAAAGCTGTGTGTTTTGTATCTGTTGGTCTCATTTCCTGTGGGATGTTTCCTGGTTGCAGCATGTCTGTGCTTGGTTAGTAAGACAGTTGGTCCAAAGCTCTTCTTCTCTCCCGTGGGGAATGTGAGCAGAACGATCCTTAGGTAGAAAAGCGGAGAACCAGTGCTTCTGCTTCTTTTGCGTAGGTGGACAAGAAATAACAGTGGGAGGATATTGTCTGTCCCTAATTACCTGCCCTGCATCCAATTTGCTGGTGTCAGGCAGCTTTCCTGAGGCAAGCCCTTGGGTACACTGAGACGCTAGGAGGGACAGCAGCTCCGGGGCCTGCAGGGCTCTGGGATTTTTTTCTGCCAGGTACACTTCCCCCTGCCTGCATTGTGCAGAAAGGCAAAGATGAGCAATTGGGAGAAAGACAGCCCCAGTGACTCAGCATGGAGATATTATGGGATAGGGGAGAGCTGGCTACTTCTCAACCCTTCCCCCGCCTCGCTTGCCGTGGGTTTCAGCATCGCGGGGGCTGTGGAGAAAGGCCTAGAGAGCTTTGCAGGACCAAGTGGTGGTCGGGCAGCCCGTGCTGCAGGAGGTGAACCCGGGCATGTGACACGGTCACAGGGACTCCTCCAGTGGTTTAACGTGCAGTGTGAGTGGCCTTAACACGGGACCCGGACATGCTGCCTCTGGGCTGGGGAGGGACAGGAACCCGAGGCAGATCCTTCCACCAAACGAGTGTTTTGCTGTCAGGACGCAGCCTCCCTGGAAGCAGAGGCTCCCCTGCGATTCCGCTCGGAGTCCCACGCTGCTCAGTATGCATGATCACAGGGCGCCACCGGGATGGAACGCACGGCGCCCCGACGTGATTTTCCAGAGAACTGAGTTCCTTGAATATTAAAATTAACCTTTTTTAATAACAGAAATGATATAGTCCATTGAAGTAGGGCTGGATTTATCTTATGACAGTGCTTGTCATGGCCTTGAGTATTTATTGAGTAGTTTCAAAAGTTCATTAAACTCAAGAGATTAAATATTGCCCTGAGCAGTGCCCCATAAAGGGGAAATATGGTCCTATTACTTGGTAAAATGTTGTGCTATGTTGTTAATTCAACTCCCTTGGGTTCTCATCTTCTGATTCAAAAGACATTTTCCCGTGCTGTTAAATTTGAACCTTGGACTGTTTCTCACAGTATTCATCAGAAACTCGGTATTGCACATTTATTTCCTAGCGGGGTAGAAACACTGGCCCCCCACGGTGCTCTAGAAATGTCAGATGCATTCGTCTTCCATTAGCCCCTCCACCATCCCCTGTGTCACTGCACTAAGTAAAGCCAGTGGATTGACATAAAGTCTCCCGATCAGGGAAGGAGGTGCAGATACTCACCCCGATACCCACCAAGGGCAGCCGAGCCTCCTGCTTGAGCACATGCCTTGTCGCTCAGGGCTTGACGGGATAGAAAACGTGAGGACAGAGCAGCTGCGGGGCCCCTCGGTGATCAGGGCCGTTTATTTTCCTCCTAATTTCTTACTGAATTGATTCCCACTGAATCTCTGTAGAAATATCCTCTTTATTATCTCATCTGACCTGAGGGCCTTCATTTGGTTTATACAGAGCAGTCTTGGTGACATTGACAACACTGTTTAATCGGTCCTCGCGGGAGCTTCCCTGGGGGTGCAGGACCCAGTGTTCCCTCCAACAAGAGGCCATCTCACGGGCGAGCCCACACACCTGGAGAGAAACAGAAGGCCCAGCATCCGGTCTTCCAGTGGTGTGGGGGACAGCAGCCGGGGGGGGCCGGGGTCTTCCTTACCTCCTAGCTTGTGTATGGATCAACAACCACCAGCCCCTCTGATGTCGAGGACCCCCAGGGATTGGCAAAATTAAACCTGGATGCTTTGATCGCTGGCAGTAAGCGACACGCTGAACCACAACTTTCTTTCCAGAGTAATTCTGAATGACAGCCCAGAGTGGGGTCTTTATGGAGCAGGATCCTCACGTAGCCCACATTCGCCACAGCCACTTGGCTGAACCCTATTCTAGGTGTTGGCAAGGTAGGTGTTGAGTAACAGAGACCCAAAGCATAGTGGTTGCAGCGAGGATCATCGAAGTAGACCTGGCTGGGTGAGAGTCACTGCAGCCCCTCACGCCTCTGTTGTGTCAGGACAAGATATGTAGCTGGCAGGGTTCTCATGAGGATTACACGAGTCCTGGAGACCGTGCAGTGAACTCTTACACCCCAGGGCTCAGTGTGTGAGAGCTACTGCCACCTTCACCACCAAGACAGTTGCACCATGGGCTTCTCCTCTTCTGTAAAATGGGTCTGTAACGCCCCTGGAAAAGAGTGTGCACTTAATGTTACCATTAACATCATCATAATGACTGCCCCATATTCTATTATACCAATGTAATCTAATAACATTGCTCTATCTGCATAGATCACAGAAGACGTATAATACAAATACTTATATAAATCATTGCATTGTTATTATTCATCGAGAACTATGCTGTGTGTTTTGAAATGTGAGAGCAGGAAGGAGGCCACCCTCAGCTTTGGAGGATTTGTAGGTGATGTTGGTTCGTGTCTCAGGTTCAGCCAGTCATTCCTGGGGAACATTTTCCTCTCTAACCACAGCCCCAGCCCTTTGACCTCAGTCCCCACCGATCTCAGAGGTGCCCCTTCTCCTGGACATCTTCATTTCCACCCGGGAAGGCATCACTCCAGCATCTCCTGCCATCCAGGACTCTCCCGCCCCTGCCTGTCCCTCTCGGGCAGAACCCACCTCTCAGCCCCAGCGACCAGCGGCAGGTGAGCAGCAGCAGCAACCCAGTCCTGAGAACTGCTTCGTTTGTAAAGAAAGTCGGTTGTTCCCATCTTCCTGGAAAGATGTGTATTTCTTAAACTCTTTCCTGTTTCCACTTTGATAGAGACATAGAGATACAAAAGTGAGAATGTCCGTTTCTCTGGCAAGGACAGTAAGAAGTAGGTGACAGGTAGCACTTGTCCTTAGGCTGGGCCGAAGAGAGCACCAGGGCGGGGTGAGGACTGCGGCCAGGGGACAGCTGAGCACCATCTGAGCAGTCAGGGGGCAGATAAGTGCCATCTGAGCAGACAGGCAGCCTTTCCCAGTGGGTGTTGGAGCCAGAACTGCTGCCTCCTCTTCCAGCCTCTCAAAAGGAGCCAGCAAATCCATATTTTTAGGTGAAATTATTTAATTTTTAAATGTTGGAAACTTCGTACTTTCAAAAAAACATAAAACACTCTACGAGCCCAACAGAAGGCACCTGTCGTTTGGAAGCAGTCCATGGCCATGGGGCTGTGAGCCCTCACAACCCTGCCCCTGTCACCCCCACCCCGCCCAGCAGTGATTCTGAGGCCCCAAGGTCCATCCTGGAAAAGCGCTCCCTGAGCTGGGGCACCTGTCTGGACCCCCACCTGTGGCTCCTAGGCTGGAGGTTAGAGTCTCCTGGGAGAACTGGAAATGGTAACCTTGAAATTTGAAGCCACTCTCCTCCTGGGAGGACAGGACACTGGGCAGGACGGGCCTTGGGAAGTCCCAGGGGGGAGATGCACCTTCAGCCTCTCTTGCTCCTGCCTGTCCTAATCCTGAAATTTCACTTTGTCAAAAGAAAAAATGCTGAGGAACTCATCCAGAGAAAAATATTTTAGTCTTGTAACTCCAAAATATAGACATTTGTTATTTTATAAATTATATATGGGAACTCCTGTACTACTGTTATTTAGTAAAAACATTCAACATAAATTGACATGTTAAAGTTGCAAAAATAAATTTGTATTAATTATTAACAGCAGAAGAACCTTTTTGCTCATATATGACATATATACATGCATATATATGGCATTAATACGTACATGGCATTATTAATAACGTATATGATATACCATGACATAACATATGCATAGTATTATCAATAATGTTACTAGCCAGGCATGGTGGTTCACACATGTAATCCCAGCACTTTGGGAGGGTAAGGCAGGAGGATCTCTTGAGCACAGGACTTTGAGACCAGCCTGGGCAACATGGTGAGACCCCATCTCTACAAAAATCACAAGCATTAGTTGGGCATGGTGGTTCGTGCCTATAGGCCCAGCTACTCCAGGGGCTGAGGTGGGAGGATCACTTGAGCCCAGGAAGTCAAGACTGCAGTGAGCCAAGATGGCGTCACCGCATTCCAGCCCGGGAAACAGGGAGACTCTGTTTCAAATAAAAAATGTTGCTAGTATTCTAAACACTTAGGTTTTAAAGGGCTTGCTAGCTTTGCTATCGGGGTATTATCTGAAGGCACGAAAACTCTTAGGGGAGTGTCCTGCTTAATGATAGCCAGCATTGATCCATATTTCATAGTCTTATTAATTGGAGATGTTTGGGATGATTTCATCAATTTAATTAGATCTTCACTTGTCTTTACCCCTAATGTGGCTGACAGATAGCTTGGATTAGGACTGGATGTGGGGCCGCCAAATTTGTTTGAGTAAATAATACATAAGTTTTATTGGCGCTCAGGCCCATCCGTCGTGCCGTCTTTGACTCTTATGCTATGACAGCAGCAGCGTCGAGTAGTTGCTGCAGAGACCGTATAGCCCTGAAAGCCTAAAATATTATAGTTACCAGGTGGCCTTTTGCAGAAAAAGTGGTTATTCCCAAACTCAGGTCGGGGTGGAGGGTGAGGGCCACATCCTGGTACCATCCTGGCTACATCGGAATTTCCAGGGCCCTTGAAGACCGAGGTCGAGGCCCCTTCCTTGGAGACCTAGCAGGCAGGGAGCCTGGGACTGTGTATGGAACTGAGCCTCTGGGGCCATCATGGAGCTCGGCAAGAGGCTCAGGAGGATCTGGAAAGCACGTGGACTTCCCAGGATGCTGGCAGCGTCCGGTGTTTCTCAAATTGCGTTCTGCGCATAGACCACCTGGGGTGCTGCCCCCTCACAGCACAGGTTCCTGCCCTCACCTGGCCATGGAACTACTGAGTAACCTGTTTCCCTGAGCATCTCTGTGCCTAGGACTGGCCACGGGGAGCATCCTGAGACCAGCAGACCTGGCCCGGCTTCCTTGGCCTGGCAACTCCACTTGCTGTGCAGACTTCCTCCTCCTGTCTCCAGCGTCTCCACGTTTCTCGGCTCACAGTTCTGGGGCCCTGCGGAGGCCCCGAAGGGGTAGCTTCTTCCTCCGTTCAATCAGTCGCCATAGGCACAGTGACCCATCACTAGCCTAGGAGGGAGATGCCGGGGGCTGGAAGCCCTGGGGTGGGGAGGGATGCCCCAGGGCTCTAGTGGTTTTCATGATACACTTTTTAATACTACTTAAATCTTTCAACTATGTAAACAGTATCTTGATAAAAATACTGTTTTGTTTTTGAGACAGTCTCACTTTGTCACCCTGGCTGGAGTGCAGTGACATAATAACAGCTCACTGCAGCTTCGACTTCCCAGGCCCAAGCAATTCTCCCACCTCAGCCCCCGCAAGTAGCTGGGATTACAGGTGCGCCACCACACCCGGCTAATTTTTTGTATTTTTTGTAATACGGGGTTTTGCCGTGTTGCCCAGACTGGTCTCAAATTGCTGAGCTTGGGCAATCCACCCGCTTCAGCCTCCCAAAGTGCTGGGATTACAGGTGTGCACCACCGCAACTGGCCTTCATAAAAATATTTATTTAAATGAGGAAAAACCAGAAAGTCTTGAGAAGTGAGGCCTCTTCTGGGTGAAGTTTCTTGCGACGAATGGAGGAGGCAGGAAGGGCAGCTGCAGGAGGGGGTCCTGGTCTTTTTCCCCAATGGGGTGGTGGCCAGGTCCCGAATTCATGTTGTGAAACTTCACCCAACTGTGTTCACGACCTTCAGGCTTCCTTGCGCATATCACATGCTTCCTAAACGCATACTTAGAAAAATACAGGCTTTTGAGGGCTTTCCCAACGAGACCTAGAATCACCTTGATACGCCGTCGAGACCGAACTTGAAACCTGGGTCTTGTTACTGGAGGTAGCCCCATATCGCCCTTTGAATTAATACTTTTTGTAAATCCTGTCATTTTCTTCAGAATGGCATAATCACATTGCATTGTATTTTCCCCATTTCAATGGTAATAGATATAAATGTTTAAACTGCACTATAGTTTTTGTTAGAAAAAGAATTCCCTCCTGAGCAGGGTCCCCTGTCCTGTTTGTGACTGAGTTATCGGTGCAAGGTGGACATACATGCATACCTTAGGAAGTGGCCACTGAGTGAATGGACACATGGATTGGACAAATTAATAAGATTCCCATGTGCCCTGAAGTCTAGAACCATGGTACTGAAACTTTAGCATGAACGCTTGGCCGTATCGCAGCTGCTATTTTTTTTTAGCGCATCCAGTGTACAGAAGGGATATCACTGGTATTTTGGCCTGACCTGCCCGATGGAGCAGGACAAGGCTGACCGCATGCCGAGCTGCGTGCCTGGGAACCACATGGCAAGCTTCACCTGCGTGTCCTGAACCAGCCAGAAGTGTGAGCTTCTTTCCACCGATTCACTTGCTGTGTTCATTTGCAGACAGAGACTTGTATTCTCACGTTAGAATTGAATGAGCATTCAAGCGTATCAGTCTTGGTTATTTATCTTGGAATTGATAATGTACCTCCAAAGATTTCCGGCTTTAAATATTGACAGAGGCCTGATTCTGCATTATGGTAGATTTGCATTCTAGATTTCTTCAGCTTATGCACGGAAGGGACAATGTTCCTGAGAGCACTGTTAACAACACAAAAGGAAAACTATTTAATGTTTTTTGCGTCTATCACCTCTAAGGGTGGAGAGAGCAGGGTGGATGGACTCTGTGAGGCAGGGCTCCCCAGGGAAGCAGAATCATCGGATGTGTATACACAGAGGAGATTTCTTTTAAGGACTAGGCCCCAAGGGCATGGGGTCTGGCAAGTCTGAAATCTGCAGAGCAGGCTGATGGGTAGGAGGAGACCAGGGAGAGCGGGTGTGGCCCTTCGAGTCCCAGGGAGTCTCCCGGCGAAATTCCCTCCTCTTCTAGGGAGCCGAGTCTTTCTTAAAGCCTCAACTGATTGGACAAGGCGCACCCACACCATGGAGTTTCATCCACCTCACTCCATGTCTACGAACTGAATTGTTAATCCCATCTAAAAATATCTTCACCACCACATTCAGGCTGGGTACCTAGGTCTGGGTACTGTGGCCTAGCCAAATTCGTTAATTTTGACACATACACAATTATGTCTTGGAGGAAGATTGGCCTTGCGTCAGTCATTGTGTGTCCCCTTTCTCAGGCCAGCAGGTGTGACTGGTGTGCCCAGAGCAGGACTCTCACAGTCAGACCCCGGCCACAGCCCAGTCCTGTAGGCCCTGTTGCTCTCACATTTTCAGATTGTGCAGCCTCTGGCCATGGAGGTGTGATGCTGATGTAGGTTAAATGCTGATGTGGGTTAAATGTGGATGTGGGTTAAATGCTTTGTAAAGTGAACCCCAGGTCATTATTTATACTAAGTCCTTAAAGCCTAGGCCTACCACTCAGAACCTTAACAATTGTTTCAGGAGGAAAAACCCACTTTTTTTTTTTTTTTTTTTTTTTTGAGACGGAGTCTCACTCTGTCGCCCAGGCCGGACTGCGGACTGCAGTGGCGCAATCTCGGCTCACTGCAAGCTCCGCTTCCCGGGTTCACGCCATTCTCCTGCCTCAGCCTCCCGAGTAGCTGGGACTACAGGCGCCCGCCACCATGCCCGGCTAATTTTTTGTATTTTTAGTAGAGACGGGGTTTCACCTTGTTAGCCAGGATGGTCTCGATCTCCTGACCTCATGATCCACCCGCCTCAGCCTCCCAAAGTGCTGGGATTACAGGCGTGAGCCACCGCGCCCGGCCAAAACCCACTTTTTAAAAAGATTTTTTATTGGAAAATTTCAAACGTACCCAAAGGTAGAGAGCATAGTATCCCTGAGCCCCTGGCTCATCTCCCAGCTCCCTCTATGACCACCCCAGGCCTGGCTCAGCCTTTGCACCCCCTCTGCCCTCCCCAAAGCCTCACCTCCATCATGAGGTCCTATCCGGTTGGTCTATGGTGTGTGCCGGGCCTCGCTGCAGGACTTGGCAAATTGGCCACTCACGTCCACCTGCCCATCCATCACCCACGAAGCACTTGGCCTCTCCAGTTCCCTTTCAGTGTTTTTTCAACCTGCCTCTTTTTTAGTTCCTGCTCACATGTGTGATGCTGGGCTCAGGAGATCCTGAGGGGAGGAACTCAGAGCCTGCCCTGCAGGGGCTCGGGGACAATGGTGCCTTCCCCGGCAGGGTCTGAGGGGCTCAGCACAGGTTGCCCACTGCAAGCCCAGTGGTTCTCACGCACTCCTGCTCTAGGCAACCAACCCCCTGGACAGCTGCTTTGGTGACCAGTGGTAGGGGGAATAGCTGGATGGGCCCATTTTTACCAGGATCCCTCCTGTCATTTTTCAAACCAGTCCCCCTTACAGCTGGGCAGCACGTTTTGGGACAACTCTCCCACAAGTGGGCTGTGGCCTGGCCCTAACTGTAGAGAACAGCCATGCCCAGGCTGGCTTCAATCTGACTGTCACAGCTCTGATGGCAACACAGAGGCCCCCAGGTCTTCGGGGGGCTTCTCTGGAGGGAGTTAGTGCCTCCCAATCTGCAGAAACTCCTGGAGACCTGAATGTTTCGTCTGTCAAAAGATGATGCTCTACAATCAGAGCTTTCCTGTGATCAACAGGACCTCTCAGGAGTTATAGTTATTGGAAACTGAAGTATTCACTGGAAGGAAGGAAAGGAAGGAACCCTTTAGGGCTGATCTGAGGTGGAAAGTGATGCTGCACTGGGGGTAGCTTTGCTGCATCAGAGTTCAGGGAAGAGGACCCAGTCCTCCTTGCAGCCTAGATGATCCCCGGAAACCCTAGTTCTGCTTTGATAAGAGACATCCCCTAAATCTCAGGACTACTGTCAAAGGTTTATTTCTTGCTCATTCTGTATGTTCCCATGAATCTGTAGGGACTCTGCTCCATATGGTCACGCATGGATCCAGTCTCCACCGTCTCATCTCTGCACCATCGGGAACACATAGGCTCCTTAGTCACTGCTGTGGGATGAGCCCCCTGGGAGCAGTCCTGGCCTTGGGGGTGGGGATGCGAGAAGCTTCTCTGGGTCCCTTGGTGGGACAACAAGGGCTCCTGGCTGCAGCACCAGAGGGCTTCGGGGCCGGCCTGGCCCCACCTCCGCTGGTACCATCACCTCCTTGTTGTTCTGGCCTTTCTATTTCCACCGGCCCTGCCCCCTTCCAGAGCCTCATCCTTTCATCTGCACCTTGTGAGCTCCTAACTACTTTCTAAGTTGACGTCCCTTTGCCACTGTAGTCATTCTTTCTCTGTATTCTGCTTTCTTCAGATCTTCTTTCACAGTCGCCAGCATGCAGATGCAACCCTGTCATCTTCCACCCATTTCACACCTGGCCCTCCAGACAAGTCCAGAGCTCCTAGCACGGTCCCTAGACCCTGTTTCTGGGCCATGCAGGCCTCTCCAGCCTCATGCTCATCACTGGGCAGACGTACTGTCCTTGGCAGACTCTGAAGTGACAACCTTTAGGAGGCAGGGCCTACCCACTGTCACCCAGATAAACCTGAAGCCTCTTCCCATGCAACCTGTACTTTTCACTCCAAATTTCAAAAATGCAATTGTAAACCTGCTCCACCAATAAGTAGCCCATGGGTCTTTGAGAAGGAAGGATCTGTATCTTTTGGTTCTGTGCCTGGTACATTGCAGGCTTCAGTCCCTGTTGTGCGTTGAACTATGCAGAAATCATCCATGCCATTTTTTTGTCAGACAAAAAGAACAGGGTCAGAATCTCACGATTGCACCCCACCCTACCATGGGGCTGTCATGAATGTTGTGTGGCATCTTTTTTGTTTGAAATGAGAGAAACGTAACTCGTGCTCGTGCAGCCAAGAGGGGCATGGGCTTCTTCACATAACCTGAAGCGCAAGGACAGCCTGGCTTCAGGTGTGGCTGGATCCAGGTTTTCAAATGTCCGATCTCTTGAACACAGTTTCTTCATATGGTGGGCACTGTGACATATCATGACCTCTTAGACTGCCAGCCTCTTCTCATAACTGTGATAGGAATGTCACTCTGTCTGGTCTGGTTTAGGACAGAATTCTACACATCTGTAGATTCTTTGGCCAGGGAGTAAATACAATGACTAGGCCTGGGTTACGGACCCACAGCTGAGGCCCCAGTGTAAGTGAAGGGTCAGCCCTGCAGTCATCTGCTGGAACGGAGGCCCATGAAAGAAGGAGAAGGGAGCCCAGGGGACAGAGGCCACAGTCACCTGTGACAAAAGCTGCTAGGAAGAACTGACCAGCTGCACATGCATTTAATGATGGACTTCTATAACCATCTTGTTCACAGGTGTATCACGGAGGCCAGCAGTGGTTGCTCAGATGTTGTTTGTGGAGGCTGGAAACATCCCTGGGTAACATTTGTCCCAGTCACCTAGCTACACAGCACAGAATGGATTTTTATAATAATGGATATTTGCACAGAGCCGCTGTCTTAAAGCATATACAGCCATCTCTCAGTATCTGTGGAGGACTGGCTCCAGGACTTCCCCAGGATACCAAAATCCAAGGATGCTCAAGTCCTTGATGTAAAATGATGCAGTATTTGTGTGTTACCTATGCACATCCTCCCATGTACTTTAAATCACCTCTAGGTTACTTATAATACCAAATGCAATGTAAATGCTATGTAAATAGTTGTTATACTGTATTGTTTATGAAATATTGACAAGAAAAGTCTGTACATGTTCAGTACAGATGCAGTTTTGTTTGTTTGTTTGTTTTGAGGCAGAGTCTCACTCTGTCACCCAGGCTGGAGTGCAGTGGTACAATTTTGGCTCACTGCAGCCTCCTCCCGGGTTCAAGCAATTCTCATACCTCAGTTTCCCAAGTAGCTGGGACTACAGGTGCACACCACCATGCCCTGCTAATTTTTGATTTTTAGTAGAGATGGGGTTTCATCATGTTGGCCAGGCCGGTCTCAAACTCTTGACCTCAGGTGATCTGCCCACCTCAGCCTCCCAAAGGGCTGGGATTACAGGCATGAGCCACTGTGCCTGGCCCAGATGCAGTTTTTAAAACATATTTTCAATCAGCAGTCGGTTGAATCCATGGATATGGAACCCATGGATATGGAGGGCTGACTATCTACATAGCATCTTATCTGAAACAGGTGTTAGGCCAGTTTATAGATGAAGAAACAGAATGGTTAAGCCACTTGTCCTTTTGTCACTAGGATGGAGTTCATTGGAGAAAATCCATTTTTCCTTTCTTCCTTATTTACAGATCCACAAATTTACATAGGACAATAATCCACCCAACAAAAAGGCTGATTTCCCAGGCTCCCTTACAGCGAAGCATCACCCTGTCACTAAGTGCTGACCACTGTGATTAAGTGGAAACATTTTGTGGGACTTCCAGAAAGTTAATTTTGCAAATTTTGCAGGGGTCTCTCCTGCCCCCATTCTCCCTTTCTCCTTTTTCCTGCATGGAACACAGCTGTGATAGCTGGAGGTCCAGCAGCCACCTTGGACCATGAGGGGATCTTGAAGAGGCAAGCTACACATGTACACAGCAGAAGAGCAGGAGGCGGGTCTTGATCTTTGCCATCCTCTTTGCTACTATCATCCTCCTGCATTGCCAGATTTTGGGCTTCACTTACAGGAGCAAATACAGCCCTGTGGGTTTGAGGGTGTTTCCTTGTGTGCAGTTGAACCTGCAGTCCTTCATACTGAGTAACTTATTTTTTCTGGAGCTGCTGAGTTTGGGGGCAGCGGTGGTACTGAGTCCCAGTTGTTGCTTTGCTTCTCTTGGGTGGTCCTCATACCCTGAGGTCTACGGTCCCCTCTCTAGAGATCCGGATGTTCTGGAGAGTGGCCACTTTGTGGGCCCTGTCTCCCTGGTGTCGGTGCCATAACTCAAATCAAATCATCGTGGAAAACATGCAGGCTGGATTAAGAGACTAGGACGGGACTTTTTCCCTGACTTTGTTTCTGCCTGGACCTCAGGCATGCGGCATTATTCTCCAGAAGGCCGTGTGCTCATGCAGGGCTGTGCTCACCTCTTGTGTTCTTGGGTCTGTACTTCCCCTCAGGAACTCCGTGTGTATTCCTGATTTCGCACGGGACAATTTTTTTTGGCACAGATAGTAGACTTAAATTGTCTTTATCCCAAAACCCAAACTGAGAGGGGAAATCAACATCTTTAACATGGAATAGCTTGTCCCCTTTGTCTACATACAGGGAGAAAATGTCTGGCAGGACGCTGTGTTTCAGGAAAAAGTCTGCAAATTGCAGTGTGTGATCTCCAGCTCATGTAAATATCTCCACATGTTATTCTTAATTAATTATATTTTATTGAAGTAATTAGGTAACTGACAACCTCAGTTAAGTCCTAATGAAAGGACCATGTCTTTTCACATGCCGTTGATCAGAAAGTACAGCTTGGACTCCCAGGAGCTGGGCACTGGGCAAGGAGACACTGGGCAGGTGCAGCTGAGCTGGTGCAGCTGAGCTGCTACAGCCAGGCGGGTACAGGGGTCCTGGGCCAGGACTCCCACCACCACCTGTCCCAGGGCACATTTCTTCTCCTTGCTAAGGACAAGATGCTTCTGCAGCCCCCGCCCCCTTCCTCTGCTTGTTCCTGATTGTTTTAATTTCCAAAAACCATGATGAGGACAGCTGCTGAAATCTTAAACAATGCTGCTTCTCTGGAAAGTTGGGTTAATTTGTTTAATTTTCACACCTTTCACCCTCCTCCACAATGGTAGAGTGCTTTTGTGTCAAGGCATCAAATAAATTTCACGCTTCTTGCCTTTTCTGAAATATCCGGTGGCATTAAACGCACCCAGTGCACCTGGCTCCGGCCCGAGGCTTCGAGACTTAATTGTGGTTATGACGATCTGCAAGAGGAGGCCTGATTATTCCCGACGCCACTTGCATTGAGGCACAGAGACAACGTGGGCAGGGGATTTGGGAGAAAATTGCATTCTGTTTTCTTAAGGCCAAATTTCCCATTAATCTGAGCTGCTTCTTAAGGAAAATGTGAAACATCCCGAGGCTTCAGGGACTTGTGTGAGAATATTTAGGCTTTTTTTTTTTTTCTTTTTTTCCTAGGGAGAACATTATTAAGAAAAAGCTCAGGCTGGGCGTGGTGGCTCACGCCTGTAATCCCAGCACTTTAGGAGGCTGAGGCAGGTGAATCATAAGGTCAGGAGATCAAGAACATCCTGGCTAACACGGTGAAACCCCGTCTCTACTAAAAATACAAAAAATTAGCTGGGCATGGTGGCACGTGCCTGTAGTCCCAGCTATTCACGAGGCTGAGGCAGGAGAACCGCTTGAACCTGGGAGGCGGAGGTTGCAGTGAGCTGAGATCGCGCCCCCGCACTCCAGCCTGAGTACAGAGTAAGATTCAGTCTCAAAAAGAAAAAGCTCCCTTATTTCTACTGGGGTTATCAATAAGTGAATCTAAATGAGTCTTTGAGGCTGATTTTGTTTCGGGGTCCCAGGGAGTGGATGTGGAGAGGTCCTCCATCCCCTCCTTTCGACCCTGCCTCCCTCCCCGGGATGCGCTGCGTATCTGTGTCCCTCAGCAGAAGCCATGGTCATCTTTTTCTCCCACGCGCCGTTCTCGGGCAGTGATTCCGTAATCCCCCTCCTGTGAACTAGTGTGCCACTTCCATACTGATCACGCTAGTAGACATATATCCTTTATCAAACGTTCTGGAAATCACTCATCACCATGGTGCTGATGTTTTACAGTGCGGCCCTTTATGATTTTAGGGGCTGTGAGCCTCTCCCGTCCTGTAAAGTAAAGATAAAAACCAAAGAAACTGCTCCCAGAGTCAGTGTGGTACAACGACGCGCTGTCACCGCAGCCCCAATCCCTGGTGTTCTTACTATTAGACGAGTTGATATTCTCATGTCTGCCACAGAGGGGAAAATGAAATCTGAGGCTGAAGTAGAAATAGAACCCAAGGGTCTCAACTCCTGTTTTAGGTCTTTTTTATAGTAAATATTTAGACTAGGTCTGGCTATATATATTATAGCTATATCTATGTATCTATAATTTTTTTTTTTTTTGAGACAGAGTCTCACTCTGTCACCCAGGCTGGAGTGCAGTGGCGCAATTTCAGCTCACTGCAAGCTCCGCCTCCCTGGTTCACGCCATTCTCCCGAGTAGCTGGGACTACAGGCGCCCGCCATCACGCCCAGCTAATTTTTTGTATTTTTAGTAGAGACGGGGTTTCACCGTGTTAGCCAAGATGGTCTCGATCTCCTGACCTCATGATCCATCCGCCTCGGCCTCTCAAAGTGCTGGGATTACAGGCGTGAGCCACCGCGCCCGGCCTATAATTTCTATAATTGATGAACTTAATCACGTGAGTTCCTCTATAGATCATAACTGTCACTTGTCCCATAAACCCAGCCCCTTGGTGTGGATCAAAATCTTCCACGTCTTTATTGGGAGCAAAGACCTCGCACTTGGCTTGCAAGGTTACAATCTCTGTCGGGATTTTTCAGGATCCCGAAAGCCCAGGTAATGCCCGTCTGGTACACCAATACCTGGTTTCACCCCAGACCACCATCTGCTCTACCCGGACCACCATCTGCTCTACCCGGACCACCATCTGCTCTACCCGGACCACCATCTGCTCTGCCCGGACCAGCATCTGCTCTGCCTGGACCACCATCTGCTCTGCCCGGACCACCATCTGCTCTGCCTGGACCACCATCTGCCATCTGCTCTGCCCGGACCACTGTCTGCTCTGCCCAGACCACCATCTGCTCTGCCCGGACCACCATCTGCTCTCCCTGGACCACCATCTGCCATCTGCTCTGCCTGGACCACCATCTGCCATCTGCTCTGCCTGGACCACCATCTGCTCTGCCTGGACCACCATCTTCTCTGCCCGGACCACCATCTGCCATCTGCTCTGCCTGGACCACCATCTGCTCTGCCCAGACCACCATCTGCTCTGCCTGGACCACCATCTGCCATCTGTTCTGCCTGGACCACCATCTGCTCTGCCCGGACCACCATCTGCTCTCCCTGGACCACCATCTGCCATCTGCTCTGCCTGGACCACCATCTGCCATCTGCTCTGCCCGGACCACCATCTGCTCTGCCTGGACCACCATCTGCTCTGCCCAGACCACCGTGTGCTCTGCCCAGACCACCATCTGCTCTGCCCGGACCACCATCTTCTCTGCCTGGACCACCATCTGCCATCTGCTCTGCCCGGACCACCATCTGCTCTGCCCGGACCACCATCTGCTCTGCCTGGACCACCATCTGCCATCTGCTCTGCCTGGACCTCCGTCTGCTCTGCCTGGACCACCATCTGCTCTTCTTGGACCACCATCTGCTCTGCCCGGACCACCATCTGCTCTGCCTGGACCACCATCTGCTCTGCCCGGACCACCATCTGCTCTGCCTGGATACAGCGTCAAATAAGACAGATGTCTCTACTGTCCCCACCAAGCAAAGATGTACCACTTGCAAGGTTGCTGTGAGGTCCCTGTGAAGACTCAAGAGAGCCAACACAAAGCCTCCTGCAACAGTTAGCTGCCAAACCCAACTGCTGCTTCTAGAACAGTTTCCCATTGGTTCCGTATGTGGCTGGGTTCTTTCTCATTATGTTGACATCGACTGAAATGTCAGGTCCTTAGAGAAGCCGTGCCTGCCACCCCGGGTTCTGTCTCTTCCTTGAGCTTCTCAGCACCTGGCATCTAGCGGTTGATGCCACCTTCACCTGTTGTCACCGAACCCTGGGGACAGGTGTGGCTGACTCGCTCTCCACCGATTCCAAGCACTTGCAACTCTGGGATTTGTTCAGACAAATCATTGTGGGTGAATACGTGGCTCAGAAAGGCCTAAATGGCTACAACCACTTTAGAAAAGACTTCGGCAGGGTCTTATAAGTAAAGTGACACACAAACTTCCCTATGAAATTGCTCCAGAAATTATACTCAACTGGGTATTTTCCCCAGAGAAATGAATGAGTCTGTCCTGATAAAACATGTGAAGGAATGTGCAGATAAGCTGTATTCTAGTAGCCCCATACTGGACGCTGCCCAAGTGTGCATACCTAGAGGGACAGATGAGAGGACCGTGGTGCAGTCACAGGATGGAACACAGCACGGTGATGAGTAATGCACTGTGCACAGTGACATCAGTGACTGTCATGTCATTACATTACATGGAGCGAAGGAAGCCAGGCACAAGGGGAGACACACTGTGTGATGCTGTTTCCATGAAGTCCAGGAACAGGCAACGCTAATTGTCTTAGCTCCCTATTGCTGCCATAACAGAGGACGACAATCTCAGTGGCTTAAGCAACAGAAGAGAATTCTCTTACTGAAAGCCACCTGTCTAAAATGCAGCAGCAGGTCCTGCTTTTCCTGCAGGTTACAGGGGGAAGTCTGTTTCCTCATCTTTTCAGCTTTTAGGAGCTGCCTTGCCCCACTCCGACCTCTCCATCGTCAAGTGTCCTCTCACTAGGACTGTCCCCTGCCTCTCTCTTATAAGGGTCCCTGAGATTACACTTCATGCTCACCCAGGCAACCCAGGATCATCTCTGCATCTCGAACTCCTTAACTTCATCATACCTGCAAAGTCTGTAAAAGCTCTGGAGGTTAGGGCGTGGGCATCTCAGGGGAGCCATTGTCTTCCTGCCCCAGGAACAGATGGTGATGCGGTTTAACTTGGGGGGTGGTGTTGCCTGGGAATGGATGAGGGGAGTGTTCTGGGGGCTGGCCATGCTCTAGATCTGGACCTCAGACTTGGACACAGGCACATGCATGAGTAAAAGTTGACCAGACCGTAACCGTAGACTCAGTGCACATCACTGTGTGTTTGTTACACTTGGGCACAAATCTAAAACAGAAGAGAAGGGTAAAGCTACCCTCCTCCAGATGTTGCATTGCCTGTGTGTAGTGCCCCTGTGCTCAGAGGGTGAACAAAGCAATAACCAGGCCCTGTGTTAGTGAGCGTCATGGAGACAGTGTGGGGTGCGTGGAGGTGAGGCGTGGAGCAGCCAGCTGCCACCACCTGTGTTTTAGAGCCCCTTCCTGGTTCCATTTCATTTTGCATACAACACCATGGAATCACATGATGGAGAGTGAAGCAGCTTATTTTTTATATGGGGCCCATGACAGCATAGTGAGTGGGGCTTTTACAGATGTTTATGGAAGGGAAGTTCTTTGCGATCCTCAGTACCCCAGGCCCTCAGTGGTCTCCAGGATCCCAGCCAGATGGCCACGGGGTCACGGGCCCACTGGGACTGGGTCCTACACACACAGTTGTGGGCTTTTGGAGACACTGACTCTGCACAGGCTTCTCTGCTTTTCAATGTGGCGTTTAAGGTTCCGGAAACTGTGCAGTTTAGAAAACTGCTGGGCAGGTTTGTCAAAGGCAAAGCACCCTGGGCATTTTCAAGATGTTTCTGTCTTCAAAGACCCAGCTTGGGCTGGCACAGATGCCAAGGCTGCACCGGCCACTCCATCACGTGGTGGGGACAGCTCTCACATGGCTCGGCAGAGTGGCTGGGCGCCTCACCATGGGGAGCAGTGCTCCTGACCTTGAACCCTCCCCCACGTAGTGCCAGCATCAGAGCCATCAAATAAACCTCAAAGCAGCTGGGACTCAGAGAGAACTTCACTACATCCCTGGAACACTCTTTAAATAACTTCAGACTCAGCATCAAAAGGGGTTCCCTCCCTCCCCATAAGGCAATAAAATGTGTTCTTTTCAGATAAATATTTCAAGAACAGACCAACTCATCTGGATCAAATGTTACCTTTTTAAAGATGCAAATTGAAAATTAAGCATCCAACACAAGGATTCCCTGGAGCCACTGGGAAGGGCTGCATGCTCATCACACCCGGGGCCGCCTGGGCAGTCGGGACTCACCGTCGCCACCGCCCTGAGAGGTATCGCACTGTGTGCATTTCAGAATCATTTCAAAGAGGCAGTAAGGACCCCGATGCATGTCCTAAGCAGGCAGAGCCGCTGCGTGTGACACAGGTTGGTCGCAGAAATCAGTCTACAGAGATACCGGCAACTTTTCTTCTACACTGCACTTTCCTGCGGCCCTGGAATGCCATTTATTTTCTAATATTCCCAATTTGGACATTTTTAAAGAGAATCAATCAAAGCTACCAAAGAAATATGACAATAGGTAGCTAAGAATATTCAATGCTTCAGAAGCTCATCATCATAATTAACGGTTGGGGGGCTTATAGCAGCCCAGGCTTTGTGTTAAGAGATTGATCACCATCTTATTCCATCCTTGCCCAGGCCTCCTAGTCAGTGCAACTTCACCACTTCTCCCAGAGGAGAACTAGATAACTCAGAAAAGTGAAGTGGCCTGCCACAGGGTGTACAGTGCAGCTCAGTGCAGAGCGGGGATCTGAACCAACCAGTCTGAATCCTGACAACAGGCTGCTTGATCCCATGAGAATTGGCTCTTACACTGAGATGGGACAGGCTAGATGTATGGAGAAGCCTGGTGACATCTGAATGCCTTTCCTATATGTTATTAGGGAAAAGAAGAGTAACTTGTGTTCATCTATCCATCCATCCATCTACCCATCTGCCCACCCATCCATTCATCCACTCACACACGAATCCATCCATCCACTCACACATCCATCCTTCTGTTCACCTGTTCATTCCTCCCGTTAGTCTCTCCATTCTTCCATCTGTCCATCATCTTCCATTCCTCTCACTGGCCAATCTATCCATCCATTCATCCATCTGTCAATCATCCATCTACACATCCATCCATCTTCCATTCCTCCCACTGGTCCATCCATCCATCCATCCATCCATCCATCCTCTCACTTGTTAGTCCATTGACCTGTCCATCTGTTTATCCAGTCATCCATCCATTCATCCATCCATCATCTTCCATTCCTCTCACTGGTCCATCTATCCATCCATTCATCCATCTGTCAATCATCCATCTACACATCCCTCCATCTTCCATTCCTCCCACTGGTCCATCCATCCATCCATCCATCCATCCTCTCACTTGTTAGTCCATTGACCTGTCCATCTGTTTATCCAGTCATCCATCCATTCATCCATCCATCATCTTCCATTCCTCTCACTGGTCCATCTATCCATCCATTCATCCATCTGTCAGTCATCCACCCACACATTTGTCCTTCCATCCATCTTCCATTCCTCCCACTGGTCTGTCCATCCATCCATCCGTCCGTCCGTCCATCTATCCTCTCACCTGTTAGTTCACTGATCTCTCCATCTATTCATCCAGTCATCCATCCATTCATCCATCTGTCCATCATCCACCCACACATCCATCCATTCATCCATCTGTCCATCATCCACCCACACATCCATCCATTCATCCATCTTTCCATTATCCACCCACACAACCGTCCATTCATCCTCCTGTCCATCTTCCTACTTGTTAGCCCATCTATCATTTCATCTATTCTTCCAGTCATTCATCCGTCTTTCCTTCCATCCATCCATCCATCCATCCATCCATCCATCCATCCTTGCTAGATTCTAGGTATTCCATGACCAACAAGGCTAATGAGGTGCCTGCTTTCACGGGTCTAATGTTCTTACTGTTCATTCTTCACCACCCTGTACCACCATGGAAAAGGGGGAACTGTGTAGTTTCCTGACAAGGCCTTCATTACATCCCCACTGAGCATCCACCTCTGGGTTCATCTAGTATGACTCTGCTTTCAAAACTGCCTCAGTCACTCCCTCATGCAAGGAAAAGCCGCATTCATTGATGTAAAGACTGTGCCTAGATAATTGCCTTGGCAGAACCTCAAGCCAAACTCTCTCATCTTTTTTATTTTAGTTTTCAAATGGGCAGCCTTCCCACAGGGTCAAAACGGCCCAGCTTCAACCTGGGGGCTCAGCTGCTGGCTGGGCTGGGCACGTGGTGCTGTCTGCTTCAGGGATGCCACCAGCAGCAACATTCAAACATGGCCTGCCATATGCTCCATGTCTACGTTGAACAGCTCATTTTGTTCAGCTCTCTCTGATGCAGAGCAGGATTTGAGCTCAAAAAAATCAAAATGAAATGAGCAGTGCCTGCTGGGCCTGGATGGGAAGTAGTGTGGGAGGTTGGGGGTGTGTCTGGGCAGGGATATGTCAGCACTGTGGGCCGATCAGAGTGGGCAGCTGGCCGGCATGGGCACAGTGCACAGAAGCCTCCAGCCAGGCCCCGATCAGTGCCCACAGGCAGTGGGGCTGCCCTGTATCCACTCCTTAGCATGGCCCAACAGGGGACTGGGTGAGGCCAGAGAGACCAAGGCCTGATTTCAGCAGGGTGACTGTGGGCACTGGTCATGCAGAGCTGCTGCCTCATCCAGAAGGACACCCTGCCCTTGAGCCAGGATCAAGGCCGACTCTGGATGGGCAGAGCCAAGGAAGGAGGCCTCTTGGTCACTGATATGACCAACCCTCCTCTGCAGGCACCAGCCAGTTTCTGTTCTGTGGCTGCCCCTTGCCTGGTTCTTACCCAGATCATGGTGGGTAGAGCAGGGCCTCTGCCCTTCAGTCTAGTCTGTGCTAACAGACCAAAGTGAACTTCAGCAAACACTCTAGCAAGAAACTCTGGGTCCGTAGCATGAGCCCATGATGGCTGGAGCTGGCTCTCATTGACTCCCCAGAGCCGTCTGTGCAGTCCCTCCCTGACCATGGTGAGCAAGGGCATGTTGGTAGCTTGGAACTGGCCACGGTGGGAATATTTACATGATGGAAATTGGCAAATGCTATAGATCTGCCTCCTCCCCAGAGTGCCGGAGGTTACATTTATCAGCACCCCACTGGTTTGATGCCCTAAAGTCTGAATTCCTCAGCATAGCATTCAAGGTCCCTCCTGGTTTTCTTATCCAACTCACAATGGCTACAGAGAAACAGAGAGGTGGAGGAGGGATTTCTTGGCTCTTATAATTTAATTTCTAGGACATCCTGAGACATAGTTAGATCCTAGGGTGCTAACTGTGTGCTCAAGATGGGCCCAGCCCCACCTTCCAGCTCTGCCTTCTCCACGTGGTGGTCTCTGCCAGCTCCAGGTCGACTTTATTCGTGGAGTTCCCCAGAAGCTTTGGGACTGCATCTCTCCGGCCTCATGGACATCTTGTTTTTCCTTCGAACCAGTCCAATGAAATGGAATGTTCTAGATGGCCAGGCCTGGCTCATATGATCGCCCTTTAAGCAGGAGGGGCAGAGTCAGCCCCACTAAACCCCAGGGTCAAGCCCTGGGAACGGGAAGAGTGTTTCTCCAGGGAGACCCTGAGGGGCTGTTTCCAGAGGAAGGAGCCAGGCTGTGTTGATAGAACCCTGCCTAGGCTTTGCTTCTGTCCTCTGCCTCTGCGAAATAGTCCATCCCCCAAGCCACTCCTCCTTTCCATGTTCCAGGCTCTTGGTGTGGGGGGCCACCTCCCTGCAAACACCCTTCCCGGTCTTTGCATGGTTTTAAATCATCCTTCATGGCACCCAAGGCCCCCCTTCCCATCCCAGCCTCAGATCTGGAAGCTCCCCTCCCCATTCGCAGAGCTTCCCCGCCCCCCACCCCTGGCCCATGCTCCCTTTCCCTGCCTGGGTGGCCTCCTTGCCTTTCACCGCTGGCCTGGAAGTGCTTTCCAGCTGGTTGTGTTTCTCTTTGTACCTCCCACAGCTTCCAGCATGGCTTTTGGCTTTTGTCCTGGCAGTCAGGACCCTAGTGGAGGGGAGGGGTGTGTCACCAGCTTGCCCTGTTCCAAGGCTGCGTGAGTGGTTGTGGAGCCGGGCTTCTCCTCACCTTCCAAGTCAACCACTGCCTAGCTGGTGACCTGAGTCTGTAACAAGCCCCCCTGAGCCTCAGTCTCCTCATCTGTAAACTGGGGAGGTGGTGGGACTGCTGCACGGGATGGCATGCTGTGTGTCTTGTGCCTAACACACCCCCGCACAACTGCCACGCCCTGTGCGATGGCTGTTACCGCCATTATTGTGTGATTCCTGCCTGGCCATGGCCTGGCGCTGGCGGTTGGATGGGCCTTGCACATAGTAGATGCTCAGATATTCACCATGGAGTCCCCTCCTGCCAGAACTTCTCTCCCACTGGTTCTCAAGGACAGTCACTTACAAAAGCAATTTCTTGGTGGCCACAGATCTTCAGGGTCATCCCCTGTGGCCAGCTCTCATTCCCCAAGGGCAGCACTTAGTAGGGCCTTTTCAGCAGCCTCCCTATCTCCATCGTGACAAAGACCCACAGGCTGGGCAGCTTCAACATGGCTCATTTTCTTACCATTCTGGCAGCTGGAAGTCCAAGTCCACGGTGTCTGCAGGGCTGGTTTCTCCTGAGGCTTCTCTCCTTGGCTTGTGGATGCCATCTCCACCCTGTGACCTCCCAAGGTTGTGCCTCTGTGTGTGTCACTGTCCAAATTTCCTCTCCTTAAGAGGACATCAGTCCCACTACATTAGGAGCCACCCCAGTGACCCCATTTCACCTCCATTAGCTCCTTAAAGGCGCTACCGCAAATACAGTCACGTTCTGTGCTGCTGGGGGTTAAGACTCAGCATATGAATCTTGGGGAATGCAGGTTAGCCGGCTTGATGTCCCATGTAACGTGGGTTTCCCAGCGTGAATGACCCATCTCACTGGAGTGGGCAGGGCATGGCCCATGCCTGGCTCAGCCCTGATGCCTGCAGGAAGTGGGTGTCATTGGTAGAGGAATCAGAGGAATGGACTCCCCTGCATTTGGGCCACTGAGTCCTCTGCTGCTTTCACTGTGGTGTGAGGTGACTTGGAAAGGAGAGTGGAGTCAGGGAGAGCCCTGCGTGGAGGCCATTCTGAGACAGGCAGGCACCCCAGCCCTCTCCAGCTGGCTTGCTACAAATGCTTGCCGACCAGCTCCCGGCAAAGCTGACTCCTGGCATTATCACATGATTCAACTGTTCTCTGTGCGGCAATATTAATAATGCTCACTATTGTTGCAAGCACAGCAGGAAGCGGCCGTGTGATGGGGTGGTGGAGGGGGGCATTGCTATAAACAGGGGCTTGCTGGCAGAGAGCTCATCCTGTCCTTAGGGCAGAAATTAATGTCACCTCTCAGAATCAGAATTCCGATTAGAGCTGCACTCAGGAAGTCCCTCCAGATGGGAGAGGACATTGTCTGAAGTCCTTAGCAGAGCCGAGAGCTGTGTCCCTTGCAGAGCCAGCCTGCCTCCTCCCGTGGTGAGAGTGGCAGCTGGTCTGGACTCGTCCTCTTCAGTGAGATGCCTGTGAGTGCCCAGGAGGAGCTGCCCCATGCATGCAGTGGGGGTGTGCCTCTCCATGGACCGGAGGTCAGGAGGCTGATGGATGTCCTGCATCCCTCACGGTGACTCCAAAGATTCAACCAGCCGGAGGGAGGCTGGGCTTTTCCGCTAGCTGGAAATTTCAGAACCCTTGGCCCACATTCGTCAAACTGCCAGCTCAGAAGTGAGTGGTATTCAAATTCTTTTCAGTGGTGGTTCTCCAAGTGGGGTCCCCACACTAGTGGCATCGGCATTACTTTGGGAGACGTTGGGGACTCCCATTCTCTGCCCCCCTACCCCAGACCTGCCGAAGCAGGAGCTCGGGTTGAAGAACCTGCCTGTACCCCAGCCCTGTGCTGCCTTCCAGTGGAAACATGGTAGAGCCATGGAGGGATTTTAAATGTCTTAGTGGCCATGTTGAAAAAAAAGTGAAAAGAAACAGTAAAACTAATTCTTATTGTGGTGAATGTATTTACAAAATTTAACCATTTTAACCATTTTTTATGTGTACAGTCAGCGGCATTAGGTACATTCACAGAGTCATGGAAACCATGGCCACTGTCCATCTCCAGAATTTTTATATCTCTCCAACCTGAAACTCCATCCCCATTAAACACGCACTCCCAGCCGCACTCTCCCCCGCCCCTGGCCCCCACCATCCTATTGTTTATTTCTATGAATGTGACTGCCCTAGGGACCCCAAACAGGTAGAATCATACCGTATTTGTCCTTTTGCATCTAGCTGTTTTCACTTAGCATGATGTCCTTAAAGTTCACCCATGTTATAGCGAGTGTCAGAATCTCTTTTTTTTTTAGACTGAGTCTTACTCTGTCACCCAGGCCGAAGTGCAGTGGCACAATCTCAGCTCACTAAAACCTCTGTCTCCCAGGTTCAAGCAATTCTTGTGTCTTAGCCTCCCGAGTAGCTGGGATTACAGGTGTGCGCCACCATGCCTGGCTACTTGTCGTATTTTTAGTAGAGACGGGGTTTTGCCATTTTGCCCAGGTTGGACTCAAACTTCTGGCCTCAAATGATCCACCTGCCTTGGCCTCCTAAAGTGCTAGGATTACAGGCGTGAGCCACCATGCCTGGCCTCTCCTTCCTTTTTTTTTTTTTTTTTCCCCGAAACAGAGTCTTGCTCTGTCACCCAAGCTGGCACGATCTCAGCTCACTGCAACCTCTGCCCCCTGGGTTTAAGCAATTCTCCTGCCTCAGCCTTCCTAGTAGCTAGGATTACAGATGTGTGCTACCACACCTGGCTAATTTTTGTATCTTTAGTAGAGACAGGGTTTCACCATGTTGGCCAGGCTGGTCTCGAAGTCCTGACCTCATGATCCACCCACCTCGGCCTCCCAAAGTGCTGGGATTACAGGCGTGAGCCACCGGGCCCAGCTTCTCCTTCCTTTTTAAGGCTGCGTAACATTCCATCATAGGGTAGACCACATTCTGTTTATCCCCTCATTCACGAGTGAATGTTTGGCTCATTGTTTCTCACAGCTGCTGCGCAATTTACATTCCCACAGCAGTTCCCAAGGTTCCAGTTTCTCTGCATCTTCACCAATATTTGTTATTTTCTGTGTTTTGATAGTGACCATCCTAATGGGTGTGAAGTGGTATGCAATCAGTTTCGTGAACGAGTTTGTTTAACCTAGTATTGCTGGAACAGTATTATTTCAGTGTGTAAAAATACTCAGAGTATTAATCAGGTATTTTACATGGTTTTAAAATTTTTATTTTGGAGGAAGCTTTTGAAATCGGTGTGCATTAGACACTCACACCCCAGCTCTGCTCAGACCAGACCCATTGAAGGCACTTGGCACAGGCCCGCCCCTTGACGCCCTGTGGACAGCATGGCGCTGGGCGAGTCTCCCCGCAGCTCCAGAAAGGGACAGAGGACATAGCTTACCAAGTGTGATTTTAGGGCCTGCAGCTCTATTCATTTTAATGAAGGGTATCTTTTTGAGGGGGTGAAATCTTCGGACAGTTTTGTCCTGACTCACTGCCTTTGGGGAGAAGTGGATATCTGTGCTCAGACACAGAGGCTGCACATCTCGGGGGTTCTTCCAATTGCTGGTTTGAAATGACTTGGAGTGGTGGAGAGGCTGAGCTGGGGAGGTGTTTGGAAACACCAATTCAGAACACAGCAAGACTGGCGCAGCCTGGCATTACTGCTCAATAGAATAATATGTGGCCCGCAGAGCTGACTGTGGGTGCTTGGGATAAAACCCAGATTCTGTGGCCTATTTCCTTCTTCTTCAGAAAAGGACTCTGTTGGGGGCATGCAGTCCTGGTCTCCAAGAGACTCACTCTTTCTCTCTTGGTCGTGCTCTCTCTTCCCCCTCCCTCTCACTCTTTTCTCCCACTCTCCCCCTCCTCCCTCTCTGTCTTTCTCCATCTCCCTCTCCCTCCCTCTACCTCTCTTCTCTCTCCCCTCACCCCTAGCCCCTCTCTCTCCTCCCTCTCCCTGTTACCAGCAAACCTGCTGAGGTCACCTATTCCACCTTGAGCCAGCTGTGGGGTGTGGGGCCCGAGTGCCAGCTGTTTCCTCTAAAAATATCACCCACGTGAGCCAGCACCGTTGGGTCCGGAGTTGGGAGTTGGGAATCGGGCCATCGGAACATCTCCCCTTCTGGGTTGATTACTGTCAACAACTGTCATCCCTCCCTGGCCCTGTTTCTGGCTGGAATGCATTTCTGTATCGCTATCTAGCAGGGCTGTAAATTGGCAGCGTGGATTGGGGAGCAAATTTCTAGCCGCTTCCCTCTCAGAACATGCATTTCTCCTGACTTGTATTACTCATTTTACGGCTGGAGACAGGTGCACATGGCGGGAAGTGGGCACAGGAGCCTTGACCTGACAAGGTCCTCGAGGCCAGGCGAGGTCTCAGGAAGTCTGAGTTTGGAAGGCGCCGCCAGAGACTGCACTTCAGTGTACTGTGGTCCTGGGCCAAGGGGCCAGGCCAGGAGCAGCAGGGCCCTTCATGCTCAGAGGCCCACTTGGAAGAGATGGAGCCTCCCATCCCTTGAGTTTTCTGAGGGGTGCACATGTTCTGTTTTAGGGGGATGCTGCATTCGAGGCACAGAGAAGCCACCTGCTTCCTTAGACAGATCACAAGCAGAAGTCTCACCTGCCTTTGCTCTTTTGCTGTTAAATGGCAAATGCTGATTAAATGGCAAATGCTGATCAAGAAAGTAAAGGTGTCCATTGGCTTTGTGCTGGCCCTTTGGTCTCAAGAGACAGAGAAGACAGATGAAAGTGAAAGATGAGTTTGCAAGCTTCAGCCCAAACTTTTTTCTTTTTTTTCTTTTTTTTTTTTTTTCCCTGAGACAGAGTCTCGCTCTGTCCCCCAGGCTGGACTGCAGTGGCACCATCTCGGCTCACTGCAAGCTCCGCCTCCCGGGTTCACACCATTCTCCTGCCTCAGCCTCCTGAGTAGCTGGGACTACAGGCTCCCGCCACCACACCTGGCTAATTTTTTGTATTTTTTAGTAGAGACGGGATTTCACCATGTTAGCCAGGATGGTCTCGATCTCCTGACCTCATGATCTGCCCGCCTCAGCCTCCCAAAGTGCTGGGATTACAGGCTTGAGCCACCGCGCCTGGCCAAACTTTTTTGACTAAGTGAGGTTATTGTGTGAGCTGGTTTTCCTCCCCAAACCTCTGATTTCCTATCTATCAGATGGGCTGATAATGGCACTTGCTCTACAGCCCAGTGAAATCGCGTGTGGAGGAGTTAGTGTCCTGGAGGGTGCTGTTACAAAGCGCCGTCAGTTGGGCAACTTAAGACAACAGCAGTTTATTCTTTTAGGGGTCTGGAGGCCGGAAGCCTGAGATGGAGGTATGGACAGGGCTGGTTCCTTCAGGGGCTCCGAGGGAGGATTGCTTGAGCCCAGGATGTCCAGGCTGCAGTGAGCTGTGATTATATGGCAGCACCCCCACACCCCCGCATCCCTCTCCCGGCTTCTGGTGGCTGCCAGAGACAGCCCTTGATGTTCCTTGGCTTGTGGCCACATCACTCCAATCTCTGCCTTGGCCCTCATACCACTTTTTCTGTGTGTCTGTGACTTCTCTTGTCATTGGATTTAGGACCTACCCTCATCCAGGTTAGCCTCAGCAAAGACGTTTTTTCCAGATAAGATTGCACACACCGGGTCCAGGTGTACATATCTTTCTGGGGGCCACTGTTCAACCATGACAGTGGGTCAGTGTTTTGTCCATGGAGAAAGGCCTCGCAGGGTTTGGTGGGACTGCTGGTTATGGGGGTGGGGCTCACTGCAGACGTGTCCTGAGCCCGAGATCACTCGTTCCCCGCAGCAGGTGCAGCTGAGAGCAGAGGCGGCCGCTTTGCCCAGGGCGGTGCTTTTGGTTCTTGTCTCTGCTCATCAGTTTCTATCGTACCCCGACAAATACATCCCCTCCCATCACGGCTGTTTCTGGGGACTATAAGGATCTTTCTGCCACTGCTAATCCTTACAGCTTAGGCAAGTTCGTGGTGCCTCAGAGATGAAACCTGAGAGATGTAAAAACTCCCTTCCTTGGAAGTTCTAAAAGACACATTAGGATGAAAGAGGGATTTCAAACTCTACATCCTGGGGTAGCTTTCCAGTCGGCTGGTGCACAGAGCTAGGAGAGGGGATCGTTTGGCTTCCAGGCCAGCCACAGCGGAGTTTCCACCAGGAAGGTTCTGGCCCTGTCTGCCTCCCCAGCTCCCTCCCCACCCTCCCCTCTTCTGCAGTCCTAGTTGCCTCTCTCTTCCCCCAAAGCCAAGGCCACCCCGCTCCAGGCATGGCCCATGCTGTCCCTTCTGCTGAGTATACACCCCATTCCCTGTGTCTGGCCAATTCCATCTAACCCTCAGGCCTCAGCTTAAGCCTTCCACCCCGGAGAGGCCATCTGGACAGCCCCGTGGCTGGCACATCCCCCTGCTGTGTTCTCCTAAGTACACATGTGTGCTCCCTCACAGCCATCATCAGAATTGAAATTATACAAACATTGGCATCATTCAGTCGGTGATCATCCTGAGGGCAGCTTCATGAAAAGCACCCAGCACACAGTAGGTGTCTGTTGAATGCACTATTTGCAAAGCCTGTGCATTCTCATTGAATTCCAGCCACAGCCCTCTTAGTGGGAGTTGTACCAAGAGCATAGAGAGGTGAAGGGACCCCCTGATGATGCCAGGCCTGCGAAGGGGCACTAGGCACTCACCTGGAGAGTGACTGCAAATCTGGGCTCTTACAAGTGGTCTCCAGCCACTGTCCCTCAGGAGTGTGAGCAGCTGCAGGAATCCTCTGCCCCGAGAGCAAGCCTCCCTCTGCAGGCAGCTCCTCCTGCTGTGCGGGGAAACGCAGGGAGAGGGAGCGGGTCAGCACCGGGGCCTGGAAAGGGCTGAAAGAACTGGAGGAGGGACCACTCAGGGGTGCTCCTTGCTCTGGAAGGCATTGATCTTGCCACTAAAGGCCATGGAATGAAAGGGTGCAGGAAGGAAAGATGCCATCTCCAGCCAGAGGCTTCCAAGTGCAGTGCTCCCCTCCCCACAGGGTCCCCAGGGGTGGGAAGATCTCACCACAATTTCTATTGACTGTGACTTTGTCGCCACTGAAAACAAAATAAGCAGGCCCAGCCATTCTGGGAAACCATGTGGCAGTGTCCAGTAAAGCTGAGCGTGTGTATTTCCAGGGATCCAGCAACTCTCTTCCTCACAAGACCTAACAGAAACCCATGCCCAGGTGCAGCCAAAGCCGTGCTCTGGAAGGTTCATAGCAGCACTCCTCCTAACAGTCCAAAGTTGGGAGTGAGCCAGGTGCCCATGCACAGTGCACTAGTGAATAGGGTGTGGCATGTCCCACAGGGGAATAAGGTCAGGAGTGACCCAGGTGCCCATGCACAGAGCACTGGTGAACAGAGTGTGGCATGTCCCACGGGGGATGATAGGACAGGGGTGGCCCAGGTGTCCACGCACAGTGCACTGGTAAATGGAGTGTGGCATGTCCCACGGGGGACGATAGGACAGGGGTGACCCAGGTATCCACACACAGTGCACTGGCAAACAGAGTGTGGCATGTTCCATGGGGGATGATAGGACAGTGACGGCAAGGCCTGCCAGCCATGTGGATGGGTCTCAGACGTGCTGTGGAATATGAGTGGCAGCTTCCATATGTTACTCATTTCTATGGAGCTAAAGACAGGGAGGGGCAGCTGGTCCTTGCAATGGGAGCCCTTACAGCCCTTTTCCGTGGGGACCCTGGCTGGGAGGGGACACAAGGTAGGCTCCTGGGGCCGATGTCTTCCCCTTGGCTGGCTGGTGGCTGCATGGCAGCGTGCATTTGTAAGAGTCCCTCACTCAGAGTAGATTCTTTCCTCCATGTGCACAACACTTCAATTTCAGAAAAGCACTGAGGGGTCTTTATTCCATTCCATAACAGGAGGAGATGTCATAATCCTGGACAGAATGGAAGCTACCGAAAGGGACTCACGTGAAGTGCATAGACGTAATTTTGATCAAAAGAAGTTAGGCAGAAAAGGAAGCTTTCTGGATGCTTTCATTGATAGGAAATGCAAAACAGTCAAACTCATCTCCGCTATCCAAAGCCAGGGTGGAGGTTGCGTTTCAGGATGGAGGGTGTTTCATGGCTGAACGGAATCAAGGGGCCTTCTGGGGTGCAGCTTGCACAGAGCCCCCTTGTGAAAATCCATGTGCAGCTCTACACTTAAGATGTGCATGTTTTCTCTGGAGATGTTATACTTCAAAAAAAAAGGAGGAACTGTGCTTCCTTGACATTTATGACACAGGTGGATGTGAGTCTTCTCCCCCTGCCGGGGTTCTGGTGCCGGGATGTGAGGGGCAGGGCATGTGCAGAAAGCAGTGGCCCCCATCATTTGTCCAGCGCTGGCTGATGGAGGCCCACTGGGTGTGCACTAGGGTAAGTGGATTTATGAATAGTATCGAGTTCTAACTCAACCCATGCTCATGGACTAAACCAAGCAGCTTTAACACAGCCCTGCAAGGAAACCGCAGCCTGGAGACCTTCCTCACCACGCAAGCCTTGAGCAGTGTGGGGCTGACACACATTCCTCACAGGCCGCGGCTATCACCAGCCACAGTCAGAGGCTCAAAACCAAACAAAAACTTATGATCCGATCACATCTGGAAGATGTCAGCCCCAAACGTGTGAAGTTACCAAGATGACTTTTTGAACGTATATCTATGCATTCCACTGCATTGTCATTAAAGACAAATCTCACTGGGCACGGTGGCTCACGCCTGTAATCCCAGCACTTTGGGAGGCCGAGGTGGGTGGATCACCTGAGGTCGGGAGTTCATGACCCCTGACTAACATGGAGAAACCTAATCTCTACTAAAAATACAAAATTAGCCAGGCGTGGTAGTGCATGCCTGTAATCCCAGCTACTCGGGGGGCTGAAGCAGGAGAATCGCTTGAACCCGGGTGGCAGAGGTTGCAGTGAGCCGAGATCGTGCTATTGCACTCCAGCCTGGGCAATAAGAGCAAAACTCCGTCTCAAAAAAAAAAAAAAAAAAAAAAAAAAAAAAAAAAAAAAAAAAACCAAATCTCCCCAAGTGTCTTCTTTAAGTATTTATTTACCAGTGGAGGGTTCAGAGCAGCAGTAAATACATTTATAAACATATGAATATTTTTATACTAAGGGTGCATGCCAGAAATTCTCTTCTCTCCGTGGTGTACATGAGCACAGAGTTCAGAGCGCAACCATGCAGGAGAACTTACGGATCTGGCTCCGAATTCTAAATTAGGACAAGATGCAATTGCTGAGCACCTCAGCTGCAGAAGGGGCCTCATCTGGCCTCAGGAGGCTTCTGAGAGTTCCTGTTCTTGGCCACCTTGCACCTGCTTGCTCAGAGCTTCCTGGGCATGTGGGTGTGTCATGTGTCTTGGGAGAATCACCTGATTCCCCTTCCTGGGCTCAGCAGCCTCAGTGCTTCTCCTGCTGCTGGGAAGCCCCGCCCTCTTGTCAGGTGTCAGGTGTCAATCAGGATTCCATCTGGGAAAAAACCCATGCGATAAGGGATTTTTTATTGGGCTTAAAACCTTACACGGTGTGGGAGAAGCTGAGGAGGTAAGATTTGGAGAGGTCAGAAGGTCAGAGAAAAGTCGCAAACAGGATGGCTGAGTGGACGTGGTAGAGAAATGCCTGGATGCTGTGGCCCTGCTGCACGTGGTGTACCTCGGGGCAGGGCAGAGAGCTGGGGAGGGATGCTGGAAGCACAATGGGGGAAGCAAGGACCCCCAGACCCACGAGGATGGGACAGACCCAGCATCTGCCTTGCACACATCAGTGATGACCTGCAAGTGAAGCTGGCAGGAGGTGGAGGAGCTGTGGGCGGTACTGGTGAGCCCGCAGGGCAGGCAGGTGTCCTGAGCTGTTCCAGTGCCCCGGGTGTGCACTCACCTCACAGATGCAGAGGCCACTGCCTCATGTTTCTTTCTAAATATCATGTCCCCCTCATTGCCAACCCTGACCCAGACCTGTATGGGCAAGACATGTCTTTCATCCTAGCTGAATTGACACATTGCAAAACTATCCCAGAGTCCAAAACAGAGACTCAATATGGTAGAGACCCCTATCTCCATTTCTTTAGTTCTGGTGTGGTTGAATATTGCAAACGCACTCGGATGAACTTAGCATTGACTTTTGGATGGCGTTTTGAGAAATTGCATTTATAGCAGCAATGGCTTGGGATTTTTTTTGTTCATGACTGTATTGCGTCCCTTCTTTTACTTGGCAGGTACGTTCGTCATTTTTTTTTCATTTTGAGATCTACACACTTAAATCCTTTGATTTCTGCATCATTAATAACACTTCCTCAGGTCCTAATGAAAGGCGTCTTGCCTCTCTCAGCATCCGAGCAAGCAGTTCTAAGTGGATGGTCCCGTCGCAATCAGGCCAAGCTTCTTCAGTGGCTTCTAAAGCCTTTCCTCGCCTGGCCTCTGGCGGCATCCTCAGCCTCATACCTTGTCACTCCCTGTGCGCACACATGCAGGCTGTGCACATGCTCCTGTACACAGGCACATGCCCACACCTACAAATGAACACGTGTGCATGGGCATGTGCACACAGCACACATATATTCACACACACAGTATCCACACACTCTCATATCCACACACTCATATATACATACACATCCACACACAGCACACACGTATACACACGTATACACACATATACACACATAGCACACATGTATCCACACACAGCACACATGTATACACACATATCCACACATATGTATCCACACATAGCACACATGTATCCACACGCATCCACACACAGCACACATGTATATACACATATCCACATGTATCCACACACATATATCCACACACATCCACATACAACACACATGTATCCAAACACACTCATATCCACACACATCCACATACAACACACATGTATCCAAACACACTCATATCCACACACATATCCACAAACATGTATCCACACACATATCCACACACAGCACACATGTATCCACACACAGCACACCCTTATACACATGTATCCCCATACAGCACACATGTATATATGCATATCCACACATAGCACACACATACATGTGTCCACACACAGCACACACATATTCACAGACGCACAGGCCCTGTAGACCCTCCACTGCAGCCACTGATGTGGTCCTCCCATGGCCCTTGTCTCCTCCTGGGTCTCTATAGAGGCCACTCCTAGGCCAGGGATGTCCCCTGTCACCCACTCTTCCCCTGTTTTCACTCTGGCCAGCTCCAGCTCATCACCCTCCAGATTTCAGCTTCAGTCCCTCTCTTTTGACCGTGTCTCCCTGACTCCCATTGTTTAGGGAGAGTGTCATCCTGACACAGGCCTCAGTCATCCCTGTGCTGTGGGCATTTGCCCCGCCTGTTTCCCATCCAGTGCCCCCCACAGAGCAAGGCTTGGAATCCACTTCTGGCTGTGACAGCACAGTGCCCCACATGCTCTTGAAGATGGGAAAGGCATAAGCCTGTGCCGCGTGGTCCATCCGGAGCCAAATTTAAAAAACTGGACCCACCACGTGCAGCTTTGTGGGCCTCACGCAGAGGAGGAGCCTACAGCCTCCTAGCCGGTGCTGGCTCGTCCAGGAAAGGTTGCTGAGCCCCAGCTCTGTGCCAGGCATAGGTGGACCAGGAGCAGCAGGTCACTGCTCTGGTGAAGGATCCCCAAGACCGCCTGTGTGGCTCCGCGAGCGCCTTGAATCACAGCTCAGGACCGTGGGCCCCATGGTGCAGAGCTGCCTGCAGAGCTAGGTCCAGCCCGGCCCAGAGGCATGGCCAACCCTCACCCTGAGCAGGGCGGGCACCACAGAAGGCTCCGGGAACAGGAGCAGGGAGGGAGGCGGCCAGGACCGGAGAGCAGTGGCACCCTGAACCTGGAGCCACCCTCGACACTAGGACGTTCAGTGTGGAAGCGAGCCGGCCAAGGGAGAGCCAGGACAGAGGCAGCGGTGGAGGGGCGGGCCTTCAGGGTGGGACAGCTGGGACTGGCTCCTGTCTGAAAGGGGGGCTGGGGAGGTGAAGGAAACCCCATGTCTCCAGCCTGGACCCCTGAGCAGGACGTGGGCTCTGAGGTCGAGCCTAGGAGAAGGACAGTGGGCAGGGCAGACGCTGCTGTGATTATCCGTGAGATAAGGCACAGAGCACATCCCGCAGGAGGGGCAGAGCCCAGGGAAAACAGGGCGGCAGCGCACAGAAACCCGGGTGACGGCGCAGCCTGGACAGGACATTCTCGAGGGCCCTGCCCAGGGCAGGATGGCCAATTGCAGGACATTCTCAAAGGCCCCGCCCAGGGCAGAATGGCCAATTGCAGGACGTTCTCGAGGGCCCCGCCCAGGGCAGGATGGCCAATTGCAGGACATTCTCAAAGGCCCCGCCCAGGGCAGGATGGCCAATTGCAGTACATTCTCAAAGGCCCCGCCCAGGGCAGAATGGCCAATTGCAGGACGTTCTCGAGGGCCCCGCCCAGGGCAGGATGGCCAATTGCAGGAGGTGCTGATGTCCTCAGATCATCTGAAAACTGAGGCATGTGATCTTGTGTTTCTTAAGTCAGGGCAGTTCACATGCAACAAATAGTTACCAAGGCTGACCTCTCTGGTGAGACCACGGGGAGATTTGACTCCTTACTAACTCATTGCAGTTAAAAAATATATTAAGAGGTATTAATTTTATGAAAAAAGCAATAAAAGAAATAGAAGAGGCCAGAAGAGTATGTGATGTATTCAATGGGGGTTTCTAGTTGTTTTGTTTCTTTTTCATCTGAGAGTTAAAGGAATCATCTCATTTTTTGACGCAGCCAGGTGCTTTAATCTAGCTGATAAAAATTTTGCTTGGAAAAACACTCTGGCTTAATATATTAAGGATGGGAAATATAGGAAGATGCAGGTACCTATAATGAATAATGCTCACACCTGAAAAATGCCGTGTCTAACTCATAGGCACTGCATTCGGGTGGCTCCAGTACAGCAAGGACATCATGTGGGTGGAGGGTGTGTGGCAAGGGATAGGGGTGTCCTGTGTGGAGGGCTGTAGGTAGACTCTGGGTGACTTGCTCAGTTCTGAGCTTCAGCAACTGCAGAAGACGGTCTGCCTGTTTGCTAATCCCTTCCCCGTCACCTGCCTTTCCGCTGTATGTGTGAGTGACTCATAGCTCCCAATTATGATTGTCACGGAAATTCTGCATCAGAATATGGTTGTGCAGTGCAGGCTTGGCCATTCCCAATTTTTTGAGATTGCAGCATTGCCTTCTTATCAAAGTGACCTGAGCTGTTGACACCAGCGAAGGTGGAGGGAGGGCTTTGGCCCCGCAAATTCCTGCAGGGAATCGAGGCAGAAGCATGGATGCTTTCTTCATAGACCTTGTCTTGGGAGTAGGGTATATGCAGAAGTGTGTTCAGATGTCGAGGATTTCAAAATGAAGATGTTCTTCTAGATAAAAATCTTGGCTTATGGCCTATTGTGTTAAACCAGCTGTATAGTCCTGGGCTAATTGTTAGTAATTTTTTGTGATTGGGTACTGTGTTCCAGGCAAGTGATGTTTCTCTTTAGTAATGTTCATGTCACTCATTTATGACTGAAGTGAGAGTTGTATGTACAACAGCAGCTCCAAGACTAACTAGGGAGGAGAAAAATCAGGAAAGTAAATACATCACAGGCTGACATCTTTGGAACAAATAATTAAGACAACCTTGAACCCAGTTGCACAGCTTCCTGCCGCATTTGCAGAGACCGTTGAGCCCTTCCTCACGGTTCCACATTCCCAGCGTTGCAGAGAGGACCTGTGCCCTGTGTGTGCAGGGAGCTGACCCTGCTCTGACCTTTACTGTCTCTTTTGCACAGCCTGCCTGATTGGGAACCCCTGGCCCATTTCTCCGTGGGCCAAGGTGGAAGATGATGTGTCTCTTCTCCCAGCACAGGCACTGCCAAAGGCCAGAGGCATTAGCAATTTTTCTGCAGGGGTTTTTAGAGGCTGTGGCATGAAATCAGAACGTCGTCTTCCCTGATTCTGGATCTGTGTGCCATCCTGCATTCATCAAAACTGTTTCCCAACTGAGAGGCTTTTTTTTTCTTTTTTTGGACCACCTGGCAGCTCCAGCCTATCTAGCATCATCTTTCATCCCTGCACTGTCTACCTCCTGACATATTATTTTGCACATTTCCAAGCTGCTCCTTCCAGTTTCCTGAGCAGGATTCTCTACTTGGAACTTCTGGGGTGTGCAGCCTATACTCTGTCTTCTGCCTGGAATGCCAGCTCCAGACCCCCAATTTCGTGACAGGCAAATGTCTACCCACGCATTATTTGTCTCTGTGCAAGCAGTTGTCTCCCCACCCTTCCCTCACTGCAGGCAGGCAGTGCATACCTAGCTCCAAGGACCTCCAGTTACCATATGGTAGAGTGGCTGGTATCCAACCAAGTCACCGAGAATCAAATGCTGTATTAGATAGGACAGAGGCGGGGAGAGAAGGAGGAAGGCAGGAGAAAGAGAGGGAAAGACTTTGATAGCATCAGAAAACAACCAAACCAGCTGGAGAAGTCAAAATCCCAGAGAAAAGAGAACTACTGAGGAGTGAATGAAGATGGTGCATGGTATTCCCCCAGACCTTGCTCACTCCTAGGTCGCACCCTTTCCGAGTCATAGACAGAGACCCCCAGCAGGAAGCAGCTGCTGAAAAGTGGGGCCAGGTAGGAATTCCTTCTGCTTCTGGGATTCTTAACTTGGGACGGTGAGTTCATTCAAAGCCTATCTAAAGGCAAAAATCAGACACTACCAAGTGTCGACAGAAACATGCAGCACCTGGAATCCTGACATACAGCAGGTGGTGTGGGAACTAGTCTGTCTTTTGGGAGAATCATTGCTTCTAAAGCTGAATATATGCATATCCTATGCCCCAGAAATTCTACTCATGGATGTCTCCCTAACAGGGATACAGAGATTCTACTCGTGGATGTCTCCCTAACAGATGTGTGTGCACCAGAAGACAAACACAAGAATGTTTACGGCAACATCATTTGTTATGTCCCCAAGCCAGAAAGCATCTGGCTTAATGGGTGGTAGATTCATCAATTGGACAAGGAGTAGAATAGGAGAAAGACACTGTGGGCAATTCATACTCCTAGCATGGAATACTATGCAGTGTTCAATAAGAACAAACCACTGCCCTTTACCACGCGGACCACAGGTGTGCTGATGATAGGAGGCAGAGTGGAAGGTGCCGGGATGGGCGTCCAGGACTTCTGTGGTCCATGTGATGTTCTCTTCTCGATCTGGATGCTGGTAACATGGTGTGTTTGTCACTTTGAAAATCCATCTGGCCATGCATCATGATTTTATCATATGTATATGTATACTTTAATATAGATTTTAACTAAGTCGATGGGGAGAGAGAGATAGTGAGAGAGAGTGAGCGAGAGCAGGCGAGCTTTCCAGCTATGTTCCAGGGAAAATTGTGCACAGACTGAGAGCCATTTCTCCCATGTTCACAGTGCATATGTCTCCCTCTGCCCCTTCTATAGAGGTTAGTAATTGTATTGTATTAGTTTGCCTTAGTTATCTAACTATATTGTATTAGTCCAGAACCTACTTTCTAGACTATAGAAAGATGTTAACGAAGATGACGGTAACTTATGTTACCGTCATAAGTTACGATAGCTTACCTATGACGGTAAGCTTATATAATGACAGCTTATATTTAAATGCTCACTTTTCTCAGATACTGTTCTAAGTGCTCAGTAAAAATTAAGTCATTTTATCTTTATAACCAACCCTTGAGGTAGGGACCACCTTTATATCCATCTCACAGATCAGACACATTTGAAACTTCGAAAATTTATTCAACGTACCTAAATCCATGCAGCTGGTGAAAGGCAGAGGCAGCATCCCACATTCAGCAGGCAGCCTCCAGAGCCTACACATGCCCTGGCCATCAGGCTCTTTTTCCTAGCCTAGTGATTAGGTTCCAGTTTATAGCAAATCGTATGCCAGATACTATAGAGAGCGCAACACCCAGTGAGGTCTCTCATCTCTGTATCTCCAGTACAGGGCAGCAAATTAATGCCTGGTGTGTGTTGAATAAATGGATAGGTAGATGGGTGGGTGTGTGAGTGGATGGATGGATGGGTGGATGGATAGGTGGACAGATGGGTGGGTGGGTGGATAGATGGATGGATTGGTGGGTGGGTGGATGTGTGGGTGGATAGATGGGTGGGTATCTGGATGGATGGGTGGGTGGATGGATGGGTGGATAGATGGGTGGATGGATGGGTGGATAGATGGGTGGATGGGTGCATGAATAGATGGATGGATGGATAGGTGTGTGGATGGATGGATGGATGGATGGATGGATGGGTGGGTGGAAAGATGGATAGGTAGATGGTTGGGTGGATGGATGAGTGAATGGATAGATGGGTGGATGGGTGGGTAGGATTTTCAAAAAGCGCTACATCTGTAGCCTTCCTCTGGCTGGATCTGCAGGTAAGGAATTCCCTGAGAAAGGCGTCAAAATTTCAGGCATATTTGTGTGCCGAGCATGGCTTGGAGCCATGCTTCTCACCTGGAGATGCCCTTAAAACAGATTCCTTGGCCCAGCCGCAGAGATTCTGAGTCAGCAGATTTCCCATGGATCTGGACACCCTGAATTTCCAGCAAGCTCCCAGGGGATGCCCCTATACTTATCTGTGGACCACAACAGAGAGGCAAAGACATAAAGCTCTCCAGTGCCTTTGGTGCCATCTCTCTTGCAACAACAGTCAGTAATGTTTCCCTTAACCCTCTGTTAATTGGACTAAGCAGAGATAATGAAAGAATGATTTTTAGGGCATGCCTTCAGGGCCCTGCAGAGTGGGTGTGCGCTTGCAGAGAAGGGGGCGATATGTTTTTTCAGCAACCTCCCCCACACCTGAGTCTGCACTCAGCTTTGACGCCCGGCTCATCAGTGTGCCAGGCGGCCTTCTGCCTCCAGGCCATTTATAGTGCAGAAGCTTGTGAAGCCAAAACAGTTTGATGTGTAATTGCAGGAGGAAATGGGAAACCTGCTGAGCGTGGCAGGATATAGTGCCTTATCACCCTTTATGTGCAGCCACTGCTTGCTGGAATTGCCAGCAGATCCACACCATCGACAGAACGGTGACATTTTTCATGGGCCGCCGTGTTCTGAATCAACACTGCAATGGTGCGATTAGAGGAGGTAAAGGAAGGAAACAATCCCAGCCTCGCCGGTGACAGATCAGTCGCCAGTCCTGCTTCCCTCCTTATTACCTGCTGTCTTGTGTGATATGCAAAGCAGCTGCTCCACACGCATTACACCTTCACATTAACCGAAAATTGAATTTTATTTGGTAGCCTGCATATCATTTATAATACTCCTCCCATACACTTCAGCTCTCATTTGGCTAAAAGTGTATTCTTTACTTCCTACTGGCCAAGAAACAGAGAAAGGAGCCTGTGTGTCCATTGGTGCCTGCAGCCCCCAGGCTTCAGGGTTCCTGTGGAACAGGGTGTCATCGGCAAGAATTGAAAAGCATTTCCCTGTCTCCAAAATGCCCCAGACGCCTCCTTCCCGAGGGGCCACATGCTGCCATCAGCCTCGATCCAGAGACTGTGTTGCTGTGTGTTTCTTTGCTTGGCTGTAGCATGCTGGCTCTGTGTATGCAAAGAAACACAGCGCAGCACGCACAGATCCACCCAAGGAATTCCCACTCCAGGGGAAGCACGTGGGTAGAGGATCAGGTGGATTTTAACTTTAAAACTTATCATAATAGTTATCTTCTAAAAAGCAAACAAGACAAAACCCTGCCTCTCCCCACTATTTCAAATCTTAAATTACTATGCAAGGAAGTTTTATTTGTCAAATCTTGGCTACTGAAGTTCCAGCGTAGGAGAAAATCTTGCTTGGCCAAAATTACTCTCTTTTTTTTGTTGGTTTTTTTTTTTTTTTTTTGAGACAGGGTCTTGCTATGTTGCCCAGGCTGGAGTGTAGTTTTGCAATCATGGCTCACTGCAGCCTCGACCTCCCAGTTTCAAGTGATCCTCCCACCTCAGCCTCCTGAGTAGCTGGTACTACGAGTGCATGCCACCACGCCTGGGTAATTTTTGTATTTTTTGTAGAGACAGGGTTTCACCATGTTGCCCAGGCTGGTCTCAAACTCCTGGACTCAAGTGATCCACCTGCCTTGGTCTCCTAAAATGTTGGGACTATAGGAGTGAACAGCCATGCCTGGCCAAAGTTACTCTTTTTAATCAAGGTTTTAAGTGTACACTTTCATGAATTTTGACATATGAAAACATGAAACCACCACCATAATCAAGGTAGGGCATTTCCATTCCTCCCAAAAGTTCACTTTGCCCCTTGGACAGTCTCTCCTCCCCTCCCCCATCCCCTGGCAACCGGCTTATGGAACCCATCATTAAGACCAGCTGGCATCTTCTGCAGTTTTATGTAAATGGGGTAGTAGGGAATATACTTTTTTGTGCCGGCTTCTTGCACCGATACATGGATGTCAGCTTGATGACTTGAGCTCTGTCCGCGTCATTGTGCGTGTGTGCCCCTTCTAATGCCAAGCAGCACTCCAGTTATGGAGCACACATTCTCTGTATCCGTTCCCCTTCTGATGTGCACTCTGAGCTGTTTCTTTGTTTTTGTACTGTGAATAAAGCTGCTGTCCACATTCTTATATGAGTCCTTTATGGTTCCACCTACCTGGGGTAAATGCTATGAAGGGAGTAGCTAGGCTATATAGTAGAGAAGTGTTTAACTTTTTAAGAAGTTGCTCAGTAGCCTTCCAAAGTGGTTGAACCATTTTACATTCTCACAAACAGTGTGTGTGGCTCCAGTTCCTCCACATCCTAAGCCACACTCAGTGAGGTCAGTTCTTTAAATTATGGCCATTCTAGTGAGTGGGGCTTCATTCTAATCTCGCTGTAGTTTAATTTTCACTTCCCTGGATACTGACAATATTAGGCATATTTTCACGTTCTCCTTGATCATCTCATGCATCTTCTTTTGTGGAGTGTCTGTTTCCATCATTTAACCATTATTCAATTGTATATCTTCTTCTTGTTGGGTTGTAAACGTTTGTTTATATATTCTAGATATAATTTTTGCCAGATATACACAGCATATTGAAAGTGCATGTGTGTATGTATGTATATGTATGTGTGTGTATATATATATATTTCAATATACATATTTGCCATTCTGTAGTTTGTTTCTTGGGAGTGTTTTCAAAGAGCAAAAGTTATAACTTGGATAGAAACCAGCATATCAAGTTTTTCCTTTTGTGGTTCATACTTCCCATGTTCTATCTATAGGAAAACTTTTCCTACCTCAAAGTCACCTCATGTTTTCTCCTATGTTTTCTTCTGTACCCTTTCTAGTTCTACATTTAAATCCATGATTTTTTTTTTTTTTTTTTTTTTGGAGACAGAGTCTTGCTCTGTTGCCCAGGCTAGAGTGCAATGGTGTGATCTCGGATCACTGCAGCCTCTGCCTCCCGGGTTCCAGCAATTCTCCTGCCTCAGCCTCCCGGGTACCTGGGATTACAGGCACGTGCCACCACGCCTGGCTAATTTTTGTATTTTCAGTAGAGATGGGGTTTTACCATGTTGGCCAGGCTGGTCTCAAACTCCTGACCTCAGGTGATCCGCCTGCCTTGGCCTCCCAAAGTGCTAGGATTAAAGGCATGAGCCACAACACCCAGCCTATGATGGATTCTGAGTTAATTTATGTTTGATGTGCGTGAAGGGTCAATGTTCTTCTGTTTTTTAAATTTTTTCCGTATGGTTATCCAATTGTTGGTGCACCATTTGTTCAAAAGAGTTCCTTTCCCTGTGAAATTACCTCGGCGGTTTTGTCGGGTATCAATCAGCCGTCTGTGTGTGGCCCTGCCTCCTGTCACCCTGCTCTGACGCCTTCCTTCTGTCGACACCACCCTGTCTTGATTCCTGTGCGTTTCAAGTGAATCTTGAAATCTGGTAGCGTCAGCCATTCGACTTTACTCCTTCCAAAATTGCTTTGGCTCTTCTAGGTCATTTGCATTTTCCTATGAATTTTAGAATCCACTTGTCATGTAAAAAAAAAAAACCTGCTAGAATTTTGACTGGGATTGTCAAAATCACTCTCAAAAATCACTGAAGTTGACTCTGAAATGCAGCATGCAAGGGTTTGGGTGTGCAACTTGTACGTGAGTTCTAGTGCACAAAAGAAAGTGAGAGCCAGCAAGCCGGGCTAGAGGGGATAAAGGAGAGAGTGGTGGCGCATGTGCCCAGGCTCCCGTCGGTCCCTGAGAGCTTTCCTTTCCCTAGAGTGACCACAGGGTGGGTAGGAGGTTCCCTAGGATCCCTGGAGGGTGTGTCCCTTTATTAATAATGATAAAGGGTGTGATGTAGACTCCTTAACCTTACTACATGTGAAAAGAGTGTTTATTGCTGAAAGGATTAAATAAGATAAGACGCTGAGTAGTTGAGCTGCAAATGCTTGTGGATTGAAGTCTAAAGCCAGCTTACATAGACCCACCCACCTGCCCATTTCCTGCCGTGGCCTCCTGTGTCCCAGCCACCACCATCGTCCCATGGCGCATGGCTGACGTGCTGTCCTGCAAAGGGCCAGGCGTTACCCTCTAGCATGTACCACTCTCCACTGGCTTCGTTCTTGGGGCTCATGATACATATTATTTGGTTACTTCCACCTTGGAGTATCACAGGTCAAATCAGCCAGTAACTCGTGGAACTAACCCACGAGTGGTGTTTACCCCTGGATAATGGCCCAGTGGAGGGGCTGGCCTGCAGCTCACACCCACCATGGTTTTGCTGAATGGTGCTCGTTAGACTTTGCATAATCGAATTTAGCCCAGCTCTATGAAGGCTCTGCACAAGCTAGTCCCCTCTCTCCGCTATTTGATGGAATAATAGATCCATAGGAGAATTCATTTGCAACTCTAAGCCCCGAGTTAAAGACGTCTCAAGGGATGAACGTGGGTGATTTGTGGAACACTGCGATGCATTTATGAGATAGATTGCACGTTCACCGCGGCGCTCAAAGAAACCAGATCGGGTTGCATTAGAGGCGGTGCTGTAATCCGGCTGTCCTCTGGGAAAGAATGCAAGCTTCCAGTGTGCGAAGTATGAGGGGCTGCAGAGGAAATTGCTTTGGTGGCTCTGGTCCTGGGAGCAAGTACCTGCTTCTCGTTCATTTAAGCACATTAGCGAGCTTCATAAACACTTAAGTGGCTCACGAGATGCTTCACTTCCAGGCCTCGCCCCACCTCCTCCGCTGTCACACAGAGGCCACCAGAAACCACGGTCTTCTGGGTTTGACAGCCAGGCAGACAGGACCAGGCCAGGCTGCAGCTGCTAACCCCTGCGCTGGCAACTTCCAGACCCCCTGCACAATGTCACCGTCCAGTCATTCCTCCCTGGGCTGCCTGCCTTCATGGGGCCCCTGCAATTAAAAAAAACAACAACTTATTCTCACTCCTTTCTTTTAATATGTCTTATTAATAACTGTGTAAATTTGTTTACTTTTTAGGACTCCATCATGATGTAAAGTAGATAAAACAACCAATTTGTCTTTCTTTTTCTTGGTACATGGGTGTCCTGCAGCCTTCATTCCTTCCAACCCCCGCTTCACGTTCACGAGTATGAAGTTGAATTAACTCATGCTTTGCTGAAGCCGGATTGTGAGATTGTGTAGGCAGACGTGGCTTTTCTTCTGAGCCTGCAAAGCAGCAGAATTCATGACAATGGGTTCCGTAGTAACAGGGACTGACTGCGCCATGCTGTCTCTGTCCATCCTTACAGCGCTCAGGAGTTTGCATGCCATTACTGGGACCATTTTACAGAAAACAGAGGCTCCCAGGGGCAACGTAACCTGCCCCAGGACAGGCAGCCACAAGGCAGAGAAAGGAGGGTTGGACCTGCACCTGTGAAACCACAGCCCTGGGGCATGGCTTCTGAGACTCATAGCTGGGGCTGAAGATCCCTAGGGGGGCTCTGCTGGGCTCACTGCTCTCCAGAGTGGTCCAGCCCGGCTGCAGGGTGCTGCTTCCAGCTTGGTGCACTGCGGCCGGAGGAGGTGGAGGATGGAAAGTAAGATTCAAAGACAGGGAGTGCAAGGGGACAGTGATACTTGAGGACTCCGAGGAGGAAGTAGGAGAATCATCCGGAATGGCCAGCCTGGGCCGAGCCTGGGCCAACACCTGGGTTGAGCCCAGCCCACAGAGCGGCTCCCGGGTCCTTGCACCTGCAGGAGGCCAGAGCTGCTTTTACCTTCAAATGTTAGATGAGGTGCCAGCACCTGGACAGGAGACGTCCTGCAGTCAGCTCACAGACATGAGGGTGTCGACTCCCCAGTACCCTTCCTGGAGACGCAGAAGTCAGGGTTTTAAAGTGGGGGTAAAGACACCAGCTGCCTCATGTGGGTGTGGGGAGCATCCTGTTGGCCCATGTGCTGGGGAGGGGCTCCAGGACTCTGGCCACATGTGTTCTGTGACCTTCCAGGCCAGTGTGGCCTGGCCCTGCCCCACCTCCCCTCGCCTTCTCCAGTCTGGCCACACTTGCCTTCTCCCAGCCCCACCACAGGACCTTTGCACATGCTCTTCCTGCTGCCTGGAGTGCCCTTTCCTAACCTGGCTAGCCCTGCTCATGCTCCAGATCCCAGGTCAGCTGTCACTTCCCAGTGGAGCTGGCCCTGCCCTCCTCGACTAGGTCAGGACCTCCTAGTCTCGGCTTCAACCCCCACCTTGGGCTCACCTTGCTCCTCTCTTAAGCACCATCATGATCACTCTTGCACCTTCGCCCCCAACTGCATGGATTCCATTTCAACCCCACTGGCCAGACACCAACTGGGTATCCTGCAATTCACTTCTGACACTGTCTAGCAGAGGCAGCTCAGACCCCACAGGTTAAGGACAAAAGTCTCCAAAAGACTACCCCCACTTCAGATGCAAGCCACAAGTCCCGGGGGACCTTGGCTACAAATTCTGGAGTTCCCACAACATGCTCAGAATGGATAACTCACTGGAATGACTCACAGAACTCAGTTACCTCTAATTGTGCTTTCATTATAAAGGAAACAGAACGCATAGGGTGAGGTCTGGGAGGGGCAGAATTTCCATCCCTCTGTCATGGAGTCAGCAGGGGTCAGCAGGGGTCTCCTTCCAGCACATCCATCTGTCCACCAGCACAAAGCTCTGCTGAGCTTCAGTGTCCAGGATTTTTATTGTGTTTTGTTATGTAGATATGATTAATTAACACATTGGCCTCACGATTGAACTCAGTCTCCAACACCCCCCCACCCCCATCTGGAGGTCAGGCTAGCTCCAAGTCCCCAACTCTCTGGTCCTGTGCCTGGTCTTTCTGGCGACCAGCCTCCCCATCCTAAAACCACCCAGGGGCCAACAGTGAGTCACTTCATTAGCATAACAAAGACACTCCAATCTCTCAGGAAATTCCAAGGGTTTTTAGATGCTCCATACCAGGGCCCAAGGACAAAGGCCTCTTGTCTGCTCTGCCTGCAGCAAGCTCAGAAAGGCAAGGCCTGGCCTGTTTTGCCCCCTCCTGCGTCCTAGCACCCAGCGCAGGGCCTGGGACATGGTGGGAACTCACCAAATGCTGATATTTGAAGGAGGCAGTCAGTCAGCCTGAAGGTGGCAGGGCCTACAGAAGACTTGCAAGGAGACCGTAGAAAGGAAAATGCGTCTGTCTTTGAAGAGCAGCAGGAAGGGCTCAGAGGTGCCCTGCTGGGCCCCCGCCCCCCTTGTCTTGCCTTTCTCAACTGCTTTTCAACCAGAGAAATGACTCGTCTAGCAAGATCCTAGGCCCTTAGTAGAGAGCTGTTTATTTGCCTTGATGCACATTTCTTTTTCCTTTATGGTATATGTTATTTTCCTCTGGCAAGATCCCTGTTTTCTTTGGAACGGTGCTTAAAATGATAGCATTTAGCCGACGAAATAGCAGCCCATCTTCTGTCTCCCTGTGACGCAGCAAAAACGCGGTGACTAGCCAAAATGCCTCGCTTCCTTTTCGTTGGCACAGCAAGTCCTTGTGCCGAGCACTGATTGCTAAATAAGGTATCTGGGCTCCAGTCACTTCATCCTAAGAGCAGTTGTAATCAGAGTTTCAGCAGCACACACCGCCCTCTCAGGGAGGGAGATGCTGGCTGGGCCGTCTTTTACAAATGGATCGTCAGTGTGTTCGGGTAATAAGGAAACGAGAGGGTTTTTCTTTTCCTCCCAAGTGCCACTGTGCATGGCGGCTTCTCTCATGGAATCTGGGTCCATTGTACTCCACTTAAAAGGACTTAGGTCGCTGGGGACCCTTTCATGACTGCCCTGATGCAGACGGTCCCGTTTTGTTGACACACTCCACACGACGGTTAGGAAAATTCCATGGGGCCTCCAGATGTGCCCCTGGAAAACAGAAGACATTCTGATGATGCCAGAAAGACTGGTCCTTTTCCATCCATCCAGGAATCGGGAAACGTTTTCTACTAAGGGCCAGTAGGCTTTTCAGCTTCATGGGCCGGATGTCCATCAGAACCACTCAGCTCCACCACTTCAGCAGGAAGACAGCCGCGGACAGCACTTAATGACCCGTCCAGACTCCAACAACGTTTTATTTTCACAAACAGTGCATGCCAGGTTTGCCCAGTGGGCTATCGTCTGCCACCCTGAACCCTGCTACAATTCTGATTCAGGTGTCCCAAATTAGGCAAAATGCACCTTGCATTTCCCTGACTTATGGGTCAAATTTTTCCAGTGATGCCTTTAATTCAAGGACAAGTATCTTGAGAAAATGTATTGTTTTTTAAAAAAAATTATACTACCATAGAAATAAATAAACTCACCAGGATGAAAGCACAGCTTCCATGAAGAATTCACATTATATACTATGAAAATCTATACCCCGTGCAATTTGAGTGTGTTTTTTCTAAAGAAGCTGGGGAAATCTTTCTGTGAGTTTCAGTTTTATAGTGTGTGTTTTGTTCTCCTTGAGAGGACCTCGTAAATCAGTTGGACACGTTTTGCTATAAAAGAAATATTTTATGTGTGAAATGCTGTCTTCAAGACTTTTCTCTTTTATCAGGGGTTTGTAAAAGTAGAAAATGGCATGTGGGTATAATTGGTTGGCCATAGTCCTTAACTGTAGATGTCATATATCTCTGCTAATGCAAAATTTATTTGCATGTCAGAACTTTATTTGAGTGGATAAGGGCAGAAGGAAGCTGCTCTGAAAACATTTCATATGAAAAGGCATATTCTGTACTTCCAAAAAAAATATTGGTCAAAACTTTGCCATCCTGTGTTAGTAGGGTGCTAAAGTCCACTAACTACCCACAGAAAACATCCCAGCAGTGTCCAGAAAGAGAACCTTGGCAAAAGTAAATCCTGCCATGTTATTAAATCAATAAGATTCCCAAAATCAGTGGAAGGAAGCTCAATTCATTTTCAATGCCCCCAGACAAATAGTAAAAATTAGCTAAAAAAAAAAAACCAAAAACCTTAACTTACCTAAAAACATGAAGATCATAAAATTTCATTCTTATTTACACAATGAAAACACATTGGGTAAAGCTTTTCAACGCCTCTTTCATTTTTCCCCCCAAGCCTAGCATCTGCCTTCGGTGTTGACTCTTCTGACTGAATATATTTTTAACTTTTAAAAGACTTGTCTTTTAACTGAAAAATAGTTTGATTTTTTGTCAAAATGGTCAAAACAATCTTGGTGCTTGAAGTTGTGTTATTTGAAGATTCAGGCCTGTCTTAAAAGCGAGAGCCCAAGAAGGGTGTTGCGGTGTGCGTTTTGGTTGTGCTGCAGTGTGCGTTTCGGTTGTACTGCAGTGTGCATTTCGGTTGTACAGTGTGACAAAACAAACCCCTCAAAGCTCAGAGGCGTCAAACAGCTGCTCCGTGGCTCTGAGGGTTGGCTGGGCTCAGCTGGCCTGTCCGGACTTGGAGTTTCTCATGCACCTGCACTCAGTGGGGTTAAGGCTGGCATCATCCCAAGCCATGACCAGCCAGGGCATGCAAGATGGCACATGTATGTGGCTAGTAGTGGACGCTGGTCACCAGCTTGGAGATATGCTGGCAGCAAAGACTGGACATGGTTCAGCCTTCTGATGGCATAGGGACTAGGTTCTGAGAGCAGATGTCCCCACAGGGAGCATTCCAAGAGTCCTCTGTGGAAACCAGAAGGCTCCTGTGACCCAGCTGTGGAAGGCGGGAACATCTCTTCTGCAGGACTGTATGAGTCAGACAGTCACTGGCCAGTCCAGGTTCAAGGGCTGGGCATAAGCCCCTCCCTCTGATGGGCAGTCCAGCATGCAAATACAGAGGGGTAGGATTCGAGGCGCCTCTTTGGAGACCATCACCCTCAGCACTAGAGGGGACTAGCGGGGAGGGCTGCCCACATCCTAACTCTTTGTATCGCCCTAGTTACATGGTGATATTGGGGAAAAAAGGCATTCTTGTACAGACCACTCCTAAATTGAATTCCCACTCTAACATGCCTCACTGCTCATCACTGAGATCCATCTCTGCCTAATACACTCAGGTCATCACGGCTTGATCTTAGCTGATTGTTTTATATTGCAACTGTCCTATCCATAAAGCCTCAGTGCAATGGAGTTGGTTGCAAAGTGAAAGTGCAAGAAATGCAAACATGCAGGATTTCATGAAGATGCCTGCGCTATCTTCATCATGAAGATGAAACTGCTATCAAGAAAGTGCAGGAATTGCAGCCACAATTATTGAGAAAGGAGGTGGAGTTCAACCAGATAACCACTGAGGAGGCAGAGATCCAGTTAGCCCATGAGAGTAGAAGACACTTACTGAAGTGATGAATGATTCAGAGAACACCTTCAGGATATTAGTAACATTCTAGACTCGTTTTTGCAAAGATCACTCTTTGCAATGGGGCTCTGAAAGGCAAATGTAAAGGGAACACCCTGTTGAGCAGCCACAATGCTTGTTAGCCGCAACAAGTCAAGTAGGACGCAGTCACTGCTTGCATGTCTTTCACCCTAAAAGTTAGCATTTAGTTGCAGTTATAAGCAAAGTTTTATTAAATACAAAATAAAATACATCTATTTTTGCAAAATTTTAGTTTTGTTTTTTGGATATGAAGTGCTAAGCAAATACTCGGTTTGCACTCTTGACTATAAAATTTCAACCCTGGTTTTCAGTGGATTCCTGTTGAAGCCTTTCTGACAGTATGGATTGTCCTTCAGAACAAAGACCTCCTGAGATGTGAATCCGGGGAACCAGGGCTGCAATGCCTGCTTTCTTCTCGGCCCGTGGCGGGCGCCATGGAGGAAGCGCTATTGTTGGTGTCCTCAGCAGGTGTCCCGATGCCTCTGGTTGTCATGGCGCTTCTCTGAGACAGGCACAGCATGGGGAGAAGTTCTGGCAATCACATCAGGTGTCTAAATGCCACTGCCCTCGCGGTGGTAAGTTCTGGAAGTCTGTAGTTGTCGGGAAGAGCCCAGGTCAGCAAATCGGCAGGCAGATTGCTCAGAAAAGTGTCAAAACAGTCAGACTTTGGATCTGAGCCGGAAGTTTCTTTTGAGTTCAGATATCACTTCAAAAACATTTTCTGTGTCCAGCTTCAGTCTTGGGGTGAAAAAGACACATTTCTTTATCCATTTCAGAGCAGAGATGACTTCTTTGAGTTCCAAGCGTGTGCTATGTGGCGAGCTTTCCCACAGGTCACGCAGAATCTCAGACTTGAAACACAGCGTCCAACACCGGCCCTGCTGTCATCCATCCATGGCAGGAGCCAAACTGTCCATTCTCTTGGAAGAGTAACAAGAGAAAGGACTAAATTTCAGAATCAGGGGTTTCAGAAGGAAAGGAAGCGGAAGGAGCATCCAGGTCAGCCCCTTGGCTTCAGAAAGGACTTAGGCAGAGGGACTGGGCCAGGGCCTCACAGCTAGTTGGGGCAGAGCTGGGCAGGCTTCTGGGCTCTGCTCGCTCATCGATGACACTGGTTATACCCACTCCAGGTGGGAGAAAAGACCCCTTTCCCCACTGCCATTTAACCACTGTTTGATCCTGCTGTGTTCTGAATGTCTGTGTCCCTCCAGAATTCATCTGCTGAAACCTAACTCCAAGGCGATGGTGTTAGAAGGCAGGGCCTTTGGGTGGTTATGAGGTCATGAGGACTCTGCCCTCAGGAATGGGATTAGAGCCTTTATAAAAGGGACTCCAGAGAGCTGCCTGGCCCGTCTTCCATGTGAGCACACATAGAAAGTACCATTTAGGAGAAAACATGCCCTCAATAGACACCAAATCTGCTGACACCTTCATCTTGGGCTTTCCAAGCTCCAGAGCTGTGAGCAATAAATTTCCATGGCTCATAAATGACCCAGTCTAAGCTCTTCTGTGATGGCAGCCCTATCAGACTACGACAGGACCCTAACAACAAGAAGAGCCAGGTTGGGTTGTGCAGGTGGCACGGCACGTTCATCCAGGTTCTCTCCAACCCTTCTTTACTAACAGGACATAGCTTCAGAAAAACTTGAGCCCTGCTGAGGTGGAAACTCTTGCAGATTTCAAATCCAATCGTTTGTATCAGCATATTCTTCTGAAGGACAGTGATGAGCACGAATGTGACCCACACTTGAAGACCACCCAGACGCAAATGCCCCAGCAGCTTCCAGAGACAGTTATTACTGTTTTAAGTGCATCTATTTAGCATGATGGATTTGATCAGTCTTTGCTAAATTGAGCACATAAGCGAGGATGTATTTAAAGGAGTGTTAGTGCACTTTTTATAAATCCCAAACGCAGGGCAAGCTGGCTCATGCCACTGTTGAAAAGCAGTGTGTGTCCGAGGAAGGGCCGCATCACACCGGGTGTGGATGGAACCATGCCTCCCTGACGTGCAGACCCTCCGAATACTCCACTTGCAGAACCTGTTTTTAAACAAACATCATTATTATCAGGTCAGTGAAACATCCCCATATCGCTTATGCTCATCATCTGCTGTGCAAATATTTGTGGCTTTAAAAGAATAACAGATCGTGAGAACTCCAGTAAAATGATTGCAGAACTAACCACCCTTTTAAGTAGAAGTGACATTTCTAACAGGCCCACTCAGACGGTTCCAGCCTTCGCTTTGGGGTTCTACATTAAACTCCACTTAGGCTGCCTGCAGTGAGGGGCAGAAGGCTGCGTTACAGAGACTCAAAGGCAAAACGTGGGGTGCTTGCCTGCACCCAGTGGAGCCTCATCCACGATCAGTGACTTCCAGAGACAGGCAAGGGTGTCAGGAGGCTCCCGGGATGCACTGAAGCAGCTCCTTTTAGGAAACAAGCGGCAAAGAAGAATTTTAACCCTCTTTATGCTGATAAAAAAATACACACGTGTGGGAATGCATGTCTTGGGTTTGAGCACTGATCCTTTTTCTGCAGTCCCCCGGCCTTGGCACTGTTGGCCTCAGGGGCTGAATCACCCCATGGTGGGGGCTGCCTTGTGCATTGAAGGTTGTTTAACAGTGTCCCTGGCCGCCACCCTTTAGATGACCCCTAGGTGCACCCCTTCTTCCTTCCTCCACCCCCAGGTATGTGAATCACAATGTCTTTAGACGTTGCCAGTGTGTCTTGGAGACCAAAGCAACCCCTGATTGAGAACCGCTGCCTAGGAAGACACACTTTTCATTTGTTTGTTGTTTTTTAATGTAATCTATAGTTGAGAGACACCCTGCCCCACCTAGGTGTGAAGCACCTCGCTTTACCTGGAAGGCTGGGCATATTTAAATACCACTCCCCTGCACGCTTATTTGTCGCAGAGTGGTTAATGCTCTTTAATTGGTGCAGTAAATATTCCAGAGTCTTCCTTGTTATGCCGGAGTCATTTAGAAATCAGCCCTGAAATGTGGCTGCTATTTTAGGGATCATCACACATCATCTGCTGTTTGGTGTTAAACCCTGAGCCGCTGTTATTTAACACTGATTAATAAATGGCAGGTTGTCAGTACCGGCAGTGAAGACACTTCAAGGAGCCATTGTTCTTTTAAATTAAAACATTTAAACATTTAAATCCAGGGCTGGTTCTCATGGCTCGTTTTAATTATTCCTTTTGTCTTGGCATACCTTTCTTCTCCTGATCACACAGCTGTCACGCCAGCAGTACCTGGAGTCGGAACACGACAGCCCTTTCCCTATTAGCTGCCATTATTTTCGCAAGGAAAGCTGGAAGCTGCTGGAGCAGATGTTAATTTTGAGAGAAGACTGCTGGCTAAGTTATTAAAATGAGCGCATCCGAAGGCTGCGACTCATATGATTTATACGCGGGCAGGGCCTGCAGGACCGGGTCTTGCTTGGCTCTGTATGTGTGTGTGTGTGTGGATCTGTGTATGTGTGTCTCTCTGTGTGGTGTGTCTGTGTATCTGTCTGTCTCTGTGTGTGTGATTGTGTGTATCTCTCTATGTGTCTATATCTCTGTGTGTCTGTGTATGTGTCTGTGTGTGTGTATGTCTGTATCTCTGTGTGTGTGTCTTTGTGGATATCTGTGTGTGTGTCTGTGTGTGTATCTGTGTGTGTGATTGTGCGTATCTGTATATGTGTCTATATCTGTGTGTGTCTGTATCTATGTGTGTGTATCTTTGTGGATATCTCTGGTTGTCTGTGTGTGTGTCTGTGTGTGTATCTGTCTGTGTGATTCTGTGTGTGATTGTGTGTATCTCTATATGTGTCTCTGTATGTCTGTGTGTGTATGTCTGTATCTATGTGTGTGTGTCTTTGTGGATCTCTCTATGTGGGTGTCTGTGTATCTGTATATGGCTGTGTCTCTCTTTGTGTATTTTGTGTGTGTTCATGTGTATCTATGTGTGTGTGTGTATGTGTATGTATGTGTGGGTTTCTTTGTGTATGTATTTTTGTGTATCTGCACGTGTGTTTCTCTGTGTGTGTCTGTGTATATTTTTGTGTTTCTGCATGTGTGTGTCTATGTGTGTCTGTGTGTGTATTTGTGTGTATCTGTATATATGTGTATGTGTGTGTGGGTTTCTTTGTGTGTGTATTTGTGTGTATCTGCATGAGTGTTTCTCTGTGTGTGTCTGTGTATATTTGTGTGTTTCTGCGTGTGTTTTTGTGTATCCGTATGTATGTGTATCTTTGTGTGTCTTTGTGTACATCTGTGTCTGTGTGTATATCTGTGTGTATATGTATGTGTGTTTCTCTGTGTGTGTGTATATTTGTGTGTTTCTGCGTGTGTGTTTTTGTGTATCCGTATGTATATCTTTGTGTGTCTTTGTATACATCTGTGTCTGTGTGTATATTTGTGTGTATATGTATGTGTGTTTCTCTGTGTGTGTCTGTGTATATTTGTGTGTTTCTGCATGTGTGTGTTTTTGTGTATCCGTATGTATGTGTATCTTTGTGTGTCTTTGTGTACATCTGTGTCTGTGTGTATATTTGTGTGTATATGTATGTGTGTTTCTCTATGTGTGTCTGTGTATATTTGTGTGTCTGCGTGTGTGTGTCTGTGTGTGTCTGTATCTATTTGTGTGTATCTGTGTGTATATGTGTGTGGGTTTCTTTGCGTGTGTGTTTGTATGTATCTGCATGTGTGTTTCTCTGTGGCTGTGTGTATCTCTGTGTGCGTGCACGCATGTGTTGATGGAGCATTTTCCCTTCCCATCTTGGTGCTTGCTACGGGGAATTCTTGTCCCTAGTCTTTTTTCTCCACTCTTCCCCCACTCCCTATTGCAAGAATCCCAGCCTGACCCTGGCCACCTCTGGCCAGGGATTGTATTCGAAGACTGTCAGGAAGCTCTGGAATCAATGGAGCTGGGGGACCCCAGCTGAACAATATCCAGGAACCAAGAGGCCTGTGGAGAGCCAGGCAGGGCCCCGGCCATCCCCAGGCAGGACAGCATCAGTGCTCAGAGTCTGACTCCGAAGGAAAGGTCCACTTGGCCAAGCCGAAGGCATGAGTTGTTGCCCCAGGTCTCTCCTTCAAAGTGAGTGGCCATAGCACCCCATGCCAAGACCAGCCACAGTGAGGGCCCTCTGAGGCAGGCGGGGCATGGGAGTGCAGATGATAGGAAGGGTGGGAGTGACGAAGAGCTGGGCAAGACCAATGCCCCTCAAACCTCCCCTGGCTTCCCTCCGGCCCCTCCTCCCCCTCTCCCCTCCCTTCCTCTTCCTTCCTTCTTCCAACAGGTCAGCAGGAGGCAAAGGGACCAAGGCCATTCTACTTTTAGTTCTAGAGAAGCAATTTTCTCACCAACTTCAGAATACACCGGGTTTGTGTTATATTTCACAGTGCTCTCGATTTTTAAAAAAGGAAAAAGAAGTAAAGCCATGTTGCAGCATTAAAGGTAGAGACTTGCGAGACCTTTCCCAGGATGTGACGTGCTGGCTGGACGCCATGGTCCTTCGCCCTTTCCTGATTTGACATGGGGAGGGAGGGTTCCCAGCCCATCTGAGCTAGTCCTCCGCGCAGTCCTGAAGGAGGCCATCTGTGGGCCAGTGCCTGGCGTCCTTTCCTCCAGAACGCTGGCCCTGGAGCCTCCCATGCCCGCTGGTGGATAGCAGTTGGTTACAGTGTAGCACACATGGCAGTGAAACTGAAACCACAAGGAAACTGTGGGTGCGCAGTTGATTTAGAAGTGATGATTCCTAGGTCCACTTTAAGAAAGACCATGAAAAATGAAATCAGAGATCAAATGTGTGGGTCATACTTGGGAAGGGTGTGTTTTACTAAGATGACCTTGGAACCAGACTGGACTAGCAGTCACTAAGCAGTGTCAGCCAGAGATAATCATGTAAAATACATTTATTAGACCAAGGCCTACTGCTATTTTCTTATAAACTTATTTCTACAAGTTTGTCTCACTTTTATTTATATATCTAAAAATAAGTAGGGGTGCAAAAATGTACATAAATACTTGATTAATTATTTTGCTTACAAAATTACTTCTCCAATAAAAAGATTATACTTTGATCATACCCATAGTTTAAGTTAAAACAATTTTAAATAAGATCTAGCGTCATACTTTTAAACAAACAGTCTTATTCTATTGGCATCACTTGCACTGTTCCGTGTCATCAAACGTTCATAGCTGCATAAACATTCCATCTCATGGATTATCGTTCAGCTGATCCGCCTCATCTTAAAAAGTTGGGTTGCTTGCACTTTTCATGATAGAAGGTGGCTGTAAAGCGAATTCTTGTGCATGCGTTTTTCACACATCTCTGTTCATTTCCTTGGGGTTGACTCCCAGGACTGAAGAACTAGAATGGTTTTAAGGTTTCCGCATGTGTTGCTGGTCTGCCCGAAGAAAGCCCAGCCCGCTTATCCATTCATGAGTTTGTGTGTGTCTGAGCACCTGTCTCACCTTAACCCAGGGTATGTGTTGGGGTGGAGAGTGTGTACAATTATATATATACCTTAATAAATATATTCAGTTTGGCCAATTTGTTAGGGGAAAATTGTTATTTACACATTTTTATATGTCATTATTAGTGAAGCTGAATTTTTATTGCCAATTGTTTATTGGTCATTAGTTTTTTTCTTTGTAAATTAGTCATCTCTTTGGATTTTGTGTGTGTTTATTTTAACTTACGTTTTTCCCTCTGGAGTACATATCTTTTCCAGTATGATTTGGAGGAATTCTTTGTATACTGTTTATTTACTAACCTTTTTGCCTACCATACTCATTATAAATACTCTCTGTGATTTTGTCTTTTGGGTTTATTCATGGTGTTTTTTGTTTGTTTGCTTGTTTGTTTTTGAGACGGAGTCTCACTCTGTCACTCAGGCTGGTGTGCGGTGGTGCGATCTCAGCTCACTGCAACCTCCGCCTCCTGGGTTCAAGCAATTCTCCTGCCCCAGCCTCCCAAGTAGCTGGGATTACAGGCATGCGCCACCACGCCCAGCTGATTTTTTTTTTTTTTTTTTTTTTGTATTTTTAGTAGAGACAGGGTTTTGCTATGTAGGCCAAGCTGGGCTCAAACTCCTGACCTCAGGTGATCTGTCCACCTCGGCCTTCCAAAGTGCTGAAATTACAGGCATGAGCCAGTGTGCCCGACCTATTCATGGTGTTTTCGATATAAAGGCTTTCCTGGTATTTGGAAGTCATGCTTTTCAGTCTTGTCCCATTTCACTTTTTAATCATTCGGGGTCTCCTACTTTCCCCTTTCCCACTCAGATCCATTTTCTCTCCCCTGCTCATTCTACTTCCTTTTTTTTTTTTTTTTTTTTTAGCTTGAGATGGTGCATGGAAAATTTTAATACGATGCATGGGAAGGGAGGAGAAGAGGTAGGAGCAAGAGTAGAAAAGGAAAAATAAGACTTGGATGGCGAGGACGAGAATGTCACCTTTTGCCTGTATCTTCAAACTCTATTTTTATTTGCTTTTTAAAACATAATGATGTACAAGACTTTCATTTGGAAATTATATCTTCATTCCATAACCCTCTTTTTTACCTTCCTTTCATCATATTTTCCAACACTTTCCCCAGAATTCTCCCTCTTCCTTCATTTTCCTTCTTCTCTTACTTTCCCAACACTCTGAAGCATGAACTTACTTTTTGGAGGTCATGGGCTTTTCCCAAGATTCTGCCACCAGCATCCTGTTTGTCTTTCTTGTTCGTCCCTGGGGCTTTCTATGCTGATTTCCATACCTAATCAAGGTAGAAAAGAACCAAAAGGATCTTAAAAGTGGGTTGGCCCAGGCTTTGCTGGTTTGTTTCAGCCCAGCAGGTCTTTAGACTCCATGCTGGCTGGAAGCCAGTGCCCCAGGAGACATTTGCACTTAATTCCTTCTGTATCCCAGGAATCACGGACAGCTGGGCACCTTGTTTTTACATTCTGCTGACTGTGAAGAAGGTGCTTTTATAGTTTCCATAAGCGATGTTTATGAAACAAACCTGCACTCTTCCAGACCGGAAAGGTATTATGCGAACGTTTTATGAGCAGAATGTAGAAATTAATGGAGAAAAACTACTAGAAATTTGGGTCGTTTGATGTTGTTTGCTACTCGCACCCAACAGAGTACGGTTAATCATACATCACGGCACAGCCTCCTCCAATCTCCTTCATAATGTGTTTTTTTATTTCCATTTGTGTTGGGGGTTTTGTAAAATACACACATTGTGCTCTCTGGGAAGATAATGGGTGTCTCTGAAAGGACAAAGCGGACTCTGATTTAGTCGGCTCTGTGCTGTGATAGGAGCAAGAGGAGTTTTTTGTATTGCATTATCACCATTCTGGTGGTAGAAAATGACTTAAATAGACCTAGCCTCCGAAATCGTCACTGTGTTAAGCCTTGTTATGATGAACTTTTCCTCGCGTGCACGTGCAGTTCTGTATAATGAATATACAGATAGGCACCCGCGCATCTGAGGTTTTCTTTTTGATACTCTGAAAAGGCTATTCTTTCTTTTTTTAGGCCAAACTTCGAGGTTAGTGATGGGGAAATAGCAATAATAATAATAACAACAGCGTGAAAAATAAAATCGAAAAGCCCTGGCATATTTAAATTTTGATTAGAAGCCAGCTGCAGTGTCTGGATTCTACAGTAGGTCAAGTTAAGGGGCTGCTGGGTCCTGAATATTCAGACTTTTTCTCTACTTTTTAAAACCTGGATCCACATTAACTTCTGTCACTTCACACACAGCCTCTGGGGAAGCAGTTGGGGATGGGATGGCACCTGCCCACTGTGTGCAGTGCCAGGGGCTGGGTGAGGGTGTTCAGGCTTCATCTTTGCTGCTTCAAGGGGCACTGGTGCCAGCCACATTAGCGTTTTAACCCAAGCCAAGGCTGTCCTCAGAGGCCCACAGCATGGTGCATTTATCTCCACGGGGGGGCCGAGGGACCTTGAAACCAAGGTCAGTGTGGATGGCTAGGCCAGCTGCCATTGGACCCAAGGAAAGGGGAAATTAAAACCATTCATTTACATATTCCTGATTCTCATGTTTGCTCCCAAGCTCTGTGCAAAGGCTAGCCTCCACTCTTCCCGGCAGCTCCACTCCCTGAGTCACTCCGCTAATAAGGACTATCCAGCCTGCCTTCTAGTCTCTCTCCGTAGCCTGTGACGTGGGGATATTTTGTAATCAGACGTATAGTCCATCTTGCTTAAATGGTAATTTGTACAGTCTCCTAATAGTGTATGAAGAGAAGGAGGAAAAGAAAGAATTCCAACTTTTATTGCTTTGTAAAGATCATTTTAACAGTAGTGTATGTTGATGGTAGAGAATTAAAAAAAAAATGGATAAGACTTAAGAACTTGAAATCACCACTGCTAATATTTTGATCTACAAATACCTTTTCTAGCCTTTATCACTAACTCTACAGAAGTGAAATTATACCAAATACTTTTGGTTTTCTCCTCAATGTACCCGTATACTGAGGCTATTATTAGACTTAATTTTCTATACCATTTTTAAGAGCTGCATAGATTCTGTGGTATTTTGTGGTACTTCATATGGTAATTTCCATAACCAAGTTGGAAAATATGCTTTCTTTCAATTATCCTATCATCAGATGGGTAAAAGGCACTCACACACACTTTGCTTTTGCAAAACCAGCGAGAACTCTGTGTTCCCTTTTGGAGCAGGTGCCGTTTGCAGCACTGCTGGCCTCTGCCCCTGACTAATCTCAACCCTTATTCAGAATGGAAACTTGAGGGTATGTTAATTTCTACAGTGTTGACAATGATGTCATTACAATCAAAACTATCTTAGTGGATTCTTTTAAGTCTTCTTGAATGACCTTCTGTTCATGAATGTTTAACCCAAGTCTGGTTCAGGGCTGTCTCTGTATGACTCACCTTCCTGGGATAATCCTCCAGGACAGGGCCTTGGTGGGACCCCAGCCTTCAAACTTCTGGACAGTTGAGACTAAAGGGAAATGATGCTTCCAAGAGGGGCTCAACAGGACCCACAGATCCAGCCTTACACACATGCATTGGCCCAGCCATGCAGGGAAATAGAAACAGTTCTCCCAAACTGTTCTCCATGCCTTTTTAAGTCTGTTTTCACAGCAGTGGGGGCTGAGATGCTGTGTGATTTGCACCAAGCCTTAACCTCTAAAGATACAGTTTATTTCATCTGTGCTGGGTCTTCACTTGACAGAGGATTTATTAAGGAAGACTTCAGATGCGAACGGCTGCTTTGATATTGAAATATGCTTTCGGTTTTGCAAATACGTTTGAGGTTCTATCTATGTCTATTCCTATTAAAAGCTCAGTTCCCTCATCATTGTCCCAAACCGAGAAGGTGTCTGAGCTTGCTGTGATAAGACAAGGACTTCTCAGGGCCTGGATCCACAGCTCCAGGATTCATTCAGCAAACTGCTCGGTGGCCACTGTTGTCAGGACACTGGGTTAGGGCAGAGAGAACCCTGCTCTCCAATGGAGAGAGTCTGCTGCTGTGCTCCAAGAGTGGAGGTGGCTAGAGCGGGGTTTTCTCTGCTCTAACCCAGTGTCCTGACAACAGTGGCCACCCAGCAGTTTGCTGAATAAATCCTGGAGCTGTGGACCCAGGTCCTGAGGAGTCCCTGTGCTATCACAGAACACCAGATAGCCATGATGCATCTGACACAGTCCGTTTGTGAGGAAGTCCACAAACCTGGATCATAAGCCTCCATAGAGAGGGGCCTGGAGGCTCAAGAGAGCGGAGGGTGTTTTGTGGGAATAGATGCTCACCAGCTTTTCTGAGCTTTTTCCCTCCCTCTCACGCCCCCCCCCTTCCCTCCGTGTCATCCTGCCACCTGTGCATGTTTCTTCAATAGAGTCTTGAGTAACTCTATGATAGAGAGCTGTGCCTGGTGCTGCGGAAGCCTGATGGGCATGATACTTGGCACCTGGCTTCAAAAAGCGGCTGCATATAAGGAGGAAACGGCACGGACCACCATGGAGCATGTGCGTCTCAGCTGCGTCAGAGTGGTTCAGAGTGCTTGGCCTCACGCAGACCTGGCTATGAATCTCAGGTAGGATTGTTGCTTACTTGAAGCCACATCTTCAAAGCCTCAGTTTTGTAATCTGCAAAATGGGTATAATAATACCGTTATATATCTTAATCCTATTTCCAAGATACAGGCAAGCTAACAGGTTCAAATGAGAAAATGCTTCTGGGGCAAAGCCTGAAGTGGCAGCATTTCTTCCTCTTCTACCTTCCAAGTAGGTCCTTTGCTTACTGGGTAAAGGGAAGATCGCCGGAGCCCTGAGAGTCTATGTGGACATACCTAGGAGAGCTGGGGTCGCCAAGGAAAACTGTAGAAGGTGGGAGGGAGGAGGGCACTAAAGAGAGGAGAGGGGAAGGAGGAGGAGGGGGTAGGAGGCTGGGAGGAAGGCCTCCAGGGTGGACTCTGGACAGGGCAGGAGGGCTCCCTGGCCGTGGTGTGCCAGGGATCCCAGCATACAAGCTTCCATTTGTCTCCAAAAGCCTGATCTGCACAACATAAATGAGGAGGGATGTAGAGACTTCCCAGCTCTTCTCATGCCTAGGCACTTAGATGATTTAGGGAGAAACCACTGGAAAATTAATTATCCAGATAATTGCCTAACACTTAACTTCACTTTATAAAATGGAAACTTGATTGTGAGTCTTGACATCCACCCCTTCAGTGTCCTTCAGAAAACGGCTGTGGCCCCTTCCTGAGAACCTGGAGCATTCGCGCTTTTCCTTTCATTTGTGGATTGTGACGCTGGCTCAGCCTGTGCTTGGGCTCCACTGCAGAGTTGCGCGGCTGGTGGAGGCTTGTGCTCAGGTTGTAATAAAGCAATAGCCTTTCACCTTCCCAGGCCGGGCCCACAAACAGGCAGGTGGCAGACTTACATGTTGAGTTCCAGGTGTCTTTGGAATTAATCTCGTGTCAGAAAATTATATGAGATGATGCCTGATGCCTCTTGTCCATAATAGATCTTAGTCCCTCATTTAAGGATTTCCTTACACTGCTTGATAGAGAAGAAAAGCCAGCCTTAAGTAGCTTTATGTAGGGAGCTTGATTTCTGAAAAGATTGCTAATCCTAGTGGGAATTTATATAAAAGCGTTCAGACTCTGCAGAATAGCCACGTTTTCGATATTTATCAAATGCAGCTCTTCTTGTGTGAATAATGCATTCTGGGGCAGGCTTGGTAAATTGCTTTAGTTAATGAATTTCAAAGGTAGAGATGGTTGTTGAAGCATCTCATCTGGTGAGCTTGCTGTTTGAGTTTTGCTATTTATTCAGTTTTTAAATTTTTCCAATTGTTGAAGAGTTTTCCCACACCGTACAGAAGTAAGGCAGGGAAAGCAAGAGGTGTGTGATTTGGTTGATTCTTCACACTTCATCTTTGTGATGCATTTTTTTTTATGTGTAAAGGCCTTGCAGGCCTTGTGATTCAGACAGTAAAACCTTGAGAAAGTGGCCCCTGGCAGGTGGAGAAGATATGAAATAGGGGAGTGAGACAAAAACAGAAAACTGAGTGACACTTATTATGTTTCTCAGCTTTTCCACCATCCATTTACACCACAGCCCTGGGTTCTAACCAGTCTGCCTTCTTATAATAACACACTTAATAAAAAGCATAGCTGGTATTTAATCTTGTAACTTCTTAGAAGTTAAACTAGTGATGTGTCTTCTCCTAAGTTAGCAGTATAGAAAAAGCTTCTATTAAGAAGCAAATAAAGAAATGAAAATCAAACTTCCTGGGAAGTAATTATATGAGTTTATAATAAGCCATAAGACATTTGAAAGGAAGGGGAAAAAAGCCAATGAAAGAGTGTATTGAGGATATTAAGTAATTTTAATGTCACCATTTGATATCCAGGAACTTGAACAATTTATAGTTCTTGAAATTGTCAAATTGAAGCATTCATTTTTCTGTCATGGGAGCAGTGGCAGTGATGGGGGATTATATATCTCAGCATATAAGAAGAAGGAACTCGCATTGCACTTTGAAGATGCAAGTTCCTGTGGGGCGGCCCAGCAGAGACGTCAGGGCTGAGCTTGCTGGGTTCGCATGTGTGGAATCCCAGCCGGCTGTGAGGTCCTCCAGGAAGTGACGGGACCCCCCTGAGCTTCTTCCAGTGTCCTGTCTCTCATGGGAGGAGGATGCTATTACCACCCACTTCTTAGGTCCTCAGGAGTAAAGGATTCAGTGTGTGGAAAAGGCTCTGTGTGGAGCTGGGTCCAGGGTGCGCTCAACCCATAACAACCAGAGCCACAGAGAAAGATGGTGCCTTCTGGGCAGCTCACCTGCAGACAATCTGCAGGCTGTAGATTTGATTCTATGTATTTAAAAACCAAATACTTGGCCTATCTTTCTTTGCGGAATTATAAGATATAATCTGAAAGACCAAAAAGTGACCTGATATGGTTTGGCTGTGTTCCCACCCAAATCTCATCTTGAATTGTAGTTCCCATAATCCCCACATGTTGTGGGAGGGACCCAGTGGGAGGTAATTGAATCATGGGGGCAGTGACCCTCATGCTGTTCTCCTGATAGTGAGCGAGTTCTCACAAGATCTGAGGGTTTTATAAGGGGCTTTTCCCTCTTTTGCTCTGCACTTCTTCCTGCCGCCTTGTGAAGAAGGATAGGTTTGCTTCCCCTTCTGCCATGGTTGTAAGTTTCCTGAGGCCTCCCCAGCCCTGTGGAACTGTGAGTCAATTAAACCTCTTTCTTTTATAAATTACCCAGTTTCGGTAGTTCTTCATAGCAGTGTGAGAACAGACTAACACATGGCCATCCTGGTGACCTGTGTGCACTCTGATGAAATTCCGCAGCATGAGTCTGCCTGTGTGTTCACTGAGTTCCCTTCTCCCAGGCCCTGGGCCGGCTGCTGGGATACAGTGGTGACCAAAGTGGAGACAGTTCCTATCCTCACGGAGTTTATACTCAAGACGGGGAGTCAGCAAAGTAAACAGGCAGCCACAACCATGGGGTGAACTTTGTTATGGGGACATGCACCTGGGGGGAAGGTTGTGATGGGAGGGGCACCCGGGTCAAACACGGGCGGTTGTTAGTGAAGAGCCCGCAAGACAGAGTAGGAGTCAGGGGGAACAGGGAGGGAGGGGCATTTTTTTCTTTCTTTTTTGAGACGGAGTCTCACTCTGTCCCCCAGGCTGGAGTGCAGTGGCGCGATCTCGGCTCACTGCAAGCTCCGCCTCCCGGGTTCACGCCATTCTCCTGCCTCAGCCTCCGGAGTAGCTGGGACTACAGGCGCCTGCCACCATAGCCAGCTAATTTTTTGTATTTCTAGTAGAAACGGGGTTTCACCGTGTTTGCCAGGATGGTCTCGATCTCCTGACCTCGTGATCCGCCCACCTTGGACTCCCAAAGTGCTGAGATTACAGGCATGAGCCACCGCGCCCTGCTGGGAGGAGCATTTTAGGCAGGGGAGCAGTGTATATGGTAGCCTGCAGGTCAGAGGTCTGTGGCAAACGCAGGAGCCTGTACCTGGTGTTCGTTTTCCCCACTACGGGGGGCAGTGGTGCAGGAGTGGTTTGAAGGGTGGGTTCCGTGACCAGGGTAGGAAGCATGGATTTTATTGCAAGCAATTGAGAACCATTTAAGTGTTTTATTTTCTTTAACAGCTTTATTGAGATATAATTCACATACCATAAAATTCACCTTTTTAATATAATTCAGTGGTTTCTAGTTTATTCAGTTATGCAGCCATCACCACCAATTCAAGCACATTTTCATCACCCCAAAAAGTTCTATGTAATTTTTCATCTCACGTGTAGATTTGTGTAACCACCACAACCAACATCCCAGAGTGTTACATCTCCACAAGCATATACTTTGTAAAGACATCAATATCAAGTCCAACTTTGAGATACAGGAAGATGAGATGGAAAGCATATACACTGCTTGGTGATGTTCAATATGTAAGCACTCCAGAAGAAAGCACAGCCACAAGGTCTATGGCTTGTCCATGAAACCTCTGTGAGGGTGACAACTGCAAACACCCACAGCCCAGGGTGGGCTGGCAGTGCGAGTGCCTCAAATCAGTGTGCCTGTGGGTTGTGTGATTCTCTGAATTGGTGAAGAGCTCTAGGAAATTTCTGAGCTGCACAAAGGACAGCTTCCCTTCTGTGCATATGGCAATCGCACTCCTGAAAAATTCAGTGAAGGATTTTAATAAATCCCGCAAAAACCAGGTGATGTTTATATGTAAAACAAAATGAAGATCTGGACTCGGGTAATCATAAACTTCTAGGACTAGCCAGCGACTAGCCAGCCACATGTGGAGCTTCCCATGTGCCATGCAGGGTGCATTCACTGCCCCGGCCTGTGCCCATAAGAAGCTAATGGCATCCCTAGACATTGGAAAAACCCAAATGTACCTCTCACATTTCCAAACTGCCCCATGGGGTGGTGCCACCCCCATGAGAGCCACTGTGCTTGACTCTGAGATCCTCGAGGACGCTGTGTATGGTCCTTACATGTCATCTGCAGCATGGGACCAAGCAAGCATGAAGGAGCCAAACATGCATGCAGGTGTGGATAGATGGATATATGGGTGGATGGAGAATAGGATGGAGAGAATGAAGGATGGGTGGATGGATGGATAGATCTATGGATAGATGGAGAGAAGGAAGGATAGAAGGATGGATGGATGGATGGATAGATATATGGAGGGAGGGAGAGAAGGAAGGATAGAAGGGAAGAAAGGAAGGAAGGAAAGAGAGAGGGATGGAGAGAAGGAAGGAGGAATGGCTGGATGGTTGGATGGATAGATGGATGGAGAGTGGATGGATAGATAGGTAGGTGGGTGGACAGGAGGACTGATGGCTCTTAAATAACCTCTGTCTGCAAAACCCTCAGGAACCTGCTGCCCAGCATTTGTACTGAGTTCACCATCTCTACCCTTCAGGCACAATGGGCCTCTCCACTGCTAAATAGAATGTGTTGGCAACATGGCGGGTGAAATCTTAGGTTGGCTTTTGGAAGAACATTAAGTTGTTTAAGAATCTGAGGTTTTATTGTAGGCCAGTGGTTCTCTGCTACGGCTGATTTTGACCCCCCAGTGGGCATTTATAAATCCCTAGGGATATTTTTAGTTTTCACAAAGCAGGGGAGTGTGAACTGGCATCTAGTTGGTAGAGTCCACCCTGGGGATAAGCAGGGGTGCTGCTATACATCTCTCAATGCCAGGGCAGCTCCCACATCAATAAATAATTCACCCACGTGGTTGAAAGTGCTGGGGTCGGGAAACTCTGCTGAAGGTGAGGAGCTATATTATTTCTTAAAAGCCATTATAATGTGCATAACTGATCTTTGGAACACTGAGGACTGTAGAAAGATCTTGTGCACCTTCAGAAGACAACAGACACGGGAGAGGCAGCTCCAGAGAGGAGCTCCGTGAGGAAGCTTCCTGAGGTGTCTTTAGAGCAGAAAGTGTGTTCCGTATGTTGGATGTGTCATTAGTATGATTATATGTGCTTATGTGAAGACACAGCTGTTCTATAAATGCAGCAAAGCTTCTGAGAATAATAGGAGAACTTCTCCTGGGGGTGAGTAAGTTAACATGCTGGGAATGAGAAGCTTGGATTCACAATGGGGTAATAAATGGAAACTCGCTGCACAAAGAAGAATTGGTGTTTTAATTTGTCAGAAAATTACTGAGTGGCAAAAGGGGCTTTGTGCCAGACTTCTCCTTTCAGAGCGTGAATTTTCCTTAAAAGAGAGCAAACCTGTGTTTACAGCATCCACCTGAAACAGAGAAAATGATAAGGACAAAGGACCTCCGTGAGGTTCACAGACAAGCCACAGTGTTGCTATCACCACGGGGGCCCTTTTGGAGACAAGGAGCGGACAAGGTCATGGTGGTGGCTGCAGTCCTGCTCTTCCACTTACCTGGGATGTTACCAACATCCCCAGTCACTTTCTCTGCCCACCTCTACTGTCTCTGTCACTCTCTACCGTCTGTGGAGCAAAAGGGTGGCTTGTTGGATCCTCCTTCAGATAACTCTGTTAAAAAAGACACTAGGATAGAGAGAGCCAGAGATGTGAACAGGATATAGAGCCACCCTGAGAAATTCAACTCCCAAAGCAGGTGAAATTTGGTGGTGACTGTGATGTGAGTGACAGTGGCAGGGATGATGACAATGGTGGTGATAGTGATGGGGGACAGGTGACAGTGATTGGTGGTGGTGGCAAAGATGGTGATAGTAGTGATGATGGTGATGCTGATGGTCACCATGGTGATGGTACGATGGTCATGATCATGATGGTGCTGACAGTGCTGGCACTGGTGGTGGTGATGGTAAGATGGTCATGGTCATGATGATGACAGTGCTGACACTGGTGGTGGTGTTGGGATGGTGATGGTTATGATGGTGATGGCAGTGCTGACACTGGTGGTGGCGGTGGTGGTGGTAGTCTTATCATGGTGATGGCCATGATGTTGATGACAGTGCTGATGCTGGTGGTGGCGGTGATGGTTATGGTCATGATGGTGACAACAGTGTTGACACTGGTGGTGGTGGTGATGGTGATGGTATGACTGACACTAGTGGTGGTGATGGTCATGGTCATGACGGTGATGGCAGTGCTGACACTGTGGTGGTAATAGTGGTGATGGTATAGTCATGGTCATGATGATGACAGTGCTGACACTGGTGGTGGTGTTGGGATGGTGATGGTTATGATGTTGATGGCAGTGCTGACACTGGTGGTGGCAGCGGTGGTGGTGGTGGTGGTAGTCATATCATGGTGATGGTCATGATGTTGATGACAGTGCTGATGGTGGTGGTGGTGGTGATGGTTATGGTCATGATGTTGATGACAGTGCTGATGCTGGTGGTGGCGGTGATGGTTATGGTCATGATGTTGATGACAGTGCTGATGGTGGTGGCAGTGATGGTTATGGTCATGATGTTGATGACAGTGCTGATGCTGGTGGTGGTGGTGATGGTGATGGTATGACTGACACTAGTGGTGGTGATGGTCATGGTCATGAGGGTGAGGGCAGTGCTGACGCTGTGGTGGTCATGGTGGTGATGGTATGGTGATGGTCATGATGGTGATGACAGTGCTGACACTGGTGGTCATGGTGGTGATGGTCATGGTTGTGATGGTGATGGCAGTGCTGACACTGGTAGTGGTGGTGGTGCTGATGGTATGGTGATGGTCACGATGGTGATGACAGTGCTGACACTGGTGGTGGTGATGATAATGGAGGTGATGATAGTGATGATGGTGATAATGATTTGGATAGTCATAATGGTAATGGTAATGACTGGTGACAGTAGTGGTATTGGTGGTGGTGATGATGGTGATAATGGTAATGATAGTGATGGTGATAGTCATGATGGTGATGGGTGTAGTGGGGGTGATGAAGACGGTGATGTGGTAGCAGTGGTGACAATGGTGACAGTGGTGGTAGTGATGATGATGGTGGCAGTGATGGGACAGTAGTGGTGGTGGCAATGAGTGAAGCCCTGGCAGAGTCAGTGGAACGATCCCTCAGTCCTGCTCTACCTTTCAGTGAATTCACGCTCTGCCCCACACACCTCATGGCTCTCAGCTCCTCCTGCTTCTCTTGTTCTTCCTACATCTGAGCTTCTGCTATCCCCACTTTTTTTTTTTTTTTTCCTTCTGGAGCCTGGCAACCTTGGTCCAGCCTCTGAGCCCTGGCATTGTCTATTCTGTCTGGAGGCTTCTCATCCACACCTCCCCCTGGCTGTCTCCTTTTTTAGTCAGTTTGCAGCTCACACTGTGCCCTGGAGAGGCCCCAGTGGCCCCAGCATGGTCTCTGCCTTCATGGGCTGGTGTTGCCTGGTGGCTGCTTTAGCTTCTTTAGGGCTTGTGTGGCCATCCCCTTCTCCAGAAGGTTGGTCCTGTGGGAGTATCGCTTTATCCCAGTTTTTGGTCCATGCTGGTCAAACACAAAGTTGCCAGTGAGAACCCTGACTCAGAGCTTTGTGTTCACTTGTGGGGTTGGGTCAGTGTTTGGGTGGCTGTTGGATCCCAGCCAGGAATGGGCATGATGGAGCAATGGTGAGAGGACCCCAACCCCGGGGTTCCCACCTGATCACACTGCAGTTCTTCACTGGTCACGTATTGGTATTGTGTAGGGAGCCAGGGGTGCCTGCGCCCCCCAGGACTCCAGTGTTGGCCATTCACCAAGCTCTCGGAGGATTCCCACAGCAGCTGAGGCCAGGAACCAGTGCCTAGGATGGGGGACGCTCACAACCAGTGCAAGAGAAGTGGCCCAGGGAGGGATGGAGAGCGGGAGGGACATGGTGAGGACACCATAGATGCGGGCTGACAAGGCTGACCTGTGGTCCAGGGACCCTGTCTTCACCCTGTGAAGAACAACACAGTGATTTATGTTTTCATGTCTCTTCCTGTGGTTGTCCTTAAAGTACCAGGAGTTAGGCCGGGATCTGGGAGGCAGAAATGATTCCCCCAGGCTCACATGAGCGCTTCGCAGCCCGAGTTAAGGACTTCTCAGAAGGCAGCTCCTTGAACCCACACACCACCCCAGGGCAGGAAAAGGGAGACAGAGCCTGTGACCCACAGAAGGTCACACCACAGTACCTGATAAAGCTCCGCAAGCTGACCCCAGGGCCGCAGGTACCCCCACACCTGGGACCTCACACTCCAGGAACCAATGGCAGAGTGATGGGTTGCTGGGTGTCTCGAGGCCCAAGCAGAGGCTGACAGTGGGGCCTGGGACCATGCATTGTCAATCAGTGGATATTATCCCTTAGTAGAAATTCAATAAATATTTGTTAAATGAATGTGCAAGGTGTAAAACTCAAGGAGAAAGGCTGTTAACAGGGAGCGCTTTGCCCTCGGCTAGCACATAATAAACACTGAATAGCCAGGTGCCCACTGTCGGACTTTTCATTGGTGCCTCTGCTCCCTTCCTAAGGAAGGGAAACCTGCAATCAATATGAGCAGCTCATCCTGACAGCAGAATTTTGTAGCAGAAAAAGGCTGCTCTGTCTCTTTAAGGAATGCAGGTATGCCCAGGTGATCTGAGGGTGAGACCAGCTTCTCTCAGCTGGGCCCCAGAAACCTTGATGCCTGGCCTCATTGGAGAAACTGGGGAGGTTTGGATCCCAGTTTTGCCCAACCAAAGGTGGGCAGTAGGGGGCCCCAGAGCCCCCGGCCTCACCTGCCGCTGGAAGCAGCCTCATTTTACAAGGGTCCATGTTTGGGGATAAGGGCCTTGGGCCAGGAGGTGGTCTGCTGAGGCTGCAAAGGCCAGGCCGCCCTGTCCAGGTATGCACGGAGGCGTCCCTAAGTGGTGAGGTGGCACCCATAGGAGGAAACATGTTGAGTGGGTGTCCTAGGAACCCTTGAGGGGCTGCAGACCTGGCTGGCTGTTCTGCAGAGAAGGGGCTCATGGTGGGAAAGGGAGCCGTGTGTGTTGAACTTGGCTTCAGGGTGGCAGCAGGCCTCTCGAGAGCTGGGGGCTTGAGAAGGTCATCCATGGGTGTATCTGGCTCGATGCATGGCCCCAGCTGTTCTGTGATTGTTGCTGTGAATGATATTACTGTTATTCCCTGGTGGCTCTCTTGCCAGCACGGGCTCTCTGCTTTGGCTCCATCAGCCCCTGTTAGGGCAGACCCCTCTCCCTGGGCTGCCCTGTCGACAGTATCCTGCTCCCATCTAAGCCGCCTGTTTCCAGGGCCATTACCAGGGAGAATTTGCTGAAGACCAGGTTCCTAATACAGGACTTGGTTGCATTTGTAGAAACACTGATCTAAATTTGAACCTCTAAAATGAATGTTGGAACCTCCCCTTCCCCCAATTTTACACAAATTATTTTAAAGAGAATATTGATAATCTAGGAAGCCATTTTTTTTTAAAAAAAATGCAAAATCCCTAAGTCTGGAATTTCAGGTGCATCAGCAAGAAAGACAGCAAGGAAGACAGCCTTATGCGTTCCCTGCAATTAAAAAGGGTATTAAGAAAATCAAAGCTTCGCAGACACTGTCTCTTAATTGTCAGTTGTGCAGGGTTAATGAACTGCATTAGTTCACTGAAAAATAACATATTGACTGTCAGAACCTGCCACAGCAGCAGTGAGGAGCCTCTGTAGAATACCTTTGTAGGAAATTAAAAGTGACTCGGCTTCCGCTGGAAGGAAGAGACTGAGGGGGCCTGCTCAGAGGGTTCTTTCTGAATGAGTGGGTTCAAGCAAGGGTGATGTGACTTACTCCTGAGTCCAGGCACGGATGCCTGGGAAATGCAACGGGACCCACGTGGGAGTGGGAGGGGAGGTGGCCCGCAACGGGGGAGTGAGGGGCGATTACATTTTTCCTGAACTGTTACTCTCTGGAATTTGTGCCTGTCCTCCTGTGTTATTTCCACATTTGTGAGGTTGTTCACTTAACCTGTGCGCTGACCTGGAATTGTCCCCAACGGAGACGCATGATGTTTGCAGGGGAATCTCACTGAACAAGCACCGTGTCTCTTTACACTTGACTAGCAAGTGATGAGAGAGAGACATTATTCAGTGCTTTGCTGCCCAAAGCTCTGGAGTGCCGTGTGCATTCCCAGGGCCACATGAAGCCCAGTGGCAAAGTCCATGAAACATGAAGATGCCCATTAAAGATGGAGTTGACAAAAGGAGTCCCACTTTTAGTCCTCCCAGATCAGGTTCCAGCACAGCACTCGCGTGCACTTAAAATTACTACACGGCAGTAAGGCTTCTTGACAAGAAAGTTGTCAAGGGTGGATGGTAGCTGGATTAATGAATAAATCCAAAATTAACCCAGGACTGGAAGCACTGTGGCTTTGCAAACCTGGCAGATGGAATGCATGGTAAGAAGGGTATTTGAACCGCCATCTCCCAGCCTTGCCAAAATCTTGTTACAGGTTTGAATTTTCTGCGGAAGTTCTGCCTTTATTTCATTGGAGTTCTCTTGAAGATGAAGGATATCTTAAGATTTCAGTGGTACAAACCCAATGGGACTGGCCCTTCCCTATCTGGGGTGACCTGGTGCATTGCATCCTCCATGGGGAAGAATTAGTCAAAGTAGTTGTGGATCTTCAGAGGTGTGGAGGAGATTTGTTTATATGCAAACGATTTTTAATATGATTACAATTTATTCTCACCTGGTAAATCAAGGGGGTGTAGTAATCCTGAGGATTCCTGCATCATCTTCTGCCTGTACCAAAAATAACAAAATATCTTAAAAACTAAGTCATCCCATAGGCTTCCCACCACTCACTCAGCTTGTGCATTGCTCCTGAGCCTCCCTCAGCCCCCTTTGTGCTCCCAGCTGCTCCTCCCTCTCTGCCATGCCTGGGAGGACACTCAGCTCATTGGGGCTCCCCCCTCTCCCTCCTTCCCTAGGTTTCATCCTCCATCCTTGTCATTGGCCTGACTTTTTCACAATCCCAGGTCTGAATAGATCTCGTCTTTGCTGGAAATATTTTTGTTGCTCTGAGGAAGATTTACATCATCCTCAGTAAAATCCTGCCAGAAAGGAGGGAGGTGGACAGTCAGCAGCATGGGGTGGGCACCTCACCCGTCAGTCTTCAAAGGGGATGAAGCAGGAGGGTAAGGATCAGAGCAGGTGGTGAAATGGTTTGACTGTGTCCTCATCTAAATCTCACCTTGAATTGTAATAATTCCCCATGTGTCAAGGACAGAACCAGGTGGAAATAATTGAATAATGGGGGTGGTTTCCACCATACTGTTCTCATGGCAGTGAATAAGTCTCATGAGGTCTGACGGTTTTTTAAATGGGAGTCTCCCTGCACAAACTCTCTCTTGCCTGCTGCCATGTAAGATGTGCCTTTGCTCTTTCTTCGTCTTCCTCCGTGATTGTGAGGCCTCCCCAGTCACGTGGAACTGTGAGTCCATTAAACCTCTTCCCTTTATAAATTGCCCAGTTTCTGGTATGTCTTTATTAGCAGCATTAGAACAGAATAATACAGGTGGGCACCGGGGCAGGAGTAGGCAGGCAAAGCCCCAAAGTAACAGCAACAAAGGAAGAAAATCCAGGCAGATCTCTACAGAGGAAGAGTGCTCTCAACATCAAAAGACCAAAGTTCAACCAAGTGAGGTGAGGCCCCATGTACAAAACTGATGAGACTTTTCACACAAAGATGCCTAGGACTCTAACCCAGCCTCAGGAGTGGACTCAGAATCCTGGGAATCAGGATCTGTCCACACCATGCATGCTTCCACTGCACCATTGTGCAGGGCACTGTGGTTCCCCACCCAATCAGTCAGGAGTGAAGACAATGGCTTCAAATGTGCATAGGTGGGTCCTGGAGGAGAGGGCGGAGGGTCTCATGTTGAATCCCATCCTATGTAAGCCACAGCACCAGAGCTGTAAAAGAAAAACTGCACCAGGGCAGTCAAATGGTCCGGAAAGACTTTATTCAAGACTCTTGCAACAGGGGAGAGAGACTGAACTCAACTCCACTGAAACAAAAGGCGGGAGGGATATTCAGCACTGGGTGAGCTGGCAGAAAGGACAGGAGGATGCTAAGGAAGGTGGTTTGTGATTAGGCCATCAGGGGATCAGGGAGGTCAGGGGCAATGGTCAGGAAGAAACCTATCAAGTGTAGTCACACTGAGCAGAACATTGAGGCTGTCTTGGCCCCAGGGAAATGACAAAGGAAGGGTTTGAACTTATACCTCTCTTACAGTAGCTCCTGGCTAATGACCCTCTCCTCAGCAGTTCAGGTGCATAATAATGCAGTCACTGCCCATAAGCTTATGGTTCAGGTAGAATTAGTGGAGTTAGGGTTTTTCTTCTGTTAAACTTGTTGGTTTGCAATGTATCACTTTCTAGGAAACTTGGCACGTTGGGGCTCTGGCTGGTGTTGAGAAGAAGGTGCTGGGGGCTGGGCAAACCCTGCTGCTACAGATGCAGAGAGGGATACAAAAGGAAGGCCACAGTATTACCTTTAAAAGAAAAATCCCAATAAGTTTATTTCCAGGTACAGTTATTATGGATGTAATCCTATTAACCTGCATTTTGAATCCAGATTGAACATAAAGAGTGAGTGTTTGGAGTCTGTTCTAGGCTATGACTGGGTGGTAGGAGACAAGAAGTTAACGCTGCTACTACAATTCAGTTGAGAAATGACAGTCCAATGCCCGGCTATAGACCAGAATAGCTTCGTTTATCATTACCTCTGAGGGCCCTGCCTGCTGATGGGATGAGACATCATCTTGCTTTTGCACGCAGCACTTGGTCCCTGAGTAGTGACTAATACTAGAGAAGGTTAATTGATTTGGGCAATTTTGGACACAGATGTTCTCCCTGGATCCTTTGAGTTGAGGCTAGAGCAGCCAGTTGGACTGTGAGGTCTCTGGGATCCGGTCCTATTAACAGCCTGGTAACTAACATAGGTGTCTCTGCTGTTCTAGGACTGAGACACACTAGCAGAGCCCAGGTCCCCTCCTGAGCAAGAGTGGGCGCTCCTGCCAGCATCCACTGGGGGGTGGAGGGACAGGGCTCGCCATCCACTGTGGACTTGGAGCTGTTACCAAACTAATTTTCACTGAGAACAAAGAAGCCGGCTTCAAAACTGAGAGCCCAGTGAGAAGAATGGCTCTTTTTATCCAGGTCATGCATTTTACATTTTCCCTGTTTAATAAGCTAAAAGTCTGAAAATGCCAAATTTGGATCTTTTATTAAGTAGGCCCTAAAAGTGCACACAGGTCTACAAAAGTGTGTGCAGGTCTTATATGCCTTCACATTTAAAAGATGTGTTTGAACATCCCAGGTGACCGTCCACAGGGACTTTGATCTGGCATACAGAATGCTGGAAGGGCAAGGTATTGTGTATCTTTCTGTCCCTCTGGGAACAAGGAAGGGATCTGCCAGAGAACTTGCTGGAGAGATGGCATTTTGATTATATGAGAATAGCTAACCTGCTGCTTTCCAGTTTTTAGCATAGCATCCAGGAAGAATGGGATTTTTGTTGGAATTATGCATTTTAAAAAAAAGCTTTCCAGGGAGGTATGATAATGGGGGAGGAAGGAGTGGATATTGAACCTGGGATTTTTTTTTTTTAACTTCTCCAATTCTCCTCTCTTTTCACACACGTGAAATGTTTTCTAGCAAGTTTCTAGCATATGTATTTACCCGTGATAGTCAAGTTGTACTTTTATTATCTTAAAAAGATTGTTCTTGGTGTGGTGAGGCTCTGCAGGAGGGACAGTGCCTAGCACCTCTCTGTAAATTGTATGGATGTATTGATTTTATGTAGAGACGGCCAAATGCATCCGAAGGGAATTGCATCTTGGTGGACATATGTTTGAACTGTTGTCAGTAATGAAGGTAAATGGCTATATTTTAATTTTGAATCTTTATCTCCTGGTTTTTGTTGTTGTCAATCCTTGCCAATAATTTTGAACTTGATCTTCATTTGTGGGCAAGTTTCATGCTTGCAAAGGTTGCTTTCAATTTTGACCCTATGGAATTGTTAGAAATCATAAACCAGAAGAATCGATTCCTGAATCTTTTGTATTATTTTATAGGGTGTAAATAGGACTTTTTTTTCTTTTTTTTTTTTTGCAGGGTGGCAGGAGGATACAGTTTTACTTTCTAATGTTCTCTATAGGCCAGTTTCCAAATTACTCTGCCTGCCACGGGTTCACAAATCAAGAAACCATCTTGTTTAGAATGGCCAGGCAATGAGATTAAATTTCCTCTTGGACATTCTTTAATTTTGAGAATGCATCAACATTTAGCTCACCACGTGGATTGCATAGAATGTGTTCCTGTGCACCCAAGGAGATGTGGATTTCCATTTATTTCTCACTGTGGCTGCCCTTGTACCACAACAGCCAGCTGAAAATGGAAAGGTTTAGTCAGGAATTTACAAAGAACCAAGCAGAGTCTCTTTTTAGATATGCCCAAGCATCAGACTGTTTGATTCAAATGTTTTTTAAGCTTCTCTCCAGATGTTTGACAATATGTGAGCACAGCTGGTTTGTCTTCACCAAGATAGGCGGCTTTGCTGCAGTCCTGTTAGAGAATGTTTTCTCTTAACATGCTAAGAAGGAAAAAGGGCTGGACCCCCATTGTAATAAGATCGTGCATAGCAGGTGCATCATATGACTAAAAGAAGAAATACATAACACGTGACTCAGTACAATCCCAGAATTACCATCTGGGACTGACAAACTTGTTTCTCATGTAAGAGGTTGCAGCACCCTCATTTTGGTTCTGGTGCATTAAGAATTCATTCTTTCCTGGCTGGGCACGGTGGTTCATGCCTATAATCTTAGCACTTTGGAAGGCCATGGTGGGTGAATGACTTGAGGCCGGGAGTTCAAGATCAGCCTGGGCAACATGGCAAAACTCTGCCCCTACCTATACAAAAGTATTAAAAAAATAGCTGGGCATGGTGGCATGCATCTGTAGTTCCAGCTAATCAGGACGCTGAGGCGGGAGGATCACTTGAACCTGGGAGGCAGAGGTTGCATTGAGCCAAGAACGCACCACTGCACTCCAGCCTGGGTGACAAAGTGAGACGCTGCCTCAAATAAATAAATAACAAATAATCAGTCCTCTCCTTGCAAGTAAGACTGAGGGCGGGGGTGGGGGCAACCAAACTGTAATTCTTAATAGTTGCTAAAAGCATTGGTTCATCTAAAATTACTATCTTGGCCTCTTTCTGACCCACCAAAGCAGTGGTGTTCTCACTGGTTTTAATATTTGCCATTTTATGTGTGTTCACTGTGAGCCAGGATTTTTAATAAACCATTGCAAACATTATTTCAGTTAGTTCCTGTAAACTACTGATGAGGAAGTTTGAAATCATCTCTATTTCACAGATGAAGAAGCTGGCTTCAGAGTGGGAGTTTCCTCACATACAGTCACAGACCTCATTAGTACAGATTCTCAAAGCCATCACCTGCTTCCTTAAATCAAGCCTACATCAAATAAGTAAATAGCAATGAAGAAAGTCTTCCACATTTCAATTCACCACAATGACATTTGTTAATCACTTACTACATATCAGCGTTCCATTTGGGTTGGTTCTTTTTGAAATGTTCTGTAGAAGCATCTGATTCTCAGCACTCTGAATTATTTTGGGTACTCTGTGGTCGTTTCTCTGAAACATGTGTCTTGAGTATGATAAGTAATAGAATATTTTGGCAGTACAATAGGCATGGTGGCTTACACCTGTAATCCCAGCACTTTGGGAGGCCAAGGCCGAAGGATCTCCTTGAGGCCAGGGGTTTGAGAAATAATATGTCCCCTTCCATCCCTGCCTCCACTATTTATGCTACCATTAACAAATTCTACATAACATAATTACACATGCTGCTGCCCACAAAGAGCAGGAGACCTTCTTATTCATGAAGACTCTGTGGTTCTTAATCAGTGATGCTTTTTCCATATCCATCATCTTTATGGTTTATGTGGAGGTGGACAACTACAAAGTTAGAGGGGACATTCTTGAAGACCACCCTCACTGCTGACACCAATTTCAAGTTCACAGATTCCCCAAACCACCCTTGGATTCGATAATTCTCTAGGAGGACTCACAGAGCTCACTGAAAGCTGTTATACTCATGGTTACCATTTATTACAGGGAAAGGACCCCAGTTAGAATCCGCCGAGGGAAGAAGTGGCACAGGGTGGTGTCAGAAGGGCACCAAACATGGAGTTTCTGTTGTCTTCTCCCCATGGAATCAAGAAAGTGTTATTCTCCCAGCACAGGGTGTGGCAGTGTATGTGGAATGTTGCCAGTGAAGGAGGCTCACTAGAGCCTCCATGTCCAGAGTCTTTATTTGGGACTCCATCACCTAGGGGTGATTGATTGCCCATGTGGCTGACCCAAGTCTCAAATCTCCAGCCCTTCTGGGAGCCAACTGATTCTGTATGACCCAAACCTCCACCCCATATCACATTGTTACTATCCAGCTGGCCCAAGGTGCCCAGGGAAAGAAATACACTGCCATCAGGAATGACATTCCAAGGACTTAGAAATGGCCTCTCCCAGGGCCAAAGGCAAGAGCCAGACCTCTCTTTGGGTAAGGTTAAATTCTTTCTCTTTCTCTTTCTTTCTTTGGCTTTTTAACATTTTTTTATTTTTTATTTTTCTGGATACATAGAAGGTATATATATTTTTGGGATACATGAGATATTTTGATTTAGATATGCAGTGTGTAATAGTCACAGGTAAATAAGGTATCCATCACCTCAAGCATTTATCTTTTGTATTCCAAACAATCCAGTTACATTCTTTTAGTTATTTTAAAATACACAATTAAATTATTGTTGACTACAGTCACCCTGCTGTGCTATGAAATAGTAGGTCTTACTCATTCTAACTACTTTTTTGTACCCATTAACCATCCCCACTCCCCCCTGCCAGCCTGTACTGCCCTTCTCATCCATCCTTCTACTAGTAACCATTCTTCTACTCTCTATCTCCATGAGTTGAATTGTTTGAATGTTTAACTCCCAGAAATAAGTGAGAACATGCAATATTTATCTCTCTGTGCCTGGTTTATTTCACTTAACATAATGATCTCCAGTTCTATCCATCTTATTTCAGATGACAGGATCTCATTCTTTTTTATGGCTGAATAATACTCCATCGTGTATAGGTACCACATTTTCTTTGTCCACTCATCTGTTGATGGACATTTAGGTTGCTTCCAAATTTTGACTGTTGGGAATAGTGCTACAAGAAACATGGTAGCAAAGATGTCTCTTTGATTTCCTTTCTTTTGGGTATATACCTAGCAGTGGGATTGCTGCATCATGTGGTAGCCCTATTTTTAGTTTTTTTGAGGAACCCCCAAGCAGTTCTCCATAGTGGGTGTACTAATTTACATTCCCACCCACAGTGTATGAGGGTTCCCTTTCTCCACATCCTCACCAGCATTTGTTATTGCCTGTCTTTTGGACTTTTGGATAAAATCCATTTTAACTGGGATGAAATGATATCTCATTGTAGTTTAGATTTGCATTTCTGTGATGAGCAGTGATACTGAGCACATTTCCATATATCTGTTTGCCATTTGTACATCATCTTTTGAGAAATGTCTATTCAGACCTTTGCCCATTTAAAAAACCAGATTATTAGATTCTTTCCTATAGAGTTGTTTGAGCCCTTTATATATTCTGGTTACTAATCCCTTGTCAGGTGAGTAGTTTGCACATATTTTCTCCCATTCTGTGGGTTGTCTGTTCACTTTGTTGATTGTTTCCTTTGCTGTGTGGAAGCTTTTTAACTTGATGTAATCTTATTTGTCCATTTTTGCTTTAGTTGCCTGTGCTTGTGGGTGTTATTCAAGAAATCTTTGCCCAGTCCAGTGTCTTGGAAAGTTTCCCCAATGTTTTCTTTTAATAATTTCATGGTTTGAGGTCTTAGATTTAAGTCTTTAATCTATTTTGATTTGATTTCTGTATATGGCAAGAGATAGGGATCTGGTTCTATTCTTCTGCATATGGATATCCAGTTTTCCCAGCACCATTTATTGAAGAGACAGTCTTTTCCCCAGTTTACGTTCTTGGTGCCTTTGTCGAAAATGTGTTCACTGAAGGTATGTGGATTTGTTTCTGGGTTATCTCTTCTGTTCCATTGGCTTATGTGTCTGTTTTTATGCCAGTACCATGCTAATTTGGTTACTATAGCTTTGTAGTATGATTTGAAGTCAAGCAATGTAATTCTTCCAGTTTTGTTCTTTTTGCTCAGGAGAGCTTTGGCTATTCTGGGTCTTTTGTGGTTCTATATACATTTTAGGATTATTTTTTCTGTTTCTGTGAAGAATGTCATTGGTATTTTCATAGGGGTTGCATTGAATCCATAGATTGCTTTGGAAAGTATGGACACTTTAATGTATTTATTCTTCTAATCCAGAGACATGGAACATCTTTTCTTTTTTGTGGCCTCTTTTTTCATCAATGGCTTATAGTTGTTATTATAGATCTTTTACTTCTTTGGTGTTAATTCTTAGGTGTTTTATAACTATTGTAAATGGAATTACTTTCTAGATTTCTATTTCAGATTGTTCACTGTTGACATATAGAAATGCTACTAATTTTTGCATGTTGATTTTGTATCCTGCAACTTCACTGAATTTATTTATCTGTTGTAATCATTTTTTGTTGGAATCTTTAGGTTTTTCCAAGTATAAGATCATATCATCTGCAAACAAGTATAATTCAACTTCTTCCTTTTCAATTTGGTTGCTCTTTCTTTCTCTTGTCTAATTGCTGTAGCTAAGACTTCTAGTACTCTGTTGAATAAGAGTAGTGACAGTGGGATTCCTCATCATGTTCCAGATCTTGGAGGAAAGGCTTTCAGTTTTTTTTCTCATTCAGTATGACACTGGCAGTGAGTCTGTCATATATGGCTTTTACTATATTGAGGTATGTTTCTTATATACCAAGTGTTTATGAGCATTTTTCTTAATCATGAAGGGATGTTGGTTTTTATCAATTGCTTTTTCAGCATCAACTGAAATGATCATATGGTTTTTGTCCTTCATTCTGTTGATATATCAGATTGATTGATTCATGTATGTTGAACCATCTTCGCATCCCTGGGATAAATACCACTTGATCATGATGAATTATCTTTTTAATGTGCTGTTGAAATTGGTTTGCTAGTATTTTGTTGAGGATTTTTGCATTAATATTCATCAGGGATATTGGTTTGTAGGCTTTCTTTTTTTGATGTATCTTTGTCTGGGTGTGGTATTAGGGTAATACTGGCCTCACATAATGAGTTTGGAAGTATCCCCTCCTCCTCTATTTTTCAGAATCTTTTAAGTAGGATTGATATTAGTTCTTTAAATATTTGGTAAAATTCAGCAGTGAAGCCAGTGGGTCCTGGGCTTTTCTTTGCTGGCTTTTTAGTATGGCTTTGATCTTATTACTCATTATTGGTCTGTTAAGATTTTCTTCATGATTAAATATTGGTAGGTTGCATATGTCTAGGAATTTATACCTTTCCTCTATATTTTCCAACTTATTGTCATACAGTTGCTCATAGTAGCCACTAATGATCCTTTGCGTTTCTGTGTTATCAGTTGCAATGTCTCTTTTTTCATCTCTGATTGTATTTATTTGGGTCTTCTCTCTTTTTTTTCTCAATCTAGCTAAAGGTTTGTCAATTGTGTTTATCTTTTTTAAAACCCAGCTTTCATTTCATTGATTTTTTTTGTATTTTTTTTCAATTTTATTTATTTTTGTTCTGATTTTTATTATTTCTTCTACTAATTTTTGGTTTGGTTTGTTCTTGCTTTTCTAGCTCTTTAAGATGCATTGTTAGGTTGTTTAAAGTTTTTCTACTTTGTTGATATAGGTGCTTATAGCTATAAACTTCCCTCTTAGTACTACTTTTGCTGTGTTCCGTAGGTTTTGCCATGTTTTGTTTCCATTATAATGTTTCAAGAAATTTTTCAATTTCCTTCTTAATTTCTTCATTGCCCACTGGAGCATTATTCAGGAGCCTAGTGTTTAATTTCCATGTGTTTGTATAGTTTCCAAAATTCCTCTTTTATTGATTTCTAGTTTTCCATTGTGGTCAGATACTTGATATTATTTAAATTTTTTAAATGTTTTAAGATTTGTTTTTGTGACCTTGTTTTATCATCTGTCCTTGAGGATGATTTATGTTATGAAGAGAAGAATGTGTATTCTGCAGCCATTGGATGATACGTTCTGTAAATATCGATTAGGTCCATTTTGTCTGTACTGCAGATTAACTCTGACATTTCTGTGTTTACTTTCTGTCTGGAAGATCCATCCAATGCTGAAAGTGGGCTGTTGAAGTCTTCAGCTATTATTGTATTGAGGTCTCTCTCTCTCTTTACCTCTGATAATATTTGCTTTAGATATCTGGGTGATCCCTTGTTGGGCGCATATGTATTTATAATTGTTACAGCTGCTTGCTGAATTGACCGCTTTATCACCATGCAATGACCTCCTTTGTCTCTTCTTATACTTTTTGTCTTGAAATCTATTTTGTCTGATATAAGTGTAGCTACTCTTGCTCTTTTGGTTTCCATTGACATGGAATATCTTTTTCCATTCTGAATTATTGACAAGTAAAGACTTACTCCTGCCATTTTATTATGTGCTTTATGGTTGTTTTGTGGTCTCTTCTTTTCCTTCTTTAGTTGCTTTCTGTCTTCATTTTGGTGAAGGTGATTTCCTCTGATGATATGTTTCAATTTCTTGCTTTTCATTTTTTTTGTTCATCCATTGTATGTTTTTTGATTTGAGGCTACCATGAGGTTTTCAAATAATACCTTATAACCCACTATTTTAAACTGATGACAACTTAACACTGATTGTACAAACAAATTGTCTACCTCACAGCTTGACTGTCAGAATGAAGTTTGAATAACTGCATAGTTTTGATTTTTGCCACTTCTTGGGAGACATCATTATTAATTTAGTTTTTTGTGAGTTGTTCTGCTAACTACAACATTTGATTATTACTTTTTTCAGCAAATAATACTGCTGAATGTATGTAGAATTTTACACAGGCCTGCTTTTTAGTCAAATATGAATCATCTATTCTCATTTTGCTAAAAAAGAGGCTTAACCAACCCTCCACAAAATTAGATTATATGGTAAAACTTGTTTTTACCTAATGCTCTTTCAATTAAAAACTGTTATATGAAGTTGGTGGACTATACCCAACCGGGTGTGGGTAGGCTGTACTCTGGTGGGGCAGGGGAGGGGAGGGGATTGAGCCCTGATTCCTAGTCTTTGCCAATTGCCATGGTGTAATTTTGTGATCTATTTCAAGCTACCAACATTACATCATCGAATGTGGAGTTTGGGAAGAGATGAAAATAGCACATTGTAATATTTCTATCTCTCAGATATAATAGGTCAAAATAACCTCTTTAGCATAGATAAGAATAAGGTGGTAAAATAATTCTGAAGTGAGAAATTATGAGTATTCCTCACTTTTATCTTAATATGATGTATTAATTACAGTTTTCTACAGGTTAGTTTTTCTCTGTGGCTATGTTTAACAACAAGCAGGCAAATTTCTGGATCCTTAACAGCAGGCTCTGGTGAGTCTGCAGGAGCCTGCTGCAGCTCAGTTGGCTGTACCCCACCTAAGAAGCTGTGGCTAGAGAGCTTACGAGCCCCTCCAATGGAGAGCTGCATATCATCCTGTTTTATCTCAGCCAGCACATTGTTTTCTCCAATGCTGGGTCTTCCTTTCCAAAACAGCCTATTTAAGGAGCTCACATTTTAACCAATAGAACCATAATTTAACTCGTAAGCAGAAGGTTGAATTTCATTTAGGAGTTTGCTTATAGTTCTGGGTTCTGTGATCTTGTAATAAAATATGCTATGGAGAATAAAGTCCACCATGTCTGTATGATTTTGTTAAAGTGACTTTAATAAGTTGATGAGTGCGGAATGGCATGCACACATACACACACACAGACACGCAGACACACAGACACACAAAGACACACACACACTCAGACACTCACAGACGCACACAGACACTCAGACAGACACACAGAGACACTCAGACACTCACATACCCCTCCTCTTTTTACAGCCATGTCAAGATAGAAGGGTGATTTTGGTGATCAGCTGTGGATGAATAGCCAGGTATAAATCTTGTTTCCTTCCCTGTTTCACTGTATACTAATTAATATATGGTGCTTCTTACTTGATTCTACTGTAAGGAAAACACCGTGGGATTGTAGATGACTCTGGCTTACTGTAAAGATCCAGGCTGTTCTGCTGACAGCCACAGATGATGAGTTTAAACTTCTTCCACTCTCTGGATTTTAGAAAACATCCACTCGATGAGGTATTCTTTTGTCATGGAATAGGACTTTTTTTTTTTTTTTTTTTTTTTTTTGAGATGGAGTCTGACTCTGTTGCCCAGGCTGGAGTGCAGTGGCGCAATCTTGGCTCACTGCAACCCCCACCTCCCTGGTTCAAGCAATTTCCCTGCCTCAGCCTCCCGAGTAGCTGGGATTACAGGCGTGCACCACCACACCCAGCTAATTTTTTTTTTTTTTTTTTTGTATTTTTAGCAGAGATGGGGTTTCACCATGTTGGCCAGACTGGTCTAAAACTCCTGACCTCAGGCAATCCGCTCACCTCGGCCTCCCAAAGTGCTGGGATTACAGTCACGAGCCACTGCACCGGCCAGAATAGTACATTATTATTGCTGTTATTTGATACAAAAGAAATGTAGTACCTTCGGGGTAGTAAATATCATTGATTCATGTGGGCTTGAAGAGATGCTGTAATATTTTTTAGATTATTAAGAAGGCTCTACTTAAACAGGTGATTTTTTATAATCATTGTGCCATGGGTGACTTGAGTTAAGCAACCAGACCCTTTCTTTAAAATGTAATTACAATTGCTTTCAACATTCTTTTTTTTAAAAAAAAAATTCTTTTTTCTCCTTTTTCCATTTTTGATACTTCCAAGGGCATTTTTATATGTTCTATTAAGGAAATCCCTGCTGTGGCAGATGCTAGCAGCAAATACTCTAGAGCTGTCTGTTGTTTCTGCCTTGGATGAGATTTTATAGCATTATTGAGCATTTCAGAACATTATATCAGAAGTGCACGCTGCAGAGTTTGGTTGTAAACTTAAGGTTTCCATTGCCATTTTAGAAACCTGCTTCCTAACATAATTTACTTTCAGTATCTGAAAATATTAAAAGACCCAAAGCAAATAAAACAAGAGCAGTATCTATTCAGTTTTGATTTGTGATGCCTTTTGATTATGGCGATCCCACATAATTAATAATGTGCTTTATTTGAGAATCCTGCATTATATAAGCTAGCTATGAAAGTCACTGTACAAAAGGGGGCATGTGTTACACTTTTTTCCCCATAATTACTCTGAGCACTGTACCAAAAAGCACTAATAGAAATGTGGCGTCTGTTGACTTCATATCTGGAGAATAAAATCAGCCAAACCACAGGGGTGGAATTAAGAAGTGACCCCTTCTACCAACCCCAGCCCCCTCCAACTTAGTTTCCTTCAAATGCCCAGACATGAAATTCTGATCCAGCAAAAATGACAATGTCTAGAAATCTGACTGTTCTGAACTAGAATCCTCAGTGACCCTGCCTCCAGCCTCCTCCACCACTTTCTCCCCCATGGAATTTACCTCCCCCCCTCTCTCTCCCTCCTCTCCCTCCCCCTCTCTACCTCCCCTCCCTCCTCTCCCTCTCTCTCTCTCCCCCTGCCCGCCCCTCCCTCTCTCCCTGCCCCCCCTCCCTCTCTCTCTCTCTCCCCCTGCCCGCCCCTCCCTCTCTCCCTGCTCCTCCCTCCCTCTCTGTCTCTCTCCTTGCCCCTCCTCACTCACCCGCCTCCCCTCTCTCTCTTCCTCTCTCTCTCCACCTCTCTTCTCCCTACCCCACAACTGTGGACTCTGAGACATAGGATCTGAGCTTCATGGCTTAAGGTAAACCTTATTCCTGTCTTCATGGCAATCTAAAAATATTCATGTAATTGCTGGTTGATCACGAACTACAAATGAACACCACTTGTGAGATAAATTCAGTGTGTTTTTATACTAATTCTGAAAGAAAGCTTTCTTGCACAGTATGGTTTTGCATCTGCCCATGAGTGTTGCAGCCAAAGGCAGAATTCCAGCTAATGCCGGAATTAGCTTCAGGAATGTCACAAGTTCTAGGCCAGAGTGAGTCTCTAGAACACCAGAAGAGATCTGCACGTGGTCACCACTAGACCAGTCCTATTGGACGCACAGGAATAACAGTAGTGGTGACATAAGCCACGAGCTTAATGCAGGTTAATGAGGACACGCGGTGGTTCTCCTGTTGGAATACTAATCAGATTGAAAATCAACCACATCATTTTCACACTGATTCAAGTTTTAATTTTATTGGAGTTTCCTTGAGTTCTTACCCCACAAATATTTTGGTAATTTCAGTCCTGCGTTAAGCTCTGAACTAAGCCCCTGGAAAGTGAGGAGGCATGCGCCCTGGTTCCTGTCCTCGGTAGACGGAAGTCAAAGCCAACGTTTGCAGGACATTTCCTGCCTGCCAGACTCATCTAGAAGTGTGTGTGCCCGTGTGTGTGCACGTGTGTGTGTTCTGAACATGTGTGGTCTGAACATATGTATTTTTTCTAAACGTAGACACAACACATAACACACATTTATATCCATATGTATCAGTTTAATCCTCACAACAGTGCTATGGGGTAGGTTGTACCTCCACATTACAGCCCTGGAACCTGGGGCTGGAGAGTTGAAGGAAGGCCCCCGGTGAGACACAGGTGGAGAGTGGGAGCATCAGCCGCCACACCTGGCTTCAGAGCTGCTCGCCCCACCTTCAGTCCTTCTGTGTAGCTGAAGAGCTCTGCAATTAAGTGTTAGGCTGGGCGAGACCAGCCAGTGATTTTCACACTATTACCTTTATCGCTGTAAACTTTTCTCAAGCAAAACAGTGTTCCTGAATATGGTTGAAAGGACATGGCTGGGGACAGGATGTCTGTGCATGGATCCCAGGAATACTGACACAGGCTGCTCCATGGTCTGTCTGGGCCACTGAGGTGGGATGTGTCCAAGTCCAGTCAGGTGGACAGGATCACACCTGGTACTGTTATAGAAGAGTTGAGTGCAGGAATCTGGGTTTAGGTGTTAGAAGACCACAGAAGCCCCGGGAGAGACAGAGAGGCCAGCCAGAGGTGACAAAGGCAGACAGGGGCTTCTGTCAGCTCAAGGGAAAGAGCCAGGGGCCGGGGCTGCCTGCAGGGGCCAGGGAGGACGTGTGGACACTGCAGGGGATGCAGCCTGAGGCCAAGAGATGGGGAGAGATGCCTGGTCCCTGCCTCCCCACGCCTCTGCCTGCCAGCGGAATCCTGTGGGCAGGGAAGCCACGCAGTGTGCGTGGAGGGCCAGCTCCTTGCACCATGGTCCGGGGCAGGAGGGGTCCTATGGCCAATGGGCAAATGCAGTGCAAGGGGGCAGCAAGAAGCTCCAGCCAGATTTCATTACGATGGTGGAGACATGGTCCGGGCCCCATGGGGTTAGGCGTGGAAACGAGTGAGGAATTACGATGATGGTCAGGAACATAGCTGGGCCAAAGGCAGGTATTGTCAAGATGGCAGACCTGTGCCCGTGTACAGGGAGCAGAGGAACCAGCAGAAACGAAGTCTCATGATGGGTAGCTGCAGGGATGCATGCCAATCCAGGCCAGGACTGGAAGACAGAAGAGATGAGGGCTGTGCTTTCTGCGGAGCGTGGAAGAAGGTCCACATAGGTCCACATCCCGCCTTCCTTGAGCTCAGTCTGCTCCCAGCTGGCGCCTCTGCATCCTGCGGTTGACACACAGTGAACCTGCTTATCAAAGCCGTGGTCCTCCCACAGGAGCCCATTCCTGGGGCAGCTTTCTCTCCTTCCAGCCCATTGCTCATAAAAGAGATGGTGTGTCTTTTCCCTGAGGGAGAATGACCTCCTCTTGGAACAGCTCATGTGTCTTTCCCCGAGGGAGAATGACCTCCTCTTGGAACAGCTCATGATCCCGTTGCTGGGTGAATGCTTTAAAAGGTAGTGTTCTCAAGCAGAACCTTCTCATTCTGTAGAAGGTTTCATGAGCTGAGAAATCATCCCTCTCTCTCTCCGTCTTACACACAGACATAGAGCTTTTGTTGTGGAAAGTAAGACACCAACATAGTTTATGAGATGTAAATATAACTTCGGTAAGATGGGAGTCTGAAGCTGTCTAATCGCGTGAGGACTGACATTCCCTTCAGTCTACTGGCAGGGATCGGAGCTGCTCAGAGTCCAAAAATATGCCTCTAAATTGGGAACTGTGAAAACGCCACCCCACACAACAAAGACAGGACTCCCCTAAAGGGTTCCAGATGCTACCTGCCCTGCTGGCCCGTGAGCGTGGAGTGTGCAGCAGAGCGAGAAGGCAGGAAGAGGAGGTGCTAGGAGCTGTCATCTCTGCCAGAACGGACATGATCAGGAGTCCTGGGCAGCACCAGGAGGCCCGTCTCTAGCAGCAATGGGTGTGTATCCTCATAACTGGCTCCGAAGTAGCACCTGGCTAGGGGACAGTGGTTTACTTGTGGAGCAATGAGGTTTCTGCTGAGCGTGACGTAAGTTTGGACATAAAATAGATCTAGTTCAGATGTTTGACCAGTCAGGGCCAACTCTGCTTGTCTTCCAACAGAGAACACATGTGTGTCCAGTGTAGCACATCTGTGCATGTTACTATTGTCCACCATGGTGTGAACGTGCCCTCCATGTGTAGATTAACCTCTAGGGCATTTATGAGTGCCTGATGTGTGTTGGGCATCATGTCTTGATCTGGGGGAATATGTGTTGTGGTTCTACAGGTCTACCAAGGAGTCGAAGCCCGGCGTGTAGCAGACATAACAGCAAGAGATCACGGTGACGTGAAAAATGCAGAAGACCTAGAAACTATGTTTCATTCACCATTTTCTAGAGATGAAAGTTGAAAATCACCCTTTTGTAGTTAGCGTTTCTGGTGCTGGCCATTCGTTCGTGTGGGCACCTGCTTCTGTCTGGCTGTATCACCCTCTGCCTGGGGGCATCTTAAACATCCTGGCCATGCAGGTTTGCCTGCGAGCGATTCTAACAGCTTTTCTATGTCAGAGAAACTTTCTTTTGCCATTTTTGAAATTTTTTTTTTTTTTGGCTGGATCTTGAATTTTAGGCTGAAGGGGTGTGTGTTTGTATGTTTTCTTTCAGTGCTTTAAAAATATGGCCACGTGGTCTTCTGGCTTGCATCATTTCTGAGAGGAAATCTGTTGTGGCTCTTATCTTTGTTCCTCCGTATGCAATGTGTGTTCTCTCCTGGCTGCGTTTAAGATTTTCTCTTGATCACTGGTTTTTTGTTTTTTGTTTTTTTGTTTTATGCAAGGGTGTTTTTTTTTAAATACTTTAAGTTCTAGGGTACATGTGCACAACATGCAGGTTTGTTACATATGTATACATGTGCCATGTTGGTGTGCTGCACCCATTAACTCGTCACTTAACATTAGGTATATCTCCTAATGCTATCCCTCCCCCCTTCCCCCACCCCACAACAGGCCCCGGTGTGTGATATTCCCCTTCCTGTGTCCATGTGTTCTCATTGTTCAATTCCCACCTATGAGTGAGAACATGCGGTGTTTGGTTTTTTGTCCTTGCGATAGTTTGCTGCTATAAAGACACATGCACACGTATGTTTATTGTGGCACTATTCACAATAGCAAAGACTTGGAACCAACCCAAATGTCCAACAATGATAGACTGGATTAAGAAAATGTGGCACATATATACCATGGAATACTATGCAGCCATAAAAAAGCTGATCACTGGTTTTAAGCAACTTGATTCTAAGTGGGCTTGGTCTAGTTTTCTTCATGTTTTATTTGGTTCTTTGGGGTTTGCTGAGCTTCTTGGATCTTTGGATCTGTAGTTCTCATGAGACTGGGAAAATCGTGGTCATGATTCCATGGCTTTTGTCACTCTGCCCCCACCTCCTTTGGGAACCCTAATGACTGTGTAACAGGCTACTCAGGGTCGCCCCATAGCTCGCTGATTCTGGCCATTTCTGTTTTTGATAATTATGTTTTCTCCGGCTGTTTCATTTTAGATACTTTATCTTCAAGTTCATTTTCTTTTTCTTCTGCAGTGTCCCATCTGCTATGAATCACATTCTGTGTATTTTTCATTTCAGACCTTATAGTTTTCATCTATAGAAGTCTGATTCGGGACATCTTTTGTGTCTTGATCTGTCGATGTTTTCTTCTGCATTCTTCAACAAATACGGGATATAGGAATGGTAACTTTTTAATGTTCTTGGCTAATTCTGTCATCCTGATATATTTTATTGATTGCTTTTTATTCTCATGGGCCCTATTTTTTCCCCAACAGACTCCCAATCCATCTCTTCCACCCCAGGAGGACCCCAGGCTCCCCCTCTCGTGGTAGCCTGGAAACTCCCCAAGCGGAAGCCGGGGCAGCTGTGGCGCCCCCTGGCTGTGTCCTCTGCTTGGGCCACTGCCCTGTGCCACTGCCTCAGCACCATTGTCTGTCTATTTTGTTTGGGTTTCCCGTTGTTCCAAGGTGGGTGGTGGATACACAGTCCCTGCCACGCCATCTCTGGGAAGCCTCCTTTCCCTCTTCGTCCAGGTTTTATCAAAGTGCCCGATGAGACATGTTCCCTGAGGAACCCAGGCAGAACTGGACCCTGCAGGAGCCAGGCCCCTCCCTTCCCAGTGGCAGCGAATCCCCGTCCTGACCGGGGCCTGGTGGCTGGCTGCCTGCTAGGCTGACACAGGGGAAGGAGGTGTGGAGGTGTGGGGAGGGCGGGGCTGAGCCAGGGCAGGTGAGCATCTCCCCAAGAGCACTGTGTGGGCATCCGGGTTGTGCCCTGGTAAGGCGTTGGAACGGCTGAGGCCTGTGGCCTGATGTTGCATTATCATTCCACCAAAAGAGGTCACGAGACTAGAATTGTGATCCAGTTTCCACACCTGCTGGTTGTTTGAAGTTAAGAAGTTCATGCCCCATCTTTGAACTGCAGTTTGTTGGCTGTGCATTAGGTCTGCTCCTACATGCATTGCCCTCACATGGATTTGTGCGACCAAGATTATACAACTCGGATGCTACTGTTTATAAAGTGTGTCCACGTTGATGATTCTGCTTGGTAGTCAGATGACATCCATGAGAGGCGTTCTCAGTCAGCTTCATTTCTGTTCTATGGACTGAAGTGTACCCGGTTAAGAACTTTGCCAAAGCTGTCACTCTAGGCAGTGACCATCCTTGGTCTAGAACTCAAGTCTCCCAGTGACAAATCCTCTTTCCTTTTCTCTACACATCTTGTTCTCAACTGCAGTTTCACCCCCCAGGGAACACGTGGTAGGGTCTGGAGCCATATTATTGCCACAGCTGGGGCGTGGGGGAGGGAGATGCTTTTGGAATTGAGGGACGGAGGCCAGGGACGCTGGTGAACGTCCTGCAACACCCAGGACAACCCCCCAACAACACAATTTCCTGGTCCCACACATTGGGGAACAGAGTTGCAGCTGGGAACTCCTGGTCTGCACTTGTCTGAGAAAATACTTGGAAGGCCATGAAGGGCCATTGCAAATAAAATCTCAGCGTAGGGCATGATTGTGCCTTGCTGTTACAGCCCAGGCTTTATTTCTGTTGTCAAGTCTAAAGGGGAATGCATCTCTAAATCCCTTATGTCATCTGTGCAACCATATAGTTGAATTTACCATCATGTTCTTTCAGCCATTTCTTCCAGATACATACAGTAAACATTTCTTTAGAGGGTGTGCAAGCTTTGAGGAAGCAAAAAATGATATTTCACAGAGTGCAGGCTCCTTGCTAGAGCACAAGTTTGAGCTAAAAAATGCTGGCTGCAAGCACACACGGTATGGATACAAATGGGGGTTAAAAATGCAATAACAATTCAAAAGAATCGTAGTTTGTCTCTCATTCTGTTTGTGCCGTTATGTATATAAGAGAACATCTTTCCAGGAACCAAACTGCCTCAGCAAATGGTTTTCAAATACAGTAAAATGCTCATAAATTTTTACTTATAAAATATTCCCCCATAGCATATGTTTTTCAGTTCCATACATATCGATGACTTTTCCATACATATCGATGACTTTGTATGTCTCATCCATGGTGATTTTGTTTCTCTGTCCCTCCCACTCTCAAGGTTCAGCTAGCTGATCCCGTGCAAAAGGTCTGCAGCTTCATTTTTCAGCAAAATGGGCCCTGTTGCTATTGAGAACTGAGACCTTAGAATCCCGCTTTGCTCTGGGCCCATTGCTCTCACGTATTATTCAAGTTGCTGAAATTCTCTGCTTGCCACATTTTCTGCAAAGTGCAGATTAATGGAGGCACGGTTCTGTAGGGCCCGGAAGAAGCCAGAAGTTATCAGAGCTCTGGCCACGGAGGGATCCTGGCATGAATTCCTGCAAACATTGCTCAAGATGTTTGTACGTGTCTGCCCAGACTGCATTTCTTTTATTCATAAGGTAATTCTTATGAAAATAATTGGTCCATTTTAACCACACAGATCTTTCTGGCACACACTGCCAGCAATCAGAGTGGCTTCATTTAGTACATTCAGGTGCCAGGAAGGGTGAGGTCGCTGTTTTCTCTCTTGTGGCCCCACCCAAGTCCTGTTAAACTTGAGCGGAGGCCTGGACGCGCCTGTGCAGCAGGTTGGCCCTCTTTTACTGTGGGTGGAGCCTGAGACCTAGTTCTGTTCATGGTAGGTTTCCTGGCTGGGACTGGTTTTTTGCCCTTCCTCTCCTACCCCTGTTCTGCTGCACCGCTTCTGCTGACAGGGCTGGGTTTTACTCAGCTGACTCGCCCCATGTGGTTGGATGCTCCTGGAACAGTCATGTGACCAGAACCAGCCAATCACTGTGCTTCATCCACCTGGCCTAGCTGTCTGTAGAGATGGGCAATGAGCCGAGTTGTTGATGGAATGACACTAAGCAACAGCAGCCGCCGATGGAGCACCTGCCACATGCCAGGCCTGGTCCTCCACTGTATTCAGGTTAACTGAGTGAATCCGCACGTCCGCCCTGTGTGGTACCTCATGCCATCAGCATCCCCATTTTACAGATCAAGAAGCCGAGGCACAGGACTTAGCCAGGTTTGTGCAGCTGGAAGATGGTAGAGCCAGGATTTGATACCAATGGGTCAGCCCCCAGATCTGCTGCTCTTAACTACCAGGCTGTGCTAAGTCAGGATGGTCCGAAACCTTCAGCTCTGCTGCTGTGAAAACTTTTCAGAGGGAAGCTTTCTTCCCCCTGGAGCTGCTGAGCCCAGAGCTGTGGGAGTCCAGGTAGATAGGAACACTAGTGGTAGTGAAGTAAGACAAGATGAGTGATGAAAAGAGAGAGTGCTTGAGCTACCCTTGAGAGGAGAGAGAGTGGTTTAGCACCTGGATCCAGCTGGACCTGAAAGAGGAGAATCCCAGACATAACTCTCCCCCTTCAACGTTCAGCTGGGCCCAGTTTGATCTGTGTTTGTGGCTTTTCTACCAAACTTTCCTGTTCTAATAACCCAAGCTCAAAACCATGGGAGTCATCAGTGTCTCCCTTGAGTTCAGTCCTCATGTCGATTGCTTGAAGAGACGGTTATGGTTACAAGAATTCATCCCATGTCTGTGCACGCCCATTGAGCATGAAATTGACTCCTCCTCTTCTCAGGGATGGGCTTGGCCATGGACTTTCTTTGGCTGACGAGATGTTAGCAAACATACTGTGAGCTGAGGCCTGGATGCGCCCTTGCTTCGGGGTGGCCCTCTTTCACTGTGGTTGGAGCCTGAGACTGGGATGAGAAGGAACCTGGTGGAGAGGAGCACCAGCACCCGCCCCCCCCGCCCCGCCCCCGCTGCCCCCAACACACACACAAATAGCCTAAGACCTAGTGGATGCATGCCCTGGAGAAACCATGTGACTGACACCTTCCCAGGTGACCCCAGGCAAGACTTGCAGAAGAACCATGCAGCTGAGCTCCGTCGAAATTGCTGACCCACAGATTTATGAATTTTGGAGGGGGGTGGTTATGCAGCCAAAGCTAATGAAAAGCTTGTAGTGTAGTTTTATCTTACCACGTTTTCTTTCCCTTTCGCTCCTGTCCCATCTTTCTGATATACTCATCACCTCATGGCTGGCCACTTGCAGATGTGTCTCTCCTTTGGCCTTGTGCTCACTCCAGATGCTGCTCTTGGTATTTTCTCTTTGCTCTCCGCTGGGGACGCATCTTCCTAAAGCATAGCCTTCGTCAAGTCCTACTTAGTTGGCCAGGCTTCAGCAGACCCTACTCACCCCTGGGAAGCAGCATCACCTGCCTAGACCATACCTGAGGTCCCAACACCCACACTTACCACATAATATTTTCCCACCAGCACCTCCCCTCAGAACAAAAACTTGCCACCATGCCATGTACATTCCCACGTTTTATTCTTTTGCGCTTTCATCTCCTTCCTGAAATGCAAATATGCACTCTTGTCTTTTCTGAACTTCTGCCCACCGCAACCCCCACTTTCTCCCTAAAGCCTCTGCAGACAACTTTATTGGGCATTTTTACTCCTCCAGACTCTCATATCTGCAGTGCCCTCACTGGGCACGAGCTGCATCGCTGTTTCTCCAGCCTGCCCCACTCTTCATCAGGCCCGTTTATCTTCTGCTAATTTGCCACCTTGGATGCTGAGCAACCTTACTTGGCTTTGGTTTCCTTTATCACCACAACCACGTGAAGAGCAGCCCTGGAGCCAGTGCCAGCTTCACGCAGTCAGTCAGGAAGAACGTGGACCACGTTTGGGTGGCTCGCATTTGCTGGGCGTGCAAGGCCTCGTGGGCACCCTGGGGAGAAGGTACCTGTGTGCTCATCGGATCCCTAAGACCAGCCAGTGGGGAAAGAGCTATCATGACCCTTCACACCTGAACACAGAGGGGGCTCAGGGGGTGCGCCCAGCAGCCCAGCCAGGATTTGAACCCGCATCATCACAGTGTTGAGCCACCTTATCCAGGACCCCACAGCCCTCCTCAGGCTTAGCTACAATGACAGGGGCCAAACCCTGTTTCCATCTCATCTGTTTGCAAAGCAGATTCAATATGTTCAGAGGATAAAGGTGCCAGTGTTTTCTCCTGGGGCTAGGAAGAAAAGACTATTGGGATGTACCTGTGAATTTCATATGCAAGCATTAATATGGTCACCGGCTGCCTGGTAAGAAATAAGAATTTCATCCCTTTCCAACGGCAGCTTCATTTCGTGAAATGAATTGGCATGCTGTGCTTCATTTTGATGATTTTGGCAAAGGACTTGGGTTCTTCAAAATTGAAGTCAGCACCCCTGTTCCATTGCGAGATGTGTTTGGCAGCCGTGAGCTTCTAAAGATCTCCCCAATAGAGAATTGTATTCCATTAACTTTCTAATATAATTATAGGGTGACAGGGAGACCTGCCCAACTTTTTGTTATTCCACCCTCCAACGCTTGGCTGGATTTGGGGTGGCTATTGTGGATCACAGCACCACACTCTCTCCAAGAACATTCCCTATTGTGAAAGCATCCCTGCGGAGGAGGCTGCAGTTAGCACACCAGGGCCCTCCTTCCTCTGTGGATCCAAGCATGCACAGAGCCCATTCACTCTGCCAGGGTGGTGTTGGGTCCCGGAGATGCACAGCTGAAGAAGATCCAGCCCAGGCTCCTAAGGGCAACCCCAGCCAAGGAGAGAGCTCCACGGTGCTCTGCCAGACGAGGCCCAGGTGTGGGCCCAAGGATTGCAGGGTACTGGTGGGGAGGGTGGCTCATTGACCTCTTCTGCAGCCTCAGTGAAGCTGGTTCTCCATGGCGATGATGGAGGATTCTCCTGACTCTTGTGCAGAACAGGACCACTGCAGGGTGAATCAGCCCTGGCCAGGTACCACTGCCCATCTGGTGGGCCAGACAGCTGTCTGTGCTGCAGTGCCCAGGCACGGGCCCTGTTTCTCTCAGCACTTGCCCCATACGGGTTTCTGTCGACATCCAGCTCCTTGGAGCAGCACTGAATTGCTTCATTCACACGTCTACACTCCACGTTCCTCTGATCCTCCCTTGGTTGGAGAGACTCCCAACACACGCACCCACTAATTACACCACCCCCTTGAGTCGAGACCAACAATCTGATGAGTGCATCAGCTCCAAATTATTTTACTGGATTGGGGTGCCAGAATGCCAGGCTATGCCATCTAACGTGAGAGAAATGGGGAGCATTGGCCCGCATAGGTGAGCCATGCTTTCTTTAGACTTCCAGGATATCACGAGCCCAAAAAATTCATAAAACACACAAAAGAAACTCAGCTAAAGGCAAAATGTCCAATGCTGCTGCATTCCTTGTTTCATCCTTCCACACCGCCATGCTGTAAGCAAAATACAGCCCAGAAACCTGCACAGTTCTACAAACAGATCTGTGTGCACAGCAGCCCTGAAGCTCAGCATCAGGCTTAGGAGCTGGAGAGTGATGGGCCAGTGCCCAGCCTGTGGGTGGGGGCTGTGCATGACTGGTAGCATTCACACATGGACATCACAGTCCCAGGACAGGTCCTGTGTCCCCGTGGGGCCCTACCCTGTTCCTCTCGCAGTCCGGGAAGCATTGTCAGATCCAGGCTGCAGGAGGACAAGACTGGCTGTAGCTCTGAACGCTCATGGCTCAGCAAAGCCAGTGTCCGGCATGTGCTGGCCTTAGGATTTTAACCATCGTTGGAAATAAAACACTTGTGTGGTGCCACCTCAGTTAATAATCTGCTTTCTAAGATACAAATTTTAGGCCAGGTACGATGGCTCATGCCTGTAATCCCAGAGTTTTGGAAGCTGAGGTGGGAGGTTCGCTTGAGTCTAGGGGTTCGAGACTAGCCTGAACAACATAAGGAGACCTCACCTCTTAAAAAAAAAATTAAGTAGCCAGTTATGGTAGTATGTGCCTGTAGTCCTAGCCACTTAGGAGGCTGAAGCAGGAGTATCACTTGGGCCCAGGAGTTCAAGGTTCCAATGAACTATGATTGCATCACTGTACTCCATCCTGGGTGACAGAAAGAGCCTCTGTCTCTAAAAAATAATAAAATAATAATGAGATAAAAGTTCCAGTTCCCTGGATATGGTAGATGCTTGAAGGGAGGTACTGTTTTATTCTCGTGTGTACCCAGTGGTGCCTGGCAGAGGAAGGGCCCTGGAGTCACAGTCAAGGTCAGCTAGATTTTCTCCTATGTTATCTTCCAGGAGTTTTATAGGTTTGCATTTTACATTTAGGTCTGTGATCCATTGTGAGATAATTTTTGGGAAGGGTGTAAGGTCTAGGTCCAGTTTTATTTCTGTGTATGTGAATGTCCAGTTGTTTCAGCACCATTTGTGAAAAAGATAATGCTTTCTCCATTGAATTGCCTTTGTCTTTTGCCAAAGATCAGTTGACCGTAGTTATGTGAGTCTGTTCTGCGGGGGAAGGGGGCTTCGTGGGCTGGAAGAAGTGGGAGGCCTGAGAGTGAAGGATTCCTAAGGAAGTGAGGGGTGAGGAATGAAATTTGGGTCAGGATTATTGGCCTCGGCTCACCATGTGATTGTTAATGAATCATTCTCAGCACAACTTTTAATTTATTTATTGGTTCTCATAATGGAGCCTCCATTCATTCTAATAAGTACCATGAGCTTCAGCCTCTGAATACATGAGAGGAGAATTTTAGGGAAATGGCCACAGGGAGTTTGTGTCTCAACTTGCCCTTTAAACAACTGGAGTTGCAGTGATTTTCTGATTCTCTGCTATTTCCCCATTCCTCCCTGAACAAGCATCAGAAGGAAACTAAATGCAATCTGACAAGACAACCCTTCAGCAGGTTAATTTGTACTAGACCCTCAATTTTCCAGCTAGAAATCTAGCTTGAAACACTACTACTCAAACAACATCTATCAAAGCCCAACATCTGGGTCTCCCAGCTGCCAAGTTCACCCCGTGAGGACTTGTCAACACGCCAGTCTGCTTCGTAATTGAAGTACTATTCAAAGTGTCAAAGTCTTGTCCGTGGAAACAGTCTGCATATGCAGTTACAACTAAGTATGGGTTGGAAAAAATACAAACTGAGGTCAGCTCTTCCTAATAGGAGCATCTAAGCAATGTCTTAAGTCTTCAAGCCACGGTTGTCATGATATCTGTTTGTCACCCCCAGAGGCAAATGGAGGCAGTTCAATCGATGATTCTGTGGGAGGAGAAGGGCAGAATAACTTAGGCAAAGACAATCACTCAGTGCCATTTATTTGTCTTGTATGACGCCAATGATCATGGCCAGTCTTGACCTAGTGTTAGCAGCAGTGATCTAACATCGCCGAGGAAGGAATCTACTATTGCTGCATTTCCCACAGCTATTATTCTGCCCTCCAAAAGGCAAAGCACAGAGTAGGTATTGTTCTGACCTCCAAAGAGCAAAGCACAGGGCAGGGTGAGGTGACTGTGACCAGCGGCCACAACAGAGCTTCCTGCCTTTTTAACGGAACAGAACCGTTTTTAATTTTTTTAAAAGATCATTCCACAATAATTCATTTGTTCAGCGCCTCTGTAAACAAATGCTTGGAGTTCACACGGGTCCCCTGTGGAATGATCCTTCTAAGTAGCTTTGGCTCAAAGGCATCCCACGGTGGTGATTGCTTTAGGATTGTTTCCACTGGAGTGAATTATACTTGAGGTAGAATTTGTACTGGGCTGATTTGTCTTAAATTGCAGGATAAGTTCTAAAGTACAAGAAGTATGTACTCTATAAAAAATGTCGTGGGGCCTGACTGGTATCAAGAGGACTGAACATGGAGAGACAAAAGAGAGAGAGAGAAAAAAAATGGGGCTCTGCAGCTGCCAATATTTGATGCCCTTGTTATCAAGCCATAAGGCTGAAAATGCTTTTGATAATGTTTTTAGAACTAAGCATGCTCCTGTCGGCTGTTCTCTGTGTTCCTTGAGTAGTCTCTAAAAGATTGGAAGAATTTGTGGGTGCACCTAAAACAGTCACCATGGACCTTGCCATTCACAGTATGTCCTCAGATCAGCCCCATCAGTGTGGCCTGGAAGCTTTTTATTATGTTTAAAGATGCAAAGTCAGGAAGTCAGTATGTCTAGCCATCTTAAATCACTTTTTTTTTAAATTCATCCATCAGTTTGGAAAAATAATATATTCCATTACTTTACACTTCAATGCGTTACTGTGCAATGCACTCATTGATGACTCTGAAACACAAACAGGACTTCCCAGACCTCTGCTTGGAAGCTCCTGGGTATTAAGTCTGGGCAACCCCATCTCCTCCCAGCCTCACTAACACGAGTCGCCTCTTCTCAGGAGAACTGAGAAGAGAGCTTTGCATGTGACAGCTCCACCCTTTCCAAGGGGGTCTTCAATTGCTTGACAGCCATTATTCTGTTAAGCTCCTGTGCCTCTCCTGTTTGAGCAGATAGAACCAGGTTCAGACCCAGGCACAGCCCAGTGACTATTATTGAACAAATGTATTGGGTTGGTGCAAAAGTAATTGTGGTTTTTGCCATTACTTGGGTCAGCATTGTCAAATCTACACCTACTCTATGGCCCAGTAGTTTCTTTCCTGGATTTTATCCAAAAGAAATTAAAGAGATGCAAGAGAATGTTCAAACCTGCTTTTAATGGCCAAACCAAAATGACTTTTGCACCCACCTAATAGTCGTGATAAAGTGGCATTAAACTGGAAATCTAACTTGACTTGTCACTCCTCCTTCCCCAGGGGGCTGAGCCCCGATGCTAATGACCACAGTCGAGGATGAGTTGAACCCTCAGCCAGGGTTGATTCAGCCGATTGGCCAGTCCTGACGTTAATAACTTGCACAGACGCTTTGCACGCATTAAGCAATTTCATCTTCTCAGCAGTCCTAGGAAGATGTTGCTGCCACGATCCTCAATTCATAGGTTAAGATACTGATGCACAGCCATTAACTGACTTGCTTTTTGAACTCAGTTTGAGAGCCTCAGAGTCCACATCCTAAACCACTGTGCTGGCCTACCAGGGGCCTCCAAAAGTACTTCTACATCAGCATTATTTGGGGATGCTTCTGAAACATACAGCTCCTGGGCCCCTCTAAGGGAGAGTCTAAGTCAGCAGGTCATGGGCCCAAGGAGTTGTATTTTTTTTTAAATTTTTCAGATCATTGTGATGATGGGCCAAGTTTGGGGACTGCTGTTTTAGCTCACAAATTCCTGGTTGATGACCATCACATTGGTTCTTGGTTTTTGTTTCAAAAAAGAAAATCAAATGGACATCTAATCTGTGGCCCAACAATTTTTTTCCTATATTTTATCCAAAAGAAATGAAAGACATTCAAGAGAATGGTCAAAGCAGCTTTATTCACAATAGGTCAAAAACTGGAAACAGCCCAGGTGACCCACAACATACTGGGGTTCATCCATGTGGTGGAATTCTACCCACTGATGAGAAGGAGCAGCCTGCTAGGGTGTGCAGCCACATGGCTGAGCCTTGAAAACACACGAAGCGGAAGGGGCCTGGCTCAGCAGTGCAAGTCCACTTATAGGCACCTCTGGAAGAAGCCAAACTAATTGGTGGTTTAAAAATTGTCATGGTGGCCGGGCGCAGTGGCTCATGCCTGTAATGCCAGCACTTTGGGAGGCCGAGGCAGGTGGATCATGAGGTCAGGGGTTCGAGACCAGCCTGGCCAACGTGGTGAAACCCTGTCTCTACTAAAAATACAAAAATTAGCTGGGCATAGTGGTGGGTGCCTGTAATCCCAGCTACTCGGGAGGCTGAGGCAGGAGAATCATTTGAACCCGGGAGGCAGAGGTTGCAGTGAGCTGAGATCACGCCATTGCACTCCAGCCTGGGCAACAGGGTGAGACTCCATCTCAAAAAAAAAAAGTTACAGTGTTTGCCTCTGGCAGTGGTGGGAGTCGGAGTGACGGGGGGCACTCCTGGACTGAGCAGGCCCTGCTCACAGCACACGGCTGTCTAATTGTCATGTGATGAATCCAACTGCAAGGCTCTTAAAATACCTCCCAAATCCTTAAAGAAACGTAAAGTTACATTCAGGATAATCAAAGTGCTGATAAGGATGGTTGAGTGTACTTTAGTCATCTGATACAATTTGTGTAAGATTTATGTGGTCACACTCAGGGTGTGCTTGACTGATTGGAATTTCTCGCCCACACTGGATACCAAATGTAGGCTGCCTGAAATCCTTGGGAACAAAGTGCCTTATTCAAGAATAACAGAATTTTATCATTGACTCCATTGCAATACAACATTTGGCATATGGTATAGCCAACACCATGTTATATTATAGCAGGGTTTTGTTTTCTTTCTTATGTTGGGTTTTCTAATTAGAAGTGTGCGCATAGTGTGGATAAGCCCAAAGATAGCACACTGGTTTTCAGGAGAGTTTTCTCTGTGTTAAGTTGGGCCAAGGCAGCTTAGATTCAACATGCCCAGTTCCACACAGGTTACTTGGTTGGGCTGTAATCTTGGTTCTTAAGTTCATCACCTCCAGCCAAGGTGGACAGTACAGAGCTCTAGCCCCGAGCATTTGCAGGACAGGTGTTCTGAGCAGGCTGTGTATGACTCGTGATGCTGGTAACTTCACAACTAAGGGCTAGTGAAAAGGAAAAGATGGAACAAAGGAAGACAGCACAAAAGGGTGCCTACAACTGTGCACCATGGAGAGTTTACATAATGGAAAGAATATTAAAGATACAAACTGTGATTTAAAGATACGCAAAAATTGTGATGCAGTCTTGAAGAAAGTGAAATTTTAAGACAAGTCTGCCATTGTCTCTCTGTTGTTTTGGCCCCATGTACATATATTTCCTCTGTTTTCGTTGGTGGTATTGATGCTAGTTGTGTTGATGTTGATGCTGGTGGTATTGATGTTCTTGCTGCTGATGTCAGTAGTGTTGATGTTGCTGATGTTGGTGCCATTGCTCTTGATGTTGATGCTGATGTAATGGTGTTGATGTTGGTGGTGCCATTGTTGGTGGCGGTGGTGCTGATGCTGGTAGTGTTGATGTTGGTGGTATTGATGTTGATGGTATTGATGTTGGTGTTGTCAATATTATTGATGCTGGTGGTACTGATGTTGCTGATACTGTTAGTGGTGCTGATGTTGGTGGTGCTGATGTAAGTGGTGTCAGTATTGTTGATGTTGGTGGTGTTGATGTTGGTGGTGTCAATATTGTCGATGGTGGTGTTGATGTTGGTGGTATTGATGTTGCTGATGGTGGTGTCAATATTGTTGATGGTGTTGATGGTGGTGGTGTTGATGTTGGTGGTGTCGATATTGTTAATGTTGGTGGTGTCGATATTGCTGATGTTGTTGGTGTCGATATTGTTGATATTGGTGGTGTTGATATTGTTGATATTGGTGGTGTTGATATTGTTGATATTGGTGGTGTTGATGTTGCTGATGCTGATGGTGGTGTCAGTATTGTTGATGTTGGTGGTGTTGATGTTGGTGTTGATGTAGGTGGTGTTGATATTGTTGATGTTTGTGATGTTGATGTTGATGGTGGTGGTGTTGATGTAAGTGGTGTCAATATTGTTGATGTTAGTGGTGTTGATGGTGGTGGTATTGATGTTGCTGATGCTGATGTTGGTGGTGTCAATATTGTTGATGTTGGTGATGTTGATGTTCTTGATGCTGATGTTGGTGGTGTCATTGTTGATGTTGATGGCGGTACTGATGTTCCTGATGCTGATGATAGTGATGTTGGTGTTGGCTGGCCTCTCTGCAAGTTTGTTTTCCTGATGAAGACTCAGATAGATGGTGGCATGCTTTGTGTCAGGCGTGATTTGGACTGGCAATGCCGTGGTGAAAATATCAGATGAGATGTCTGCTTTCATGGAGCTCACAGTCTGGGGTGGGGGCCAGGCATATAATGAACAAGTCCATGTACAATGACAATATCAGGAAGCAAGAAGTGCCATGTACAGAATCAAAATATTAAATATTGAAAGATAGTATAGAACATTTGGGGAAGGGCTACTTTAAATAGTATTGTCAGAGAAGACCACTTTGGGGAGTCCACAGTTAAGCCAAAACCTGGATGGCAAGTTGAAGCAGCCATGAAAGATGAGGGATGAGCCAAGTTGGCAGTGGAGGTGGATGGAGAATCATTTTCAGCTTTGAGCTGTCGTGCCTGTCAGCCTGGGATGGTCAACCAGGGCTTGGGATTTGCCCATGGTAGAGAAGTAGGTGGAGCCCAGTAGGTTTGAATGAAGTACGTAAATTAGACTCTAATAAAGTCACTCAAACCCATTTAATTTTAGCTCAGGAATTTTCCTGGAAATTGACCAAAGTGGACTTTTCTATCTCTTGACTGTTTTCCAGGAGACGCAGAATACAGGCCTGTGTCAGTGCTGTAGCCCACACTCGCTGTGGGCCTTTCCGGAGTTCCATTGTCTGTGAAGTATGCTATGCCCTGCTTAGCCTAGAGATTTGTTTCCATCATATGTGAAGCGTGCTATGCCCTGCTTGGCCTAGAGATCTGTTTGGCTTCTCCTGGACAATGCCCACAAGTAACCTTTTAGTTCTCTGAGTTTTTTGCTTCTTACAGAGCAGTCTTCCCCTCTGCAGGTCATCACCTCTGTTGCCCCATAAAAATAAGTTGTTAGGAAACAAGCTGGAAAGTGGGTGCTGATGCGCTGCCTTAGGCAATGCCTCTACGGCTACAACCCGTGTGCCATTCCGGCTCTTCTCCTTCACAATGGCTGGTGGCTGCCAGTGAGATAAAATGGCAGCCTGTCGCTTTGTGCCTCCCTGCAGGAGACAGGTTCCCAGGGGGATATCCGCTGCACACAGGGTAGATTCCCACTCCATCTTGGGGCTAGTGGTCTTGTCTGGTTTAGTCTTCCTTCCTCTCCCCTCCTCTCATGCCTCCCTAGCCAGTCTTCTTGGATGGTAATGCAGGTCAGAGTCATGATAAACTTTCACTCCCAACCCTCTAGGGTGACCCCCTCCAGAAAGAGAGCAGACCCAGTGTGGATTCCGCTACAGGTGGCCCCCACCCCAGTCCTGGGAGAACAGTGGCCCGTACAAATTGCCATGGAGGCAGGTGGATGCCCCTCAGAGCCTGGCCCATGGTCCTCAGTGTCCCCCACAAACCTCCCCCTGAAGCAAGACCTGAACACTCTGGAGCGGACTCTCCAGGTCTGTGTTGTTGTGACAGCTCAGCAGCCACACTGCCAGACAAAGAGCAGGCTGGGGAGAAAATGGCCGTCTGACTGCTGCTCATCACACACAACTCCAGGAGCAGGTGGAGACAGGAGCGCTCAGTGGGGCCGAGCCGGGCTGGGTGTGAGCCCCTGCAAGTTCTGGAGGCTGGGTCCCAGGTTCTGACTTAAAATCACGGCTGCTGTTCATCCTCAAACTCGAGAGAAGTTTGGTGTCAAATGTTGCCTTCATCCTCCTTTCTCTAAACTCAATAAGGAGACCCCCACCTCTGCTCGTGCATACTGTGCAAATCGCTGAAATCTATCAACTTGAATAGACTTAGAAAATCATATGCTGCTATGAAAGAAACCCATAAATGAATCTTTATATTTGAAGTTTTTTCATTTAACAAATGCATTGTTATCCATTATCCTTTCAGTACTTAACAAACAACTCATAATGAAATACAGAAGGGCTCAATTGGAAGGCTTTTCTTTTTCTCTCCAAAATAGCTATTTCCTTGCAGGTAGTAATTTTGTTTCAAGAAGAGCGATGTTTAGCACCAGGCTTTTTAATAAAATATGTGTGAGAGAATAATTCTTCTAAAACATTCTGTATCTACAAAAATCTATATGTGAGAGAACTTGAATTATTCTCTAATAGATTTTATTACATAGCAGTTAAGAATTTCTCTAAGAGACATCTAGTCAAAGGCATCAATTTTGGATAACAAAGCATTGGAGAGAAAGGGACTTATTGAAAACTGGCGTTATTTGCTATTTTGTGAATTCTTTATCTGTTTCTCTAGCTATCATTTTCTCCTGGAAGGTGGAGCATCTGAGGCTGTGATTGAGTGTGGTAGCGCCTCGTGCATGCCTATTGTGATCAGCTGCAAATGACTGAGCTGACATTCATTCGCCCAACCTGCACTCTTTGGCGTGGGCCCTCCGCCAGATGCCATGCCCTGCACTGGGGAAACTGAGGCTGGAAGAGGACTATCCACAGGGAGCCACCTTGCATGGTGGGAGTAACAGGGGCTGAGTTCAAGGTTCAGGGGCCCATGGCAGGGGCAGGAGAACAAGGGCAGGGCCCCCAAACAGCTGTTTTAATAAATTAACATGATCCTGTAGGAGCCGATGCTATTTGTTGAGGTATGAGGACCAGAAGGCGGCGGTGGCCTCGTCCGTTTCATTCAGGACTTAATGTTGAGTCTGTGATGTGTCAGGCATGGTTCTGGACCTAGACCTTCAACCAGGAGAAACATGTCCCAGGCCCTGGAGCTCAGGCACCTGAGGGGGAGCCGAACACGACGTTCCCCTCGTTAACTACAGCACAGCCTACGAACCCCCAGGAGGAGCTGTGGGAGGGAGTCCAGCCACATGGAGCCTGGAACCCCTCCCCCCGCCGCCAGCCCCCCGCTTATCCTGAGAGGTCGCCCAAGGCTTCCTTGGTGGTAGCAGCTGTGCTGCAGGGCAGCCCGGGACTGCCCAGCAGGGGAGGAGGCAGGAAACAGATGAGGCTCTGAGGTGGGAATGGCCACTTAAGAAACTGAGACTGCAGCCTGGGCGACAGAGCAAGACCTTGTCTCAGAAAAAGAAAGAAAGAAGGTAAGAGAGTCCTGGGCAGGCCGGGCACTGTGGCTCATGCCTATAATCCCAGCACTTTGGGAGGCTGAGGCAGGTGGATCGCCTAAGGTCAGGAGTTCAAGACCACCCTGGCCAACATGGTGAAACCCCATCTCTACTAAAAATATAAAAATTAGCTGGGCATGGTTGCAAGCACTTGTAATCCCAGCTACTCGGGAGGCTGAGACAGGAGAATCATTTGAACTCAGGTGGTGGAGGTTGTGGTGAGCTGAGATAGTGCCACTGCACTCCAGCCTGGGCAACAGAGTGAGACTCCATCTCAAAAAAAAAAAAAAAAAAAAAGAGTCTAGTGCAGCAAGCCAGGGACACACAGCAGGAGAGAGGAAGGGAAGGTCCAGGTGCCGTGCCATGCAAGGGAAAGCTCCTCGAACATTTTTTTCTCTAGGTATTTCATTATGAAAATTTTCATACTTACAGAAAATCTGAGGGAATTGAACAACGGACATCTATATACCCACTGTCTAGATTTTATAATTGGCCAGCCACAGTGGCTCACTCTTGTAATCCCAGCACTTTGGGAGGCTGAGGCAGAAGGATCACTTAAGGCCAGGAGTTTGAGACCAGTCTGGGCAACACAGTGAGACCCTGTCTGTACAAAAAAAAATTAAAAATTAGCTGGGCATGGTGGTGTGTGCCTGTATTCCCAGGTATTCAGGATGCTGAGGCAGGAGGATCACTTGAACCAGGAGGAAGTTGAGGCTGCAGTGAGCCGATCACGCCACTGCACTCCAGCCTGGGCAACAGAGCAATACCCTGTCTCAAAAAAAAAAAAAATCTAAAATTCACATGTTCCTGTGTTTCCTTCATCCCATATCTATCCTCTGCCCATCCCTGTATCCATTTTACTTTTCAATGCGTTTCAAGATAAAAGTGCAGACGTCAGTATACTTCACACCTAAACACTTCTGTGTGTATCTCAGTAGTGTTCAATATTCATTTACATTAATGAAGCAACATTTCCTAGAGAAAAAGCCATCCATTTTAGGCACGCATTCCCTCAGCTTTGACAAATGCTTACATTTGGGTGACCAAGACTCCAATCAAGATGCAGAACATCATTCTAGAAAGTTCTCATATCCTTGTTCAGTCAGCCCCTCCTCTGGCCCTAGAGCAGCCACTGCTGTGATTTCTTCACTATGGTTTTGCCTGTGCTGTGTTCTTTGGATGTGCTGTAGGCTTGGTTTGATGTTGGCTCTGCTTCTTCCAATGAAAATACTGCATGCAGCTTGGGCTATGATGGGTGAAGCTGCTGAGAACATTCTTGTGCAAATCTTGTTGTGGGCAGGTGTTTTTTTTTGTTTGTTTTGGGGATTGATTTTTTTTTTTTTTTTTTGCTTTTTGTTTTTTCCTGGTGAAACATCTTGCCTTAAGTCTCTCTTATCCAATGTTAATATCAGCCGTGAATAAGCCTCTTACGTTCACCATTGGCATGGTATTTTTCATATTTTGACTCTCCACCTGTCTGTGTACTCACAGTGTGTGTCTTGTGAACAGCATGTCTTTGAACCTTGATTTTTTTCCCCATCCTTTCTGACAACCCTTGCCTTGTAACAGGATTCCTGATACTTTCTGGTATGTTACTGGTGGGGGTGGAGTCGGGTCTAACACTTGTATTTGTGTTTTTGTTTGCTCTGCTCTGTTTGTGATGTCTCTTTTCCTGCTTCTCTCCTTTCTTGTGTTAATTAATTTGTTTTAGAATTCTATGTTAATTTAGCTATAGGATTTTTAGCTCTACCTCTCTGCACTATGTTTCAGGGGTTGCTCTAGGGATTACAATATACATCACAGGCTACTGAAAGATTTGGGGTTTTTTGTTGTTGTTAAAAAAAGAAAAACGAAAAAATGCAAATCAAAACCACAATGAGATACCATCTCACACCAGTTAGAATGGCGATCATTAAAAAGTCAGGAAACAGCAGGTGCTGGAGAGGATGTGGAGAAATAGGAACACTTTTACACTGTTGGTGGGACTGTAAACTAGTTCAACCATTGTGGAAGACAGTGTGGCGATTCCTCAAGGATCTAGAACTAGAAATACCATTTGACCCAGCCATCCTATTACTGGGTATATACCCAAAGGACTGTAAATCATGCTGCTATAAAGACACATGCACACGTAGGTTTATTGCAGCACTATTCACAATAGCAAGGACTTGGAACCATCCCAAATGTCCATCAGTGATAGACTGGACTAAGAAAATATGGCACATATATACCATGGAATACTATTCAGCCATAAAAAAGGATGCGTTCATGTCCTTTGTAGGGACATGGATGAAGCTGGAAACCATCATTCTCAGCAAACTATTGCAAGGACAAAAAACCAAACACCGCATGTTCTCACTCATAGGTGGGAATTAAACAATGAGAACACATGGACACAGGAAGGGGAACATCACACACAGGGGCCTGTCATGGGGTGGGGGGAGGGGGGAGGGATAGCATTAGGAGATATACCTAATGTAAATGACGAGTTAATGGGTGCAGCACACCAACATGGCACATGTATACATATGTAACTAACCTGCACGTTGTGCTCATGTACCCTAGAACTTAAAGTATAATAATAAAAAAAAAAGGCCACAGCTTGTGAAGACCAGATCGGATGGGCAAATAAACACACAAGACTAGTGAGGTGTTCCCACCGGTTGGCCGGTTGATTTTCCAGTTAATTGAAAAAGGAGTTTCAGAATGTTCTAGCTCAGATGACCACAGTGTACACTGAAACTCTTCCTGCCATGGAACTGTATTGATAGTGTAATCGATAATGCTATACACACTCAGATCAGAGACAAACAGCTCCGACTTCCGGTGACACCTTTGAGAATTGTCTACTCACTGCTGAATTTTTAAAAATCCACTCTTAATATAAAAATAACATGGAATTTGAAGAGGAACCTCCAGGATCACATAGTGACCCTCCTTTCCTGTTACAATCTGCAGGTGAACCTCACAGGGCCACAGGAGGACCTCCCAAAAAACACACGTAGTTTAACCAGGATCTCCAGAATCTCTGTCCAGGGTGGTCTAATCTTTTGTCTTCCCTGGGCCACATTGGAAGAGGAATTGTCTTGGGTCACACATAAAATACACTAAAGATAGCTGATAAGCTAAAAGAAAATCGCAAAAAAAAATCTCATAACGTTTTAAGAAAGGTTACAAATTTGTGTTGGGTCACATTCGAAGCCGTCCTGGGCCGCAAGTGCTCTGAGGACCTCAGGTGGGATGAGTTTGCCCTAGCCCTTTACTCCAGCTGTCTTCTGTAAAGGACGAGGGAACCTAGCATTCAGCCCCAGCTTCTCTCCTCGGAATGAGTCTCCTTCCAGTAGAGGATAGAACCCCACGTGTCCTGAGCCTTGAGTAGGAGATGGGGGCGTATTGTGACTTGCCGGGAGCATGGCCTCCAGGCTGCATGGCGGGGGCAGGTTTCCATGCTTACGGTGGTCCTCACTGCTCATGGAAAGGAGCTTCGGACACCCAGGTCCCTCCTGAGCCTCCCTGCACTGTGGCTGTGGAGGTCAGGCTGCCTGTGGTTGTGTTTTCGTAGCTCCTGGAGCCCTGGTTGCGGAAGCCAGTAGGCACCTTTGCCCACTCATCCTCAGCGTCAGGCAGTCAGGAGCATCTGGGTTGGGGGCACAGCCCCGGACCTTCATGCTGCTCACTCTGGCCAGGTACTTTCATCCCCTATGCCTCAGTTTCGCCACCTAGAAGGATAGCAGTGCCTCTTGCTCTGCCCTGTTAAAGGTTATGCGGGACTGGGGTGCAGGTGTGCCTGGTTCAGAACAAGGATTCGATGAACGGCAGCTGTGACTTCATTCTCAGCGCCTCCTTTCTACCCTGCTTTAAAGAAGGCAAGTGTGAGTGTGCTAGGGGGGCTTAGGGTTGTTTGTGGGCCACTTCTTTATCTAACTGGGCCCTGATGCTTCAGACAGTGTCCCTGAGGTCACACAGGGAGGAGGGCTCCAAGCCAGAATTTAGACCTCAGCCTGCAGACACAGGACAGATCCCAGCCCACAAACGCAGGCCAGTGCCACCTGCCATCCCATGAGGGCAGGAACACGGGGGTGTCAACCTTGAGCTCCTCACCTCTGTGCTGAGCAGACACCAGGAACAGGGCTTATGAGCAAGGCTTTGGGGACGATGAGGAGACCCTGAATTCATCTGCACCTTGAGCCGGATACCTCTGAGTGCTCCTGCACTCCCCCAGCCTGTACCATGGAACCTTGTTTTCTCCCCTCCAGATGTGGGCATCGATTCTGTCTGTGGCAGGGGTGGTTGGAAGGGTCAGTGGCACCATTATGCAAAGCACCCAGGAGGCACGGGCGCAGCTTACATGTCCCTGAGTCATGCGCTAGGCCATGAGAACTATTATTATTAGTTTTATGACTCTTGTTGCTATGACAACAGCGCTGGGTGTGAGGGCTGTCACTTCCCTGTCGGAATCACTGTGGCATCCTCAGCCAGGAGGAGGAGGCCCAGCCGAATGGAGCAGGGCGTCCCCTGGCCTCGGGATGGTCCCGTGTGTCAGTAACATGTTCATACTACTGTTGTGTTTGTCAAATAATGGAAGTATCATCATAAGCTGCACTGGGAAATGGAAATTAAATTTTTCAGAGGATGCACGGTGCTGATAAAGGATGGGCACCAAGGCAGCCACGTGCACAATGATCACCAATTATAAAGCCATTGCTCACTCGCGTTCGGAATTGCAGCGTGAATTAAGATGCTTGTTTGGGAACAGAGTCCCCAGTAGTTGCTCATTACAATTCCACATCACGGGCGTGGAGAGGGAGAGAAACAAAATGCAGTGTCTTTCCACCTGGGTGGCTGCCTGTGCCGACTCTGGGTCCTGTCTCAGGCCCTGCAGCTCACTGCAAAGAGACTTGAGTAACCAGGTATATTTGTTGTGCTGGGAAAACACAGAAGGAAGGGAATGTCTGCATTCTGCAATGTGTGCTCTTTCCTCTCAAGACACAGAGAGGAAAAGACCTCTGAGAGGCACAGACACCTGCGTATCATAAGAAGGTAGGGCTGTGTGACTGATGGGAAGAGGAACTGTCTCTGCAGCATTAGGCAGAGGCATTTTCTGTGCATGTTAATATTTAGTCTTTATAAATCCTGTTTCCTTCATATCGTTGGCGTGTCAAGTACTTGACGTATAGCCTCACAGCCCATCCAGAATGAGCCTTGAGGTTGAACTGGCACTGGGACATCCAGCCCCCAGTGCAGGCATGCCCTCAGGCCCACGCAGCCGCTCTTGATGTGGAGGCAGGAAATGGAAACTCTTCAAATTCCTGAGCACTCAGCTCTCTTTGCAGCATTGTGCTAAGCATATCTCTCCTTGACATCGTGTCATTCCTGTGTCCACAGCAGGCAGGCCCTTGGGAATGGCTCTGGTGAAATGGGGAGGAGAGAACTTTCTTCTCCGACAGACGGTTCATGATTTCCAAGGTCTTCTCTGGTTAAGACCAGAAACATGTTTCTGTAGAGCCCAAAACAGGCCACATCCGCTCCTGCTCTGAGCTACAATAGACTCAGGCTGGGGGAGGTGGCGCTGCCATCCGCCATCTCCAGTCTCCTTATCTGATGTTTAGAGCTTCATAGTTTAAATGGCAATCATTCCTTGAAGCCTGCAGCCTGCGATAATACAGCTAATACATTATTGCCTCTGGCTTCCGTGCAGAACAGCGGTTAGAGACGGGTGGAAAGAGAGAGCATTGGGGTGACTGAGACAAATGGAGTGTGGCCTGCTTGGGAAATGCTGAAAAGTGTTGGTGTTTACCTGGCTACGTACTTGGCCACGGAGAGTCCAGGTGGGAAGAATTTATTAGGTGAGCGATGTAGCTGGAACGAGGCCTGGCTGAGATTCAGGAGACGGCTGCTGCCGTCTCTGCCCCCTCATCCTTGCTGAATCTCAGAACCTTTGGGCCTGCATCTCTGCGGCCCGGAGACGCTGACTCCAGTTGCCTAACAGAGCTGTGGTGAGACTCAAAGGCCACACAGAAGCAGCGTGTTCCGGAAAGCATGCCGTGCCCTGTGAACTAGAAGAGGGTACTGGAATACTAGCTATCTTCACAAGCACCACCCCGCCACTGCCTCCACCATTCGTTAGGGAGCCACTCATTATGGGACGGACCACCAGACGCGACTAATGAAACTTTTCTGTTCTCTCCTTTCTAGGTAAGTGATTCCGGTGCTAACGCTGGACACGTGTGTCCTTGTATATACCTGTTGCGCCTGCGAGAACATGTTCTCCACTCCCCCAGCTCCTCTGAGGAATGCCTGAGTGAGGACCCCGTGTAAAGTAAGATGAACCGAGTGGGCACGTTAGCCCAGGCCGTTACCCTTTAGTGGGCGCGTGAGGGCTGTGGGTCACAGTTTCCAAGACTGATGGCATTGCATGATCTTTCATGGTCAAACTTGTGCAAATGAAGAAGTGGAGTGGGGGACAGGGGTGGGATGAGATAGCTAAGCAGTGAGCCAGAAAAAAAGCAGTTGACGTGGACGATCTAACCTGAGAAACCATCATAGGAAATGATGACTCTCTGCTCCAATGCAGCATCTACAAGGCCCAAATGAGATAGAACACAGAGTTTCAATGTGAACTTCAAAACCTGCTCCTGCTGTAAGGTGCTTTTCCCATCTTAGCAGCCTGGTGGTCTACTTTGTCGTTTTTCCTGAGTGTAGCTTGGAAGCTTCCATCTCTAAATCTTTAACATTTTCTGGGAATTTGCTTTCTGTTTCCCAGGGTTGTCCTGGGACTGGCCTCTGATGAGGCAAAGGTTGTTCTCTTGGTGTAGCCACTGGTTCAAGAAGTGTTTTGGGTTAAAATGTTAAAAATACATAGCTAGAGATTATTTTTCCAGCTCATTGAAAGAGGAGTTACAGATGCAACATTGTCTGTGGTTGTGTGGTTAAGAAGTGTTCCCTTTGCTCCTGAGTCATATGTGGAAAATCTTCCCTCTAACCCTGATACTGCACAATTTGTCAGTGTTGGTGAGACTCATATTTAGCTGTGAGCTTCCTGGCGTCCAAAGGATAGAGGAAAATAAGAGCACTCAAAACAGTCGCCAACATCACGAAGGAGAAACTGCCGTTATTTTCTTTTTTGTTACTGGCAGAAATTACTCTTACCAGAACTAGCTTATTGCATAAGAATTACTCTGTACTGGGGCTCCTGAATTGGAGACATCAAATAATGTATTAAACCACATTCTTAACATTTCTGGAGAAGACACAGTGGAGGGTTCCTTGTGGTTGTTGGGGCAATTTATTTACTAAAACAGTGGGATCACACTGAAGTGTCGCTCACCGTGAGCATTTCTGCACGCCAAAGATGATTATGCCTAAATGAATATTCTTTTATTGGCTTGATGGAATCCCAGGGAGAACCTAGAATACCTAAAAAAAATAGACGCGTTGTAAATACTGTGCTGGGTACTCCTCCCAGCAAGACCTTGATGAGGACTGGGCAGGAGGCCCCTTGCCTGGGGTTGGGCTGCAAATGTCCTGGGGTGTTTGTGGATGGAACAACTGGCTCTAAGAAACGGGATATACGTGATCAGGGCGAGGTCTTTGGGGAGAGAAGAAGCTCAACGTGGGCCCACAGGAAATGTGTCCGTTCATAGTTGCAGGTGGAGCAACAGGTGAGTCAGGCAAGCATCCATTAGATCTTCAATCAGCTGCTCCACATTGCAAATATGAAGGATATGCTTTCAAAAAAGGACAAGGGAAAATAGGAAAAGGGGTCGTAAAAGTAAAGATAATCAGCCAGCATTACTGAAAGTGAAGAGAAAATTTCTTTTGAAAAAGCAACCCAGATGTTTGTCCGGCATGAGTGTGGTATTTGGGATCATGAATGCTGAAGAGTAAGTGTGTCCTGGATGTTGGCGTCGGGTCATCACTGACCCTAAATCTCCTCAAGTCTCACAGAAGGATGTAGGTCATATGTTAGAGGTAATATGTCATAAGGACATAGGTCATACTTTAACCTTGAATTCAGGGAATAACATTTGGCTTTAGGGTAATTGACTCCAACATAGAATGAGCCACATTCTCTATGCATTGGGATAATTCTTATTTATCATTAACTAAATTATTAATAACTAATGATATAAATTACATAATTACTGTTTATTAAACAATTTGTATTGAATGTTATTAACATGTCAAGCCTGTGGGTACAGTGGACACAATTTTCTTGTGAATTTCATCTGAGGATTGGCATCTGTTCCCACAGCGTGAAGGTGTTTTTGCTGTCTGAACTCTGCGTCTTTGGCTCACCCAAACAGGGAGAAGAACATGAGCCAGGTCGGCCAAGGAGGCCTTTGCTTATGGTCTGGTTTTCTATAGGGGCCAGAGATACGCCCCCATCCCACTCGCCATCCCTAGACCACAGCAGCCTTCCCCATGTCCTGTTGTTGGACCGAGGCACGCCTGTCTTGGGAACAAGGACCTCACTATTTGCAACTTTCTTGGAGGGCCTTCAGGATCTCAGAGCTCTGTGCCTCAGATCCCGCAGGTAGTACTGAAGACTGGAGCCTGTTCCAACGGGGCTGGCTCCGTGGCCGGCCACACACTGGGGCGCGAGCCTCTGCTGCCCTCTGTGTTGCCCATGTCTTCCTATGGCTGAGGCTGGCTTAGCCTGAAATTCAGGAGGTTCCTCTCTCAAGGAAGCCTATTAGATACTCAGATGTTCGGATTGTGGTTTTTTTCTCACTGTCTCCAGAGACACATCTACAGCTAAAATGATGCTTGGGATGGCTCCTTAAACATGACCTTAGATAGAGGTGGGGTGTTTGTGGTGACATCCTGGGCCTTCTCTTCCTTTAACTCAGGGGATCTCAACGGGGGGCAGGGGGTGGCTTTTGAAGCCCATAGAGGTTGTGACTGCCCAAGATCCCACCGTAGGCAATGGATCCGTTTCATCCTGACCGCATTCCTCCAGGCGCAGACACGTGTGGTGGCTGCTTTTCAGCAGAGCGGAGGATCCAGGCCCCAGCCCCTCGTTAAACATCCAGCCCCACCTGCATGTCAGGCACAATCTGGACGTTGCAGTGACAGCGTCTTTGCCACATGCAAATCTGACTAATGGCCTAAATTGGTACCAGAAGAACAATTACATGGACTCTTTCCTGATGGCTGTGCGTGGTGGCACTACCCTTGATCTCGGCACAGAGTTGGTCAGAAAGCACACGCTCCGCTTCCATACCCGTACACGCGTCCTCATCACCTTCACCGTTTCCTCTCCAAGGGCTTGATTTAGAAGAAGTGTCTGGTTTAATGGGGAAAATAAAAGATGAAACAGCAAAGTCAGGCCACTCAAAGCGCTGCAAATGTTGGGGAGGGGGCTTCTCTTTCGTTACACAGCTCAGTGTTCATTGTTTGCTCTTTAACATTTTGCTTAAGATGTAGGGCTGGAGGCTGTTTTCCTGGTGGAGATTATTTTAAAATCCGCATCTGCTTTCACTCATGTCTGGGAAGGGAGGTGGGTGACGCAAGCGAGGCTCATTGGGTGGATTTGGTTCATTGTGGGGTGTTTCACCGTTTACAGCAAAGTGATGGCTAAAAAGAGTTAAATGAAGACGAGAGCAGGAGAGAGCAGCACCGTCATCAGCCTGGCATTCTGCTACCAGCCTGTCTAGAGGGTGGAAAGGAACCCTGAACCCTCTGAATGCAGATTCAGTATGCTTCAGAGCGTTTCTAGGAGTTAGGCGTAGCTTCAGGACGGCCCGCTTTGGAATCCAATCAATGGGAGCATAGTGTTAAGTTCAGGAATGAAAGGTTCTGAGGGCGACTCTCTTTTGTCTTTGCAGCCTGTGATCTTAAGGAGACAAATTAGCACTGCAGATGGAGGAGGCGGCACTGGGCTTTGGGACTATGCAGGGGGCCCCAGTGTCAGTGTGGACCAGGGAAAAAGTACCCTTCCTAACGCTGGTGCCCCACTCAGCACTTGCTTAGGAAGGTCTGTGCCAGGGCCAAGGGACATGGTCATGGCCGTTTTTATTCTTTCCTGTAGAATCCATGATTGACCCTGTGCTTGGCATCCTGCCTGGCAAGCCACAGTCGCTCACTGCAAGTTGGCGGGAAAAAAGAATTGGCACATGAGAGTCTTCACTCCCAGGACGCTAATGTTCTCGTGTGTTTTTAGGGAAATTCAGTCCTCACGCTGCTTATGTTAAGATGAATGGGTTTATTGGTTGCCCCACAGTATATGAAGGTCCACGCAGTGTTTCCATTCTTCCCAATTAATAAAAGTGGAAAATCTCTATTGATGTGTTGAGAAAGGAACTCAGACATGCAGGAATCTGCCAGGTCCATTCGAAGTCTGGTGATGGTACGAAAACATGGTGGCTGAATTAGACAAATGCAGTTCACACTGGATGGGATTTGAGAGTCATTTGCTCCCCATAAGAATTCTGAATGTGGAGAACAAAACCAAAGTGACTTTATTATTTGCGTTAAATATTTACATAGAGGGGAGTAAACAGTGTGTGAGACACACTATGACAGAAATGAATCTTTCTCAAAATGACAAGTTAGGAAACGTATGCATTCGGTGGAGAGTAAAGACGCTCATGCATCTTCTTTGCATATGCGGTGCATGCAAAAAACAAAACTCTAGACAATTCTCTGTCCTCATTAAAATCCAGTTACAGTAATAGCTCAGCCTTAAACTCGAAACATTACGAATGCAATATAAATGTTTAAACAGTTTGGTTGCATAATTCTTCAGTTCACATTTCCTACCATTGGTGACCTGGTTCTCAATTGTAGCTGGCTTTCTGGGATCTATTTGGTAAAAGAAATTTGAAGAATACGCTACTGAATACATTACATCGTATCCACATTATTATTATTTTCTTTCTCCCTTAAGGATTAAGCTTCCATTTTGGCAGCTTTGCCTGTTGGGCAGAATTGTATCAGAGAATTAATTGTATCAAAGAATTAATTCAGTGGATATTTACATGGTACCTACTAGGTGCAGATCATGTTGCTGTATTTACTTATAGAGATGAGTCGGCCTGCAGGAGCTGGGGGAGGAAAAGGCTGAGCCAACTCTAGCGTAGGGTCGACCTGCACGTTATGAGAGCAACTCAAGAGAGGCTTTTTGGGGGTCTCGAGGGACCTGCTCTGTCTAACTCACTCTGGATGGGAACTGCTGGGAGAAAGGAGAGGCTGCAGGGTGGTGCTGGGTAGGGTTTAAACATTTGCGAAAGGAACCATGGACACTGTGGGTCGGGAGATTTTTGGAATACTCAGATTTGAGCAAGGAAACAGCAAGGTCCACCTATTCAGACATGAGGCTGTGGATGCCCCAGGCTGCTGGAAGAATTAAAATTACTCGAATCAGTGGCTCGTAACCATGGTGGCTTTCCAACAGTGCAGCTTCAGTGAAATATGCCCCGTTTTGAGACTTTTGAGTGTTTTGTTTTCCTAAATGAGTTTGCAACATGTGTGAGATTGTTTAGCAGAATGTAGTTTCTTGAGTCAGATGCAACAACTAAAAATAAATACAAATACACATATACACAACAGACATCTATAAATATATACATCTTCCCCAAAGGTAGTTTTTCTAAAAGCTAGAATAGCTTTTGGTACCACATCTAATTAGGAGATGGTAGAACAAGGCGCAGCCATCTTGATTATAATAACCGTCTTCAGATAACGTGGTGTTAAATTAGCTCACTCAACAGCTACTTTGTAAGTAGATTTGATTTATTTTTAGCTCTTATTGGAAGCCAGGAATCCAAATGGAGATGGAGGGTTTTCCGGGAGCACGGGAGATCGCTGGCCAGCAGCACGTGACCGGGCTGCTCTTCTGAGAAGTTTGCTGTACTTTGCAGGAGGAAATTTTAAGTAAAACCCACAGTACAGGTGGAGTTCACTGTGTCTCAGGCACCAGGTTTCACTTTAAGAAAAACAGACGATTTTTCTAGGAAAAAAAAGGGTACCTCCTACAAAATACCTGACCCGTACTCCTCAAACCATCAAGGTCACCAAAAATGAGGAAAATCTGAGCAACCGTCACAGCCAAGAGGTGTTTAAGGACACATGATGACTCCATGTCATGTGGGATCCTGGGACGGGAAAGAGGCATTGGGGAAAAACTGAGGCCATCTGAATGAACTCTGGACTTCATTAATAACAACATATTGGCACTTATTCTAACAAGTGTTCCATACTAAGGTAAGATGTAAACAGCAGAGGAAACAGGGCAGGATCGCTCTGTGTTATCTTTGCAACTTTTCTGTAAATCTAAAACTATTCTAAAATAAAAGGCTCGCTTTAAAATGTATAAACAAGATAATTTAAAACGCCCATGACCCCACCGCCGGGAAGACGTCGCTGTCAGGATGGGGTTGTATCCTGCTGTCTCTGTGCGCACTGTCGTGCAGAGTGAGACCATGCTGGGCATTCAAGTTTGCTGCGTGCATTTTCCCTTCATGTTGTACAAACATAAGCATGCTTCCCGTGTCCCTAAAAATGTGTTTGGTCAATCAGTCAGTGTGTAAATAAATGCCACTTCAGAGACATTGCCGCCTCCTAAGAGTGGAAGTAAATATGCAAATGATTCTATGTAGCAAAACACAGAAGGTCCCAGGCAGTATGTGTGCCCCCCACTGAGTTGGGTCTTAATGCTCACAGTGGGGGACAGGAGCCTGGAGAGGTCCCCACCGGGTGAGAAGCCAGTCCTCAGTGACCGGGGCCACTTCTCGTGTCTGTGCACACTTTCAGCCACACGGGTGCCCCCAGCCCCAACCCATTGGCTGGCTGAAGACTGTTGCGGTCGGCCCTGAGCTCACTAATGAGAAGCTGGTGACTGTGGCTGGGTCACTTGGGTTGGGAAGGCCCCCTCCTGAGCAGAGCAGGTGGACAGTGGCGGAGCCCACTGTGATGGGTGACAGACCAGGCTGTGGCAGGGTTTGTAATAGAGAACCAAGACAGGGGCATGTGTTCAGGAGGACCTGGTGGCAGGAGGGGGCATCCAAGTGGCTTCTAAGCAGCAGTGCTGAAGGCAGGGCTGGCCTCAGGACAGGCAGTGAAGCCCAGGCGCTGCCCCACCTGGAATGCCTGGCTCAGCCTGGGTGGCCACCGGGATTTGAGCAGTTTCTTCAGCTGCTCTTGAGCAGCACAGAAAGCTCTACTGGCAGATAGGGCTGGACAAAAATGATGCTAACTTCCCGCTTGGAGCCCAGAGGGCAAGGAGGGCTTGGGCTGGGTTGGCAAGTGGCTTAGGAATCAGGAAGCTGGGTTCCACCCCCTCCCCACTCTGCCTCCACAGCACCAGCTGCTGTGTTAACATCCTCAGGGCAGGAGCAGCTTCTCTCCCAGGCCTCGCCCAGTGGTACATGCTCGCAGCATGGACCTGGACCTGCCTGGGTTCTAAGCCGGTCTTTGGAGGAGGTGTGGGGTTCACTGTGCCTGGTTGGAGCAGCAAACCCTACACCCCTGCAGATGGTAGGGTGGACCCAGGCACAAAGGCCGTGGCATCCTGCAGCAGGAGAGCCAGCTGCCTGTCTGTGGTGGGTCCTCTGAGACGGCAGAGGACTTGGGGCATGAATGAAATCACCTTGTCAGGGTCTAAGCAGAATCCCCAGCTCTCAGAGCCCCACCGTCAGCCAGCGCCTAAACTATGCCTCCTGCCCTCAGAGGGACCCGCCCACGGAGGGACTCATCCTGCCCCAGGGAATATTAACACGGGAGAAGTGAGATCTGGACAAGGGCAACCATGATTTGGTGACTCCAGGAGGTGGGTGACTGTGAGCTGTGAGACAGGCATCAGTGCCACTTGCTTTGTCGAGGGTATCAAGCCAGGCTTCCTGGAGGAGGAGGAGGAGGCATTCGAGATGGGCCCTAAGGGAAGCCGAGCATGTGAATGTTGAGCGGGAGGAGGGTTCTTCCCAGCCACCTAGCAGCATGGCAAGAGGAGGGTACCAGGGTGGGGGACAGGACCGTCATGCCAAGGCCAGAGGTGCATGCACAGCCGGCCCACACTCCAGGGCTGAAGGCTAAGCCAGGCAGGCGGGAGAAGTCAGGGACAGGAGTGGCAGAGTCCACGGAAGGGGAACAACAGGCTGAATTTGCAAGATTTGGCTGAGGCTGCACCAGTCAGCAGACAGGGTCTGGGTGTCCAATATGACAGTCCAGAGGTCACTTGCCCCACCGAAGTCTCAGGAAAACAGTGGATTTCCACTGGCAGATGCTGGTGGCTGCAAGCTCTCTATGCAGCTGGCATCTCAGGATGTAATGGAGCAGAGCCTCATATTTTAGGGGTAAAAAAGGGAAAGAGAGAAAAGGGGTGGGGGGATTTTTCCATATGGCGAAGGTTCTCATTAAAATCAATTGTAAAGTTAGCTAATGGCTGGTTCATGTCATTTGGAGATGGCTGTAAATATCAGCTGCATCTATATTCAGCATTTGAAATGTTCTATTGAAAGTCTATGTAACTCTGTGAGTGTTTTCCAGTGGAGTGTTATTCATTTAAAGTTGTTTGAAAATCTGATCAGAAAGAGCTTCAACCCGGAAATTTAGTGATTTGCAATATGCCAGCATCTATGCGCTCAGCACTCCCGCTCGTGGAGCTCAGGAAAGGACACCCATGAGAATGTTACTTGGTGTGTGCTTTGTGTTTTGGGGGGGCCAGGAACGTGCATTCAGGGGAGTTTCTATTTGCCCAGGAGGATTGTGATGTAAGGCACAAGGCCCGACTCTGGAGATGTCTGGTGCATGGGAGTTTGTGTGGAAGCTGGAGTTGGCCAGCCCCTGCCTTAGCCTCTGTCAAAGAGCTGGAAGGATACGTTTACTATCGGAATGCCCGCATGCCTGCTGGGCTGATGGCATCCCATAAAGAAGAGAGATTCGTTCCACATAAAATGCAACCACTGTCTACTGCCCCAGGAATGGCCCACGGGTGTCGGGGGTGATGACCGACCTCAGGACTAGGTAGCTCCCATTACTGCTTGGTGGCTGACGACCCATAGTGGGATTACTTGGGGGATTGCGTTGCTGGGGAATTACTTGCTTGGGGGATTATGAGGCGGGAAGGTGTGCCCTCCATTATATAGAGGAGGCAGGTTGAAAATTGTATTAGGCTGTTCTTGCATTGCTATAAAGAAATACCTGAGACTGGGTAATTTATAAAAGAAAGAGGTTTAATTGGCTCAAGGTTCTGCAGACTTTGCAGGATGCCTGGTGCCAGCATCTGCTTAGCTTCTAGGGTGGCCTCAGGAAGCTGACAATGGTGGGGGAAGGTGAGGGGGTGGGGACAGACATGTCACAAAATGAAAGCAGGAGTGAGAGAGAGAGAGAAAGTTGGGGGCGGCTGTCTCACACTTTTTAATAACCAGATTCCCTGTGAACTCAGAGCAAGAGCCTAATCATCACCAAGGGGGATGGCCCATGCCATTCATGACAGATCCAGACACCTCCCCACAGGCCCCACCTCCAACACTGGGGATTCCATTTAACATGAGATTTGCTGGGGGCAAATATCCAAACTACATCATGAGTGAATTAGGTAGAATATACCAGCAGGGCGGGACCGTGTTATCCATGGAGTAGCAGGCCTTGCCTTTTGGAATGTGTGCGCGTTAGAATCACCTGGGGAGTGTCAGCCCCACTTCACACCACCAGAAATCCACATTTAGGGGCCAGTGGCCTGGAAGTCGTCTTACGTTTTCTGCATCCCCTCCTGCCCCTCTAACTCCACGGCTTGTGCCAGGAAGACCCTGCTCTGCACCCACTGCCACACAAACTCTTGTGTGTTTCACCATAATGCAGAATTCATTTTAAAAAAGTCCTTCCCCTAAAGCAAACTGCTGAGGCTAAACAGTAGACTCAGAGATGCCCTCTCTGCAGCTACTAAGAAAAAGATCCTCAAAGAAGCTTCTCTCTGCTTTGACCAGCAGCGGGTACTTCCCAACACTCACTTAAGTCTACTTATAGCATTTTACAAATATGCTCGTGAATCATAAAATATGTGTATGCATTAAGCGACTTTGTGGCCGTTTTCTAGATGGAGAAAGAAAGACGAGAGAGAAGATGTTCATGTTTGGCGAGTGTCTGGCAGAGGTTTAAGAGAGCTTGGAGCCTCTTAATCAGAAACAGAGCTAATCACTTTGCCTAAGATTAAGTCGTCCTGGGTGCCTTCCCATATCTTGGTCCTCAGCATTGATTTCCTGCTCTGAGGGCACTGATACACTAAATTGTGAAACTCATTTTTTTCCATGGGTATACTGTAGAATAAATATCTGGAAAATTCTTACATTCCTGATAAGATCCCTATAGAGAAAGAATCCCCTCTATCTGCCCCTGAGAACTGTGAAGCTCGCCTGCTGGGATCCTGAGATTTCACAGTAGGCCGAGAACACCCTCCATCCGCATTGATTTATTCTTGTTTCCTCGCCTGCAAGGACTGTAATCAAGCCCGTGTGTTTACTGGGATGTGGTTGAGCTTGCTGGCTCTTAAGGATGCTGAGTAGTAAACTGGGGCGAGGCTCCTGTCCTGCAGCTGGGTTCCTGGGCTGCCCGGTGGTTTGGTCCATGGATCCTGAACGCTCTCTAATCAAGGCTGTGTGGGCAGTCGCCTCACCAGGTCATCATCTCTCAAGGGTTAACCACGGCAGTGATTGGAGTGTGTATGTGAGTGTGGCCCTCAAAGAAAAGACCTCGAGAGTTCTTATAGCCAGGCCCGGGAAGGGGATTGTCCCGCATGGAAAACAGTGAGACCCGATCATTTCAATCGACCATACCTCTTCCAGGTCGCCCATTTCCACTTCATAATAAGCTTCATCTGGTCCAAGGCCTAGAAGAAAGGGAGGTTAAATGGCTGAGTCTATTAAAACATCTGTCGCCAAAGCCCCACTCACATCATGACCTAGTTCTACAAGTGCCAGCTTATAAAAGACCAAAAGTAGGTCATGGGAGGGAGATGAATGGGGCGAGGGGAAACATCATTTCATAAGTAGTCACTTAGAAATGTTCCAACACCGGCACCCAAAGAGTCACTGACATGCCAGGGCAGCGTTTCCAGGACTCACCGTCTCATTTCTCAGTGGTGCCTGGGGACCTACAGCAGGTGGCCCTTGGGGGCCGCCGCTGATGACAAGCACGCACATCCCAGGAGCACGTCCATTCCTGACTCTTCGAGGAAGCTCATGGCTGTGAGCACAGGAAGTGAAAATTCCTGAAAGAGGACCGACCTCTCAGTCTTCACAGGGACATGGATGGATTTGTGATTGAGCTTGTTCAGTTTGTGTGTTTGTTTGTTTTTTGGGCCAATTACAAATTCAGTCCATGAAAATCTGATTGTTAACAGTAGGATCAGAGCCCCCGTAGAGTTTTGTTTTTTTCCATTTTCAAAGCACATGTGCCCTCTAACTGCAAAGTGTATGAAGGAGGCCGTGCTGTCAATGAGCAGTGCCTCCCTGGAAACCTTGTGGGATTTTGTCCTACAGGTAGGCCGTCCATTCCTCCCTTTCCAGGCACACACAGCCAGCAGCTGCCATTGGCCCCTTCCATCTGGCCTGGAGCCCTGTCCTCCTGCAGGAGGTCTCAGGGTCTGGCCCTTCCTGCCCCAGGGACTTCCTGTTGCTATTGCTCAGGCCCACGGGCTGTGATGCCACAAGGCTGCTGGGCGCAGGGTGGAAAGGGAACATCCACGGTCTCTGCAAGCTGGCCAGCACGACTGCGGGGGCTAACTTCCTTCTGGAACGGACCCTCTGTTGACTTTACACAATGTTAACAAAGGGCCTGGGGCATCTGAGAACTTCTGTGCTCATCTCATGCCAACCTCACAGCAACCCCACAGGCCACATCCTTGCCATCCTCTCCAGGCTGCAGATGGAAACCAAGGCACAGAAGGCACCAGGCCGCCATGGCGCACGGCTGTGAAGGAGGAAGCCGGGCCCAGAATTCCGTGCTCCCTGGTGTTCTAGCAACAACATTGCTCTCTGGGGCTTTAACCCATGCCACCTTCCCTCTAAGCAGTCTCACCTCTGAAAATTGACCAGTTTTCTTTTCTCTGAAACACAATTTTAAAAAGCATCTGACAACCACAACCTGTGTCCCAAGGAAGCTGTAACCAGCTGCAGGTGAGAAGCGACCACCCCTTCCCTAGAGTGGAGGCCCCTCTGGCCACCCACTCACTGGACACCTGTCCCAGGCACCACGGGCCTGGCATCTGAGCCCCACAGCATCTTCCCTTGCTCCCTGTCACTGTTACTGAACCCATCTGGGGTCCACTTGCCCAGCACAATAGAGCCAAGCGTCCACACCAAAGTTTCACAGCGGGAGAAAGGAGGGCATTTATTTGCAGGGCGCCAAGCAGAGAGAATGGGCAACGCCCACTGGAGACCTGACCTCCTGGCTGGCTTACAAGCAAGAGTTTTTAAAGGCAGGGGCACGTCTCAGGAAGGCAGAAGCTACAGGCAAAATCATAAATCAATATGTGGCTTAAAAAGGACATCTTGAAGTGAGGGCTGACAGGTCATAGGTGGATCCAGCGATTCTCTGATTTGCAGTTGGTTAAGGATTTGTCTAAAAGCTTGAGGTCATCAGAAAGGAATGCTAAGGTCTGGCTGCTGGGTATGACTTTCTTCAGACCCCTCAGGAAGAATTTTGGAACAAAAAATGGGGGTCAGGGTTCAGGCCTCAGTCCGCCCCCCCCGCCCCCCCCCACCCCCACCCCCGATGTCTATGTGACAGTGGTTGGCATTTTCTGTCTGGTGGGGGTCCAGGTTTCTGAAAAACAGTTCAGGGATGTAGATCAAGATGTTATCTTGGGTTTCCATAGGGAACGAACATCTTGTGGTTCTAACTTCCTTGGGGGGCTCTTGTTTTAGGCTACTGTTCCCTTCTCGCTTTTATCATGTTACTCATTTACTTCTCAGGGCTCGCTGGGTGCCTGGAATTTCCCTTGAAGGCACTCAGGATTTTCCTTTATTTCCATGTTGCGGGGCCTAGCAGGCCCCTAAAAGGGGTCCCTGCCCTGTCTCATCACTGGCTTGTCAAAGGGCCATAGGCAAATACGCACTGGGGCTGAGGTTTGCTGGTAATAAGTACATGGACATGACCCTTGGCAATGCAGCTGAATTGAGACCAATAGATTTATTGTGCCTCTCAAAACACAGATTGAATGTGGGCCTCGATATTCATTGTCTCAAGAACAGCTCTGGAATTGTGGGCAGGAGGATTTAGAAGGTCATCACTGTAATGTTTTCTACAAAAGGCACCTGGGCGGCAGCCATGGGGTGGGGGGAAGGGCCCAGGACCTCCCTGGAGGCCCAGGGCACACCTGCCTGCACCATTGCCTGGCATTGGGGCGGGGGCGGGTGGCACGGCTGGGCCTCTGCCCTGCACCTGAAAACAAGACGCCAGCTCTTCTCGGTTTCCTGCCAAAGTGCCAGGCACAGAGCCTGTCATTCACGATCATGTAGCGAGTTCAGAGAGAAGAAAACTGGAATTTTTTGTTTAATGCAAAATGTCCTTGCTTTTGCATTTTGGCAAACAATTGAAAAGCTTTAACATCTGTGGGTGGCCCAGCACCGGCAGGCCCTGCTGCTGTCCATCACCATTTGAGCTCCCGGTTCTGGGGACTCCCCTGTGTGGTCACCCTCACGATGTGGCCTGGGAACCTGCGGTGAGCATACAGCAGGAACCTGCAGGTCCCAGATTGTCAGAAAGGACGCCGCAGTCCCCAAAAGCTGCATGTATGATAGGGGAGCACTGCTGGCTGCACCTGCAAAGCCAGTGAGGACCCTCCTGGGCTCATCAGCTTAGATCCTGGTTTTCCCTGGATGGGAAGGGGGACCCTCCTCATGGTGGCTGCAGAAGGATGGTGTGGGGCTTTTCTCTTTTCCCCTCTGTGCTACAAAAGCTGCCTGTTGGGAGTCGGTTGTCCCTCCCTCCCTTCCTTCCCTCCCAGGTGGCCTTCGTAAAGATGTAATTGACCTGTGGATTCCACCAGTTAGAGGTGTCACTCCACACAGAAGTCCCAGGCACAAATGTCCAGCACTTCCTGGATGAGATTCAGGGCTCCGGTGTAGTCTACCCCGCCTGGCCATTGCCTCTCTTTTAGCTACGACTGGGAAGGAAGGCTATGATGCCCAGTTACAAATAAAGGCAAAATAATCACGTCTGGCTTTTTTTGTTCTTGTCGGAAATCTACTCTCCTAGCTCGCTCTCTCTCACTCTGCTCTTGTTCTCTCGCTCTTTCTCATTTGCTCGCTCGCTCTCTGTTTCCCGCGTGGCTTGCCCAGTTCCCCTGGAGTCTATCCCCCCCATCCCGCAGTCTATCCTGCCATCCCTCACCCCTCCTGCCTGGTTTCCTGGCTGCTCCAGGGTAGAATGCAGAACTTCTCCAGCCCCATCTTCCCCTGGGCTCTGGAACGCCCCCCCAATACGATTCCACCGCAGGCAGGCAGCTCCCTCACCACAGGGGCTCGCCTCGTGCTCTGCGTTGCACTGGCAGAGGGGCAGCACAGGACTTAATTCTGCAGCCAGGCCCTTGGGCCGTGGGCCGGAGGGGACGCTGGCCACCTCTCTTACCCTAGAAGCTGCGGCAGGTGTCCGCCCTGGGGACTAAGCAAAACAGGGACAGAGCCACCGGCCCCACCCTAACAGGAGCAATCCATTCCTGTTCCTCTTCCTGCTCCTTCCTTACATCCCGTCTATTAATGCCATGGTCCCTGAGCAGTCATGGGACCAACATCTGTCACACACATACAGAGCCCCCGTCGGACGCTGCATGAGCTCATGTGCATCACCTCCGACTCCTCATCACCAGATGCCGCTGCGGCTTCCATTTTACAGACCGGGAGGCAGAGCCCCAGAGGTCAAGCCAGATGTCCATGTTGGGGAGTCTAACGGCAGGTTCTCACCGCCCTGGAAACTACATCTGCCTCAGACCTGCCCCCCTGAGTCACAGCATCACAGAAAACAGTTTACAAGGTCATCTGGCAGAAAGCTCAGTGGCTGAGCTATTTTAAAGCAAAGTATCAGACCCTCAGAGAGGCCGGATTGATTGTAATAGCACAGGGCTGCAGCACAGGCTCAGGGTGCAATGTCAAACCGCGGCCCTGCCCGAGAGCAGGCACTAAAAATAACCAGGCTCCGTTCCCAGGTCAGTGAGTGTCGGTTTGGCGATCACACTTGCTTTCTTCTTGGGAACCTGGGCTCGCTGTCCACACAGCCCCTGCTCCCCTACTCCCTGGCTCCTCGTCCTAGCAAGGAGCTCCAGGCACCCTCAGCCTGTCAACTTTTCAACTCCTCCAGCGAGTCCTGTGTTTGTAACATGGGGTGTTTTCAATGTATTGGGATGTCATGCACGCCCTGAAAAATGCAGGCATGATTAGTACCCAACCAGACAGCTCTGCACAGACTGCAGAGCCCAGTGTGGCCAGCACCCAGCTTGAGTCACACTCCATCTGCCCTTCCAGAAAGCTCCCTCAGGCCCCTTGTGGCCACGATCCCTTCACCAAAGGGTAACCAGATTCCTGTATTCCAACTTTCTAGATGTTGCCTGACTTTGAACTTCGGGTAAATGGAATCCCTTTTTGTTTTTAGAAATGAGATCTCACTCTGTTGCCCAGGCTGGAAGGCAGTGGCGCAGTCACAACCCACGGCAGCCGCCAACTCCTGGGCTCAAGCGATCCTCCCACCTCCTGTGGGGCTGTGTAGCTGGGGCCACAGGTGCACACCACCTTGTGCAGCTAATTTTTTTACTTTTTGTAGAGACAAGGTCTCGCCGTGTTTCCCAGGCTGGTCTCAAGTGCCTGGCCTCAAGCAATCCTCCCACCTTGGCCTCCCAAAGTGCTGGGATTGCAGGTATGAGCCACCATGCCTGGCCTATAGACTTTTGTGTCTGGCGGCTTTTAAGAGTCAGACTTGTTTATAGTCCCCCCAGTGGAGGATGAATTCAAGCACAATTCCTGCCTTCTTCACTCCTGACCTTGGAACTTGGCGGGTGGCTGAGCCCCTTGAGCTGCAAAGTGAGGAGAATGACGGCAGCGCCGCTGTAGGACCATGGAGGGAATGAACAAGGAGGGGTTGTCGGACGTGTTCAGGACAGGAACAGCACACTCAAGGTCACCATTCGTCTTATTCTTGTCAGCTATTATATGTCTGATTTTATGGTTTTCATCCTGAAATACGTGGTCAGTCCAGGGTTCATCGTTTTAGCTGAGTTACCTCTTATTTCATTTATTCTCAGTTCCGTCCCATGCAGGTGCCTCACAAAACCCATATACCCCTCAGGGTCCCTCCCCCAAATGCACAGACACAGCCAGACAGCTTCTGGGGCTGATTGCCCCTGGATGGGCCTCTCGTGTGGGGCTGGGGCAGGAGCTGCCTGCCTCCCCGTGCGGGGAGGATGCCTCAGCCCAGGTTACCTGATCCCTTTTCAGGCGCTATTTTCCCCATGCAGATAAGGCCCTCAGTTTTCTAAAGAATTTGCAAGAAATCATGACGCTACTGCAAGGGTTTAGTGCTCATTCTTCACTCACTGTGTCTGGGACACTAGGTGGGTGTTTATTCTGCCATCATCCCTTTATCGAACACCACCAGTTCCTAGGACGAGGAAGCCCGTGCCTCTCCACAGGCTGACTGCATGGTGGTGGTATAATTCCCACTATAAAGTGGAGGACTCCCAGGTGCAGAGATGGGCTCTTAACCACCTCTTCCCTATGCTAAGTCTGTTCCACCTAAAGGAAAGGTACGTTATCAGATAGGCTGGAATTTGGCCAAATTCTCTGTTATGATGAGGCTGTCCATCATCCATCTGTCATCCACTCATCATCCATCATCCGTCATCCACCCATCGTCCATCCATCCATCCTTCCATCATTGATTCATCATCCATCCATCCGTCCATCTATCATCCATCCATCTATCCATCATTCATCCATCATCCTTCTATTTGTCATCTATCCATCCATATATCATCCATCCATCATCATCCACTCATCCATCCATCCTTCATCCACCTAACCATTTATCCATCCATTCATCCTTCCATCTATCATCCTTTATTCATCCATCCTTCATCTACCTATCTGTTGTTCAATCATCCATCCGTTCATCCACCCATCATCCATTCATCCATCCATTCGTACATCCACCCATCATCCATCCTTTCATCCATCATTCATTCATCCATCCACCCATCATCCATCCATTAATCCATCATTCATCCATTCATCCACCCATCACCCATTCATCCATCATTCATTCATCAATCCACCCATCATCCATTCATCCATCATTCATTCATCTACCCACCTCATTCATCCATCATTCATTCATCTATCCATCCATTATTTATCCATCCATCCATCCTTCATCCATCCATTCATCCATGCATTCCCAGGATGCACACTCATGAAGCCCTGTCCACCACCCCAGATGGGCTTTCTGTAAGTCGCTGAGTATGACCATCACCCCTCCAGTGGCCAAAGCCTAGAAGCCAGGTGCTTTAATGGAAGTTTCCACCACAAATTTCTGGACCCTTGGCATCCCATTCACAGTCCGCAAGGAAGAAGGGCTTAAAAGCTTAATAACATTTGGGACCTTCATAGGATGATGTGTGCCTCTGTCTTTGAAAACTGACTTCAATCACTCTTTTAACACTTAATGACTTCTCAGAAAATTTGATGTCTCCATTCTAGACATGAAGCAGTCATTTCCCAGCACTGTGTTTCTAGCCTCTGGGCTTTGGTTTTATACCCATGGATTCCAGTCTAGAGGCAGCTGCAGCAGCTGCACATGCAGGTGCCGGCGGGAGGTCCTCTGATCATTCTGTGCAAAAGCCTTTTTGACCAAAGGAGCTACATTTGTTGTCCTTCCATCATGCTTAACTCCTTAAGCCTCACGGTACATTTTCTCCAAAGGCATTGTGATGTGACGGGTCTGTGTTCAGGCTCCCCAAGGAGGCTCCCTGGTGCCCCGACCCCGAGGAGGGCTCATAGCACTGGCCAGGCAGCGCTGCCTCTCGGGCTGCTGCGCCAGCATCGCAGGGCGATTACCCTGTGCTGCTCTCTAGATGGGTGTCTATTCTTTCGTTGTTCCTTAATCGAATGCCACTAGTTCCTGGGCGCAGGACGCCAGTGTGTCTTCACAGGCAGACTGCGTGGTGGTGGTATAATCCCCATTACCACGTGGAGGAAACTGAGGTGCAGAGATGGGCTCTTAACCTCCACTTCCTCAGGGCCCTGACCGCTGTCTAGAAGGGCCTCGTCATGCCCACCTGAGACATGACTGCCTCGCATTAGTGGTGCCCGCCGACTCTGCCCACCAACTGCTGGGCCACATGGGCCCTGTTCCCCGAAAGGCTCAGATCCATTGTATGAGATTCCCCAAGACCCTGCTGACACACAGACTTGCGTGTGTCAGTTTCTAGGCTATTGACTATCCATTGATCTGCCTGCGGGTTTCTACCAAGCATCTTCTTTGGGAATTATTCTGCCCAGTGCTGGTGAGTGGGCATCACCAGCAGAAATGCCCATGTCCATGGAGACACCAACTCAACCCATCTGATCTGTCTTCCAGTCTCCAAGGCGGGGTGATAGTAGTACCTGCATCTGAGATTGTTGCCAGGAGGCCGCCTGTGTGGGACTGTCTGCAGAGCCCAGCACAGGGTGACTGCCCAGTCCTGCTGGTGCTGGACCCTGAGAGGCAGTGCTGCCTAGGAACCCAGGCTCCAGAACCACACCCTTGGGTTGAAATGCCACATCCATCCCTTGATAGCTGTGTGACCTCAGGAAAGTCACTGAGCCTCTCTGTGCCTCAGTGTCCTCATCTGTGAGGTAGAGATAACCCCGATGCCTTCCTGGAGGGGTGGTGTGTGTGTCAAGGGAGCTGTCTGTCAGGCCAGCGCTTAGCACGGAGTGAAGCACCAGCTAAGCAAGTGAGGGCTCTGGCATTGCTGGTTGTCAGGCTGACCAGGCCCTGCCTATGGATCAGGCACCAGGCTTGGCATTTGGCGCATAGTTTCCTCTTTCATCCTCTGAGCAGCTCAGTGACGGTGATGCGGGTCTTTTCCTTCTTCTGAGCATCGGGAGGGAAGCGGTAAATCAGAGTGCACGCCAAGGCTTCCAGGCCCCGGATCCTGAAGACTTAACAACCCCCCGTACTGCTTATTAGAGGTCTTTAACCTGAAGGAGCTTCAGTCTTGTTGGGAAAGCAGGATTATAATCATCCCACTCTGGCAGGAAAATGAAGGGAATAATTCAGAGTTCAAACAGGCAACCGCACTTAGTGGGCGAAGGGAGCAAACCCAGGTCAGTGCAGCTCTGCGGGGGTGCAGCTCCAGGGGCCTTGAAGGGCGAGTAGAATTGAGGTTGTGGTGGGAACACAGGAGGGTCTCCCAGGCTGCAGGGGGGCCCGCACCCACCTCCTTATTAAGAACTAATTGTGGTCTGTTCTGATTTGAAGATGGCTAGTGTCTTTTGCGATCATCCCATCAGAAAGGACTTCTGCTTCCCTCTTTGCTTACCCTGACGCATTTGTGATGATGACTAATTTCCAGCACGTGTGGAGGGCTGCATATTTCTGCAAGTCCCGCTGCTTCTGAGCTCCTGCCAGATAGGCCCATTGGGAGCGGGTCTGTGCTCACAGCCTCCTCCAGCAGTGACAGGAACGGCCTCTGAGAGGAGGGGCAGCTAGACAGCAAAACCAGGCACCGTTTTCCAAAGCTCCATCAAATGCATCACTTGGGGAGTATATTTTAAGAGGAGGAGAGCGAGTTTGTAGGGATCGTAAGAAGATGGGAGGCAGCGTCAGCCCTGTCTCTCTTTTGCTGGAAGGTTTACAAGTTGAGCTCCAGCTCCGTGAACAAGCAGCAGTGAGAACCGTGGGACGGCACACCACAGGCTTCACTCACTCACTCTCCAGGGGGCCGCCAAGAAAACCAGTGGTGCCCCCACTTTACAGAGGAGAGGCTGATGTGCAGAAACCTGAATTCAACAAGGTCGAGGAGTCACTGGGATTTGAACCCAGGATCTCTGGTTCATGAGCCTGGCTGAAACTAGCCATCTTCAAATCAGAACAAACCACAATTAATTCATAATAAGAGGGGGGTGGGTGTGGGCCCCCCTGCAGCCTGGAAGAGCCTCTCAGGATCTCTGGTTCGTGAGCCCGGCCGTCTGTATCTCTCTGACCCAGGTTTGGTGATCGGCCCCCACTGTGTTGCCAACAGGCAGTGCAACGGCCGGCCTGTGCTGATTTTAGTCGCATTTCCTGTTGGAGGTCTGCAAGCATTGCGGGCCACCTTGCTGTGACTCATGGAGTTTATCTTCCTGCCACAAGTGAGCATAGATCTTGGTGTAACTGGTTGAAGGTCCGCTTATTAATTCCCATGCATTTGCCAAGAGAGCGCAGAATCGTTTGTATGTGGTGAGAGTGAAGCTGTGTCCCGTCTGTGGGAGCTCTCAGAGATTCGCAGGCCTTCTCCTGAATTCCCACCTGGCCTCCCTCGTGACAGTGGCGTGGGCTCCTGCTTCAGCTTGGCAGCTCCCTGCGTGTCCACCTCCGTCCTCTGAGGTCCTCAGGGGCCTCCAGCCAAGCCTCGCTGTGATACCCCCTCACCCCTAGCTTAGCCCCGGACCCAGTGGGCACGTGGAGAGGCCGGATCGGGAACCCCCCAAGCCAGTGGAGCGGGTGGGGAGGGATCCCAGACCCCAAGGGATGGGGCCAGATTTCCTCCCAAACCCCTCCAGCCACTGAAAACTGATGCATGAGGAATAGCCACTCGTGACCTCGGTAACCATGTGTGAGGTGCTGCGCCGTCCCTGACACCAAATGTCGCATCCATTAACGTTTAATTCAATCTTTTTCAATATCACATTACAATGTTTCCATCTTGGAATGGAATGGTTATGGTTAGCATAAATCTGCCACGTACACAGAGACTTCATTTATATTAGCTTTTATTTAACTTAGTAAAAGGTAATTTGTTTTTATTAATTGATTCATTTTCCCCCCAGCCAGGCAAGCAGCCCCACTCGGAACTGCACGCACGGCGCAGTCCGGGTGGGAGCCAGCGCTGCCCTTGTTCACCCGGCTGCGGGCTGTTGTCTTCCGCGGAAATGGCCGCGGGCTGTTGTCTTCCGCGGAAAGTTTAATTGACGGCCCGGTGCCGGTGTGGCCTTATTATCTGCTCCTCTCTCCCTTCGGTTTTTTATTTTTGAAGTTATCCTGGCCAGTTGATTAGTCTAACACTTACTACCGGGTGGGCCGGAGCCCTCTGCAGTGTTCTGCTGTACACAGAGTGCAGGGAAAGCACACAAAGCTGCCGACACGCAGGTGCATCTGGCAGTGCCCTGGCATCAGGATGTGGCCTGCAGACCAGTTGGTAGCTCCATCAGCCACCGGCCTCCAGGAGCAGAGGAAGGAGCAGGAGGGAGGGTGCCAGGGAAGGCAACCCACACCAGGTGACAGGCGGCATGCATCCTGCTGTCCAGAGCTGGCCAGCACTGTCCATTCACTGCCCATCCTCCATCCCTCTCCCTAGCCACAGAGGTGGGAAGGCGGCTCCATGCCAGAACGGTGCCTCAGTTTCCTCATTGCTGCTGGAGCTTTCTCACCATCAGGAGGCCTCATCTCAGGCCACGGCCTACTGATCCAGGCGACTCCGTCTTTGGGTGGAGCTGCGGCACTGCCAGCGGGCCCACGCTGGTCTCTGCTCGCCGGTCTCTGCTCTCTTGTCAGGTGACCATGCGTTTGCCACGTGTGATGATTGCGTGGCATGGCGTGCTCCTCGCACGCACAGACACACCCTTCCAGCATTCCAGCACAACACAGAGAAGGCATTTGCCTCCGTCATTCCCCGCCACGTGCTCTTCCAAAACCTTCCATGGAGGCCTCTTGTAAATCTTCCTCCCTCTGGCAGCCTCCTCTCAGCAGCCCAACTTTTTACTAAGGTTCATTCTATAAACACCAGGGCAGATTGCAGCTGTCGTGCAGGGCATGCAACAGAAAACAGGCCCGGGGCTTTCTCCCAGCTACTTTCCTGGGGGACGGATGGCCACAGTGGGGCCAGGAGGGCACCACACGCTTCCGCCGCCCATTTAGGGAAGAGACACCACCCGTCTGCGTCCCCGACCATCAGTGTGGATACCTTTGCATTCGTTATTCAGTAAATAGTGAGCTCCTTTCACTGCCGGGGAGACCCCTACCCTCTCCAGGTGGAGTTGTAATGCCAAGTTTTTCTTTACCAAAAAAGTCAAATTAAAAATGGCTAAACAGTTTCTAATGACTGTAGCTAAGAGCTATTTGATGGACAACACCCGCCACTTTGCTTGGATGGTGTTATATAAAGAAGCAAGATATCTGACGAATTCACCTATATCTACCCATTAAAAGACCCAGAAGCCACTTGTGAACTGTAGGGCTTCCCAAAAGCATGGCAGCCGTGACTCCATCTGTCTCTAAACATTTACCTGGGGAATGCTGTTTATTAAAGCTATGGGAGAAAACCCACACAACTAAACTAAAATCCCGAGCTTGCTGTGGTCCATTGGGCTGCTTTGGTTTATGCTGCTGGGGTTAGAGGAACATTGCTATGGAAAGGTCCTGTTTCTACCTGGAATGCTTCCCTACTGGAGACACAGTCACTCTCGAGTCATTTAAAAATACCCAAAGGAGGGCACGTGAAAACCCGGGGAAAGCTGGAGAAGACCTGGACCTGCAGAAAGCCTGGACACCTGCATTCGTGCGATTGTGTCGGCATCCTATTCCCGCATTCAACCGTGGGCTTGGGTCATGATGCATGTCGTCAGCAGAGGAAGCTGGGTGAGGAGTACTCGGGACTCTCTGCACTAATTTTGCAACTTCTATGAATATTACACTTTTTTTTTTTTTTAAGACAGAGTCTCACTCTGTCTCCCAGGCTGGAGTGCAGTGCTGCAATCTCAGCTCACTGCAGCCTCAACCTCCTGGTCTCAGGTGATCCTCCTACCTCAGTTCCCTGATTAACTGGGACTGCAGGCACATGCCACCAAGCCCAGCTAATTTCTGTATTTTTTGTACAGATGGGGTTTTCCCACGTTGCCCAGGCTGGTCTCGAACTCCTGAGCTCAAGTGCTGCCCACCTCGGCCTCCCAAAGTTCTGGGATTACAGGTGTGAGCTACCACACCTGACCAACTGTTTCAAAATTAAAATTTTTAAATGCATTTTTAAATTCCATTCTCATTCATTAGATAATACCATTGTAGACAGATTTATTGAACAAAGTTTCCATGCCCTTGAACAAAAGCCAGAATCTCATACACAGAAGTGACCACTCCTCACCCTGTCCACCTCCAACATCTTTCATTTAAAAAAACCTTCTTTCCACTGTGAACATAGACCTGTGTGGGACCCACCAGCTGGCTTCAATGCCAGCTTTTCATTGCCAAGTCAGAAATTATGCGGGGCGGGTCATCTTCTGAATGATCTCTCTGTTGTCATTAAGCTCAAATGGTGCCTTTGCCAGACCTTGCCAGGCATGATTCCCGGGTTTTATCCTAATGCCCATTTGCTCAGTCATCCCCCCTATAATTTAGCTCAGCTGGAAGGTTCTGGTGACTGGAGACCAGGCTGGAAGAGTGGAGGTTTGGACAGGGAATTGAGCTGCCTGTGGTTTTGGAAGAGCTTCCCTGGGAGATTTAGAGAAGCCCCAGGAGAAAGAGGGTCAGGAGGGGCTGGATTCTGCAGCACTTCCTTGGGTTTGCCCAGTGCTGCCCTGGACAGTCTCCATCACTCAGGGCCCCCCAACAGGCTGGGGAAGCGGGCTGTGCTCACCTCCTGCAGGCCCCTCCCAGGATACTGAGGATGCATGCGGTGAGCAGGGTCTGTAGGCTGCTCAGCCATGGCCGTGAACCCAGGAAGTGTTGCCTTCCCATCCAGGAGCCTCTCCAGCTAAGCCCCCTCCAGCTGCAGAAGCCGGGACTTGCTGAACTCTGAGAGAGCAGGAGGGGAAACGGATTGATCAGGTAGCTGCCGTGTGCTCGGCTCTGTGCTGCGGCTGTACCCGATCTCGTTTTCTCCTTACTTACTGTTATGTTCTTATTGATTAGCTGCTGTGACTGAGAAACTCAGAACTCCCAGGGATTCTGCAGGTTTCTTTCCGGTTCATGTCACAGACCCCTGCGGCTGCCCCTTGCCTATCCTCATTTCAGGGAGGAAGACTCTCTCTGTCTTAAGTCTCCCAGCTGCTGTGGCCGGGCCGGGCACCGTAAGTCCTGCTCATAGCCCAGAGAAAAGCGGAGCCACCGGGAAGGAAATGCCATCCCCACTGACCCTGTGGGGACAGCTCAGCGTTGGTGGTCAGCCAATCAGCTTGGCCACAAAGTTAGCCCTTTAGTTATCTCCATTTTACAGAAGAGGAAACAGAAGTTCCAAGAAACGAGTTATCTTGCCCAAGAACACATGGTCTCCCAAAACTCATGCAGTAATGACAACGTGGCTAGTACATGGGTGGGGACGTGGACACTGGCTGTTCCTTCCGAGTCTCTATGGGTCCCTCTGTCCCTCTCCTGCTGGTGCCCCTCCCCCTCCCCGGGTGGTTCTGTCCAGCATTTCAGAAGTCTGCCCAGGCAGAAGCAGGAGGATTCTTCTCTTCGTAGGGATAAACACGACCCGCCTGGCCTCTGTATGAGTCAGGATCCAAGGACTTAACTTTATGCAGAAGGAAACGAAGCCCTTTCTAAAACACGAGTCCCCCACCCAGCCTTCCTGACATCCTCGGTGGAGGCAGCCCGCCCAGGTGAGTGCCGGACCCCTCACAGGAGCAGGATGTCTCCTCCGACGATGGACTCATGTTTATATAAGTCTAAAAAAGACCACATCCCTGGCTTGTTTTTTTTTCTTTCTTTTTTTTTAATTTATTATTATACCTTAAGTTTTAGGGTACATGTGCACAATGTGCAGGTTAGTTACATATGTATACATGTGCCATGCTGGTGTGCTGCACCCACTAACTCGTCATCTAGCATTAGGTATATCTCCCAATGCTATCCCTCCCCCCTCCCCCCACCCCATCCCTGGCTTTTTAAAAAAAATATTATGGGGCAAGTGATTGATTTCATGATTGTTGGATATGAGTGATGGGGAGACTGGTTTCAGTTTCATGATTGCAGTTGTCATGTTTCCGAACTTCCTAAATAGAGCTTTATTTTTAAAGATCCTACAGTCTTACATCAAGTTAAAAAGGTTGCTGTCAAAATCAAATGGCATGTCAATTTTAATGAGCAACTGAAAAATTAACAAATGTAACGTTCTAATCTAATTATGTTCTTTCGGAAAGCTTTTTGAAAATTGATTCAAGTTTGATATGTCAAGCGTTCTACCGCCAAGGCAGCAGTGACAGTGTGTGGGAGCCCCGCACCGGGACCTTCCCGACGGGGCTCCATTGGCCTCCGTGGTGTCTCTCTAGCTTTGGGATTACTTGCTAACGCTGTAAAACTTTTCATGAACTACGCGCACATACAGAGAAAGTGAACAGATTGTCAGCCTACCCCTCTGCACTTTGACAAGAGAATCACAATCAGTAACCAGCGCCCAGGCGCCCCTGGCACCCTCCCTAACCTACTATCTCCCAATAAAGGTAAACACCAGTTTTTAAACATAAGAGCTTTTTTTTTTTTTGAGGCAGAGTCTCACTCTGTTGCCCAGGCTGGAGTGCAGTGGCAAATCTTGGCTCACTGCCATCTCCACTTCCCGGGTTCAAGCAATTTTCCTGCCTCAGCCTCCTGAGTAGCTGGGATTACAGGTGTGCGCCACCACGCCCAGCTGATTTTTGTATTTTTAGTAGAGACAGGGTTTCACCCTGATGGCTAGGCTGTCCTCAAACTCCTGACCTCAATTGATCTACCTGCCTCAGTCTCCCAGAGTGCTGGGATTACAGACATGAGCCACCGCGTCCGGCCACTATATTTTTTTAAGCATAGCATCTGTGCTTTTTAAGCAGGGATCCATGCAGTGAGGGAGGAGAACCTCTATCATCTGAAAGTCTGTTCTGTTCAATGCCCCATGTGGTTTGCAAAGCATGCGTGCTGTTTTATATGTTTCTTTTAAAAGATGGGGAGAGGGTCCTGTCCTGGTGTCCCCAGTGAGTGAGGGCCTTGTGGAGACGTCTCGTGGTTCTGGTTTCCTCCCCTTCCAGAGGCATCTCGGGTGGTGTCCTACTGCATGTGTGCCACGCCAACATGACAAGACGGTCTGTCAGGGCAGCAGCACTGGGCAGGAGAGCTCTGTTCCCAGAACCCGGGGCACCGGCGCTCACCCTTTCCGCATCTTGCTCTGGCTTTGGTTTTGAGAGTGGTGATGTCCCATTAGTGCCCCTGACACTTTGGACAATCTACGCAGCATTATTCCAGGGTATAGAGATAGTTAAAGCAGGCCCAGCTCCTTTTCTTAAAGGATTTACTGATTAGCTGGAAAACAGGTAACTTTAAAAAAGAAGAAAAAACAGGCTGGGTGTGGTGGCTCACGCCTGTAATCCCAGCACTTTGGGAGGCTGAGGTGGGAAGATCACTTGAGGCCAGGAGTTCAAGACCAGCTTGGCCAACATGGCGAAACCCCATTTCTACTAAAAATACAAAAAATTAGCTGGGAGTGGTGGTGTGTGCCTGTAATCCCAGCTACTCAGTAGGCTGAGGCAGGAGAATCACTTGAACCCAGGAGGCGGAGATTGCAGTGAGCCGAGATCATGCCATTGCACTCCAGCCCGGGTGAAAGAGCGAGACTCCCTTTCAAAGAAAGATGAGAGGAGGGGAAGGGAGGGGAGGGGGGTGGAGGGGGAGAGGAGGGGAAGGGAGGGGAGGGGGGTGGAGGGGGAGAGGGAGGGGGAGGGGGAGAAAATACAGGCTGGGCACAGTGGCTCACACCTGTAATCCCAGCACTTTGGGAAGTCAAGACGGGAGGATCACTTAAGCCCAGGTATCTGAGACCAGCCTGGCAACGTAGAAAGACCCCATCTCCACAAAAAAGAAAAGGAAAGAAGAGAAGAGAAAGAAGTTAGATGGAAGGAAATGCAAAGTCCCCAGAGAGGGGGAGAAGAGGAGACCAAAGCTGCGGGAATGGAGATGAACAACGATGATTTAGATAGGCTGGAAATTGCCCTAAGATGAAGCTGGAAGCATGGCGGGGTTGCATCCTGGGCAGTGCGGGGCCTGGCTGCTCTCCCGTGTCTGGCCGTCCTTGGAAGGGGAACTCGTGATGATCTTGATTTTTTTTTTTTTTTGTAACCAGTGCACCGCCCTTGTCCCTTATTATTACAGATTTCTTACGGTCCATAGATGACATTCACTGATGTGGGGAATTAGACATTTTAGAAAGGTTCCCAACAGAGGCCAAAGCAGGAAGGGTTTTCTGGTGAAATGTTCGGTTTTCAGTCAGCCTGGAGTATTTCGTTCCTAATAAAGATCTAATCACAGAGATTTTGGGTTTCAAATCCATAGGAAGGAATGACCATTTTCATGGTGAGACATTGATATTTCATTCCTGAGACCCAAAGCCACCTTTGTAACCTTTCAAGATCCTTTTTGATTGTGTAAACTTCAGAAGTCTGGAGATCTTAGATATCAGGAAGATAAATTTACATAGGTAAGCACCATAATTCTTGTTCCTCATATATTTTATATTGCATCATTTACATAGGCTTTAAATATCCAGTGAATTGTAATAAATGGGGAACTCATAATAAAACTGGTAATAAAATGGATTATTCAGGTGATGCTGTTTTATTACAGTCTCATTATGATTATATAATCCTTATTAAAATCTGGACCAAAGATGAATTTCTCACTGGAGGCGCTTCACAAGTACTTTAATAAATTCTATTTGTTGCACAATCCTGGGGTGAATGTTGGTTTTTATAATTTCATACAAATGTGTTGCAACATGCCATGGAATCTGACTATAGGAATCTGTGCAGTGAGGAAAGAGAATCTCTGTCATCTGCAGGTCTGTTCAATGCCTCGTGTGGTTTGGGAATTATGTCTGCTGTTTCATACGTTTCTGTTGAAACATGGGGAGAGGCCCTGTCCTGTGTTCATGGTGAGCGAGGGCCTTGAGGGAACGTCACATGCCTCTGTTTTCTTCCCTTCCTAGAGGTATCTTGGGTGGTGTCTTCAGAACTTCTCGTTCTTGCTCAAGGTTCTTTTATTGGAAGAGCTGTCTGATGGGTGGAACACACTCATCAGTGTAATTTTTCTTTTCTTTTCTTTTTTTTGAGATGGAGTCTCGCTATGTCACCCAGGCTAGAGTGCAGTGCCACAATCTTGACTCATTGTAACCTCTGCCTCGCAGATTCAAGCTATTCACCTGGCTCAGCCTCCCAAATAGCTGGGATTACAGGTGCCTGCCACCATGCTTGGCTAATTTATTTGTTTTTGTTTGTTTGTTTGTTTGTGTGTTTGTTTGTTTTGAGAGGGAGTCTTGCTCTGTTGCCCAGACTGGAGTGCAGTGGCATGATCTCAACTCACTACAACCTCCGCCTCCCAGGTTCAAGCGATTCTCCTGCCTCAGCCTCCTGAGTAGCTGGGATTATAGGGAACCACCCCACACCCGGCTAATTTTTGTATTTTAGTAGAGATGGGATTTCACCATGTTGGCCAGGCTGGTCTCGAACTCCTGACCTCAAGTGATCCGCCCCTTCGGCCTCCCAAAGCACTGGGATTATAGGTGTGAGCCACTGCGCCCGGCCAGCATTATGTTTGATCTTAGCTGTTATGGCTGTTGCCCCAGTGGCCCTTCCTTAGAATCCTACCCTGACACAGTCTGGGGCCTTTTGGTCTTGACTGAAGCTGTACATGGCAGAGCAGAGTCACGCTGAGTGACTCTGCCATCACTGTGGTGGAGGGATGCCGTGGCAAGGGGACCCTGCACGGCATGTACTGGGAAGTAGCCTCTTCCCCTGGCTCCCCCAGAAAGCTCTATCAGGCTGGATGAAAGCCAGAGCAAGCCAGGGAGGCAGTCGAAGGAGAGTCGCAGAGGCCCTCGGAAAATAGAGAGGCAATCAGAATGCTTTGGCTAGAAAGGGGCTGTGTCAGAAGTGTTTGATGCCATGAAGTAGATGGATCTGTTACCCTAAACCGTGGATGCTGGATCCAGGAGTGAGGGCTGGGGAGCAGGTGAGCGCACAACAGAACGAGTGAGGGCAGTCCTGCCCTCAGCCAGATCCAGCATTAGAGACAAGTATCTCCAGCCTCTTGCAGCCTTCTTCACTGTTTTATCCATAGCTGCAGCCACAGCGCTGTCCAGGGAGGAGGTGCTGAATACGTGTTGGAAAGAATCAGCTGCTCCGAGGCCCTGGCTGTCAGGACAACTAATATCTATGCCAATAGTTCATCTCTAGGCCCCCAGATGGGTGGGCCAAGGGAAAAGCAAGGCTCAACAGCCTTCAGGTTTTGGAAATTCGGTACACAGAGCTGCTGAGGGCTGCTGAGGGAAATTCGGTACACAGGCACCAGAGGGAGACCTTGGACCTGACCTGCTATATTTGAGCTCTCCAGCTGGGTGGCCTCCTCTTGCCTCACTTTTCTTATCTGTAAAATGGGTATAGCAGGCCAGGCATAGTGGCTCATGCCTGTAATTTCAGTACCTTGGGAGGCCGAGACAGGTGGATCACCTGAGGTCAGGAGTTCAAGACCAGCCTGGCCAATGTGGTGAAACCCCGTCTCTACTAAAAATACAAAAATTAGCCGGGCATGGTGGTGGGTGCCTGTAATCCCAGGTACTCAGGAGGCTGAGGCAGGGAAAATCACTTGAACCTGGGAGGCAGAGGTTGCAGTGAGCCAAGATCGTGCCATTGCACTCCAGCCTGGGCGACAGAGCAAGACTGCATCTCAAAAAAAAAAAAAAAAAAAAAAAGGGATTTAGCAAAAGGATTTACTTCCATTTGTTATAAGGTGGAATGAATTAATATGAAAGAGCCGAAATGTGTGGCACATGAGGATGTGTGTTGTAAAAAGCTTTGCTAAGTTAATTTAAATAAATATTTTCTGGATGGCATTCACGGACCATCCCTGGGGGTGGGCTGGAGGGCAGCGCCAAGTGCATGCGTGGACATGGATGCAGCACGGTGGAGCCCCAGCTGGCAGGGGCCACGGATTGGCTTTGAGATGAGGCCGGGATGAGTCATCAGCCTGACGCACAGGCCTGGAGCGAGTGCTCTCAGAATGCAGACTGGAAATTGGATGTGGAAACTCACTTCGACCAACACCGGTTGGGGAAGCACAATTTTAAAAGCAGGATTTAGATAAAATGCTTATTAGTAAAGTGAGGATTATCCAGGATTTTAAAGTTTGTTCTTATCTTCTGCGCTGCTCAAGTGAGGAAACGAGGTGGCTTCAGCCTGTGGTGGAGGATCCTCAGCTGTGGAAAGCGTCGGCCAGTCTCATAGAAGTGGCGCCTGTTGCCGGCCCTCAGGCTCTGCCACTGAGGAGGAGAGGCGGATAAAACACAGGTGTGAGCAAGACCCTAAGAAGCTGCTGCCCTCCGTGTCCTGACTGTGTGAGGACACACTGATGACACCATCCCCAATCGCCTGCAGGGCATGGACCCCACAAAAGGGGCCACCCAGGAGGCACCCAAGCCCTGAGCACCGTGAGTTTGCTGGGTTTTTCTCTCTGTCCCCTGCCTCCAGGCGGGACTGCACCTAAACTAAGTCATGTCCTGGTTTCTTTGTTCTTCTATGGTCTTCACACATGAAGGAGGTCCCATGTGTGGGACCCTGGCACCAGTTCAACACGAGGCGGCAAATGTAAAAATGGAGCCCCGTATGAAAATGAACCTCTTCGGTTTCAGAACTCAGAGACCCTGAAATCTGACCCCACTCCTTATGTCACCTGTGACTCATCTTTAAAAAGACCCGCATCTCACCACCGTTCAGTAACAACAAGTGCACACAACAGAAAACGATGAGTAAGTGGACAAGGGATATCAGTGCAAAACACACAAGCAATGCAAGCAGCGAGTCTGTGAAAATGCTCTCCTGCCCCAGAAATCAGTTAAAAGCAAACCAAAGCACCACGTTTCTAATCTGATCAGCCAATGTTTTAAGGTTTGATGTGAGGTGGAGCAGGCTCTGGGGAGACGGGTTCTCTGGCCGGGTTCTAGGGGAGATTGGGGAAGGTGTTTTGGCGGGATCAGTAGGTATGAAAGGCATGTGATGAGTTTTCTGTGTCCCGTAACCAGTTCCCACAAGCGTAGCAGCTGAAGCAACACTCCTCTGTCTTCTCAGAGTTTGGCAGGTCAGTGTGGCGTAGCTGGGCTCTCTGCTCAGGTCTCCCTGCGATGCAATCAAGGTACGGGCCGGGGCTGGGCTGTGGTTCTTATCTCAGGCTCAGTTTCACTCCCAGGCTCACTGGTTCCTTGGCCTGCTTTCCAAATGGCCTCTTCTGCAGGGAATGCCAGCTGGTGTGGGGCAGGGGGAGACAGCTTCAAGGTGAGGACCCTGAGAGGGACCCTGAGAGTGAAAGCCGAGGAGAAGGAAGCTTGGAGCAGGCACAGAGAAGAAGGGGACTTGGGTTGGGGGTGACTCAGGCCACTGAACTCAAGGTGGGAGCCAACCTCAAGGAGATGGAGGGATCCACAACAGCCAGTGCCACGGCCCAGACAAGGAGTGGCAGGGCGATGGGGGGCAGGCCTGGGCACGGCAGGCGGCTGGGCGAGCAGCACGGGGAAGGATCGGACACCCAGGACTGCCCGCCAACTCCGAGCCTGCAGGGGCCCCTGGTCAAGTGGGTGTGGCTGCAACCCGCTGATGTAAAGCTGCGTCGCCCAAGTCCTGCTGCAGAGGCAGCTAGAGCTGTGCTCGTCTCTCCATCCCTTGTCCTCCCTAGACAGGAAAGACCCGCGTGGCCTGAGAGGGCAGGGCATGCCTGAGGACCGGGGCTCAGCCTCCCTGGCGGGGCCCTGGCCGGGGCTGCTGGAGGTAGGAGCACTGTCCCTGCCTTCCTCTGCCCATGAGGGGCCCCTCTGGCTGCCTCACTCTGCAATTAGAGCTACTTCGGGTACAGGGGCCATTAGCACTGCCGCCTCCTGCTTCATGGTTGCACAGGTGCCCCATGAGACTAGATGGGCCCCCACTCTTCAAGGGGAATAGATGGGGTGAGGGCGTGGCCATGGGGAGCATGGGCTCTGCAGACCTCGCATATATGGAGCCTAATTACCCACAACCCTGGTGGGAAGGAGGGAGCCAGGCAAATGTGTTTAAAACCTCAATATGGGACCAAAGATGCTTCTAGAAAAGTAACCCCAACTCCCACAGAAGCATCTGACTCTGCAGCCTCCCCATCCGAACTGTAGTTGGGAGGTGCTTCTTGCCATTGCTTTTGCTTTCAGACAGGAATCCCCACCTCCTGTTTAGAGAGATAAATGGACTGAATGTTAACAGATTTGTTCCATTAACATATTCGGCAATAGGCAGGCATGAGATAGCATAACTCAATTTCTATCTTAAATCATTGTTTTAATCTCACACTTGAATATCATCATTTAATTTGTACATCCAGCTGGAAATATTGATTTTTGGAGGCATTTATTCTGTGCATTATGTAAAATTCTATTTGCACTCTGCTATGGAAATATTACTTTGTGGCTTAAAATATGATTGAGAGTGTTCCATTTTTTCTTGTCATGTCTCATGCAGATGGGACACTGTGGCTTCGCTTTGCATTGGGGAGGGTATCGGGGCAGGAACGACCACACGGGGCAGGAGGATGGTTTGCTAGAGGAGGCAAAGAAAAAACACTGTGCAATTTGCTGGTTTCCATGACTATGCAACTCGTAATATGCATTCCATATTTAATACACTTTTTTAAAGGTGGTAAAATAGCAAATCACAGGCTCACCGCCGTGATCGGAGGCTGAGAGCCTGGAAGAGCTCCCAGCCAGCTGTCTGCAGGCACCTGATGTGGGAGGGCACGGGACCGGGCCGGAGGCTGAGGCCTTGCGGTGTTGCTGTCCTCTCCTTCTGCAGGGATCAGATTCTAAGTGGTGGTTTTTTCTTTTCTTTCTTTCTTTTCTTTCTTTCTTTCTTTTTTTTTTTTTTTTTTTTTTGAGGTGTTTTCCTAAACTTGTGCCAGCTGTGTGGTCAACCCGACGGCCTCCCTTGCTGGGACGCTCCTTTGGAGCAGCCTCTGGTGGGACAGTGGCAGAGATGCCTGTTCATCCTCAACCCGACGGCCTCCCTTGCTGGGACGCTCCTTTGGAGCAGCCTCTGGTGGGACAGTGGCAGAGATGCCTGCTCATCCTCAACCCGATGGCCTCCCTTGCTGGGACGCTCCTTTGGAGCAGCCTCTGGTGGGACAGTGGCAGAGATGCCTGCTCATCCTGGATCCATTCAGAAGCCAGCCCTGCTCACTTAAAGGGACAATCAAATAGATGAATTCCCTCCTCCTGGTTAATACAAACCTTTGCAGACTCATGTGGAGGTTCTGTCCTTAAAACCAACCATTCCCTCCAAGGGGCATGGATGGGTGGCGCTGGTTGAGCCCTCACCATAGTTGATCTACTGAAACCTGTGACTGGGCTGGGCATTGCCATGACTGATTCCTATTTCACAGGCGAGGAAGCTGAGGCTCAGAAGTGCGACCTGATGACCTGTAACTTCAGTGGCAGATCCAGTAGTCTCGACTGGTTCCCAGCAGCCCTACAGTGGGGCAGGCTGAGTCAGGTGCAGAGGTGCCCTGGCCAAGGGGACAGCCCCGGGGCGGCCCTCAGGCTCAGCCTCGTGGGCACGGATCCCATCCCCAGGCCCACGGAACAAGGAAGGGCCTGGCTCTTGGAAAACCCAGGTCCATTTGTCGAGGCAGTTGCTGACAGAGAGGAAATAATGGTTGTAATGTCAAGCTTGGGGAAAAAATCAATTTGTAGTTTTCCCAGAAAGCCTTTTAAGTAGAATGTTTTTAGAAATAAATTACATATGGGAAAGTCAGAAGCAGTGACATAATTTGTGGGGCCTGGTGCAGGATGAAAACGCGGGGGCCTTCTTCAAAAAGCATTGGGACTTCCCGAGGGCAGCAGCAGAGCATTCACCTGGTGCGGGGCCCTTCTGAGAGGGGGCCCGGGCTGCATACCCCTGAGCCTCCATGGGGAGGGTATGGGGGCCCTTCAGTGCCGGTCCTTTGGGCGTTTGAATCCCCTGTACTCGCCCCTGAGCCGCCATGGGGAGAGTGTGGGGGCCCTTCAGTGCCGGTCCTTTGGGCATTCGAACCCCCTGTTCCCGCTCCTGCCCCTTTGCACTGTGCTCCTCTAGGTTAGACGCCCTTTGGGTTTCAAGGTGGCAAGCAATGTTGTGCCTAGCTGGGAATCTAGCCACATCCTGAAAGATTGGGGTGCTTACCTCCCTCAGTATTTCAACCCAGCAGACCCCACACTGCCTGCTTCCACTCTGCACTTCTTATGGCATTAGGAGTGCCCCCGGAGCCCCACCAGAGCCTGGAAGACCATGGGAATGGCCCAGTGAGTGGCCCAGGCTACCTGCAGGCACAGAACCCGGCCAGGCCAGCCAGGCCCAAACCAGCCGCAGGGAAGGGCTCTGCTCGGAGAAGCCTCACTGCCTCCCTCGTGTGTTCCACGGGTGCAACAAACACATCTCAGATCCAAAGCCGTGGCTCCCCTCCTGCCCCCCGAACCCAGAAGTCCCTAAGCACTTGGGAGGCTCTGCCAACAGGGCTGAGGGCACAGACATGGCTTAACTGGGAAGATGGATCCACTGGGTGGTGGTGGAAAGGAAGAGGCCGCACCCAAACAGAACAACCCATGGAAAGTTCCATCATGAGACAAATGATAATGTTCATGATTACTAAGGAGGGAAAGAGGAAGGGGAGGGAGTGGGGCAGGGAGGGAGGGGGAGGGAGAAAAGGCTCGTGGGCATTGATAACCCACGAAACTCAAGCCAGGCCCCTCACCCCTTCCGATGCTCCCCAGGCACCCCCATTGCGAGGCCACACTAATACGGTAGAGGAAAAACAGGACTCTATGATGCATTGTCTCACGAAATAAAAGAATAACTTTAATTAGCGTGTCTGACCGCAGCATTATTTTATGTGCATACATACGTCTAGGCCTACATACATACATATACACATACATGTCTAGAGACAGCTTCGGTTGCCCCGTCTGGGAGCAGTGCCCTGGCATCTGGTGGGTATAGTTTGGGGATGCCGCTACACACCCCACAGTGACGAGAGGAAGGAAGGAGGGCACAGCAGAGAGCTGGCCAGGCCCAGTGTGTTCAGCGCAGGGGCTGGCCCTCCCCTCCAGAGAAGAGGCCGGTGGGTCCCAGGAAGGCCCTAGCTGCAGGTACACCCTATGCTCCAGTGCCTGGGAGTGTCTGGCTCAAGACGGATGGGTGTGAATGAACGAATGACCAAGTGGACAAATGATGCTCTGAGCACCCCCAGAAACCACTTGGAGACTCAGTGTCCCCTCCCTGCAGGGCTGGTAGACAGGCGTTCACTGGGGATGCCAGGCGTCATGCCATTTCACCTGTTTAAAGGCTGAGGTCTACATCATTGCTTTTGACTGTTCACTTTCTTTCCCCCTGAGCTATCTGCTGCTGCCTTTGTCACATGGTACAATGTGTCAGTGGAATTGTTAAAATAATTTTTCTTAGGGCCCCTTAGAGGTCTAATATTTGAAATCCGACATTTTACTTATCCTTCATTGCTTGCAATTTTTCTCTCCTCAGTAGCCATTGTGTAGAGAAGCATCACACAGCACTAACCAGGTATCCCTGCCCTGAGAAGAGAGGGAGAGGCTGACTGACTGAGCACGTGGCCGGTGATGTGTCCCAGGTCATCAGGGAGGCCCAGGCCAGCTCGGGAGGGCAGGGAGCTGGGGACCGCAACCTCACAGCCAGGTGCCCTCATCAAGAGCTCTCTGCCTACCACTTTCTCCACGGTAAACATAAAAAGAAGACACAAACCTGGAAGGAAATCGCCCTACCCCGGTCTAGAACTCAAGGAGCCAGGAGTGATTTAGAAGCAGAAGCGGGCTTCGCGGACAGGCACGCACTGCCCTCCCCACTCACGAGGCGTTGTGAGGGGTGTTTTTTAAGCCATTCTCCTCCCTTTCTGTGCAGACTCAAAAGGCAGATGCCTTGTTGGGAGTTAACAAGCCGGGTCTTTCAAAGGAGAGCTTGAAAAGCCTCATTGAGTTGGAAGCCAAGGGGCTCTGGAGTTAGACTAGGAGAGAATGGTCCCCTTGAGTGACAGAAACATCACAGCGCCATGAAAGGGGCCGAGCGAGTCGGCTGCGTGGCCTGCTGTCTCCAGTTCCTCTCCGCAGTGTCTGCATCCCTGGGAACTACCACCGGGTCATGGTGGGGTCAGGCCAACCCGGCCACATTGCTATGAAGACCAAGTTCTCCCACTTGTTTGAGCAATAGTGAGCCCCTCCAAACCCCTAGGCTGCTTAATTATGTACAAAGCCAGGCCCCCGGCCTGTGAGGAGGTGCATTCACACAGGAGCTGTCCGAGAGGCCAAGTTCAAGTCCACCCAAAGCTGTATTTTCCAGGAAAGCCCACACACCCATTTGTCTGAGATATGTGGTGGGCACCCGTTTTCCATGGGCTTTCCTTTGAACCTCTTCTGGTTTGAGCAGCGTTTTCTAGGGCTGATCCAGCAGTGTCCTTTATCCCTCCAGCTGTGCCCGTCACTCTGGGAGAAGGACACCTGCCATCTCCCCTCCCCAGGGGCTGGTGCACCAGAGATTGGTAGGAGAGGAATCGCATCAAGTCAAGAGGTTTACTCACAGACAGATTTGTTCTGCTCTGATACACAAAGGACAGAACTAATATCCATGCCCCAACCCAGAGCCGGAAACCCAGGCCCCCACTCCTGACCTCATCCTTCCCTCCTCTCTCCTCCTACTCTGTGTACTTTCGCCTGGCCTTCCTGGAGCCAACACTTTAACATCCGCCTGTCCCTGCTGGTGCCTCCTGGGTGGATGCAGTGAGGACTCCTTCCCAGGATCTGGTACCTCCTGCCCCTCGTGCGTTCATGGGAGGCCATGTGGCTGGGCACAGCTCCCAGTCCTCCCTGTCCCCAGGAGGGTGGATGGGACACTTGCTCCCACTATTCCCACTGGGTGCGACTGTCCCCAGGCCTGGGTCACATCGTGATTTGGGGGCCACCCCCATCCAGATATGCCACTTCTCGTCTAATCAGCACATACTTGCTGGCTCCCTGCTGCAGGCCAGGCATGGGGCTGGGCGGAAATGCTAATGGGGTCAGGCTCTTAGGAGGCTCTGATGTTTGTGCAGGGGGTGGGGAGGTTGCCCCAGGGCACCGTGGCTTCCTGCCTGATGCCAGGTACAGGAGGTGGCTTGGGCCTGGGTTGTGGCCATCAAGAAACCTGCTTCGGTCTCTGCCGCTGGAGGCAGGGGAGGAGGACTAAAGGAGGATCCCAGGGTTTGGGATCCACAGCAGATCCGCAGCGGGTCAGGTGGAGGGGGAAGGGAACTTGAGATACTCCACACGCTCTGCTGCTGCCCACCGTGGCCGGTGCACCCACGGCCCTGGAGGAGTCCCCAGGAGTGCACAGCTGCCTCTGGCCTCCTGTTCTCAGCATCTTCTCCTCACCTTGCTTTGAAGCCTCTGGGTCTCACCCAGCCCCAGCTTACTTCTTGCATGGGCCGTGTCCACAGTGTAGGTGTATTAGTCAGTTGGGACCAACCAAGCACCACTCCTTGGGGGCTTAAACAACAGAGATTTATTTTCTTACAATTCAGGAGCTCGAAACCCAAGACTAAGGTGTGGGAAGAGCTGGCTTCTTCTGAGACCTCTCTCCTTGGCTTGTAGATGCCATCTTCTCCCTGTGTCCTCACGGAGTCGTCCCTGTGTGTGTGTCTGTGTCCTCACCTCCTCCTCTTATAAGGACGCCAGCCAGGTTGGATTAGGCCCCACCCTAATGGCCTGATTTTGCCTTAACCCCGTTTTAAAGGCCCAGCTCCAAATACAGCCATGTTCTGACGGGATTAGGACTCAGCCTAGGAATCCGAGTTGAAGTTGAGCTCAAGCTGTTCAGCAAGGCAGCCACAGAGCACAGTCTGCCCTGGGCAGTGGTCCGCCAAGCATTGGCTTGGGGCTCCTGGTGGTGTCCCCCCCAAGCCCTGCTGTCACAGGACGAGAGGGAGCAGAGCAGGGACACGCCAGCTCTTGACCTCCATGGCTTCTGCGCATATTCCCTTGGCCGGAGCTGAGCACATGACTATGCCTCTCCAGAGGGTCTTGCCGAGTGGATCTCTGTGCACACAGGATTTGAAAGAGAGTGTTTGGAGAACTGTGTGGACTCTGTGTGCTCACCACATTCCCTGTCCAATTCCCTCCCAGCTTCCCACCGTTCTCCTCCCCGATGCCCGCAGCGTTCAGAGCAGCCTCACCTGGGAGGCAATTCGATCCGATTGGTTGGTGGTCAGGTGTAGACCTGAGGGTGGAGGGGGAGCAATATGAAGAGGGCTGAATAGGGTGCATGCACCGTAGCTCTCCCAGGTCCTCCTGGAGCAGGGCCTGGCACCACATGGACACTCGACAAACCTGATGGGCGGACGAATGCACGGCAGCGTCGTCTTGATCCAATTTTAGAAACTGCCGTTAGGAAGACCTCATATCACAATGGAAGAATTTCCTTTATTGAAAGAAAAAAAAATTACCTATGAAATCCAGCCAAAAATGTATCCTTTGACATGGTTCTTGTGCTCTAGAAGTTGGAACAGTCTTGAAAACTGTTCATGACGGCACCGGAAGCCATGTTTGAAAGGGATGACCTCACATGATAGGAGGGAAGTGCCCAGATGTTGATATCTGATTCCTGGAAAATTAGCTCACCTGTCATCACTGAGACAAGGTGGTGCCTTCTGTCACATAACTTCAGGGGCTGGTCTTGGGGTTTAGGAGCAACTCATAAAATCCTACCTGGTGGGTTCCACGTGCCATACGAAATGCCGGCAGGAAGAACCTGGTGGCTGGTGATCTCCTGTCCCAGGGAAGATCTTATAAAGCCACATGAAGGAGTGGTGACGATTCAAAATAATGTCACTTTCAACAGATTTTTCTGTTTCTAAGATCTGACTTTAGGATGAAGTTTTCTAGAATCCAAGCAGTAAGACTGGATGCCAGTTTCTTCCATGCAGCTTCAAGGCCAGAGGCAATGTCAGGAATTTTTCCTCTTTCTGCAGCCTGACAGACCCTGTGGGGGAATTTGGTGCTTCCCAGTGATTAGGCGACCCTGAGACCCTCCAATAAGGCAGGAAGCAAACAAAAGGGCCATTTGGTTACAAACTCCCCCTGCGACCCCATAAGCTGTTCAAGCCCGTGCCATCCTTGAATTTCTTTCTGAAATGTTCCATCATAAATTGTCAGAGATGGAAGAGTGGGTGAGAGGAAAAATTTGACGATTCCCCATTGCTAACTAAAATAGCTTATTAGCTGCCATTTTACCCGTGTGCTCGGAGACTTCCAGAAGGGAGCTGTTCATGTCTCTTCTGCCCCTCTCCAGAAAATAATTAACCACCCCAGTCGTCATTGATTCCAGAACTATCTGCCCAGGTTATTAATAAAAATGTTGAATCCCGGCTCATGTGCTGCCCTCCCACTGGCATCAATCCACTGTGCACGTGCATTAACGTGCGGAGAACGCCAGGAGGAAATGAGAGGAGGAGAGGCCACATCTCCAAGCAAGGACGAAGCTCCTCCTGGGATTCACCACGACGGTTTTAGCCTGGTGGTCGGCACCCTCTGCTGATGTTTTATTTGTGTGTTTTCCATGTAGGGTGTGTTTCTGTTTTTATTAATAGCAAGCACACTGGCTAATTTTCTATCTTAAAAATATTGAATAGAGCTCTGAAAAGGACACATGCTGTAGCCAGCACTGGGGTGTCCACCATCTAGAATTAGCCGATGTCACTACTTTACCACGTGAGCTGCAGGTTTGTAAAAGGAATAAGACCGGTGTAGAAAAGGTCATGTTCCCGTGATCTCCTGCCTTCTCCAGAAGCATCCCGGTGGAAGGCAGCATCTCTTCGCCATGTGTTTGTGGCTTTGCTCTTTTGTGCATAGACAGAAATTATGCTAGAATTTTATGGCTTTTTCTTCTCACTTAATGCGTCTGTGAGCCTCTCCCCGTGGGTCCATGTTACTCTAGCTCATTTCAGCAACTCTCCAGCCAGTGAGTGTGCCAGGATCCCTCTCTCTCCTGAGGACTTGGGGTTGTGTGTGACCCTTGCTACTTTCTGGCCATATTCCCACCTCCTCCCTCCCTCAGGGCACCTGGCAGGATTGCTCTGTTTGCTGCTTGAAGCTGGATATGGCTGTGTGGCCTGGTTTGAGCAATGAAAGGTGAGTGGAAGTGGTGCCTGCCACCACATGCCGAACCATTTAACTGACCTTGAGCCTGCTCTGGGCCCTCTTTCTCATGTGAAAATCCAAAAATCAAAGCAGCCGGGAATGCTGAGCCCATACCCAGAGGGCAGCTGGTCCAGAGACCACATTCCACCTGCTCTAAAAATCAACTCATACTGGGTTAAGCTACTGAGATTTGGGGGCAGGTTGTTAATTCAGCAAAACCCACCCCATCCTGACTGATAGAGGCTGCTTCCGATTTTCTGTTGTTATAAACAGTGTGCAGTGCTGACCTTCACATGTGGCCAGGTTTCTAAAGTGGATTCCTGGACTTGCTGAGTCAAAGGGCACCTGCTTTTTCAACTTTCCTGGGGTTGCAATGTGTTCTCAGTCCCTCCCGCAGCCTCTGAGAGAGGGTTTCTCACATTATCTCTGGCATGTTCGTTTAGATCCTGCACACTTTCTGATCTGAGGAGTGAGGTTATTTCATCGCTTTAATCTGCAATGGGTACAACTCTTCACAGATGCAGTCTCAGTTATGAGGCTTTGAAATCCTAGGGTTTTCCATGATAATGAGAGCAACAAACTTTTTAATGAACAAATATCGTATTTTCCACTATATTGGGGAATTTTTTTAAGTTAGCATAAGAAAACAAAAGCCCCTAACAGCCAAGTAAACTTTTGGAAACACAAGGGAATATTTATAATCAGAACTCCTAGAAAGGGTCTCCTTTTCCTCTTAATAAATAGCTCTGGCCTTATTAGAAATCGGTATTAGGGTTCTCCAAAGGGACAGAACTAATAGGAGAGATGAATCTATGAAGGGGAGTTTATTAGGAGAATTGACCCTCAGGATCACAAGGTGAAGTCCCTCAATAGGCTGTGTGCACGCTAAGGAGCCTGGAAGCCAGTCCAAGTCCCCAGATCTCAAAAGTAGGGAAGCCGACAGTGCAGCCTTCAGTCTGTGGCCAAAGGCCTGAGCACCCCTGGCAAACCACTGGTGTAAGGCCAGGAGTCTAAAAGCGGAAGGACTTGGAGTCTGATGTTCCAGGGCAGGAAGCATCCGCTCGGGAGAAAGATGGAGACCAGAAGACTCAGCCAGTCCAGTCCTTCCACGTTCCTCTGCCTGCTTTATTCTAGCCACGCTGGCAGCTGATTAGATGGTGCCCAGCCACATTGACGCTGGGTCTGCCTCTTCCAGTCCACTGACTCAAATGTTAACCTTCTTTGGCAACGCCCTCACAGACACACCCAGGAGCAGTACTTTGCATCCTTCAATCTCATCAAGTTGACACTCCATATTAGCTGTCACAGGCCCTCTGCAATGTCTATACTTGTTATCTCTAGATGGGAGTTGGAACGGAGCAATGGAAATGCTGAAGTGTTTGACGTGACTCTGTAAACTATGGTTGAAGTTCCCGTGACTTAGAAAAGTGACAGTTTCTTTTGTTAGTAAAAGTTTGGTTGGCAGTACTTGGTTGAGTGATAAAAATGTCGCTAAATTCACTAATGTCACTTAACTCTGCTAATCTCACAACCTTAATAGGATTCATTTGTTACTTATGACATTGCCAAACCAAGCATTATCTTTCTATAGTCAGTTATACAATTAAAAAATAATAATAGCAACAAAGCTGATGGCGCCTTTATGATCTGTCCCTGCTGAGACAAGGGCTGAGGTTTCAGTCAGGGGGCTGGTGTGACCAGGTGACCCCCAGGAGGCTGCATAAAGACTCGTGAATGGCAGCTGTAAAGTGCTCTTCTCTTAAAGTAATCTCACAAGTGTAAATTGGCCTCCTGCAACGTTCATTTCTCTGAGATGGCGCCTTCCTTGCTTTCAGGCCACTGAGGCAAAGGTGGACCAAGGCTGTTGACCTGATGGAATGGAGCTGGCAGGTGGCCCTCCTCCCAGGACCCTGGACTCCCCTAGGATTCTAGAAACAGCTCAGATTCTGACTGGGGATTTTTCTGTCATCTGCAAAGATAGGCTCTCCACAGAGCTAAGAGGGTGTGGTGGTACAGCTTTCTCTCGTCACAGCTGAGGTCCCTGGAGGCTGCCCCACACCCCCGGCCCCACACCTGGCTCTTGGCACTAAGGTCCTTGGAGGCTGCCCCACGCCCCCTGGCCCCACACCTGCCTCTTGGCACTACACTGTGTGGTCCGGTCCCACGGCCATGTGGTCTCTTTAGATCTGCGGTTCTCTTTCAGAGATGATGCTGCCCCGTCTCCCCAGGGGACCTCGGCAATGCCAGAGACCACAGTTGTGTATGTATATGGCGGGGTACGGCTGACATCGAGCGGGTGGAGGCTGGGTACGGCTAAACACCCCACAGCCCAGGACAGCCTCGCAGCAGAAGCATCCAGCTCCATGTATCACTCGTGTCCAGGCCGAGAAACCCGACGTAGAAATCCAGCTTGCCCAGGAGAGAGGGGTGGGACTCCTGGTGTTCACTTCGTAGCTGTTCTGTGGTGGGAGCGCAGTGGGAGCCGCAGGGCATCGGGGTCTTCGAAGGAAAGCCCGTGGATTATGCATCCAGGAATTAAAGCAGTCCATGCAATGGCAGCCGCCAAGCAGAGACGGTGACGGGATCCCTGCGTTGACGGTGGCATGACCGTGTGTGATGGGATGTGCCGGGGGCAGACAGGGCCCACCAGACCCCACGCTGCTCTACTCCGCACCGGCCCCCCTGCCTGTACTTGACCACACTCCTGCCTTCTGCCACAGTTGCAGTTTGGGATAATTTTGGTGGAGAAAGTTGTAAAACCACCTGAATGAATTGGCTTGGTCCATGGACTGGAAGCCTGACTCCCCCGACAGCCCTCCCTGCCCCCGAGGAAGGAACCTTGTTCCTCGGTTATAAAACTTGAGCTTTTAATTGAGGGGAGGGGGGATGCACTAGGGGGTCTTGGAACTTGGTACATACAGGTGCTAGGTACAATCAAATGTATGTGATAAGTAATTAGATATCCAGGTAGACAAGTAGGGTGACTAGCAAATGACCCTTGAGCAGCCCTACTGGGGCCCCGAGTGGACAAACCACAGGCCCCTGTCCTTGGGCCCTCTCAGATGGCAGGAGCGCCCTCGCTTCTGTGGGTCTGACGCGGAGACAGTGTCTCCAGGGTGCTTTCTGAGACCAAAGTCGTTCAGCAAACAGAAGATCCCAGAAGGCAGCAAGCTCTGCCACGCAGCATCGGGACAACGTGGCTGTTTACTGCTCCCATGTGGGAGCAACCACAGCTTTTTAAAAAGACCGAGCAGTTTTCTGTGTTAAAAATTACCTTTAAAATGCTAAAGCTGTGGCCATGTCCAACATGCGTACATTTGGGAAGTGGCGGTAAATTCCATGCAACGTCAATTAACATTTCACAATTCTGCCGGCCGTGGGCTGGAACTTTGGCCAGCCTGTCGGAGTGAAGGATGCTTTTCCTTCAGGTCATGGCGATCAGTCTGTCACGGGAAGGACGCTGACCCCGGCGCTCCCCAGGCTGCACGGTGTCCCTCATTGCTGGCGTCTGGCGTTCAGTCACTGTCTGGGCACCCACATCTTCCCCACTCTGTCCCGTCCTCTTTCTTGGAAAAGCTACTGCTGACGTGGACTTTTTTTTCATGATCACCCTACAAATTCATTTCTCTTTTTGTCTTTCACTGTCCAGCACTGGAGCTGCTGGCAGAGCCGTCAAGAGAACCGGAGGCTTTGGCAACTGGTGCCGCTCATGCTTGGCGCCAGCGGGCAGGAGGCAGCTTTGTCCTGCACACCGAGACAGTGTGCTTGTGTATGTGAGTGTGTGGGGGTGGGGTGTGTGTGCATGTGTTTGGGGGGTATGTGGGATACGGTGCGTGTTCACATGTGTGTATGTGTGTGTGTGGAGGGGTATGTGTGCATGTGTGTAGAGGGTATGTGGGATACGGTATGTGTTCGTATGTGTGTGTGTGGAGGGGTGTGTGTGCATGTGTGGAGGGGGTATGTGGGATACGGTGTGTGTTCGTGTGTGTGTGTGTGTGTGTGGAGGGGTGTCTGTGCATGTGTGGAGGGGGTATGTGGGATACGGTGTGTGTTCGTGTGTGTGTGGAGGGCTGTCTGTGCATGTGTGGAGGGGGTTTGTTCACACGTGTGTGTGTGGAGGGGTGTGTGTGCATGTGTGTGGGGGTATGTGGGATACGGTATTTGTTCACATTCGTGAGGGTGTGTGCCTGTGTGTGGGGGTATGTGGGATACGGTATTCACATTCGTGCGTGTGTGTGGAGGGTGTGTGCATGTGTGTGGGGGTATGTGGGATACAGTATGTGTTCACATGTGTGTGGTGTGTGCGCTCGAGTGTGCATGAGTATGCATGTGTGCAGAGGTGTGTGTGTGAGGTGTGTATATGCGTGTGTGTGGTATGCATGTGGGTGTAGGGGTGAGGTATGTGTGCACACATGCATGTGCGTGTGTGTGTGTGCGTTAGATGCCCACACTTTGTGTTAGTGACATTCTAGGGACTCAGTGCTTCTAGGATCCAGTGACTCGCAACATTTTGTAAAGGCCTCGCCTCAAGCACTTCCTTAACTCAACTCCTCTGAAGTCCTTAATGTTTCTCAGGCAGTTTTGTGCCCAGAAATCAGGGCAGGGAGGGGGGTGTGTGTTTCCCTCTCTGCTACAATAGACAAGCAGATATGAAATGAGAGAACAGGGCTTGTGTGTGGTTTACATGCTGCCTGGAGATCCAGCTCTGAATGTGATGAAGCTGGCCTAGGTCTGAAAGGTTGAAACACAGAAGAGAAATTCACCAGGAGGACCCAGGGCAACTTTCCTTTCAGGATAGGAATCTGATTGGGAGTGTAGGCAGGAACGGGTTGGCTGGCTGGGCGCCGACGCGGTGCCACGGGATAATCCTTTAGTGAGCCACTGATTGGCTGGGGGGCTGCACGGGAGACAGGCAGGTAGTTTTGGAGGCAGGCATCTCTTCTTCCGTCTCCGTGCCCACGCTCCAGGACAGGTGGTGGCTCAGAAAGCAGACAGCAGTGATGGGCGGTGCCTCTTAGGATGCTGCTGGGTAAAGGTGACTTAGGAAACTGACAGATCGCTGCCTCCCTCCCTTCTATATCCTTTCCACGTTGATGGTGTCCTCACTTACCATAGTGGGCCATGTACTCCATCACTGAGTCCATCAAACTCCCCAAGACCCCCAAGTGCAAGTAGCTTTTACTGGATTCAGTCTCTCACATACTCAGCCCCAGAGCTCTTTTTTTTTTTTTTTTTTTTTTTTTGCCCCCTGAGACGGAGTCTCACTCTGTCTCCCAGGCTGGAGTGCAGTGGCTGGATCTCGGCTCACTGCAAGCTCCACCTCCCGGGTTCACACCATTCTCCTGCCTCAGCCTCCCGAGTAGCTGGGACTACAGGCACCTGCCACTGCGCCCGGCTAATTTTTTTTGTATTTTTAGTAGAGACGGGGTTTCACTACATTAGCCAGGATGGTCTCGATCTCCTGACCTTGTGATCCACCCACCTCAGCCTCCCAAAGTGCTGGGATTACAGGCATGAGCCACCGTGCCCAGCCCAGAGTACTTTCTGCTCTGGCCTGTGATTCTCCGTAGTGAGTCTCCTGCCACTGTTGACCCTGGGGTGGGGGTGGGGGTGGGGGGATACTGCCAAATACAAGCCTGGCCTCAATGCTTTCACACTCCTTGGCCAATGATGACACAAGGAACCTTTGAAGTCAGAATGTTCCCGAGCTCCTGCCCCTGCAGACAGCGCAGGAGCAGCCTTTTCCCACCTGAGGCTGCCTTTCTGGGAATGGCCCTGTTGCCACTTAGGTGTTCACTTGAGCATCTGAAATCGTTTCCCATGCATGGACATGTGTGCATGCCTGCACATACACGCACATATGTGTAAAGCGGCACCGCGTGGGGCTGGCAGAGCGACTGTATCCGTGTTCGCACATCTATGTCAAACAGTCTGCTGGCATAGAGTAAGCTTTAGATAACAGCGTGAAATAAATAAAAACAAAGTAACACATGCCCTTGGCCTTGAGGGGAGGGGGAGGCCTTTGCTTCCTGTGATTCCTCCTGGCTCTTTGCGGCAGCATCAAACCCTCAGGGCAGGGCTCCTAGTCTGTGTCTGAGCCCAGCCCTACCCCAGTGTCCCATGCTGGAGAGTGGGGCTGGAGGTCCAGTCAGGCCCAGTCCCCAGGGCCCCTTTAAAGTTAGAAAACAATATAAGAGGTTTCTGTGCATGGGTACGTAAGGGGAGAAATACCCAAAAACCTGTACAGTTCCGAGCAGACGGGTGGTTTCACTCTAAGACTCCAAGCAATTCAGAACTGGGCCAGAGGGGAGCTGAGAGGGCTCCAGGCTGAGGCTCGGGCAGGCAGGTGGAAGGAGGGAAAAGGGCCCAACTTGTCCACCTTCTGACTTGGAAGTAAGGAGCCAGGGTCACCCTGAGAAGAGAAGGTAAACAGAGTACAAAGAGGAGAAGGAGAGCAGCAGTGTGTTTGTTTCAGATGTTGAGATCAGTTCCCCGCCCCCCCATTACAGCCCTCGAATATTTTAAAATTTAATATGGAACTATCAAGCAGAATTCTTGGGGCAAGATTTTATTCAGATTTGTTGCATTTTAGTGGCTTAAAATGTCATTAAAAAATTAAAGCATGTTTATACAAACTTAAATTATCAGGGTGTAGCAACTAAATTGCCTCTAAAAGCACCCATTTTTAAGTAATTCAAAGAGAAGAGTGAGAAATTAGGAGTGTCTGATGGTGCAGCACAACCTTGGAAGGTTTTAAAGAACAGTTAACAGGTACACCGTGACCATTATTCTTCTAAAAAGAAATGTCACAAATGAGGAGTTGGAGACAGGAAGGATAGGAATATTAGAAGAATTGGCAGGTGATTGGAACATTATCATCAAAAACTAGTGAGAAAAGATGGCTCGTTCAGGGAATTGAATTAGGAAGATTACAGAGCTGATGCCTTCAGAGAGTGCAAGTCATGTATCTTGTTATATAAAACTACAAATGCCTTCGGGTCTCGGGGGGAGAGGCGGGTGGAAGCCGCCTTTGGGACGGAGGGAATGGGGCTCCACGGGGGCAGGCAGATGTTATCTAAGCAGTGTCATTCTGTGTCTTGCCACATCTCCACTTTGCAAACGTGTCTCATCTCAGAAGATGAACAGCAATGTCATTCCCTGCTTCTTGATGTTACAGTGAGAAGTCCTTTTCCTGCAGTCTTGAGAAACAGTCCTTCTGACCCCAAGGTTGAACCAATAGCAATTGGCGTGAAATACGCAGTGACAGTCGCTGGTTAAAGTGGTTGGAGTTTTATGGGCATAAACATGGGTAAGGAACGGGGTACCTCACTCCCTCCCATGTCACCCCTCTCATCATCCCAAACACCTGATGAGGAACAGCCTGGAGCCTACAAAGGCTCTTCAGACCCACACCATCCTGCTGGTGTCTGTTCAAGATCCACATACAAAGCAACAGTGCTAAACTGGGAGCGTCTTTTTAAAAATTACTAGAAGGCTTCAAAGGGAGGTTTAGGGGGCAGGATGCTAAGGGAGAGCTCTGGCCATGGTTTGCTTGCTTTGTGTACAAAGTTTTCAGTCCAGATGCTCCTCGTGTGTTCCGTGGATGTGTGTCCATGAGGGCTCGCAGCCTCTTTATCCCTCATCCATTTCGGGAAAGGACGTCAAGCACGTGCTGGGAGACTAAACAGCGAAGCCTCCGGGATGTTATGTGCACCGCTGGGGGCCAGGCAGTGTCAGAGATGCCGAGATTGCAGCATTAGACAGAGGTGCTGCCTTCATGGTTCTCAGAGTCCAGATACATGAGCGCTTAGCGCATGGGAAACATTCCCCAAATCACAAAGAGGATGCCAGGACTGAGGAATAGCCCAGGGCTGGGGCAACAGGTTTGCTTTGCAGAATGGGCGCTTCCTGTGCTTGTGGTCAGCTGCCACCCCCCTCAGTGAAGGTGCCAGCTGGTCCTGGAGTCCTGGCCACTCCTTGGAGAAGACCTTCCTCCCCACTGGCACCCATCCTCCCCGGGACTCACTGCAGCCCTGGCCTCCTTGTCCTGGCCTCCCTGGCCTCCCTGCCCCAACCTCCCTGGCCTCCCTAGCCTGCTTCCCTGGCCTCCCTGCCCCAGCTTCTCTGGCTTCCTTAGGTTGCCTCACTGGCCTCCCTAGCCTACCTCCATGGCCTCCCTGCCCCAACCTCACTGGCCTCCCTAGCCTGCTTCCCTGGCCTCCCTAGCCTGTTTCCCTGGCCTCCCTGCCCCAACTTCTCTGGCTTTCCTAGCTTGCCTCCCTGGCCTCCCTAGCCTACCTCCCTGGCCTCCCTGCCCCAACCTCACTGGCCTCCCTAGCCTGCTTCCCTGGCCTCCCTAGCCTGCTTCCCTGGCCTCCCTGCCCCAACTTCTCTGGCTTTCCTAGCTTGCCTCCCTGGCTGCTCTCAGCCACTGCCTCCTTTGCTTCCCCTCTCAGGCCATTGGGAAGCCTTCCTGACTCTCCGCTTGGCACCACAGGAAATCTCTTCCCTCTGCCAGCTTCCAGGGCTCCCTGTAACTGGTCCCACCCCATCTACCCACCCCTCCAGTATATCTGCGGGACCCTGCCCTTGTGTTCATCCTTCTCACGGGGATGACCTCTGTCCTCCTCCCTGATAGTTCATATCCTGCAGGACCCCTAGACCTTCCTCCCACACCCACCCAAGGCCCTTCTTGGATGCCACAACCTGCACCGGAGCCCTCCTCTTCTTTGGGCTCCTTGCAGTGCAGAGAGCCACATGGTGGTGTCTGTGCTCTTGTGTTGCCTTCTGGATTAGGACCTGGCCTCCTGGTGGAAGATGGAACAGCAATGCTCCCAGAGCCTGCAGTACCCAGGGGCAGGCAGGGCTGAGCAGGAGCGGAATCACTGGACAGGAGGCAGACACTTGGCCAGATGCGCACAGGCCAGTGCGCAGACAGAATCTCCTCTTGCAGCTGATGGGGAGAGTGGGAAGAGTGAATTCTGCAGTTGGTCAGTCAGACAGTTGGTTGAAATCCCAGCTCTGCCACCCACTAGTCTTGTGATTTAGGACAAACCATTTAATCTTTAAATTCAGTTTCCTCAAATACAAAATGCAGGTAACGGGCATTCCCTTCTCCTCGGGATCGATAAAGGTGTAATGAAAGAATGTCTATGAAGCACTTAGATTTGCACATGGCATGTCATGGGCACTCAATAATCAGTAGCTAATAAATATGTAGTTATTATTTTGTGCGTTTCAGTCCACAGCATATATAACAGCTGGATGATGTGCCGGATGTGTAAGCGATGCCTTGTCCTCACTGTCTTGTCTCCGCCTTGGTCACATCAACTTGGTCTTGTTCTTTTATCTGGTAAATTTTACTGGAGTATAAAGTCATACAGAAAATTTCACAAATCACTGGTGTACTGCTCACTGGATTTTCATAAAATGAGTTCAATGTGTAATCAGCACGCAGATAAAGGAACAGAACCTCCCCAGCATCCAAAGCCCCTCATCTCTCTCATTCAATTGCCCTCTTCCCATCCCAGGGGCAGCCACTCTCCTGGCCTCTCACAGCTCAGAGAACCTTTGCCATTGGGGAACTTCCTATGCAGGGAACCACGTGACTTCCCCCACCTAACCTTATGCTTGTGAGATTCATCCAGCTGGTGGGAGTGTGGTCCATTCATTCCCATCTGCACAATAGTGTCCTGTTGCAGATGAAAACACACTACTGTGAAGAATCTTCTAGACTCTGATTCCAAAATTTACTAGAAAGCTAGTGTGATCAAGACAGCATGGTACTCACATAAGGATAGACATATAGACCAATAGAAGTGAATTAAGAGTCTAGAAGTGAACCCATACTTCTATGGCCAGTTGATTTTTTGACAAAGGTGCCAAAACCATTCAATGGGGAAAAGACAGCCTTTTCAACAAATTGTGCTGGGACAGCTGGACAGCTACATGCAAAGAACGAAATTGGACCCCTACCTCACACCATATACAAAAGTTAACTCAAAATGGATCAAACACCAAAATGTAAGATCTAAAACTATAAAACTCTAAGAAGAAAACATAGGTGTAAGTCTTTGTGACCCTGGATTAGGCAGTGATTTCTTAGATATGACTCCTAAAGTGCAGGCAAGCAAAAAATAAATAAACAGTGGACTTCCTCACAATTAAAAATGTCTGTGTTTTAAAGGATACCATCAAAAAAGTGAAAAGGCCATAGCATGACAGAAAATATTTGTTAATTGTATATATAAGAGTCTAGTATCAAGAATATATAAAGAACTCTTACAACTTAATAAAAAACACAAATAACTCAATTTCAAATGAGCAAAAGTTTTGAATATTTTTTCCAAAGAAGACATACGAATGTCCAATAAACACATAAAATCTGTGTAACGTCATTAGTAAGTAGGAAAATGCAAATCAAAACAACAGTGAGAGGCCAAGCACAGTGGCTCAACACCTGTAATCCCAGCACTCTGGGAGTCCGAGGTGGGCGGATCACCTGAGGTCAGGAGTTCGAGACCAGCCTGGCCAACATAGTGAAACCCCATCTCTACTAAAAACACAAAAATTATCTGGGCGTGGTAGGACATACCTGTAATCCCAACTACTCAGGAGGCTGAGGCAGGAGAATCACATGAACATGGGAGGTGGAGGTTGCAGTGAGCCAAGATCATGCCACGGTACTCCAGCCTGTGTGACAGAGTGAGACTCCATCTCAAAAACAAAAAATGAAAGAAAAAAACAAAAACAAAAGAGTGAGATTACACACCCACTAGGATGGCTGTAATTAAAAAGACAATAACAAGTGTTGGCAAGGATGTGGAGACATTGGAACCCTCATGCATTACTGGTGGGAATGTAAAATGGTGCAGCCACTGTAAAGAAAAAAAAAAAACTTGTCACCTCCTCAAAAAGTTAAAAATAGAGTTAGCATTAGCATATGACCCAGAAATGTGACTCCTAGGGATCTGCCCAAAATAGTGTGTCCACACAATAATTTGTACATGGATGTTTATAGCAGTACCATTCATAGTAGTCAAACAGTGGAAACAACTCAAATGTCCATCACCTGAAAAGTAGATAACCAAAGGTGGCATCCAGACAGTGGAATATTCAGCCATATAAAGGAATGAAGTCCGTATGCAAGCTACAACATAGATAAGCATTGGAAACATTATGCCAAGTGAATGAAGACAGACACAAACCCATGTACTGTATGATTCCATTCATTCTAAATCCCCAGAATAGGCAAATCTGCAGAAACAGAAAGTATTTTATTGGTTTCCAGAGAATAAGGAGAAGGGGAAAATGGACAGAGACACTAATGGGTGCAGGGTTTCTTTTGGGGGCAATGAAAATGTACTGGGTTAAAAGTGAAGATGGTCGTGCAACCTTGTGACTCTACTAACATACATTGAATTATCCACCTAAATGCGTGGATTTACAGTATGCGAAGTGTATCTTAATTTCACAAAGATTAAAAACCAGCCTTTGAGGTGTTTCCATTTGGGGCTATTGCAGATAAAGACGTGTGAACATCCTTGTGCATGTCCTTGATGAGCATGTGTATGCATCTGTCTTGCAGGTCCGATTGTTGGGTCATAGGGAATGCCTGCACCCTGCTTTATAGATGTAGTGTGGTAGATTTCCAAATGGCAGCACAGATATCATCCCACCATCATTGCATGAGCATCTCAGTTGCTCCACAGTCTCACCAGCACTTGAGAGTATCTATCTTTTCCATTTTAATTATTCTAGAGGGAACTGTAACTTCTTCCAATTCTATCTCCCTATCCCCTGTCCCATGAGGTTCCCAAAGCTGTGTTGCTGCTGGACCTCGCTTGGTAGATATGTGCATCAAATATGGACAGCCGGGAGGCAAGTTCCCTCCAAAATGAGTCATGACTCCAGAACTGTGAGCTTCAAGGTGAGCCTCAGATGCAACTAATAATTTACAGCATTGTGGTAAGCTGTGCCTGCAGGGGCCAGGTCCCTGTCCTAGGAGCTGGTCAGTGATTTCCATCTGCTCTGAGGAGCACCCACGGTTCAGAGCAGGACTCCCCAGGGCAGGGGCAGGTTCTCCCCCACCCCATTGGCCAGGACAGCCTGGCCTGGCTCTACCTTCTGTTTCAGAAATCTTCTGTAGAGGGTTTCATTTGAAGACAGAGCTATGATATATTTGCACAGCACTAGGTCCATTTCTTTCTGTTGTTCTTAGGTGATTTTGTTAGGGTCAGAGCCCTGATTTCCATTTCCTTCTGGTTCACATTGCCCTTGGACTCCCAGCTCCCGTAGGTGAATCGGACTCTCAGCTGATGAAGCTAAATTGCTTCTGTGATGTGGTTGAGGCAGGGGGCAGTAGAGGAGGCACAGGCTCTGGTGGGCAAAGACCCAGAGCCACAGGGCTGCCCTTGAAACATTATGTCGCCACTGACCAGGACCCAAGAGTCCAAGCCCTATTTTCTCTTAAAGTTAATTGTTCAAAGTCACATGTACATCAGAGTGCAGTGAGTGCTGGGAGAGCCATAAGGAGCCTTTCCCCGTGGGGCTCAGCAGTCTGGAAAGGGCCCCAGCCATGGAACTGGGATTTGTTGCAGAAACCCAGCCAGGCTGACAACAGGTCACCCACAGACTCTCAAAGCGGCTGCCTGGGAGCCGCAACCAGTGCTGAGCCTGCAGTGGGTGGGTCAGCCGGCAGAGCAGGAGAAACACTGTGGATCTGTTGTGTGGGTGTTCCTGTGTGTACACACATGTACATGTACATGCATGAACATATATGTGCATATGTGCATGGTGTGAACATGTTTTCACACGTGCACATGTATGCACATGCGTGTGAGAGTATGTTCGCATCTGTGCATGTATGCGTGAGTTCGCATGTTTGTGTGTCTGAGTAAGCTCACGTTTTACATGTATGTGTGCAGACATGTACATGTGTGCTCGTGTGTGCATGCATTCTTGTGCATGTATTTAGGTGTGCAAGTGTGTTTACATGGCAAATATATGTGAAGGTGCCCTCCCAGTATTGCCCATGTGTGTGCACACCTGTGTGCATGTATGAGCATATGTGAGTGTATCTGTATATGATGTCTGCCCATGGGAGTGCTCTTCCAGTATGAGCCGTATGTGTGTGTGTGTGTATGTGAACATAGGCGTGTATACAGGGCACATGCATGGGGTTGCCCTTACAATACAAGTTGTAGCTGCTGCTTCATTTGCTTGTTTCTGAGAACCAGGCAGCCTCCTTGTGAGTGGTTTCTATGAGTGTGTGCAGAGGTCATTTTAAGAGTGAAGATGTATTTATCTTTAATTTTGGCGAGGATGCGGAGTGAAGCAGTAAGGGCAGTGGGGCCTGCTGGCATCAGCCTTGCTTTCTCACCTCACAGCTAAGTGTGGTGCAGGTAACTGGGTGGGACCCACCAGGGTAACCTTTCGCAGGATGTGCAGGACTGTCCTGCTACCTGGAGCAGGACCCTCTGAGGACAGGGTCTCATCCTCCCAGTGCCTCCCTCACTCTCCAGCCCGGTCCATTTGCCATGACGATCATGCCCCACACCTGGGGGAGAAGCAGTCCCTTTCTGTCTTTCTGGTTATGTTCACCTCTGCAGCCATTTGCACAGAGACTAAAACGGATTTGATGTGATGAATCACAAAATCACACCCTTTATTCGACAACTCCACATAAATAGCGATTCCATTTGGAATGAATTGGACCCATGTGGTGAGTTATGGGCTCATTAGAGTAGCAGAGCACATTCCTTTATCATATTAAGTTTATTTAAATCACACATAATGTTCATTTTTAGAAACAATTCATACCTACCTTTAAGGAGTCATCAGTATTGCTCCAGGAAACATGATACAATCCCGTTTCTGGCAGGATTCACACGGTTTCTAGTCGTGTGACAATGTGATTCCATTATGTCTTCCCTATGGGGACAGCCCATAAAGATTGATTCTACATTAAAAATGGTATTAAAGAAAGACAGCACATTGTGTATGTACCGCCCTGTGGCTCTGAGCACGAAGCCGCCCTCTCTCTGCTCCGGTGCACCCCATGGTGGGCTCGCCTTGGTGTACCCCCCATGTGGGAGACACAGATGTTCTCCTGCCTTTCTCGGTCAGAGCAGCCGTGACCACAGAAGTTTGCCAGGGATGCCTTGAACTTCAGCAACAAGAATGTGCATTTGTGCATTGGTGTTTTCAAAGCTTGGATCTGTTCTAGAAAATCTATCCACCCAGGGCCAGGATGATCTGGGCAAATGCAGGCTTTGTCCTCTTGTGAATTCCCACTGTATGTGTCACCAGAATTCAGAACATAGTGGAGAATCTCTCAGGCCTTTTATGATTCAGAAGAAAGAAATCATGGAGAGAGAGGCTCCGGGGGGCAGGGGTGGAGACGGGGATGACACAGTCCTCCAGGCAGAGGAACTGTGTTATAATCACCACTGGTATATCTGGGTGTTCTGCACACAGACTTTTGTTAAACAGCAGAAGGATCTTTTAAGAGAAACAATGAAAGTCCAAACAGAAGCTTGAGTGTTTTCTTAACTGTGCCACAATTGAGAACAAATGGAACAAGGGGGCCTCTTGGCCATCACACGGCGAAGACTCTGTGGTCCAAAATTCCCGTTTTCATAGCGTCCCACCTGACGACATGCAGTCTGCAACTTATGCATCAAAATCATGCTTTCTAGAGGCCACCCGTGTAAGCCCGCGTGCTTCTCCAGTGCCCCCAGTGGAGGTCCCCCAGTCTTGGTGCCCCCCACCTTGGTGCTCTGCCTTGAGGCAGGTGGCCAGTGGCTGTCCTCTGCACAGCTGCTGTCAGACAAGGAGGGTGAAAGGGAGCTGTGGTCGGCCCGTCCTCCGACCACAACTCCGGGGCAACAACACCGAGAACACGTGAGGCGCCGCCATCCTCACACCAGGGCTGATCCCCGCCTCAGTTTGGGGCCTGATGAATAGAAATGTCACTGGAGATGGATTTTCAATTTAATCGAAAGAAAAGCTTCTCTCTGGGGCTTTCCAAATGTGAGGTCATCCCTTGATGAGTTGGAGAGAATGCTTTTCAGTTTTAGCCTTCCTCTTGGGTGTGTGGGTGTTGGGTTCATGGGTGAGTGGGCATCCTGCAAGCCATAAGCTAATACTAAAAAGGTCGGGATTGATGCTGGAGTGGACACGTTCTGTGATCGAAGACAGGATCTTTCTCTAAAGGGCCAAGGAGTACGTATTTTAGGCATCATCACCATGCAGCCTGTGTCCCAATGACAACACACTGCCATTGTAGCACAAAAGCAGCTGTTGGCAACACCCAAGCAATGGAAGAGGCTGCCCTCCTGCAGGAATATTCGCACAACCCAGCGGCAGGTCCCCTGCAGCTGAGAGCCAGAGTTTGCCGACCGTTGGCTGATCCAAGGGACTCTTAGGTCTGTGTGACTTTCACTAAGACCACACAAGATCATGCAAAAGCCAATTCCATTCCATGGTTGCCGTCGAGTGGGAAGTAAATTTTATGCCCTCCAGGACCTTGGTCTGCTCACTGCAGACTTCTGGTATAGATTAATTGAGTTTCTTCTTGTGATAGCTGTTATTTGGATAGCTTAGAGGAATGAGAAGAGATAAAACTCATGAGTGAAAATGCCGCTCTTTTACATTCTTGCTCCAAATCGCATCTTTGTGTTAGTGGAATGGCCACACTTTTGGGATATGCTTCGATTTCGGCGGGAGAGGGAACCACGGAGCGCCTCTTGAGAAGGCTCGTTAAGGGCGTGAACGTGCAGCCACCTGCATTTTAATCACTCAAAGACAAACTCGGGCCATTCTGTGCTGGTGGAGCATCACTAATTCTAGTTATACGATAATGACGCGGCGCTGGATTTTAGGAATTAGGCCTCTGAGATCCATTAGCTGTGTGGTGCACCGTCGCTGAATGAATGGCTGTATTATTATCAAGGTAATTCAAAACAAATTTCAAGCTGTGACAATAAAATGGTTCTTGTAGTAGGTTGGGGTTTGTGCTGAAATTGCCAGTTGGAATGAGAACAGTTATGTTTTCAAGCTCGAGTTTTGGTGGACTCATTTTAGGCTGACTCACTTTCATTAAATTCTGAACAAATTTTTTATTAATGTGATCATATCAGACTTGGACAAACTGTGATTATTGGGTAATAATGAAGGGGTATGTCTTTCACCCCATTTAGCTGCTGGGTGGTTTTTGGTCTAAGATTACACTGTTCTTATCTATGTTCAAGATAGAGAATACTCAAGAATTCACACCAAGAACCCTGTCCCTGGGCAGAGTTGGTCCCAAATCTAGGACCATCCTTTCAAAATCCTCATGTTAGTGGCACCTGCCCCCCAAGTCCCATTTCCATCCCCCTTACTCATGCTTGATGCCATCAGTACCCATGGAGAAATTCTTTTCAGCGGCAAAAGTGTAGGTAACTTTGTAAATCCTTTATCTTATTTCTAATGCAAAGGGGATAGAAGAGGATTTTGTAGCTCTCTGGGGCTACCTGGCCATCCCTAGAGCCCACACTGGCCTGCGGCCTCTGGACCTGCCCCCATCTCACCAGTACTGCCTCACGCAGTGCAGGAGATGCTCAGGAAATGCGTATCAGGCAAAAGAATGAAGGTCGTGGTAGTGATCATGTTTTGAGAAACGCTGCAGGCTCCATCACAAGAGCACAAGAAAATGGTCCCAGGAGAGCTGCGAATAGCATCCCGTGCGTCCCGTCTTTGCCCACTACCCTCAACACATGTCAATACTCATTGTAGTAACAAGAAGTCATTGCCTGCATTTACCAAAATGTCCCTGCAACACACACAGCAGCCTCCTGAGAAGGTCTCACCTCCGGAGTGGCCAGCATGCCGTGGTCCCCGTGGCGAGCACCGTGGGGCCGCTGGATGGCTTTGCTGCCTGCCAGCTGGCCCCAGCCTTGCGATCCCTCACTGATGAATCACCAGCTGTGCTAAGTGGCTTTAAAGACTAAATTATTTTCTTCCTGTTAGGCAGACCTGAAAGAAACCTGACAGGGAAACAAAAGCACTGCTGGGCCGGGCGCAGTGGCTCACACCTGTAATCCCAACACTTTGGGAGGCTGAGGTGGGCGGAGCATGAGGTCAGGAGTTTGAGACCAGCCAGGCCAACGTGGTGAAATCCCATCTCTACTAAAAATACAAAAAATTAGCTGGGTGTGGTGGCTTATGCTTCTAATCTCAGCTACTCAGGAGGCTGAGGCAGGAGAATTGCCTGAGCCTGGGAAACGGAGGTTGCAGTAAGCCAAGATTGTGCCACTGCACTCCAGCCTGGGTGACAGAGTGAGACTCCATCTCAAAAAGAAGAAAAAAATTTTTAAAAAGTATTGCTGCTCGTTGGAATGCTGATGGCCATCACTGGGGCTGGACCGAAGGGGAGGACCTCCGGGAGCCACCTGCAAGAGACGGCGCGCTGTCGGGAGGAAGGCGGTTTCACTGGTCTGATCCAGCAGTTAAAGATCACCCAGTTAGAGTCTCCTTTCTTTTTAATTTTTTTTTCTTTTTTTTTTTTTTTTTTTGACACAGAGTCTCACTCTGTGTGTGGCCCAGGCTGGAGTGCAATGGTGTGATCTCGGCTCACTGCAGCCTCCCAGGTTCAAGAGATTCTCCTGCCTCAGCCTCCCGAGTAGCTGGGACTACAGGCGTGTGCTGCTTCACCTGATTAATTTTTGTATTTTTAGTAGAGACAGGGTCTCACCATGTTGACCAAGCTGATCTTAAACTCCTGACCTCAAGTGACCCACCCACCTCCGCCTCCCAAAGTGCTGGGATTATAGGTGTGAGCCACTGCACCCAGCCGGATTCTCCTTTCTCCCTGCATGTCCCAGCTGGCCATGCCGCTGGCTTCCCGGGGCTTCTTGCTTGCCAGTGCGGTGTGCACCAGCTGACCTGGCCTTCCTCGGAAGAGTGGAGGCCCTCGGCTGCATGCACTGCCAACCTCAGAGCACCACGTCTCAACCATGGACCCTCTGTCCATCGACATCCAACTTATTCTGCCATCAGGCATTAGGTAGCCCAAGTTCCCAGCAACGAGTGCATAGAGGAGATCGACCCTGCCACTCGAACTTCGGAGTCGCTTGTTTGCTCTGCTTATCTGGTCGGCGGAGACAAAGGAAGACCCCCTGTGGCAGACCCTGGGAACCAATGTCATCAGCATCCCAGACAGTGAATCCCCCCACCTGCGGGTGCTCCCCACTTTTATCAAGGCCCGGGTAGCAGATTTAAAGAGCACGTGACTTTTTAAATTGCTATTTTAGTTTCAGGGGGTACATGTGCAGGTTTGTTTATTGCCTGATGTCTACATGTAAAACCTCAAACTATGAAGATCCTAGAGCCAAACCTAGCAAATATTCTTCTGGGCATGTGACTCGCAACCATTGTTTGAGGAGTTTTGCATTGATTTAAGCTTATTTGAAACTTTATGGGTGTGTGTCACAGTTGTGGGGGAAGTTATCCTGAAGATGCTTCCAGATGCCAAAGCCACGTTTTTAGGAGCCACAGCTCAGACGGCCCTGGGCCAAGTCCTTGGCCAAGGTTCCCTAGCGGGTTACTTACCCCGCCCTGCACTCCAGCGCCTTCATGTGGAAGACAAAGGTCACAGCAGCCCCACCCGCGGGGCCCTGGCGAGGGCTGAGTGCCTGAGTCCACAGAGGCCTTGGAATGCTGCCCAGCAGGGCTTAGCTTCCAGGAACGTGAGCCATCCCCAGGTCCTGGTGACCACCTCGCCATGAAGGCAGTGCCCCAGAAGGAGCCCGGGTCTCAGCCTGGGGGCCCTCAGTCTGTCCATCCGGGGATAGTCCTGGCCTTCGCAGCGGGAGCTCTGGACCTCCATACTGGATCCCCCAGCCAGCGGACATGGAACCAGCCAACCTCTTACTCTCCCCAACCCGGATGAGAGGGACGGGCCGGGGTCACCGCTGTGACCAGCCGTTTATACCCAGATGAGCAGATGACCAGGCAGGGGATGCAGTTTTGTGATCTTGGTGATCAGGCCATTGATTATGCCCCGGGCCCAGGTCCCCACCCACAGGCAAAGCCTCTGAGGTGCCCGAGCACTCCAGGAATCATCCTGTCACCATGCTTTCCACATAGCTGTCCCCACCCCACCACCCCCAAGACCTGGGTGCACAGACTCAGGAATTCAGAATTATCTCTTTTCGCCATTGTGGTAAATATGGGGAATCCAGTATCACCTCTGTTCATGTCCTCTGCATCTGGTGACCACACAACCCACTCCTGTAGGATGGGAACTGAGCCAGAGGGCCTGCCAGATGTGCCACAGGGCTTGGCCCTGTGTTTTCACCACAGCCTTAAGGGGAAGCACAGGCGTCATCCCCGTTTTGCAGATGAAATGTGAAATGCTAGAGCACGAGCAGTGGGTGATTGCTCCCAGCCACATGGCGGGTGCAGGCCAAGCCAGGGCTGGAGGCCCTGGGCCGTCCCTCTTCCCGTCTCCTCCAAGTGGCCTGCGTGTGTCCAATGTACTTAGAAAAGGAATGATGCTTTAGGAGAATCTGGTAGAAAACACAATGGCAGGTGGGTTTCTGCCTTTGTCCCAGTGGGTTCCAGTAAAGGTAGACTGTGGCCCGTGAGCCCAATCTGGCCTGCTGCCTGTTTTTACAAATAAAGTTTTATTGGAACTCAGCCATGCCTGTTTGTTGGCATCCTATCCTGCTTTTGTGCTATGAAGGCAGAGTTGCAAGGGGCTAATTTAGCCACAAAATGAGCATGTTTACTATCTCGCCCTTTACAGAAAACATTTCTGACCCCTGCTTTAGGAACATGGACAAGAAGAGAAAAACAACCCACAAAGGTTTATAGCTCCTTTCCTGTGCTGAAGAGCTGGCCCTTCTCTGGGCCCCAGTGGCTGCATGCGCCATGTTTCTGGGCAGTGACCATATGATGGCAGTAATGCTGTGTCTGGAAATCCTGACCCCAGGGCTCCCAGAGAGAGAGAGGGACCTTCGTGTGGAGAGGTGGACCCCAGGGCTCCCGGAGAGAGAGAGGGGCCTTCGTGTGGAGAGGTGGACCCCAGGGCTCCCGGAGAGAGAGAGGGGCCTCCGTGTGGAGAGGTGGACCCCAGGGCTCCCGGAGAGAGGGACCTCCGTGTGGAGAGGTGGACCCCAGGGCTCCCGGAGAGAGAGAGGGACCTCCCTGTGGAGAGGTGGACCCCAGGGCTCCCAGAGAGAGAGAGGGACCTTCGTGTGGAGAGGTGGACCCCAGGGCTCCCGGAGAGAGAGGGACCTCCGTGTGGAGAGGTGGACCCCAGGGCTCCCGGAGAGAGAGAGGGACCTCTGTGTGGAGAGGTGGACCCCAGGGCTCCCGGAGAGAGAGAGGGACCTCCGTGTGGAGAGGTGGACCCCAGGGCTCCCGGAGAGAGAGGGGGACCTTCGTGTGGAGAGGTGGACCCCAGGACTCCCGGAGAGAGAGAGGGGCCTCCGTGTGCAGAGGTGGTTTGTCGCTTCTTTCATCTTCAGGACAGTCATTGCCTGGGAAACTGGGGGGATTGGTCCGAACCCACCTTGTACACCCCAGACTTGGTGCGTCCCTGCAGGATCTGAGCACAGAACGGCCTGCTTCAGCCCGGCTGCCAGGCCTGCAGAGCAGGGAGAGTCCCCATGGAATGCCACTGTTCAGACCACCTGTGGTTGAACAGAGCAATACAGGAGTCTGTTCCAGCTGCTCCCACCTTGCCATGGGAATGGTTCTCTGATTTATTATTTTAATTAAGGGCTTTTAAGCTTTAATTTAAAAAGTTAAATCGGCTCTCTTTATATGTAAATCGTGGTTCAGTGAGTTATCACACATTGCCAGATGCACACTGTCATCGGATGGAAGAGCACTGTCCTGTCCGGGACCCCAGTCCCTGAGTCTTCACGGCTCCTGAAGCAGCAACAGGACCCCCTGGGATCTCAGCCCAGGGATGCTGACTGAAGCCCTCCCAGGAGCACGGCTGGGTCCAGGGGCACCAGTGGCCCTGCACTGTGCTCACAGTCTTGTCCAGCGGCTCCCGGAGCAACCTCTCCTGACCTGTGAAGTCTACACGAGGGTCCGTGGGGAGCCCAGGCTCAGCACTGCCCAGCGGCAGCTCTGCTCTTAGCTCCAGAGTCCGGAACAACCTCTCTTGACCTGTGAATTCTACACAAGGGCCCACGGGGAGCCCAGGCTTGGCACTGCCCAGCGGCAGCTCTGCTCTTAGCTCTGGAGTCCCCTTGCCGGCTCCAGGAAAGCAATGTGAAAGTAGCCGTTTTCACAAAGCAGGCACTCACCATGTTAGCAATCAGCTTCCGTTTCTGCTCCTTGAAACGCCTTGGGAAGAAGGACCCTTGTAGGTGCAGAGTGCCAAGGGTGTGGAGAGCTGGCCGGCCCAGGAATCCAGCCCCAATGTCTCCCTCCTTCTCCCTCACTTGCTCCAGGTGCTTGGTGTCAGCCTTTAGAAAACATTGGTCCTAATTGTTCTCTTTCTTTTGGGCCGACACATTCACACTCAGCAGGGGTGTGCAGGGTGGTAGCTGCTGCTCCAGGGGCTGCCCCCTCACCAGCATTCCATGAAATAGTTCCTTCCACTACCCGTGGAGTCCAGCAACTGGGGCCAGGTCACTCTGCCAGGCAGCAGATTCTCCATGGGTCCTCGCTAGGCCACCCTGCTCCACATGCCTGCAAATGCAGCTCCCTTCCAGCTGAAGTGCCTGGCACCCCTCATTGGGAACACAGGGACAGCTCACCTTTGCTGAGCCCCCTCTGTGTGGCTCTGTGGAGCTGTGTCCTTTCGCCCCGTAATGGGCATAGGGTGCGTTATATTCTGACTGCTTGGTAGATATGAAGCTGAAACCCAGGCAGGTTCTGCACCTGTTGTATTAACAGGTGATGCGTGCAGTAGTGGGGCCTGGATTACAACCTGCCTTCTTGGCGGCAAAACTCTGCTTTCTTCCATTGGCCTCTCAACCTACCCAGAAATGAGACTAATTCTGCCCTCTCCTTCCCTCATTCACTTCTCTGTCCGTCCCTCAATGCACCTCCTCTCTGTCGTCACTGCCCTCAGTCTCCTGTGAGGACAGCGTTTGTGTTTCTCTCAGTCTCCCTCTCCTTTCTCTTATAAGGACATCAGTGGTTGGGTTTAGGGCCTACCCTAAATCCAGGACAACCTCATCCTAAGACTCTGAGTTACATCTGCAAAGACCTTTATTCACAATGAGTTCATATCTGAGGTTCCTGGTGGACGTGAATTTGGGAGGGGGCACTGTTCACCCCACTCTGGCCATTAAGCACAGTGTGTGTGGCTTTGTGTGTGATCTGGGTGGGATGTTTGTCGCTTCCTAATCTCATGCTGAGATGTGATCCCCAGTGTTGGAGGCAGGCCTGGTGGAGGGGATTGGATCTTGGGGGTAGATCCCTCATGAATGGTTTAGCGCCTTCCCCTCGGTGCTGAGTGAGTTCTCGCTCTGAGCTCACGGGAGAGCTGGTCGTTTAAAAGACTGTGGCACCTCCCCCTCCCTCGTGCTCTCACTCTCACCATGTGATGCCCTGGCTCCGCTTCACCCTCCACCATGATTGAAGCTTCCTGAGGCCCCACCAGGAGCAGATGCCAGCACCATGCATCCTGTACAGCCTGCAGAACCACAAGCCAAAATAAAACCTCTTTCTTTATAAATTACCCAGCCTCAGGTATTTATTTATAGTAATGCAAGAACGGAGTAACACATGTAGATAACCCCACCCTGCAATTCCAGTGGACACGAGCTGGGATCGGGAAGGAATAGAAGGTGGGTCTGAGAGTGGACATAGCCCTCCCTCAGGGATTCAAACAAGCAGCCCTTCCCATAGCAGGCGAGGTCCCCGGGGGAGATGCGGGAGCATAGGGAGTTGTAAATCCACAGCATTCACTCCACTTGGTTTTCGTACTGAGCCTCTGAAATGTGAACATGTTACCATTTGTTTTCATGAGGATTAAAAAATATCACAGGAAAGCAGCCACCTGGTAGACAGCGGGTACCCAACACACTGCTGCTGGATTTGTTTCTTTGCTGCCACTGGTGGTGCTCTTGGTGGTGGTGGTGGTGGTGGTGGTGCTCTTGGTGGTGCTCTTGGTGGTGCTGGTGCTCTTGGTGGTGCTGGTCCTCTTGGTGTTGGTAGTGGTCCTCTTGGTGATGGGGTGGTGGTGGTGGTGGTCCTCTTGGTGGTGGTCGCGGTGCTCTCGGTGGTAGGTGGTGGTGGTGGTGGTGGCGGTGCTCTTGGTGATGGTGGTGGTGGTCCTCTTGGTGATGGGGTGATGGTGGTGGCGGTGCTCTTGGTGGTGGCGGTGCTCTTGGTGATGGTGGTAGTGGTCCTCTTGGTGATGGGGTGATGGTGGTGGTGGTCCTCTTGGTGATGGGGTGATGGTGGTGGCGGTGCTCTTGCTATTGTTGTTGCTGTTCTCTGTGAGGCCTGATCAGACCATGTAACAACCCTAGAAAGGCTATGAGGAAGAGCTCAGCCACCTCCTTGGGGCTGTTTCAGGCATTTCTTCCCTGGCATCTAGGTGTCCCACTTGCACACCTGAGGCCCATGAGGTCCCATGCCATGCAGAGGTTAAGCTCCATGGGTGGTAGATAAATTACCCAAACAGGTGATCCAATGTCTGCATGCAGTTGCAGCTGGGGCCACAGACCCCTACCCAAAATGATTGCTCACCCCTGAGAACAGAGTAAGGCAGTGCCAAGATACACAATGCAGGGAAAGGCTCCAGCAGACCCTGGCAGAGGAGAAGCCTCCTTCCACGTAGGGAACAGCATCTGCCTGCAGAGGGCTGCTGCCAGGAGCCAGCCGAGGCTACATGCCTGCCTGGACGCTGTCATGAGGTTGCTGCCGGGGTTGCTCAGCTGCCTGGGGTGAGGGTGTCTGCATCCACCCCCTCTGTCCTCATGGGGTTCTCCAGCCCCATGTACACTGTTGCCTCCCACCTGATGGGAGGACCCTCGTCTTGTCCCCGTTGCCCATCAAGTGCCTGCCACCGACAGTGGCCCCAGCCCTTTCTCGGGTGCACAGTGCCACAGCCGGTGGGTCGCTGGTCCTCTGCTTCCCTGGTGCCTCGGGCTGAGTCTCCTGCTGGGGCATCACTGGGCTGCTCTCGTCCCCGACAGACTCACCCACTTCTTCCACCCCTGCATGGTCCCAGGGCTTCCTGCCCTTGCCGGGCCCATGTGGCTGACTCCTCCGCTGTCCTGCTGTTTCCCACCATGTCTGACCATGAGCCGCCTTTTTAAGGAAAGCAGATTGGACCAAGTGTTTCTCGCCTTTCCGTTGCTTTTGGTTCTTCCAAAGGTTTTGAAAGTGGTTGGAAAACATTCTTATTTTCTCAGGGACCATTTTCAGCTTCTCTACCAAGGATGAAGAGTTGGAGTAAAAATGAATTACAAACTGGCAGAGTCAGTATCCACCTATTTACCACGAGCCGGAGACTTTCAGTGGTTGCCAGCGTAGAACGCTCATTTTTATTAACCCTATTTCCTTCAAGTGTCTCCTTCCATGGAGATTGACAGGCCCCGCACATGGACATGGGGAGAGAGGAGGTCTCTGTGTCTGCAGCGCTCTGACATCCTGCAGGACGGGACAAGGTGGCCCCGAGGACCCGTCAGTGCCCACGGGGTGCCCATAAAACTTTAGCAGTGGTACATATTTACCCAAACTTCACTAAATCACTTTCTAATTTACCAGTCATTGCTTGAGAGGCCGGAAAGATTGGAAGCCCAAAGAACTGAGCAGGGCCGATTCTACCGGGAGAAAGGGTCACCGAGACACTCAACAGCTCGCTTATCGGTCACTCTCCGGGCTGCGCCTCCTCGGGGAGTTCTGGGTTTGCGCGGGAGGCTGCCGATGGCACGCGGCTCACAGATAATGCGGGAATGGACTGCGTGTCTTCCTCCCAGTGTCTTCAGCACACGGCTGTTGCCAGCGGCGGTGATGGGCTTGCCTGCCTCGGGGGAGCTGATGGGAGGAGGGGGAGCTTTGTGGACACTGAGGAGCTCTGTGAGGTGGAGAGCAGCTCTGTTCCAAACGCCCATATCCGTTAGCATGGGACTCAACCTGTCACCCTACATCCCACCAAGCTGCCATCCAAAAATCACTGTTTAGTGTATCTGTTAAAAGTAGCATGTTTCAAATTGCACAGAAAATTCCGAAAGCTGACAGCACGCAGCTGGGCACCTGTCTCCGAGCCCCCCAGGAAAGGCCTTTGTAAGCTCTTCTAGCTGGGGACGGCAGAAGTTACCTTAGTCTATTTAGGCTGCTACAACTGCAGACAGACTGGGTGGCTTAGAAATAACAGAAATGTACTTTTCACAGTTCTGGAGGCCAGAGTCCAAGGTCAGAGAACCAGCAGATTCAGTGTGGGGTGAGGTCCCGCTTCCTCATTCATAGCTGGTGCCTGCTCATTGTGTCCTGGCATGGCAAGGGGAGAGGGATCTCTCTGGGGCCTCTTTTATAATGTAATTAACCCCATTCAGGAGGGCTCCACCCTGGGCCCCTTCCAAAAGCCCCACCTCCTGACATCATCACCTTGGGGCTTAGGTTTCAACACACAAAATTCGAAATTTGGGGGCACAAACATTTAGCCATAGCATCAACAGACTGTTGCAGACCATGCCGGGTCCTCCCCTGGAAGGAGCAGGGCAGAGGGGAAATGAGCTGGAGGCATGTAGAAATAGGCCAGGTGTGGTGGCTCATGCCAGAATCCCAACACTCTGGGAGACTAAAACGGGAGGATTGTTCGAGGCTAGAAGTTCGAGACCAGCCTGGGCAACACGGCAAAACCCCGTATGTTAAAAAGTTAGCCAGGTGTGGTGACACACACCTGTGGTCTCAGCTGCTTGGGAGCCTGAGGAAGGAGGATCCCTTGAGCCCAGGAGTTCAAGGCTACAGTGAGCTATGATTGCACCACTGTACTCCAGCCTGGATGACAGAGTGAAACCCTATCTCTAATAAAAAGAAAAGAAAATATATTTAAAAATTTTAGGTAGTCATAGAGGAGATCAAAATAACAGAATTAATGCTTATTGTTAATTACTTTTTTATGGAAACCTAAGGAAAGAAAAGCAAAGGTCTAGAGGCAGCCGTGGCAGGGTCCCCTTTAAAACAGATGAACCCTTCTCATGAGAATATAGTGTTGCAGATACGGTGACAGGGTTCAGCTGTGTCCCCACCCAAATCTCACCTTGAATTTTAGTTCCCATAATCCCCACATGTGGTGGGAGGGAGCCGGTGAGAGGTAACTGAATTATGGGGGTGATTTCCCCATGCTCTTCTCATGATAGTAAGTTCTCACCAGATCTGATGGTTTTATAAGGGGCTTTTTCCCTTCGTTCCACACTCATTCTCCTTGCTGCCGCCATGTGAAGAAGGATGTGTTTGCTTTCCCTTCTGCCATGATTGTAAGTTTCCTGAGGCCTCCCCAGCCATGCTGAACTGTGAGTCAAACCTCTTTCCTTTATAAATTACCCAGTCTCAGGTAGGTATTAGCAGCGTGGGAACTGACTAGCGCATATAGCCAGACACGTGGATCTTTTTGATGATGTCTGGAGGATACTACAACAAATTTATGCATTCTTCCTGGTCTTCCCGCCTTCCTGCTATGCTCCAGTCTTGGCGCCTTGGCACTTGCTGTTCCTTCTGCCCAGAACATGCTTCCCCACCCAGCTCCATCCTGTGCCTCCTTTGGGTTTTGGCTCAGACACCGCCTTTTAATGGGGCTCTCCTGACTTCCAGCCTTAGGCTTGAGCTGTGCTCTTCCCTCCAAGATACTGGGTCTCCTGGCAGCCATGTTCCTTCCTGGGAGGCTGCAGCTCACGCACCTGCATTGCATGAGTGGATTTTCTTCACTGCTTTCTCCCCCAATGAGAGTGGAAGAGGTGACTTTTCTGCTCAGTCAAAGGTGCATCTTCAGTGCCTGGCACACAGTAGGTCCTCGCTCAAGACTCAACAGATGAAAGCCCAAACCTGAAATCTGAAATCAGTGACCCAGTTGAGGGACCACTGGACTGCATGGGTCATGGGGGCAGCAAGCCAGTTTGTGCTCTCTGGAGCCTCAGAGACCCTGGGGTTCAAATCCTGGCCGCGCCACTTGTCCTGCTGTGGGTGAGCAACTGGCCTTCCCCGAACCTTGGTTTTCTCATCTGAAAAATGGGCCTCATATTGCTCGCCTTCTGGGGTGGCCATGATGATTAACTGAGATGAGAGGCGTGGAGTTTCCAGAACACTGCACTGCACATAGTAAGTGCTCAATTAATGCTAGCTCTGATTTTCATCTCTTGTAATTCTCATTTTAACTCTTATTTGGAGATAATTGTAAACTTAGAGGAGTTGCAAGAATAAGACAAAGAAGTCTCTGATTTTCTTCACTGACTCATCACCTGTTATTTCCCATGGGTTCTATACACAATGTCTGCTCTAGTCTCTCTGTCTCCCCTTTCTCTCTCTCACATCTATCTCAGAATACACACAATATTTTCCCTGAATCATTTGAGAATTAGTTATGGATATCACACCTGTTGCCCCTAGATACTTCAGCATGTATTTCCTAAGAATGGGATATACTTTAACTACAATGCAATTACTAAATTCAGGAAATGTACCAATGATACGAGATTCATATCTAATCTAGATATTCCAGTTTTGCCAACTGCCCCCCAAATTTTTTTTTGAGGCGGCGACCTCCCGCTAATCAAGATGCCATCCCAGAGCAGTCATTGCATTTGCTGTCACGCCCTTTCATCTCTTTAGTCTGAAAGATTCCTGGGCCTTTCTTTGTCTTGCCTAACACTGCTGTTCCTGCAGAGCCCAGGCTAGTTGTTTTCTAGAATGCCTGCAGTTTAGGCGCGGCTGATGTTTCTTGATGACACTTTTATTATTTTCATCAGTGTTATCATTACAGAATTGAGGGCCTCATTCGAAAAGTACAAGGCCGGTTTTCTGGGTAAAACACTCCTCTCTTTAGCTGGCCGCTCACTGTCTCGGCACCGATTTTACATGGCCCATTGCTTGCTGGAGTGACATGAATGGTTACTATGGCGCCGTTACGCATGGGGAGTTCCAGGGAAAATGAGCTTCTTGCCTAAAACAAGTGCAGGAAAATATTGAGAACTATCTTGGGCCTGTCACTTGGGGAGCACTGTAGAAGGTTCTGGAGAAGGCATTGAGACTATAATTCTACTTTAATGAGCTGGGCTACCTAGATTCTATGGTACAGCAAGAGAAGCTGTTTGTATGCACCTGTATGTACGTGCCTTACTTAAAATTCAGAAAGAAAATCTTCAGGTGCCAGAATTACTTGTGAGGCTGGTGAAGAGTGAAAAGCCACTTCCCAGGCCAGACAGGAAAGAGTGCCCTGGTTGGGACCAGACGGGCCTGGCTGCAGACGTACACTTTGGGCTTCAGCAGCCCTGGTGCTGCCTTGAGCTTGACCCGAATTGCTTCTTCCCAGAGGCTGGGTCTCCCTCGCAGCCCCTGCTCTCAAGGATGGGAATGAGAAGGTCGATGACAAGGCACCTCTGCTTTACATCCAAGCGTTGACTTTTGTGGCTTCCTTTACCCCATTGCTCTGCCCTTTAAAGGGTCCTGGTGTGTTTGGGAATGGGACAGACAATTTTGTTTTTCACAATGGTATTGGGCTGTGGATCCAGAACTCAAGTTCCAGAGGAAAGCGATGCCAAAGTCAACAGGGATGCTTCACGGAGGCAGGGAAAATGCAGGAGGTAAGATCCTTGAGCCACGGCTTGTGATGATGCCACTGTAATAAATGCTAATTACCTTCTCTGCCGCGCCAGGGGGTTGCTGCTGTTTTCTTCCCCTTCCAAGTGTGTTGCGTTTGGATGTGTAGTGGCTGTTAAGAAGTTTGTCAGCTTCTCCTAAGAAAACGTCAGTATGGAGGCGCTTAAGTAGGTCTGTGTGGGTGCAGGGCTGCAGGGAGGCAGTACATTTTGTAGCTGGAAGATTCGCCGCCTGTGTGTGGGGATGCAGAGAGTGTGGTGGATACCTAGCTGTTACCTGGCTCATCTCCAAGGGGGCAAGGCCTGTGCAAGGTGGTGGGGTCCAACAGGGGTTTCTCCCCCACATCCTCGGCGTGGCTGTGTGAATAACCCGCCTGCAGGGTCCTTTCCTGTGTCCAGCCTCTTCCTCCAGGGACACCGGCTTTGAGGATGCATTGGTCTTTTGTTCTCTGTGGTGTTTCCCTTAGGAGTGGTCTGAAACAGAATTTGGACCCTGGTCCTTCCACAGCCTTTTGATGTCTGGGAGGACCCTGGCATCCTCAGGCACACTCAGGTGCGTGGCTGATGTTGGTGCAGAAGGACTCGCCATGAGCCGAAGGTAGACAGTGCTGGCCTTGACATCGGGTGAGCATCTCCTTGATGCCCAGAGGGTACCTGGGCTGTAGGTTTCCAGGCGCCATGGCAGGGAGTGACTGCAGGACCCAGCTCCGTGGGCCACGTGATCAGAGCACGGCAGGTGCCCCACTTTACAGGCAAACCCTGTCCCCAAAACCCACCTGTGAGGGACCAGTACAGGAACTGGCATGGGTCTTTCTGCAGCAACAGGGTCCTCACCGCCCCTGCATTCTATGCCAGCTCCCAGAAGCCTGGCAAGCCCCAGCTCCCACTGAAGGACCTTCTATAGGAGCTGAAAATGAAATAAGACTACATGGCTGTGGTGGACAGGAAGGACCTGCCTCTCCTCCTCCCTCTCCCCTCCCCTTCTCACTCTTTCCCTCCCCTTCCCACCCTTCCCCACCCCTTCCCGCCCCTCCCCTCCCTGCCCCCAGATCCTCAGGAACTCTCAGAATCATGCTGCGCCAGGCACCACACCATGCAATATCACCGAATCACATGTGGTGTCCCTACCTCGGCTCTGTGCAGTACATGCTCATGTTTTGTTCCCATGTTTCAGAGGAGGAAACTGAGGCACAGAGACTTCAGTTCCCCAGGGTCTCACAGACAAAAGGTCAGGAGCTGGGATTCAAACCCAGGGACCTCTGCCTTAGAGCCCAGGCCCTTCCCGCGTGAGTGAGACAGAAGCAGCCAGCCTGAGCCAGCCAGAGTTTTTATCCTGAGGGCTGCTGCCTCCAGAATGCAGGCTTCACTTACGAAGGAACTGGCAGCCGTGGGGATCTGGGGGGCCTCTCTTGGGCTTGGGGCCAGTCATATCAGCTCCGTGTTAAGTCCAATTTCACTTTAAAATGGATTTTCCTGTTTCCTTGAAGTGTGTGTGTCCCTTAGACTAATCATAGATAGATAATACATGATGTTATATGTGTTATATCTAAATATACAAATATTATTTAATTCATGGGAATGAAGGCTGAAGTTTCCCAAGTGACAGAGCAAAAGCTGGAGTGGGAGACGCAAGGGAAGGGACAGAGGATGTTTGCCTGGATTCAAAGAAGGGCTGGCCTGGGGTGCAGTCAGCACGTCTTGAAGGACTGAGGGAAACGGCCGGCTGGGGTGAGCCTCTGCCCTCTCTCCTGGAGGAGGGGGAACTGCAGGTCCTCCCAACTCCTGCCCTGCCATTCTTAGGAAGCATCCCCTCTCAGGACCCACATAGGCAATGGGCAGATCCACGCTGCATGGTGAGGACACCCAGTCCTGAACAAGGCCCCCAGGACAGCGCGTCTTTGTATGAAAGGCTCCATATTTCCACCATCTGGATCAGTTTGCGTCACACAAAAGAGGAGTCCTTCTCAGCTTAGCATTGAAGGCTGACCTCAGAGAAGACAGCTCCTAGAGGAATATGCAGCCCCAAGGGGTCAGTCTTATACAGATGATTCCTCTTTCAGAACACTATGGATGGATGGATGGATGGATGGATGGATGGATGGATGGATGGACAGACAGAGGGAGAGATGGATGGACAGACGGATGGATGATGGTCAGATGAATGGATGGATGGGTAGACAGATGGACATATGGGTGTACAGACATGGGTGGAAGGATGGATGGACGGATAGACGGACGGACGGATGGATGGATTGATGGATGGATGGATGGTTGGATGGATGGATGGATGGATGGATGGATGGATGGATGGATAGATGGTTGGATGGATGGTTGGACGGATGGATGGGGTGGCATGTGGGTTTCCCTTTGCAGGTCCTACCCCTGCACAGTCCTTTCTTCAGAGAGAGTGAGCTGATGGGGTGGGAGCGTCCTATTTCAGCTGAGTGTTAAAGCCCAGAGAATAGAACCCCACCCAGCAGGGAACTGAAGCAAAGGGAACACCAGCCTCTTCACGTCTGGGAAGGAGAGTCAAAGTCCAACGACTGCACAGTCCCTGGCCTGGTGGATGCCCATGGCTCTTATTGGCATTTGCCTTGAGATTTGCTCATTTCAGAAACACAAGTTGAGTATTTTGAGGTTTTTGTAGAAATGTCACCTGCTTTGGCATCTCCAGAAGCAGAAGGACTGTTGCTATAATTAGACCACCTGCCAGGGTGGCATCCGGAAGTGGGGCATGGAGAGCGCACCATCATGTCTGAGGGTCCTTGGGTCCCTGTTGGCATGTTTGGTGGAGGGGGTCGTGTCCCACAGTCCTGACCAGCGTGGGCACCCCAGGGCCATCCCAGGAGCCTCGGGGCCTCCTGGCTTGCAGCACAGTGGCCCTGATGTTCCGCTGAGCAGCATGAGCCTGAAGCCAGAGCTGACCCCCCATCCACACGGGGTTCCTGCCATTCCTAGCAAGAGGAAGGGGCAACAGCCGATGTGCTCTGGGCCCTCCCATGGCAGAAATCCCATCACATGGCAGCTACGGCTGTGTATATAAACTGCATATAAACACAATTTTGATAAACTCAAACACAGGACAGATGGAAGGGAAAGCTGTGTGCTGATAACATCTTGAGCCCTGCCAGGAGCTCCCCTCGCTCACCTCCCTGCAGCCCCTTCCTCCCTCCCTCAGGAGAAACAGTAGGCTCTGGCTTGTAGCTGCTGCAGCTCCTGAATCCAGCTGATGATCTGAGTGCCTGTGAGGGCCCCAGAAGCCCCACGGGCCTGCGAGTGGACCTTCTGGCCAGCGAGGACCCACAGCCCTGGGGTGGCTTCAAGAACCCATTCACCAGCTGGCCCCAGCTGGCCTCGTGGCCTGGGCCCCTCGCCTGGAGCTTGCTGGGCGTGGTGACCACAAAGGTGCCTTCCCTCCCCATCTCCACACCTTGCACACATATAGATTCAAAAGAGCAAGCAGCACCATGCTGTAGCCCAGCCAAGGCTAATATTCTTACTGGGGCCTGCTCTCACTGGCCCAGCCAGCAAATGCCTGTGTGCCTCACCATGCAAGGATGTGCTTGGTAGAGGCCCCGTGGGCCCCGTGTGCAACGTGAAATGAAGTGGACGTAGGCATCTCACTGCAGTGGGAGTCATGGAGCACCTCGAGGGGAGAGAAGGCACAGCCTTTAAATTGCTGCCAGAGACAGAGTTTACACAGTTCACACGTACAGATTCAACCTGACCCCCACCCCCCTTTCTCCTTCCTGCCTTCTCCCCATTTGTGAATGCCATTGCAAGCTTGTGGATCTTATTTAATTACAGAGAAAAAAAATGGTCTCAGTGTAAGTATAAAAATATTGCAGAGGACCCAATGTGAGAAATACTGCGTCCGGCCACTGAGAAGGTGCCACCTCCCCACAAAGCCCTTGTTCCAGGACAGGCTGCCTGGATGGAAGTGCTCCGGCCTCTCCACAGGTTGGGGGAGTCACATCTCTGCTTTAGGGGCTGGATCCTCAGCTCTTCTCTGTGGGCTCTGGACCCCTTATAAAGCTTTGGACCAAGTCCAGGGTTCTCATAGAAGTGCCAGCTGCCATATGCCTGAGCCATAGTGAGTTAAATGCCCACAAGCAGTGTTCCAGTGAGTGGAACTCCACCTTTGCTGGGAAGGATTCTCTCAGGACAGAGCAAAGATAAGCTAAAGCAGTTTGCACACCTGATGATAAACTCATGAAGAGTGCTGCCGTGTGAAGAAACACCACGCTGGGAAGGTGCGGCACAGGGTCTGAGCTCGGGGTTTTGTTAATGAGGTTCTAGCAGGTAGAGCTCTTTCATCTGCAGGTGACAACACTGAATTCAAAGCGGCCAACACAAAAAAGCTAAGTGCCAGAGAAATCCAGGGTCAGCTTCAGGAGCAGCTTGATCCAGAGGCTGAAGCCATTACCAGGGCCTAGTTTCTCTCTATTTCCACTACCTCTAGGTTGACTCTTCAGTCATGATGGCAGCAAGCTGGCAACGACAGGTCTAAGCCTGTGTGTTCCCAAGTTTAAGTTGAGGAGAAAGGAGAGAGGTTTTTCCTGGTATTGTTAACACTAATCCCAGGGTATATACTTACGGGTTACACACAGCTCCAGTTTTATGGCAGACACCATAAAACAAAGGTTCTTCCTGTCAGATTCAGTGACACATTTCACAAATATTTGTTGGGTAGTCTATAATGGTGGTAGAAAGACACAGACCTGTACTCGTGGAGTTTAAATCTCTTCGTGACAGTTATTAATAAAATCTTGGAATGAAGAAAAGGCAATGGAGAGAAGGGATCATGATTCTATAGAACAGGGCTTAGCAACCTGGCACACACGCCATATCTGGCCCTCTGCCTGTATTTGTAAATAAAGTTTTATTGGAACACAGCCACACCCATTCATTTACATATTGTCTGTAACTGCTTTCATTCTGTGACAGCAGAGTTGAGTAATTGTAGTAGTGACCTTACCCAACCTGAGAGATTTATTATCTGGCCCGTTACAGAACATGTTTGCCAACTCCTGCTGAGCAGCATATGATAAAAGAAATTGACCCAGATGGGAGGTAGGCACAGCTTCCCTGGGGACATGTGAGCCACCCAAGTCTCAGGAATAAATAGGATTCAACTCTGCCAGTAGGGGAGAGGCTGATGACATGGGATGGGGCTGGAAAGACAGGAAAGGTGGCTACCTCAAGGGCTTCGTCCTTGGGTTTTGGTCTAAGACATGGTCTAAGGATTGACTCTGAGTAGGAGGAAAAGGGAGGGAAGGAGAAGGGACAAGTGGAGGGGAAGATGAAAGAGGGGGTCCAGAGGGTGTGCTCCCCATTCGGAGGCACGCAGTGTGGGCTCCGAATCAAAGCTGCCAGAAAGAACTGGAGCACAGCTCCTGGTAGCGTGGCTTCTCAGTGTGGGCTTTATTTTGACTTTTATTTTTTGTGTGTGAACATAAAACAGTTCTTCCTGCAGCAAGACAGCGACGTGTCAGATTCATCCTTGCTGGGTCACCCACCAGCAGAGCCATTAACCCTCTCTGTCATGATGCTTCCCCAGCTGATCGTGTTTGCAGCTGGCAGGTCAGGGTTAGGAGAGAATAAAGGTTCCTTGTGCTGAGAAACCCACCCAGGCTAATACAGATTAACTGACCACCCTAACCCCTGGTCTTGGCTTCACTAGTTCCTACTTGACAAACCAAGCTGATTACCCATCTCACCAGGATCTAGGACAGCACCTGGCTTGGAGTAGGAGTAGGCTGGCAAAAATATGTCTGTACCACTGCATCCCCTCCCTGACCGGAGGCAGACATCACTAATCGATCCCACTCTCTTCTATCCCTCACGTGAGGCAGACATCACTTATCAACCCTGCTGTTCTCTCCTCTGGGCCAGATGGAGCCTTGTGAGTTATCTCAGCTCTGAGCTCTTAATGGCCACTGCTGCCACTCAGCACCCAGGAGAAGCGTGTTCACCCCTCTAATGCTGGGTGCTCAGAAATGTCAGGCGAATGAAGTAAGAGGGCCTGTATGAGTGCGTGGATTTCTCTGTGGCAAAATGTGTACCTCTCCACAGTTTGTTTGGAAGACTGAAAACACCAATCCACAGTTAGCCCCATTAATCCTTGGGACTCTAGGGTCTTGGGAGATTTCATTATTTTTAATGCCAGAGAAGAATGTCATTGCAAGAGCCATAAAGTGCAGTAGGAAATTAAAAAGCAACAAGGGAACCCCAGCTGATGGCTGTAGGAGTGCATGGAAACATTCACTTGTGTCACCACATAAATGTTTTGTGTGTTAAAGGATGCATGGATGTTTTGCATGTTGAAGGATAAGTAGATGTTTTGTGTGTTGAAAGACAAGTGGATGTTGTGTGTGTTGAAGGATGAGTGGATGTTTTGTGTGTTGAAGGATGAGTGTATGTGTGTGTACTGAAGGTTGAGTATATGTTTGTGTGTTGAAGGATGAGTGGATATGTATTGAAGGTTGAGTGTATGTGTATTGAAGGATGTGTGGATATTTGTGTATTGAAGGATGAGTGGATGTTTTGTGTGTTGAAGGATGAGTGGATGTTTTGTGTGTTGAAGGATGAGTGGATGTTTTGTGTGTTGAAGGATGAGTGGATGTTTGTATATTGAAGGATGAGTGGATATTTTGTGTGTTGAAGGATGAGTGGATGTTTCGCATGTTGAAAGATGATTGTATCTTTTGTGTATCGAACGATGCATAGATCTTTTGCATGTTGAAGGATGCATGGATGTTTTTCATGTTGAAGGGTCTGCATGGGGAAAAGACTCAATCATGGTCCATGAGAGCTGAGCTGAATCTCTGATTTTCTTGGGCACAACCATGGGCCTGGGTTCTCTGGGGTCCCAGGAAGGATGGGTGGGTTGGTGGGTGGGCTGTGTGGGGCTACACATTTGAAATGCAGCCTATGGTTCTATTGTGTTCCAGATGCTTGCATTGGAGGGAGAAGGTGCTTCTCCTTGGTTGATTAAATCTCTGGGTGGCGGCCCTGGGCAGCCCCAGGAAAACATGCTGATGCTCAATACCAAGACTATGTCTTGACATAATGAACATTTCTGATCCCTGGCTCCCTGCCTGTGGATCATCTAAGAAGCAAACTAGCCTGAGGCAAAGCTGTGCATAGGGAAAGCTTGTCTTCATTTCTCTCCTTAATGTCTCCTTCCCTCCTTCAAGCCCCACTCCTTCCCTGAGGCCCCCTGTCCCCACACAGCCTCCCCACCATGCAGGACTGCCAAGCTTGCCTGCCCAGCCAGGAAACCTCTGCCCCTCCTTGGCAAATCTCTCTGTGTCCCGACCCTCAGCTCTACTCAAGTTAAGGTGTCATTCCCCATATGTCCTCTCTGCCAGCTGTCACCTGGGAAGGGCCAGAGCAATTCCCAGGGGACCTGTTACCTGTATGATCCACCCCTGTTGGTGAAGAGAGAGGTCCTTTTACCCACCAAAGAGAATGGCTACTGAGAATGTGTTGGGCACCAGGGAGAGGCCAGGGCACTGGGGGGGAATGACACACTGCCATTGAGAGTTATGCAGACCCAGGTAATCTAAGGGTCTTTAATTTTTTGCTTTTGTCAGAAGATTCTCATACCATAGCATTCTGTGATTTCACTGGATGTAGCTGTTGACTTTCTCTACAAATTAGTGCAAAATAACTGGGGATTTTCTCACGTCCCACTGGTTGAACTCTGAGCAATGTGTGAAAATTATAGAACCATCATTTACAGTTCATCAAAGAAGAAAACATCTCTACAGCTCATGATTTTCCACATGTACCAGTAACCACAGGAAGATGGTTCCCTCTCAGTACTTGGAGCTACTCACAGAGCCGACTCAAGGGGTGGTCGGCCAGGATTCTCACCAAGGACCTGGCCACCTCTCCTCCATCTCATCTCAGCCTTGCACTTGCTGTGCATGGAAAGTCTGGGCTGTGAGTGACACCAAACAAAACCCCCAATCCAACTGATATGAGCTAACATCACTAAAAATATTGCTTCTCTCATCCGGTCCATTCTGCCTTACATCATGTTTTTAGTCTTTAGTTTCAGATCCATATACGTGGCCCAGGACAAGTCTAGATCCTCCGGTCAAGCAATAAGACAACAGACACCCTGCCCCATCCAAGGGAAGAGAGGGCTTCTTTCTCATCCATTCGGTCTTGTGGGAAGGAAAGGATGCTTTTCTTTCCAGTACCCCTGGGCTGGGATTGAGTTCCATCCCCGACCCTGACCGTGTGCTGAGGGATGAGCAGCCGTGATCATCCTCAGTCCTGCGGGGCCATGCATGGCACAGACAGGCGTCCTCCCACTCAAACCCCACACCTGAGGGTGGAGGATGGGGGCTTCCCAAAGGAAATCCAGGGTCCCAAATGGACAAGTAGGTACTCACACTCTCACAATTCTTCCAGGACTCCTCAAAACTCACTTTACCCCACTCGAGCAGGGGAGACTCTACTAGCAGCCAGCCAGGCAGTCGGGGAGTTGCCTCTAAATCTCCCTCGATGGAGATTTTTTTTTTTTTTTTTTTGAGACGGAGTCTCTCTCTGTTGCCCAGTCTGGAGTGCAGCGGCGTGATCTGGGCTCACTGCAACCTCCTCCTCCCGGGTTCAAGTGATTCTCTTGCCTCAACCTCCTGAGTAGCTGGGATTACAGGCAGGCATCACCATGCCTGGCTGAGTTTTGTATTTTTAGTAGAGGCAGGGTTTCGCCATGTTGGCCAGACTGGTCTCAAACTCCTGGCCTCAGATGATCCTCCTGCCTCAGCCTCCCAAAGTGCTGGGATTACAGGTGTGAGCCACTGCACCTGGCCCAGATGGAGATCTTAAAGTCTACCCTTTTAGCGATTCCAGCCCCAGGTTGTGTTCCCTGAAAACAGAGGCCACATCTGGCTTATCTCCCACAACCCCCACTCTGCCCCGATGCAGAGCACGGAGTAGGCACCCGATGAATACTTGTGGAGTTGGATTGAGCTACGAATCTCCATGCAAAACTAGATGACATTTGCCTCCCCACTGAAACTTCAGTAAAATTGAAGTGTAAGGCTGAGTACCAAGTATGAATGCAAACGTCCCTCTATATTATAGTTATTCAAAAGCTCCTAGAGCCAAAAATGTACTGCCTTTTTTTGTAAAATAAGATGGCTAATTAAATTGCATACACTTTCTGAATTTAAAAAAAAAAGCTGTAAAATAAACATCTGTGCACTTGAGGCGCATCCAGCACCTTCCCCGCCAGTCACATGTTTATCAGCTAGGAAGCAGCTGACTTTGCAGTAGGTAACGTGCCCTCATTGTTTACAGTGCAACCCAGGTGAAGGCCTGGACTTACGGACTCTTACACTGCTACAAAAAAAAAAAAGGAATCTGTATAAAGTCAAGGCAAACTTCTGCTTTTCTGGCCAGGCGCAGTGGCTCACACCTGTAATCCTAGCACTTTGGGAGGCCTAGACGGGTGAATCACCTGAGGTCATGAGTTCGAGACCAGCCTGGCTAACATGATGAAACCCCATCTCTACTAAAAATACAAAAATTAGCCAGGCGTGGTGGTGCATGCCTGCAATCCCAGCTACTAGGGAGGCTGAGGCAGGAGAATTGCTGGCCACCCGGGAGGTGGAGGCTGCAGTGAGCCAAGCTATTGTCACTCCACTCCAGTCTGGGTGACAGAGCAAGACTCCATCTCAAAAAATAAAATAAAATAAAACCTCTACTTTAAAAAAAAAATTGCATGTGTTTTTTGACACCTTCGTAAGTCTCTGGTTGATGCATGTAGACCTCTCACACCTTAACTAGCAGCGTGCATGGCCCTTCTCAGCTGCCTTGCTGTGCGCTGAAGGCAGCCCATTGGTTTTTCAGGTTGACGCTCTAGGGGGGGAAATTAGCCCCCTTATGACTCCTGCTGGCTGAAGCAGGGATCCGTGTTATGGAAGGCTCTGGCGTCTTTGTTTCCAGACCACCACTGGTGACAGGCGTTGGGCGCACGAAATGAGCCATTAGCAATGGGTGGCGCCTAATGGGGGCTTACAAAGTGGGCCGACCCCAGTCCCAACTGTGTTCACGTGGATGATGAAGCACTAGGACCATGACTCCTCCAGGAGTGGATGTGAGCCCGAGGCCTTGCAAGTCCCACACCCCAACAAACAGCAGGACCCGAGGACCTGAGGATAAGTCAGAGTCTGCTAAAGAGAGTCCGTCCTGAAGCATGGATTCCAGACCTCATGAGCATTAGGGCTTCTCCCAAATTAATGGACAAGGGCACTATCCAAAAGGAAACTGGAGCCAGGGTTCTGGCCTCTGTGTGCTGTAGGCAGGGGAGGGAGCAGGTAGGGTCTTCCTCCCAGGAGTCGCCTTGCTTCCCGCTGGCCTGGTCTGCAGAGGAGGCAGCAGGCTCACCCAGGCAGGGGACCAGTGGGATGTACTTGCCAGGGCCTGGCTCCAGGGATCCGTGCATGATGTCTCGCCATATGTATTAGTTTCCTGTGGCTGCTGTTACAGATGAGCACAAACCAGGTGGCTTCAAACAACAGCGGTTTGTTCTCTTGCAGTTCTAGGGGTCAGAAGTCCAGAATCAGCCTCACTGGGCTACAGCCAGAGGGTCAGGAGGGATGGCTCCTCCTGGAGGACCCTGGAGAATTCATTTCCTCACCTTTTCCAGCTTCTGGAGACGTGTTCCTGGGCTCCTGGCCCCTCCTCCATCTTCATGGCCAGTGAGGCGGCCTGCTCTGGTCCCTCTCTACTCCAACATCACCCCTCCTCCTGGGATGGTCCCTCCTCCACCCTCATGGTCAGTGAGGCAGCCTCTTCCGGTCTGTGTGCTCCGAAGTCACACCTCCTCCTCGGACCCGCCCTGCTTCCTCCCTCCTGTAAGGACCCGTGATGATGCCCTGTGCCTGGGCTGCCTCCGTGACCCAGGGTAATCTCCCATCCCAAGGCCCCGACTGCATCAGCTCTGCCAGGGTCTTTGGCTGTCTGAGCTGTGTTCCTAGGTCCTAGGGATCAGGACATGGACACCTTTAGGGACCGCTTTTCAGCCCCACACCATGCTTGTCTGGAATGCCTGGAGCCGCTACCGTGAGGTGGAATCGGGAATGTGGCAGCTCAGCCCTTTCTGCTGAGCTCCCGCCGTCTCCCCAGCCGGTAGACCTGAGCCACAGGCACCTCCTCGGCCCTGGCTGGCCTGCCTGAGGGTCCCAGCGTTCGGCATGGCTGAGCTTTGCCCTCAAGTCTCAGCCATCATGTGGGCGCCTCCTCAGGGCAGCCTGTGGGAAGAGGGTGCTCCCAGCCCTCCAGCCTGGCTGCGGGTGATCCACTCCCTGTTTTACTTTGCTCGTGGCCATCATTACCATTGGCGGCATGCTGCCCATGCCTTGTGTGTGCACGGAGACTTTCCTGTCCACCTGCCCCTCCCTGGTCATCCCAGGCCTGACCTCTGCAGCTTCTTCCTAATGCCGCCTCCCCACCTCCAATCACAGAGGCACACGCGGCTTTGCCCTTGATTTTTGAGATGTTTGCCTCCTTATCTGTTTCCATGAGCCAGGTGCCCTGCACGGATCCGCTCTCCTCCTTATTGTTCAAGCGCAGTGAAAAAGGCAGCGTGAGCCCTGGGGCTTTCCCAGGGCCATCCCCCTGCCTGGGGCCCTGTCCGCAAGTCCTTCTCAGAACCATCCCATGTGCCTGTCCCTGTGGCCCTGGGCTCCAGGCTAACTCTCTGGAATGTTCCAACCTGGTTTCTGGGCACCAGCAGTTCCCTTTGGCCTGTAGACTTCCCTCCCAGTGCTTCCGGGGAGAGTCTCCCCAGTTGCACCCAGTGCCCTGAGAGCTGCACCTAGAGCTTCTTCCGTCCCCTGCAGGGCCTGGTGCGGTGGAGCCCAGGCAGTGCTCCCTGCACCTGTCAGGAGCCTGTCTTCTGAGGCTGGGGACACAAGCCAGCCCTGCAGGCTCCACTTCTCCCCAGATGTCCTGTTGGTGCCCAGCACGCCTGCCCTTCGTTTCTTTAACAGTTTTATTAAGGTGTAATTTACATGCCCTACACTCCACTCATCTAAGCTGTGCAAATCAACGATGTCTACATTCAGAGTTGTGCAGCCACCACCCCAGTCCATTTTAGAATGTTTTCATCGCCTCACAAAGAAACTCCACACCCTTGGCTGTCCGCCTTCTGCGCCCCCATGGCCCCCGGCCCTAGGCAGCCACTAATCTACTTTCTGTCTCTGTCGACTTCCCTGTTCTGGGCACTGCGCATGAGAGAATTGTACAGTGTGTGGTCCTACTCTTGGTTTTCCAGATGTTCTTGGTGTTTGTGGTGGAGGTCAGAGGGGAGGTGAAGAGAAGAGGGTACCGTGCAACAGAAGGCTCTGCGGGGGGACAGAGGGCTCTGCGGAGGGACAGAGGGCTCTGCGGGGGGGACAGAGGGCTCTGCGGAGGGACAGAGGGCTCTGCGGGGGGACAGACGGTTCTGCGGGGGGACAGAGGGCTCTGAGGAGGGACAGAGGGCTCTGCGGGGGGACAGACGGTTCTGCGGGGGGACAGAGGGCTCTGTGGGGGGACAGAGGGCTGGACGCAAGAGGTGGCCAGGTGGCCAGATGGTGCTGGCCCCATGGTCATGTCTGGGTGCTTGCCTGTCCCTGTGCAGAGAGCAGTGAGGAGCATCAGATGTTTGAGGGGAGACGGGGGTTGTCACACACGCGTTCTGTGCAGACCATTCCCTGGGTCCCATGGAAGGCATCCAGGGGCAGGGGACAGAGGCAGCTGCGAGGTGGAGCTGAGCTGGCATCCAGTGGGAGCGGACAAGGCTGGGGTGAGGGGTTGTCCCTGGGAGCCCGTGCCCTAGAGGGACTACCCCACACATGGCTGGGTGCCTGGCCTGATCTCTCTCCACTTTCCTCGTTGACATCACATTGCCATCCTTCGTTCCCTCCTCGTTTAACATGTAGGGGTTATCAACTTTGATATCTTATTACTCAGTGTCTATGAGACTCCTCTCCTGCCTGCCCACATGTGTCTGCACCTGCACTGAAGTGTGGACAGCGTGTCGCTGGATGGACCAGCCCGTACAGCCACACACTCCTTCAAGATGACAGAGTGACTTTTAAAATATTCACTGGGGCAGGACACGGTGGCTCACACCTGTAATCCCAGCACTTGGGGAGGCTGAGGCGGGTGGATTGCTTGAGGCCAGGAGTTTGAGACCAGCCTGGCCAACATGGTGAAACCCTGTGTCTACAAAAAAATACAAAAATTAGCCGGGTGTGCTGTTGCATGCCTGTAGTCTCAGCTACTTAGGAGGCTGAGGCATGAGACTCACTTGAACTCAGGAAACAGAGGTTGCAGTGAACCAAGATCACGCCACTGCACTTCAGCCTGGATGAAAGAGCAAGACCCTGTCTTAAAAATATATGTGCGTCAGTAGAGAGGTTCCCTGCTAAACTCCTTCTAGTGGCTTTCCTACATCAAGTCTCTAAATGTTGCAGCCTCAGACAGCTCTTGCACGTGCCTTCCAGAGTCTGGAATGTTCGTCCTGGCTTCTGGGTACTGACAGACAGCATCGTCGACCCCTGCAGATCAATATTGAGAAGGTCTCCCTCAGAGAAGCCTCTCAGACAACCTCACAAACTAGAATCCCTGCCCTTTCTGCTCATCCCAGACCGCATGCATTTCCTTCCTAGCTCTTCTCGCCCTAACAGTTCTGCCTGTTTAACAATTGACCTGTGGCTGCTTTCTCCCACTAGAAAGCCCACTCCATGGAGTGGGAGAGCCCCTGTCACATCCGCTGCTGTCTCCAGTGGACAGCAGGGTACCTGGCCACAGCCTTGGAGGTATTGGGTGCTGGGGGCACCTCGGTTGAATAAATGCATGAATAGATTTTTGCTAAAACAATGATAAAATATAACACGAGCTCAGCAGATAACCCTGTGAGAATGTGTGCTTAGTGGGGGTGGGGCATGTGGATTAGAGAAAGCTACAGGATCAAGTTTAGGGGGAAAGATAACCCTAAGGGGAAGGAAGCAGGGACCCAGAGCCTGCAGGGGGCTGACAGCTGCGAGGCTAACGCACGGGGCGCGCTGCCTGGGCCAGCAGCTCTCCCGCACTGCACACTTGTCGTCTGCAGGTCACAGTGAGACCCAGTGAGATGAGCAGGTGTCTGAATGGAGCCTGCTCCTAGGAGCAGGGGCATTTCCCTGGAAAGCCATCGCCGATGTGAGGCCCCTCCTTCCACCGCCCCTGCAGGCCTGTGGGCAACCACTGCTGCCTCTGAGAGCTCGCCAGGCCTGGCTTCCCTCCGCTTCTCCACCTGCATGTGACAGATAAGGAAAACCAGGCTTGAGAGTGTGAGAATCTTGGCTCAGGGTGACCAACACGGTAAGTGGCAGAGCTGGATCCCAGCCACAGGTCTGCTCTGAAACGTTCCAATAAAACGATCCTGCTGAAAAGCACCATCAGCATGGATGGGTGCTGTGCAGAGCAGCAAGGCTCACTCCAGCCGAGGGGCTATTGGTCATTTCCAGCGTTTTCCTTTGACCTTGGGGAAGCCCTTCCCACCCTCAGTCTTTCTTGCCACACCATCCCTCTTACAATCTTCTCCTGTCCTTCAATTCTAAACCCACCAGCAAGATTGCTTTCATTTGTTAGGGTCCTGTTTTAGGGCAGGCCTATATTATTTGATGTACAGATATTTGTGTTTTATAAAATGCCTATTATTTTGTGCCATTTCTGTCTTAATTTTCAGTCTCCATATTTAGAGGAAGCTTTATCTTTCTGATTATTTGGTCAAATTCAATTTAATAGGAATTTATTGAGAATCTATTGTTGGATACTCCCGAACTTGGTGGAGCCATTTGAGTTGATGATGGTCATGACGGTGATGGTGATGATGATGGTGATGGTGATGGTGATTGTGATGGTGATGGTGATGGTGATGATTGTGGTCATGTGGAGGATGGTGGTGATGATGGTGATGTGGTGATGGGGAGGATGATGGTGATGAAGATGATGATGATGGTGATGGTGATTGTGATGGTGATGGTGATGATTGTGGTCATGCAGAGGATGGTGATGATGGTGATGGTGGTGATGGGGAGGATAATGGTGATGAAGATGATGGTGATGGTGATTATGATGGTGATGGTGCTGATTGTGGTGATGCGGAGGATGATGGTGATGGTGATGAGGTGGTGATGAGGAGGATGATGGTGATGGTGATGATGTGATGATGATGGTGATGATGATGATGGTGATGGTGATTGTGATGGTGATGGTGATGATGTGGTGATGAGGAGGATGATGGTGATGGTGGTGATGGGGAAGATGATGGTGATGAAGATGATGGTGATGGTGATGATTGTGGTGATAGGGAGGATGATGGTCATGACGGTGATTGTGGTGATGGGGAAATGATGATGATGTTTATAGTGATCATGGTGATGATCATGATGGTGATGATAATGATATTAATCATGATCATGGTCATGATGATGGCAATTATCATGGTGATGGTGGTGATGGTGATAGTGGGGATAGGGATGGCAGTGACAATAACAGTGACAACTGCACCTAACACTCTCCAGCACTGATGGGTTTCCCAGCACAGTTCCAAGCTCTTTATGTGCATTAACTTCATTTGATCCTCCATTTCCTTTCCCAGCTGACCCCATAACCAGCTAGGGCACCACATCTTCCACAGTTATTGTGTTTCTGTGGCCTCCAGCCAGGGAGTGCCTGAGGGGGTGTTAAGGTATGGGAGACCCTGGACGTGAGGTAACTCAAAGGCAGATGCCCTTACAGTAGCCCACCCAGGTCTTAGCACATTTTCTGAAGGAAAATTAAGCAGCATTTGATCCTTCATTTGATCCTTTTGTAGACAAAAAACTTGAGGCACAGGAAGTTGATCAGCGTGACTTTACCAGGGTTGCTCAGCCAGTGAGTGGCAGAGCTGGTATCTAAACCCAGGCCACCTGGGACTATAGATCACACTCTCAATCACCATCCTGTTTGCCCTTGGAAAAGTCACCAGGTTATGGAGAGACAAGAGACACACACAGAGAGAGACAGAGTGAGAGAGTAATTAAATAACAGTTCAAAAAATAATCCACTGAGGCACATTATTTAATTTATCATTCCATAAACATCCGAGTACCTACTGTGTACTAAGCCTGGGGATAAAATCATAGATAAGCAGCCATGCCTTCACAGAGCTTGGAAGCAGAAGGGAGAGGCTGCTCTCCCAGCAGCCCCTGGGGTGAGCCGTGCTGAGGAAGAAGATGTGGCTGGGAATATCTGCAGGTCAGAGGAGGGATGTCAGCAGAGGCTGGAAATGGTGGGCACTGCTTCTCAGCATCAGTACCATTGATCCAAGTGCTGAAGAAAGGCCGAGAATCCAAGAGAGCCCAGTGGGGAGGACAAGGAGGAAGCCTCCAGGCTCGGGGCAGGGGAGAGTGGGAAACCCACGGGGAAGGTGAGGAAGGCTGAGCGCTTGAAGGGGGGCCACTGAGTGACTGGACAGGGCCGGGCAGGTGGACACTGTCAAGGGGGATGCTCTTTCTTTCTCCACCTCTGCCGTCTGGTTTCTACCATCTTCCTCATTCCCAGAGCCCCTGGGACGCCTGCCCACACTAAGTGAGGGACAGCAGGGGCACAGCCTGCTGGATTTTAAAATTAGTTTCCAAATCAGTTTGACCAAGATAACATTGAATCTGAGGCCTGGGTCTTCCTGCAGAGCTCTTAGTCCTGGGTCATCCCGTCGGAAACTGCAGTCCTGCTTCCTGAGGCAGGGTTCCAGGCCGAGCGCGGGGAGGTTAGGGCCCAGGGACAAAATGATTCCATTTTGACTCCGCTCCTTCCCCAGCTGACCCCATAACCAGCTGGGGCACCACGTCTTCCACAGCGATTGTGTTTCTGTGGCCTCCAAAGGGACCCTGGCTGTAGGGTAACTCAAAGGCGGACGGCCTTACAGTCACCCACCGTGTTCTCAGCACCTTTTCTGAAGGAAAATTAAGCAGCAGAAAGCAGCCACTTTCACTATTATTTATTGTTTTTTTAATTGCACAAGCAACACATGAGTGACTTCTCATCACTGAAAACTCAAAGTGTACAGTTCAAGCGATAATCCCCCACTCCGCCCCCGCCCAGGCCCCACGTTAAATTGATTCTCACCTCGGAGTCAACCGGCGTTTTCTGCTTCATGTGTTTACTTTCCTGTGTGGCTAAAAATGTCTGTAAAAGTGTACAGATTTGTTTTCCGTGGCATTTTAAAAACATAAATGATGTCCTGGTGCAGCTGTGCAGAACTTGCTGTTCACACTGAATAATGTGCCTTCGAGGGCCTTCCGAGAAGCCAGCGTGCAGAGACTTAGCCAAGCGCTTAGCCTGCCACGACCCTTCTGGAAATGTTACCTGTTATTATTATTAATTGTAGCAAGCCAAAATTGGGAAAGAGGCTGAACTGGGATTTGTAGACTGGGGAAAACTCCAGATTTTTAAATTGGTTTCCAAGATGGTTAAACCAAGATAACACCAAATCTAAGAACTAGGAAGGCGTAGGTCTCGCAGCCTCCATCAGTCAAGTGATTTGCAACGCTGGTCCTGCTTCCAGAAGGTCTGGGCACAGCGGGAGAGAGGCACAAGGCCGATTATTTCTCTGTTCTGTTCAGCTCGTACCAAGGACCAGCTCTAGGCCCTTTGCAGGGAGAGAAAGAAAAAAAGAAAGATCGTGAATTCTGAGTGGAGTGACCAGTTCCAGACACGAGTAGCCGTGTTTTACACACTTGGCCAATGACTCATTCCCCGCTGAGGGGAAACGTAGTCATGCTGAGATCTGTGGAGCCCGTGGCCTTTGGCTTTCTCACCCCAGGGCCCTCCCCCTCCCGAGACCACACTAGCCCGCTGCTCACCATCCCCCTTTCTCCTCTGTCTCCAGTGCGTTTATCTTTCATTCATCATTCCTCGCAAACACCACCAGCCCAAGGTGGTTCTCAGCCATTTGGCCTCCGATTCCGTTCTGTCTTTCCCGAGAAAAGCCGACAAAACCTTGCACCTCATAAATTTTAACAGCTTTTCCAACTGATGTATTTCATGTCTGAATTGTTTTATCTGTCCTACTTTGATTGTAAGCCTCGAGGGCTGAGACCTCGTCCTGTTTCATCTTCTGTACCGCTCCGAGCGCACTGTTGGCATTCTGTTCGTAAAAACACACGCGGAGATAAATATATGCAAACATCGATAATTGTTTTAGTTGGAGCCGTTTGACGACAGATCAGAGCTGTGTGTGGACCCCTACATCTGAGGCTGGAGCGTGATTTCAGGCCACCTCTTAATCTGTTCCTTGGGTATTAGTAATTTGTAAAACATGATTTATTTGCTTAGAATTTTTCCTCATAACTTTAAATGTGTGCATAATAGTAAATCTCTGATCTCTGATTAACTTTTGCCAAATAGGCTTCCCAGAGTGATGAATGCTTGTGTGGTGACTCATAAACAAGACTCAAAGCATTTGTTTAAAAAACACGAGGCTTCCTTCTGTCTAAGCATGAAGAGATGTTAAAACGAAAAAGGTTCAACTTAGACTTAAGACAGACAGAAATTAATCAGGAGTGATTTCTTCTTGGTCTGAATTTTAAATTGTTTGTGAAAGGGTAATGATCGAGCTGGCTTTGTTTTACTCCACTTCACTTTGTTTCTAATGTGTAAATTTTCAGATGCTTTTCTGCTAGAAAATTCCTCTTGGTGAATATGATGTGCCTATCCTCACATAATTCCACAAGTGGCATGCAGAAAAACAGGGTGAGTCCCACAAGAACCATCCAAAGCTCTTGCCTTCACTCTGTGTTTGCTGAACACCCACTCTGTGCCAAGTAATGTGCTGGATGGCAAGGATTCATGGTTGACATTGAAAGACAAGGTTCATATGTATATATGTGCCATGCTGGTGTGCTGCACCCATTAACTCGTCATTTAGCATTAGGTATATCTCCTAATGTTATCCCTCCCCTCTCCCCCCATATTTAACTAACCTGCACATTGTGCACATGTACCCTAAAACTTAAAGTATAATAATAATTAAAAAAAAAAAAAAGAAAGACAAGGTTCAGCCCCAGGGAGCTCCCAGACATTGCGTGGACAAACAGAGAACAGATAATCAACAGGATTAACAGGAGCGATGGGAATGGTGCTCCTTGAGAGGGGGCGGCCAGGAGGCCAGGGTCGGGAAGCAGCCGTGCCCAGCTGGGAGAGGGAGTCTCAGGCAGGGTGAGCACACAGGCCCTGGGTGGGGAAGGACTCGGTGGGCTCCCCGGACAGAGGGGAGTTGAGCCTGTCCTTGTTATTTCAGGAGCAACAGGAAGCACAGGAGCTTAAACGATTGTGGTTCCTCTGGCTGCTGTAGGGAGATGGACGTGGAGGGATGGGTGGGGGGAGGAGGACAGAGAAGTCTCCTTCAAGGAGATCCCCAGAGACAGGAATGGATGGGGATGGGGCCAGTGGCCTAGAGTTGGCGACAAAGGAGGAGACACCTAGAATACAAGCCTGAGCTGAGTCCTCTGATGGGAGATTTAAATATACTTTTGCTCGTGATCACAGGGAGCTGCGATGGCCCAGTGGGTGGGGGCAGCCCTGGCGTTTCCTGCACCTGCAGCAGGAGGGTCAGGTTCAGGCGTCTACTCACACCCGAAGGAGGGCACTCTCTCCCGATCTGCGACAGTCAGCCCAGCACCCATGGCTGACTCTTTGACAAGAGTCTTTCTTCTTTATAGAAAATAGAAACACGTGTCTGCGTGCTGCAGTCCGGAACAGTGGAGCTGCTGAAATCAGCAGATCGTCCATGGCTAGGGAGGAGAGGGGGCTGGACAGGGCCTGGAACCTTCCCTCTGCCAGGCTCTGACCTCAGGCAGCCTCCCAGCCTGGGGACTTGGGTCGGGTTTGGGAGCCCACGTTTGGCTCAGTGGGCCCGAGTCAGAGACGGGACTGCAGTTATCACACCCTTCACCTTCGTGATGGTGTTGAGTCCAGTCGTCTGGATTTGGGGATATAATTTAAATACCTGACCTTTTAAAGTGGGCACTCTAAACAACCTACAGTGAGTGCCTGCCAAAGCCTTGTCTTCCCTAAATCTATGGGGGGGGGGGTCCCCGGGTCTCCAGGCTCCAGCTCCATGTGATGCTTCCTGACATGAGGGCAGTTGGTCTCCACCGCCAATGCTGAGCCATGAACAGCATCCAGATGGCACCCTCAGAGGCCCAGGGAGATGGCTACTTTATTCCCCAGTACAAGGGCTAGCCCTACTGATAAGTACCAGGGCTAGATCCACTGATAGGTACCAGGGCTGGATCCATTGATAAGTACCAGGGCTGGACCTACTAATAAGTACCAGGGCTGCACCCATTGATAAGTACAAGAGGCGGACCCACTGATAAGTACCAGGGCTGGATCTATTGATTGACAAGTACCGGGGCCAAACCTGTTGATAATTACCATATGAGACATCAAAACCCAGACATTTGAAAAGTAGTGATTAATTTGTTTTAAACTATCAGCAATAAGCCTATTCCATGTTAACATAAGTAATGTATTTTATGAAAACAAACTGTGTTTTCCAAAACAACACCAGCTGAGTGAGACATTGGCATTGTGCTACATTTTTGCAAATCTCTTCCGTGTCTGGTGTCACAGAAGCTGGCTGGGTTCTCTGGGGTCTGCTTCTGTTTCCACTCTGTTGTGATGCATTGTTTGGGTTGAAATAGATGAAAAAAAAATCAGCCTCACTCAGGTGTGTAGATGGGAAGGGAGGGTCATTTTAATCTCCTCAGATGATTGTGGATGTTATTCTTCGATGTTACTTCAAAAGTCAACAAGAGGCAGTTTCCTGTTTCTTAAACGTTAGTTGCAGCATGAAAGCTGAAGTCGTGTCATTGAACTTCTGCTCTGTTCTGCTAAACCCTATTGGTTTCTGTTGTTCTCTGAATGGATCTTTAACCCATGCATAATTTTGTAGCATCATGGATTCATCATATGCAATTGGTTTTCTGAATTACGCAGGTCTTCCATTATACGGCAGTTTAAAAAAATGACGTTTGTTAACATCACCACCAGCCTCATCAGAAAAGTCCTTCATTATTGGGAAGCCATTGAGCTTGCCATGGCAGACACAAACTTTCCAAAATTCTAAGTTTTGCTTGAAAGCTCTGTTTGTCCTTGCAGCAAATACCGCCAACTGTTTGCCTCAAAGCAACAGACTGACGCGTTCCTTTTCAATTAGCTATCTGCCTAACAGTCAAACATGACTACCTGCTGCTTGTCTGTCAATCCTTCTTTTAAGCAAAAACAGGTTTTCCACAAAGAAGTGGCTAGTTGAGCTAGCAACTCAAAACAGTGGTTCAGGTGCTTTCCCCCAGCCATTTACTTTGGTGTGAGTTTGTCTGTACTTCCCATTTTGTCACATGGAGTAATAAGAAATATATTTAAGAGTCAAGAAGTCAAGACTTGGTACAATTGATTTCACCACTTCTACTTCACTAAGAACATTCCCTAGTGGAATGATGTTTCTCCCATGGCCCCAGCATGGTGAGGCAGAGCAAGAGGAAAACTGGGCACTGCTCAGGGCCCTGCAGTGGTTCCACAGGGGCGCCCGTCATCCATGCAAAAGTAGCCACCGTGAAAATGGCCAATGGTATGGTTTTTTAAAATCAACTTGGTTGAAATACAATTCATATGCCTTAAAATTCAGACTTGGAAAGTACAATTTATGATGATTAGTACATTCAGAGTTGTGCAGCCACCACCACAATCTAATTTTAGAACATTTTCAAAATAAAGTGAACCCCACAAGAGAAACCCCATCCCTATTAAGCAGTCACTCCCCTTTCCCCCTCCACCCTGCTTTTCCTACAGGCCCGAGATAACAACCAGTATACTTTCTGTCTGTGGATTTGCCTTTTCGGGATACCCTATGTGAATGGAGTCACTCCCACGCAGTCTTCTGGGCCACCCAGCACACTGCCGTCATGGTTCATGTGTCCAGTGTCATTCGTACTCACTTTGTTTTTATTGCAGAATCACTTCATAGTGTGGTGAGGAAGGAAAAATAATGACCCCCCAGATGTCCACGTTGTGATCCCTGGAGCCTGTGAATATGGCATGTGATGTGGCAAAGGGACTTCGTGGGGGTGACGAAGTTTAGGACCTTGAAATGATCCCGGGTTACCTGGGTGGGCCCTAAGTGCACTCACAGGGTCCTTATAGGAGGGGGGCAGGAGGGTCAGGTCAGAGAAGAAGTGGCAGTGGAAACAGAGGTCAAGGTGACATGGAAGACAAGGAAATGATTCTACCCAGAAGCCTCCAGAGGGGCACTTTAGACTCTGACCTGCAGAACTGTACGGTAATGCTTGTGTGTCAGTTTAAACCTTGGAGACTAGGGTAATTTGTTACAGCAGCAAAAGTAAACTCACACACGCTCATGGGCTACACTTTGTCCGTCCTTGCCTGGGCTGATGCACACAGGGTGTCCTCCCACTTCCTGGCTGTTAGAAGTAAAGCTGCTGTGAACACTAGTGTGCATGCATTTGTGTGGACATGTGTTTTCATTTCTCTTGGTTATACCCCGGAACTGGAATGGTGGCTGGGTCATAGGATAACTCACACTGTTCAGCATTTTCAAGAACTACCAGCCTGCTTTCCAGCATGGCTGTGCCATTTTCCATTCACACCAGCAATGCATGAGGGCTGCAGTTGATCCACATCCTCACCAACACTTGCTATATTCCAGTTTCATGTTTTAGTTTATCCCAGGGGCGTGCAGCAGTGTCACATTGTGATTTAGTAGATTTTTCAGAATGAGAGTCACTCAGTTTGCTGTATATGCTTAGGACAATTTCTAGAGATGTTGAATGGTGGATTTTTTTAAGACTTTTCACCAGTTATGGTTGTTTCTCTGGGGACGAGGTCTGTGGAAGTCCTCATGCCTCCATTCTGGAAGTCTCTTGAAGCAACATCTGAATGTTATTGTAAAGATTCTTGGACATAGTAGAACCCCCTGGGGATGCCCGGGAGTCTGGGCCGTGCCTGGCATGCAGCTGTAACATTCGTTGAGGTGCGTGCTGCTCACCAAGGGTCCCCCCAGCAGAACCCAGCACCTCCCGGGCAGGGATTGGGGTTTTGTTTGCTGAAGTCTCCCCAGTACACAGTCGACATTCAGAACCTGGTGAACGCATGGATGAAATGCTGTGACGCATGAGGAAATACAGATTCAGAGGTGGGAGAGAGGGAGGAGGGAGGGGGAGCTGAGCTGGCGGGGAAGAGGGTAGGGGGAAGGGTTGGGGAAGGGTGTGGGAACTGACCTGAGAGGGGGAAGGGGGTCAGGGCAAAGAGGGAGGGGGAGGTGAGCTGGGGGGAAGAGGGTTGGGGAAAGAGGGGGGAAAGGGGGTGGGGGACTGACCTGAGCAGGGGAAAGGGGTCAGGGTGAAGAGGGAGGGGGGCTGAGCTGAGCAGGGGAAGAGGGTGGGGGGGAAGAGGGAAGGGGGGCTGAGCTGAGCAGGGAAGAAGGTTGGGGGCCACTTCCAGTGCTGGTGCCTGACGCCCAGAGACAGGCCAGACACTGTTGCCCTAGATGCGGAGGGAGGACAGTGTGCCGCTCATTGGGCAGCCCCCACCGGGCCCACCTGGGTCTGCCCTGGCTCCTGTCACTGCCAAGAGAGGAGAACAGAACTATCACATGTGTGTCCCCTCAACGTCAACAGCAGCCGGGGTTTCCAAAACGGCATGCTGTGCATGGAAGGACTGTACCTGGGAGGGTGAGTGGGGCAGCTCAGTGGGGCTCGAGGGTCCTTCCAACCCTAGACACCTGCTGCCGCCTTTTTCTAAATTGCTGAAGACGCCACAGCCCTGTGACTCTGCTTGTGTGCGTGCTTCTAGCAGGGAGAATAAATGTGCGTCTTTAAGAAAGGGCCTAGACTTCCAGGTTAGGCAGTGAAGACGCCGCCGTGTCTGCAGAGCGCTGGGTCCCCTCGGCCCCCACACAGATACCTGAGGAAATCAAGACATCTTCGCTGACCCACAGACACTGTTGGCTTTTTCAAGACAGACAAATAGAAGGATGACATCAATAGCTGATATTCAGGGCTTTACTTTCATTATCTCATGAAGTCCTCAGTGTGGCCATTTATTAGTTCTTCATTCATTCATTCATTCATTCGCTCACTGTTTATTGAGTATCCTCTTTACCCCAGCGCTGGCCATGCACTGAGGGTGCAGTGACCGTGGGCTCCATCCGGGCACCCTGGTGCTGTCATTAGCTCGTGTTGCACAGAGTGGTTGGTCACATGTCAGGTCACGCAGCCTGTGGGCAGAGAATCAGGACCTGTGCAGCGCCCCAGGACCTCCCACCCTTGGGTCCACCTGAGCACAAAACTGTAGGCCCTTAGGCATTCCTGAGTGAACCTCCCTCTGCTGCCAATGTCTGGGTATGTCCTACCCAGCCCTGCATGTGTGAGGAGCCAAGCCCTGCTGTGACCTGTGGGCGGGAAGGACGTGCATCTGGGCAGATGGGGCCTGCCCTACCTGAGTGTCAGGTCACAGCAGAGACGTGGCTGCTGCCCTGAGCAGATTCCCTTTGCATGGAGTGTGCCCGTCAGGGCTGCCTTCCTGACAGCCTAATGAGCTGCCTGTGTTGACTGCGGGATCCTTCCCCACCAAACGCTGTCCGAGAAGTCCATGGACGGAAGGACGGGCTGTGGCAACCCTGCGTCGTGTGGGAACACCCCGTGGGGCCCTCCCTTTTGTGTCCCCTGGAACAAACAATAAGAACTGCCCAGGAGTTAACGTTTTCTGTTACTTCTTTATTGTTTTTTTAGAAAATGTTTTTGTTGATTCTTCTGTAGTCATTTAGAGAACGTTAGCCATGGTTCCGAGGCACCACGTGCATGAAAGTAGCGAGGCTCGTTTCGATACTAGAGGCGGCCCGTCTGTCTAAGCAGCGTGGTGTGTTGTTGGTACACTGCAGAGCTGGGCCACTGGATGAATTTGTGGACTACATTTTGGGAGCACGTGGGTGGGAAAGATGAACTATCAGGGACCAGGCTCCAGTGCTGACCTGAGGCAGCCATGAGCACAGTGGGGGTGAATGATTCCCGCACGGCTTCCCATAAAACCCTGCCTCACATAACGTTTGTCCATAAAGTCAATCTCCCTGGGCTCAGGGCAAGGAGGGGCCACTCGCTCTCAGCTGCACATTGCCCCTTGGGCAGCTGGAATGTGCAAGCTTGTCATGGAGCATCCTTTGGGAACACACAGCTTCTCCATGACAGAGACAGTGCCGGGACCAACTGTCCTCAGAGCATGAGGCCAAGCTGGACCCAGCTGAGTTAAGGAGTGTCCAGGCATGGGAATGGCATTCAGTGCTGGGATAAAGTATTTTTGGTCTTTACCTGTAAAGTTTTCTTTCCTCTTTCCCCTAATGACTTCCCGCCCCCTGAAAATGAAGGAATGGAAGATGTAGCTATTGACAGGTGCACGCGCACTTCTGAAAGGCATCTTGGGTAGGAGAGGGTGGTGCACAATTGGTGGCTGCCCAGGGCATGGACTGGCTCACAGGGCCACAGGAGGGGTTACTATTAGGATTGCATCATCTGACCTACACACCCAACTCATCGTGTGCAGAAAGGAAGGGTGTCAGGAGAGGCCCCCTGCACACTGCTGGGTGCATGGGGAGGGCAATGGCTCTTATGCAGGTGGAAGCAGCAAGTCTCTGGGCCATGAGTGGTGCTCATCCTGGTCCCCAATGTCTGTAAGAAAAGAGGTGGTGGAAGATCAGGGGCAGTGATCACCCTGGCTGTAATAGAAACAGTGGCTAATGTTTACTGACGGGTTGTACCACATCTTGAACACCAGCTCTGGTCTGGGTTTGGGATACAGCTGTGAACACAACAGATGAGGTCCTGGAAATGCTCAGATTTCATAATAATAATGATGAATAACATCATGGATGGGGCTGATCACTCCTCCGTGGGGCTGCCCTGGACTCCTTTCCAGACTCCTTCCCACCCAGGCATCTGCATGTCTTCTTCTGAAGCTGTTTTGTGCCCTTGATCCTATTAGCAGCCTGGTGCAGCCTGTGACCCGCCCACCTTTACATAATAATGCCTCACATGCATAAAGTGAAACACATTGACTCACAGAAGCAAATAATCATATTGGCATGTAGTTATCAAAACATTAAAAACAAGTCTGTGAGGTAGGAGCATCTTTATTAACGCGATTAGTAACAAGAGCCTTCAGTGGGCCTGATAAATGTGGTGATTTCAAGGTGGTGCCAACTATAAACTAAATGTCAGATCATCTGCAACTGTGCTGGGAGATGAGCACTCACAGGAGGCTGCTGTTTTCCTGGCGTGGTGCCCACATTCATAACAGAAGGAAACATTAAGTAAGAGGGGAATAAAAGAGGTGAATTTGTTGGTCGTCCAAGTTCACAGAGCCCTGGGTTCCATCCCCCGATCTACAGACTGAGAACCCTTGGCCCAGAAGGTCTGTTCCCTCCACCCTGCACCCACCTCTTGCCTCTGTGCCCCCTGCGCTCCTTTTCCTTGGCATCTTTGCAAGCCCCGCTCACCTTGGGGTATACAAGGATTGTGCCTGTCCCCACATCGTCCTCACCACCCTCTGCCTGGATTTGTTTTCTGCCTCCTGGCCAGCCTGGCTGCACCTTCCACCTTCCCCAGTACAGATTCCCCAATACCCCAGCTGCCCATACCTTCTGGCAGATCCAGAGAGCCCTGTCCTGGGGCATCAGGGCGAACAGAGGGGCCGGTTACTTCATGCATCTGCACAGGATGGACCGGGCGAAGCAGGCAGGGCTCTGCTGAGGAGAGGGAGGGGCAGAGAGGCAGAGCGGCCCAAACAGGACAGGCAGGGCCTCCTTGGGTGGGTGGGAGGCAGGGGCAGCTTCAGCAGGGGTGCGCCTTCAGCGACTCTCACAGGAGAGGGGCAGGGTGGCCCATGAAGGAGCCACATCAACCTGAGGTCAAAAATGTTCATCCAAAGTGGACAAAACAATGAAAGAGCCAACCACAAACAAGACCAAGCCTCAGATGCAGCCGGGCGTGGAGTGAGCCTCAGAGGGCAGGGACGGAACCCACCAGAGACTGAAGGGCAGGGTGGACCAGCAGAGAACTCTTTCCTTTTTCCTATTTTCTCCAAGTTTTTGCTTTAAACACTTATTCATTTTGTAATTAGAATATGTTTTCCTAAAAAGCCCCTTTAGGGCTCCTGAATTGTCAGCAGGTTAAATCCCAAGCCCCTTCCCACCTCCGTCTCAGTGAACACATGCCAAGCTCTTGTCAATGGCCAGACACGCCGGGCACTGTGGGGGTGATGGTGACCCGCCGGGGACTTGCCTCTTGGGGGCATGCTGGATGGGAAGACCCCACTGCCCTCTGATCTGCTGAATTGCTGGGATGTTTTCCTTCTAGCACCTTCCAGGAATTGGCTGCTGGGACCTCTCCAAGCCCCTCCCACCCACCGGCCTGCCTGCTTCCCATGCCTGCCTCCAACACCAGCCCCTGCCACCCCTGCTCCCTACTGGGACCCCACCCCCCCGGCCACTGTCACCTCAGGGGCTGCTCCAGAGGTCATGCACCCCCCAAAACCCCCAGCCCAGGACCTCAGCAGAGCATGCTCCTCCCTCCTTCCGTACTATGGCTCCTGCTATCTGTGGCCTCAGCACTCGCCTTTCAGCCAGAGCCACACCCCCTCCTGAAACAAAAGGGACCTGAGTGGCCGAAACAGGGAGTGACGACCCCTGCGGTGCCGGCAGTAAGGTGTGGAGATACCCCTTTCCAGAATCGCGTGTGGGGAGGATGTGCAGAGGGAGCCCCCACCTCCCACCCGACCCTGGGACCAGTTTTCCTGTAGAACGGGGACTTTGCCGTCTGTGCCTTAGCCACAGGCCAGATCTCATCGTGTTTCTCACCCTCTTCTCCACGCGTCCCAGAGGCCAGGCTTGCTGACGCACCCGAGGGACTGGCTGCGGGGCACCCCACATGGCGGGGTCCTCCATGGAAGTGTGGTCGGAGTACCCGAGGCCCCTTCCCTACTGCAGGCACTGCCCGCCAAGCTTCCCTGGATGGCTCCTCCAGGGCTGACACTGCGCAGCCTGGGCGTCTCTGCGGTCAGTGAGGGTCGCCTTTTTTATGAGCATCTTGAGGTCCGTTGGGCTAACACGAGTCCCTCAGTGGTCATGGGAGAAGCCTCAGGTTCTGTCAGTGTTGCCTCTCCCTTTTGAATAAATTTGACGATGCTGACTTCTTGACACCACGTCCCTGGGAAGTTCCCACTCTCCTTTTCAGGGACCTCCAATCCGCCCCTGCAGGTTGGTGGATCTCCCACCATGGTGCTGCCCCTAGAGGTCGCTCTTGGAGAGCTGGCTTCGTTTCCATGTCCTGCTGATCACTCCCACCCCGCCCTGCCATGCCATTCACCATCTCTGCAGCCAAGGGCTGTGCCCTCTTTCACCCGGCTGAGCGGGCAGCTGTGCCGGGTGTCGGACTGGGGACCTCCTTCTGCTGGGGGACTCTGCAGACAAGAGGGGGCACGCTGGATGGATGTGCCTGAGGGACAGGCAAGTGTCAGGTGGCAGAGCCAGGCCTCGGCCCTGCCCTTTCTCACCCACAATGTGAATTCATCAGCACCCTGAGTGTGCACTCAGCAAGGGCTTTCCAAAGGCCGACCCTCCTGACCCCCCTGACCCCACTGTGGCTGGAGGTGTGGGGAGCAGCAAGGGGATACGTGGAAGACAGACCTAAGCCGGCCAGCCTCCCAGGCGGGGCAGCCCCCAGATCAGTGCAGGAACATTTCAGCAGCGCAGGCAGGCGGCATTTCCCTCCAAGACAATAGCCCTGTCCCAGTGAAAGACACAGAGTGGAGAAGCCTCTCGCGTGGTCTCTGCGTCTGGGCTCCTTCATCTGCCGAGGCCCCGCTCCTCCTCCTGACGCGGCTCTGCCTCTCCCACGCACTGGCGCTCTGGCTTTCTTCTTTCTCCCTCTGCCTTAATGATGCTGCCCCTTTCCTGTTCCTGGTTGAAGCTGAAGCCCGCTTCCCTTCGCCGCACACAACACAGGAGCAATCTTCTCAGCCGTGCACTCACAGCTTGGAAAATAAAGGGAGGAAGGAGTCCCAGCCACAGGGTAGAGGAACGGCCTCTCCACAGAGAAGCTGCTGCTGCTGAGCTGAAGTGACAGGTACCCCGTGCTAATGATGGGGAAAGTGTGAAGGGTTTATTATAATTTAAGAGCCTCTCTATTTGAACAGACTGTCTGACTCTCCGGGGATGGTTTTCAAAACCAGCTGGCTCCTCGGATGCTGCTGAGAATGAAATGGGGAAGCCGTGAGAAAGCAGCACAGGTCCCGCGCGAGGGCGTGGCGGTGAGGCCGCTGCTGCAGAACCGGAGGCCTGTGCATCTAATTTTAGTGAAGAATGTTATGGAGACAGAGGGTGTCGGGGTCAATGATCACCTGGATTCCGGGATTCCTTGCTTTCCCAGCTGTGAGCGTGCCGTATTTCCCAGGGTGGGGATGGCCCAGTGTCCTCTCTGCAGCTCATCTCCTGCGAGGCACAGGCATGTTGTGATTGAGGACACAGGCTTCGGTGCCTGGCAGGGTCCTTCGGGGTCCTGGCTCTGGGGCCTTGAGGGAGTCACTCTAGTGGCTGAGCCTGAGCCATCTCTGCAACGGGAGCCATAGTGGTGCTCAGGTGGCGGGACAGCGGTGAGAATCTAATTCAGAAATGAATGCCCGCAACTCACCCTGCGCAGTGCCTCAGCCCAGGAAGCACTCAGCCAGCCACTGCTGTCTTCACAACTATTGTCCCTCAGGGGATTCATTCCAGGCCCGCCCCCAGGGGTATTAAAATCCGAGGATCCTTAAGTCCCTTGTATAAGAAGGCATAGTATATGCAAGTAACCTACACACATCCTTTGTATACTTTAAATCAACTCTAGATTACTTATAATGCCTAATATAATCAAAGTGCTATGTAAATAGTTAGACTGTGTCTTTTATTATTACATTGTCACTTCATATTTTTTTAAATATTTCGGTCCTCAGTTGGTTGAATCTGCGGGTGCAGAACCCGCGGGTGTGGAAAGCCAGCTGTATCTTACCATGACCCTGTGGACTTGTTTCCAGTCCTGCCTGCTGTCTGGCGAGCTCCTACTCAGCCTTAGGCACCTTGCCTGAGTGCCCTTCCCTGAAACAGCTTCCCTTGTGTGTTAGTCTGTTCTCGTGTTGCTATAAAGACATACCTGAGGCTGAGTGATTTATACAGAAAAGAGGCTTAATTGACTCATGGTCCTGCTGTACAGGCATGGCACCGGCATCTGCTCAGCTTCTGGAGAGGCCTCAGGGAGCTTTTACTCATAATGGAAGGCAAAGCGGGAGCAGGCACCTCACATGGTGATAGGGGAGCACAGAGGGGGAAGGTGCCACATACTTTAAACAACCGGCTCTCATGAGAGCTTACTCACTGTGGTGAGGACAGCACCAAGCCACAAGGGATCCCCATGACCCAACACCTCCCCCCAGGCCCCACCTCCAACACTGGGGATCACAGTTCAACGGGAGATTTGGGTAGGACAAACATCTAACCTGTGTCCCCTGGCTTCCCTCCTCTGGTGCCCAGTGCCCCACACCCCTCACCTGTGCCCTCCCTGCAGATCTCCGGAGTCACCTGGGCAGCCTGCGGCCCAACACTGCGGTGCTCCTCGTCAGCCCCGGCCTAACCCTCGGCCCTGCTCTTCCCGGGGCCTGTTCAGATGCCCGCCCGCTGCCCACCATGCACCCTCTGCCCTCCTGTGTGTGTGCCCACCTCTCCCACAATGCTGCAGAGTCCAGGGGAGGGAAGGCAGAGACTGGGCCCTGTCTGGCCTTTCCCTGGTCTCAGTTGAGTTGCACCTGGCGGGGCGCATGCAGCCCATTCTTCACCACCCAGGTCTGTGCAGAGGAGATGGATGCATTCCCTTCTATGGGCGTTTGTTTAGGCCAAGCTCAGTCCACCAGTCCTGGTGCCCGTGGATGCCCACAGGGGCTGCACAGCTCCATTCCTCAGCATCCAGAAAGCAGTGTCGCGTTCAGTTGGAAACAGCTCTGTAGAAAAGTCAGCCATAAATATGAGAGACAGGAGCATACCAGGAGGGAGGAGAATGGCAGGACACCGTCTGCCCTGACGCATGCCCACAGTGCCGCCCAGAGCCAAGCTGCAGGACGCCAAGGTAGGGGCTGGCAAAGCGTTTGACTCCCAAGAATGCACCTTCTCCGGGGGTGGAGCTGCGCCGTGCCCTGCTGCCTGGCCCATACTGGGGGCTGCTGGCGATGCTTTCTGGTGAATGCAGCAGGTCCTCATCATGTGCTGGGCTCGGAGGGTGTCCAGCTGAGCCCTCCCAGGTTAGGGGATGCTGCCAGCACCCTCGCTGACACCCCAAAGCACACATTTTATCGCAAGGTTCTTGCTGCATTTCAGCGATGGGCTCACTACATCACGCAGGCAGACACCCGGTCCCCAGTAGGGTGGAAAATGAGAGGATGACCTTAAACTTCCAGAAGGAAACTTGCTCTGAAAATGACCAGGTCCTCAAAGGAAACTCACATGTCTTAACTTCCGGGACTCCACTGTCATGAACAGCTGGATGGACATCTTGGTGTAACAGGCCTTGCTTAGGAGGGAAACGAAGCAGCTGAAAAAGAAACAAATCAATAATAATAACAGTAAAAATAGCCATAACACAGCCTACACTTCTGAATTTTGCAAGCCTCATTCTTTGGGGATGTTTTGGTGAGCTGGAAGGAGGAGCAGAGGGAAGCTCATTCCAGCTCTTTGGGGAAAAACCCTGAAGCTGCAGCCCGTTCTCTGCGTCGCTTTCTGATGCTGGGTTTATACATTCACTTTATTAAAAAAAAAAAAAAAAAAAAAAAAAACTTGAGCACCTCCTGTCTCCCAGGTGCTGTGTGTGCCAGGCCAGCACCAACATCATGAAATGATTTCGGAATTGTGCCTGGCCTGGTGAGCGCACACAGAGGAGCTGCTTACTGGGGTACACGCCCGCAGGGCATTTACTTGATGAACGTGTTACGGTTTCGCTTCTCAGTGTGGTCTCCAGACCAGCGAATGGAGAGCCTTAGAGATGCAGCACCTGAGGCCCCCTCCCTGGACTCATTTTCACCAGCTCCTGCGTGATCTGCAGGCGTCTTAGAGAAGCTTTGGATTAAGCAACCATTTTGCACCTTATACCGTGCAAGGCACTAAGGATACACGTTGGGAGCGCCATGGCCCCTGCCCTCAGAAGCTCTCAGTCTAGTTCAAGAGGTGGCTAAACAGAAGCACAGTTTTTTATTCTCTGGGCACCCCTGTGAGCCGAGTCCAGCTCAGGGCACTGGGGTGTGGCCAGGGATGACACGGAGTCCGTGTCACAGAGTTCCCACTCTGGTTGGGAGACAGATAGGGAAGTCAAGTCCGTGGAGAGTGTTTGCAGGAATGGTGAGTGTCATGGAGAAAACAAAGCCAGGTGATGGGGTGGAGTCTCCAAGGTGGGGCAACCAGGGCCCCACACCACTCCGGATGGCCCCTGCAGAGACCCAGCTCCCTAGGGAAGCTGGCTGCAGACAGATCTGGACGAGGAGACTCTAGGAAAACAAATGCAGGCAGGCAGTTGGGCGGCTGTTTTGGGAGCCAGGAGAGGGTTCCTGCTGGAAGGGAGGCAGGGCCAGGCTGTGGAGGCCAGGTGTGCCCTACCAGGTGTGGGAGGGGAGACCCAAAGCACAGGGAGCAGAAGGGCCCATCCCGGGCCCTCACCTGCTAGGTCCCATTGTCCCCTTCACTCCATGCCCACCCCGTCTGCCCAGGGCAGGCTCTCAAGTGTGCAAAGTGCCAATGGAGCACAGAGAAGTGAGCAGCAAAGTGCCTGGGGTGCCAGTGGAGGCTTCCTGGAAGAGGTGACATTTGAGCTGGGTCAGGAAGCCTGCCTAGGTGTTCTCCAGGTAGAATAGGAAAGGGCTCAATGCCTGTGACCTTTTGAGTACTAAATGAGAAAATAGGGGAAAATAGGGGAATAGATAATGTGGGAAAAGCATCAGGGACATAGTAAGCCCTGGGAGTGTTCATATACACATGTGGGTATGCAGTACACACACATGCATGCACATAGGCACACACACATGTACATGAGCAGGGACATACGCTGATGCACACACACACGTGATTGATCCTTCTTTAAAACCCACAGGGAACTACCGCAATCCCCGTGGCCAGCTCCCTGCCGAGCCTCCCCTTACCCACATCCTAACAGAGAGCCTGGGTGTTGTTTAGATGCTGTTAACTCCCAGTCCAAAGTGCTGATGCCATTGTTTCCTTCCCGATTAGCTTTTGTGTCCAAAGCTAAGAATACAATATTTTTAGGCCCTGGAGGAAGAATCCTGAGTCAGTGACTGTCTCCGGAGTAACAGGCCCAAAAGCTTCAGTCGAGGCCGAGATGCAAACTTCATTATAGTATCTGCCCTGGCGGCAGCCGCAGCGCCTGTCTTTGCACCTAATGGGCCTTTTTGGACAGTGACGATGATCTCCGATGAGTTATTAATACTGTGATGCAGCTTGAATAATTGCAAGAAAAGCACAGGACTCCAAATGGGAACATACCTGGCAGTGGAAGAAATGCTTCCTTGGCCTCTCCTTTCAGCATATTCCCAGGCGAGAGGCCAGCCGAGATGAGATTTGCTTTTAGGGTATTTTCAGCATTTCAAGTCTTGTAGAAATCATCTCCCCACCTCGTGGGTAAGAAGGGAGGGAAGGGAAGTGAGGGGTGCCCTGGCTTGGGAGGTGTCTCGGTGTTTGATGTTTGTTCTTACTGACGCACTCCTTCCTGCACACATTTGAGAGCACACGTGCACATGCATCCCTCTAACACACAGACACGTGTAGATTTGTTTTTCCTGTCATTTCTTGGACAAGTCATTTGATAAATGGGCCGTTCTTCCATCCAGCAGCTTGCACTAATGGTCTAATTAGAAGCTCCTGGTGAATGTTGCTATGGGCGTCACTTCAGGAGAAATGGAAATAGGCCAGGGACCCTGGTATAATTTGAGGAAATGGCTACAGGAAGAGAGAGGCCTGGCCTGGAAGGACAGGTTCCTGCTGTCACCATCACCACCTCCCTGAATAGGGGCTGCGTCCAGGCTTGCTGGGGTCTGGGTGAAATGGTTCCATTATTTCAAGCTGGAAGTTTTGGTGCAGACAGTGTGGAAGGCTGGCCTCTCGTGGTGCCTGTTTTCAAGTCTCCATCAAATGCAATTCCACGCACTTGGGAAGACGTCACCCTTAAGATTAGGCAATGAGTGTGAGTTACTGTGATTGGAAGTAATGACCCCTGCCTGCCACTGGGCACAGGTAGGCAGCGAGGTATCTGCCACTGAGGAAATGTGGCTTTGGATGAATGCCCTCGGGGTGCAGGGGTGACGAAGGCCCCTCTGTGAAGCAAGGCCCAGGGCCCTGCTGCCTGTGGGGTGGGTCCTTGGTGGGGCCCACTCTGCCTCTCTCTCTCTGTGTGTCTCTCTCTGTCTCCCTATTTGTCTTTCTCTCCCTCTCTGTATCTCTGTCTCTCTGTCTCTACCTCTCTTTGTCTGTTTCTCTATGTATATCTGTCTCCCTCTCTCTCTTTCTCTGTCTCTGTCTCTCTATTTGTCTCTCCCTGTCTCTCTCCCCCCATGTCTCTCCCTTTCTGTCTCTCCCTTTCTGTCTCTCTCCTTCTGTCTCTGTCTCCCTGTTTCTCCCTCTCTCTGTCTCTGCCTCCCTGTCTCTCCCTCTGTCTCTGTTTCTGTCTCTCTCTCTGTCTCCCTGTCTCTCCCTCTCTCTGTCTCTATCTCTGTCTTTTTCTGGCTTGTTCTCATTCACTCTTTTCCTGCCTCTCCAACCCTGCTTTTCCTCTGTAACTCCTTTCCATGAAACAGTAAGCAGATTGCCGTGAGAAGCTGTGACCTGTGGTGCAGAATTCAGGTTTTGCACATGAGTGAAGGTCCTTGCAACATCTAGAATCTGGATCCTTGTACAGAGAGGGCAAAATTTTGTTCCCAGTAGCGGTCAAGGCTGTGGAGGAAAAAAAAAAAAAAAAAAACAGGAAACCAGGTAGAGAGTGATAAGCTGGTAAGTCAAGGACCTCAGCATGATTTGCCCCTGGGATGAGGAGGCCCTGGGTGGATGGACTCTGGAGCCAAACCTCTGGGCAATGCTGGGCAATGGCATCCCGCTGACTCTGAGGACACATGGGCCCAGGGTGCCTTGGAGCCAGGGCTGCCCGTGCAGGTGATGGGCATGGCAGAGTCCTGAGGCCGGGCTGAACGGCAAAGAGTGGTAGCCAGGGTTTGCAGGGCACCTCCCCCTGTGGCTCAATGTCCACGCAGCAGATGTGGATAGAAGGTGGCCAAGCAGACAGAGAATGGCAGAGAGACGGCCATTCCGATAAGCACCACCTCTGTGCCGGGCTCACTTCCAAGTGCTCTGCGTGCTGCCATTCCTTCCACAGCATGGGGGAGAGCTGCTGTGATCACCCATCCTACAGACGAGGGCACTGAGGCACAGAGAGGCTGAATGACTTCCCCAGAGTCACACAGCAGGTCAAGTGGGGGAGCTGGGATTTGAACCCAGACCCAGGCTGACTCCAGAGCTCACCTCTGTCGCAAAGCCTGACAGTCTCTCAGCTAAAATAGGGCCCACAAGTGCCCTGTCCTGTGAACACAGAGGTCCCTCTCCCTCTCCCAGTTCCTCTGCATATCTGAATGATTGCTGTTGGCAAAGGGGCCAGACCCCCAGGAAGTGGGCAGATTTGCTGCCTCCTGGTGTGGCCTCAGTGGCCTGTCCTGGGAAGTGCACCCCGCCGCTCCTCAGTTGTGTAGATTGGAGGCCTCCTTGGCTGCCATGGCTTGTGTCGTGCACACACCTGCTCAGGGCCAGTGACATTTTGGGGTCTAAATGTTGTAAGTGGAAACAAAGCAAATTTCTAATTTGCCTGAGGTTAAATGACTCTGTGTGGCCTTGCCTGAAGGTCCCTGGTGGGATGGATAGTGCGGGACACTGTCCCCTCCAGACCAGCTCCAGGCTACCGCCGGGATGTCCTGGTGAGCCCAGGGTGGCCAGAAATGATTTCTCCGACTGGCCTGCAGGAAACTGAGTCAAAGGTCTGCTGAGTAGCTTGGGACAGGGCTGAGGAGGGATAGAGCTGCTGGCCGGTCTGTGGTGGGTGACAGTGATGTGTCCATATCCTGCTCTGTTGACCTTTACAACCTTGTGGTAACACCATCACCGTTCTAACCTGCCTTTGCCACACAGACCTGAAACCCAGGCACCAACCTGAATATACAAGTTGGATGAAAAAACAAACACACCCCTCAATGTAGGACCAGACAGATTTTTAATCTGCGCACATATAAAGGTGGATTTTTCCCTAGCCCCAGGGTGCACTAACTGAGATGTTTTCCTTGCTAATATTTGTTTGCTTTTTTCCTTTCATAAAAGCACTAGGTAATACCATGACCTTCTGAAATGCAAATAGATTTTCTTTTTAATTCAGAAAGCCTTTTTATTCCACTTAAGATGAGAAGGTCCTGTTTGGAAAATACACTTGATGTCTCATACCCATTATTTATGATTTTCTCCTAAATTATTTTTCTTATAGACTTAAAAAAATGGAAAGCCCAACACATTAGTGCAGAAAGAGGGAACATGAGGCTGAAATGGTTGGCAGCTGCAAAACAGGCAACGATGTAATAAGATTAGAAAAAAAAGCATCTCTTTTTAAGGAGTTTTTCCGACACCTACGTGGACTCGCAATAGCATCTTAGAGGTCCCAGGTGAAGAGGAATCAGCATCATCAAGCCAGGGCCAAAGACCCACAACCTGCCAGGGCCAGTGTTGTCTTTACCTGGGCCAGGCTGCCCTCAGAGACTGGTTTAGCTCCTGCCCAAGTTGTTGCTGGATGATGCAAAGGTTGCCTTGGGAAGGTTTCTGCAGGAATAGGAAGCGGCTGTCCTTAGTAGCCAAAGACAGAAGGGAGGCTGGTTTGATGCTTTTGTTGTATGGACAGTTTGGAACCTGAGCCTGCCAGGCTTTGCCCGTGTCTCACAGTGCAGAGTCTCCCTACCCTCTCAACCCCAACACTTGGGTCTACACCTGAGGCTTCCTCCTCTCCTTTCCCTCATCCACATTCCTAGAACCCTGCCCTTGTTAGATTTCACACTCCACCAGTTTACAACTGAGCCTTTCCCCTCTCTGCATCTCCCCCTTCCATCATTCTCCCCTCGCCCCCAGACCCCAGGGTGTCTCCTGTGTTTCTGAGAAGATCCTGGGCTGCAGGACAAGGTAAAGCCACACCCGCTGCGGAGTTCTAGCCTAGATGTGTCTGCTTGTCATAACGCTTGATTAACCAGTCCAACCAGCATGCATAATTTGGCTGAGAGCAAATTTATTTCTAAGCCACGCAGGTTGGCAGGGAAATATCTTGATGTTATCTAGAAAGTGTTAATAAATTTACCAAATGGGTCCAGTCAAAGAGAAGTTGCAGCTATCATTCTGAGAACAAAGAGAAGAGTCTATGAAGAGACAGCCCACAAAGCATCCCTGTCCAAGTGGAACTGCTACGACCCCAGCACGTGTCCAGCAGCACCTGGCCCTGCAGCCTAGAGTCGTCAGGACCCTGGACAGTTCTCCAGGTCTCATGCGTGGTGATGGACGATTCTGCCCCACTGGGCGTTAAGGACTGCACTTGTTCTTCCTACTTGATCCTCTCAATTTTGCTTTATGGCATGGGAGTGCTCAACGCAGCCAAGAACGTGGTCCACCACAGCTCGCACTGCTCCCCTGGTTTTGTTCAGAAAGTTCTGCATGTTGGACGCTGTGCTCTCCTGGTCACTGGCCCACCACCTGCACTTCCTCATTGCTCTGTGGTTGGTGGTGGTGGTCAGCAGGCTGCAGGCGTCACTGCCACGGGTATCTGGAGGTATTTGCCAATGAAGCTGTCATGTGATCAGCCAAACGCGGGGTGGTGAGCACGACCTCCTAGATCACAGCAGATGTCCACCTTCCGTATGCAGAGCCATGCTGGCAGCTGGGGCCTTGGCCAACGCTGCTGCATTTGCTCTGTGGCACCTGCATCAAGACTGCCCTGTCGAGGCTAGGCTGTTGCAGCCTCACGTCTCCGGGAGGGCTGTTGGGGAAGCACAAGACCCTGAGCTCAGTGCCCAGCTCCTCCATCTTTTCCTGAATCACAAGCCAGTTTTCCTTCTCAGGTTTTGCGGCTACAGGGACCCCCTCAAGCATCATGTGTTTAGGGTATACGAATGTGGCATAACATTAGTGCAATCAAGCCATTATAGGAAGGACATCTCAGTATGTCTCTCTGAATCATCGTTGTAAAACCAAACACATGGACGTGTTCCCGTTGCTTGTGATGGAATCACTGGTGCGTGCTGATGTGATGGCCAGAAAATGACCACAGAGAAGACTTCATCTTTCCTGTTGCAGAATCCCCTCCAGTGTGTGCTCCACCGGGCAGCCTTTGCTTGGTGCTTTTCCTGTGATTTTGCGACAAGCACTGGCCTCGTGCAATGCAGCGGCCTCTGTCCAGGGCTGCCTAGATCTGCAGAAGGTTGTTTTTTTTCTTTCCAGTGTGTGTGTGTTTGTTTATAGAGTACTTTCGGCAGCTCCTTCCCAAGTTGAAACAAATTCCAAAAGAAGTGCATGGGGTGGCCCTCCCCTGAGGGAGGGACCTCTTGGAGAGAAGGTGGAGACCCAGCACACGACACGCAGCAAGTTCCACAGGGAAATTCCAGGAGATGTCACGTGCTCCTCATTCTCTGTCGGCTGAGCCTGAACCAGGCAGCAGGTGGCCACGCTTGGTCACCTCGTGTCTTCCCTAATCCAGTGGGTGTGCATGGCCTGTCTTTGCAGCAGCTCTGCACATGTGCGTCTCAGCATGCACTTGATTGCCATTTGAATGAGCTTGTCTGCGAATTCTCCACTCACATCCTTTGCCATTTAAAATTTGTTTTTCCTGTGTTTTTCTTCTATTTTTTTCTTTCCCATTAATATGTCAGTTGTACATATTTTGGGGATATGTGATGTTTTGTTACATGTATACAGTGTGCTGTGATCAAACCAGGATCATCGGGGTACCCATCACCTCAAACACTTATCTTTTCTTAGCTTTGGGAACATCATAATTCCTTCTGGCAATTTTGAAACATACAAAAAATGATGGTTAACTATAGTAACCCTACTGTACTATCAAACACTAGAACTTATTATTTTTGTCTCACTTGATGTTTGTACCCATGAACCGACCTCTCTTTATTCCTCTCAACCCCCCAGACACACTCCACTTTCCCAGGATCTGACATTCACCATTCTACCCTCTACCTCCATGAGGTCCATCATTTTAGCTCCCACCTGGGACTGAGAACGTGTGGTGTTTGTCTTTCAGTGATTGGCTTATTTTACATGAAATGACCTCCGGTTCCATCCATGTTGCTGCAAATGACAGAATTTCATTCTTTTTTATGGCTGAATACTATTCCACTGTGTACATGAACTACATTGTCTTTATCTATTTGTCCATTGATGGACACCAAAGTTGATTCCATCTCTTAGCTATTACAAATGCAGCTGCAAAAAAACTTGGGAGCGTAGCTATCTCTTCGAGACACCTGCTTTCCTTCCTTTAGGATGAGTGCCCAGCAGTGGGGTTGCTGGGTCATAGAGCAGTTCCATTCGTAGACTCTGAGGAGCCTCCGTGCTGTTCTGGAGGCGGTGGTCCTACCTCATGTTCCCTGCAGCAGCATATGAGGGCTCCCCTTTCCCTGCCTCCTTGCCGGCAGGATTTTTTCTGTTGGGTGAGGTCATATTTCCCCAAGTGTTCTTGATGCCTGTGGACATGTGATAGTGTCCGTGTTGAGGGATTAGGTGTCTATTTTAGTCTTTGCAGTCAGGTTTGCTTGTGCCTGTCCTTCAGATACGAATCCATTTCCTGAGCCTGTGACCCCTGCAGCCATCTCAGCACTAGAGGATACTGTAAGTCCAGGCTGGCCACAAGGCTATCAAGGGCTCCAGAGTGGACCTGCAGAAGACCCAGTAAGGGTGCTGGAGCTGTGTGGAAATGCTGGCCAGGGCTCAGAATCCAGAAGACCGTCTGGTGGCCCAGACGGCCATGCCTCCCAGCAGGTCTCTGCACAGGCACAATGGATCCCTGCCTAAAGCAAGAGGGGCTGCAGCTGAGACTGGGCCCCCTCAGGCTCTTCGGTGGGGTGGAGGCTGGAGAGCCTGGTCTCATTGGCTCAGAGGGTGCACGTCTCCCAGCAGGTTGGGATAGTCCCCAACTGCAGTGAGTGGGGCCGGAGCTTTCAGCCCCAGCCCCAGCCCCAGCCCCTTTCCTTCCTCTCCCTGGGGATCAGAGGGTGGGGCAAAAAGTTCCCATAATCTCTAGGTCTTTCTGGTGACCAGTCCCATCTGAGAATATACAGGGGTCCACCCTAAGTCACCTCATTAGCATAAACTCATAAGCATAGAGACGCTCCTAACACTTGTGAAATCCCAGGGCTCTGGGAGCTGAGCCGGGAACCTGGGCAAAGACCAAGTCAATCCCTGAGGATCTGCCATGGGATGAGGTTGGTGATCCCAGATTGCTGAGCCTGACAGGGAGGCTCAGACTCCCAGCCTGCGGGATGTGGGCAAGGCTCCCTCTGGCTTCCTGTGTGAGCACCTCTTTGCTGGGACCTCAGCTGAGTGGGGCTGGAGCTGCACCTCTGGGCCACATTTGGGTTCACTGCCAAGACTCATGTCAGAGGTCACAAGAGCTTTTCTGCCAACCCACTAGCATGAGCGATTCCTCCTGGACTTGGCAAATGTCTTGGTTGCACGCTCAGGCCAAACGAGGCTGTAGCCAAGCCGCTTGGGGGACAGGGCTGTTTCCAGGCTTGAACCGGGAAGCAAGCTCAGTGGGGTGGATCAGCCACCTGGGTGTGGATCTGAGCTCTCAAAAATGACTCTCCCACGTCTTGGGCTCCACCAGGGCTTCACGAACTCCTGCCTGAATCTGGAGGCTCCTGCAGAGAGACTTGTGACTGTGGATGGGCGAAAACTTCTTGTTGTGTGGGGGGATACGGGCGAGTCACCTTCTGTGTCACCATCCTGGTGACATCTTCAGCTCATGCATTTTTCTTGTGGTTTTGCAAAGGTTTCTTGGATATTACGCACATTGTTGATTTTGCCAGATAGCAAGTCTCCAATCTAGTACAATTATGGAATTTAAAAATTTTTTTTGAGTCATAAAAATGTGCATATTTTCAAGTACTTGCAATAATTTAATATACTCGTATAATTTGTAAAGATGAAATCAGTGTAATTGGGATATCCCATCACCTTAAATATTTATCATTTCTTTATGCTGGAAACATTCACATTATTCTCTTTTAGCTACTTCAAAATATACAATACATCATTATAACCTGTAGTTAACTACTGACCTGTCAAACACTAGGTCTTATTTCTTCTGTCAAACTGTATATTTGTAACCAATAATCAACCTCTCTTCCTGGTACTTTTGTCTATTTTTGAGGCCTGACGTATTTTGGGTGGACTTGCCTTTTTCTCATAATAGGATGCTGTGGGCATTCCTCCTTATCAGCAGCTGTGCCTCTCATCCCATGTTAATGAGGGTGCCATATGCATGCTGTGGTTGGACTCACACTTACCCAACCAAGGACAGCTGTCCACATGGTCACTTTTCCATCAAACCTGACTTTGCCGTGGGATTTGTTAAGACCATCCTTCCTGCTGAGGCCCAGAGTGGGGATGTAACCATGGCCAATTATGGACTTTCCCGAATGAAAAGCCCTTCATTCCGATGTTACAGCTTAGACTCGAGGGTCTAATTTAAGGACTCTCTACCTAGCTGCTGAGTTGAAAACAGCCTCCTAGTTTCTGCTAATGTGACGGTTTTGCATGCTGCATTTAGGCCTGTCACCCACAGGGCTTGGCTTTGGCATTTGGTGTGAGGTAGGGATTGCACACCTCTGCATTCTCCTCATTGGTCTCTTTGGTCTTTGGCCGTTTCTCTGCCTAATGTCTACTACAGGGAACTCAGCTCCTCAGGAGCATTCTTCCATCATCTCTGTGTTGTGTACAAAGCAGAAAACGACCATGAACAGCCAGCCACACCTCCAGGAGGGCCGATAAAGGTGTGAATTAGAGGTCCCTGCTTGCCCAGGGAGACAAGCTTGCAGTGTGAGGCTTCTCCTGCCCCTGCCGAGAGCGGTGTTTGCCTCGTCTCTTCATCTTTTCTCACCTCCACAAGTTTCCTCGGAAAAAACAGGGGCTTTTCTTCTTCTCCTGCCCCCTCTTGGTTTCACACTCTCTGTCCCCTTGACAGCCCCTAGTCTTTACCCAAGTGCTTCAGAAAACAAACACACTTTAAAGTCGTTTAAAGACCAGAGAGACACAGCTGCTGCCTTCCAGGCAGAGTGAGCTGGGAGGCTTCATTCTGAGTTTCTGAAGTAGCTCATCTCCAAGTGGTGCAGAAGTTCTTGCCAGATCTGGCCCAGGGCCGTGTGCGTAGGTCAGTCAGTGGAGGAACCCCAAGTGCCAGGTAACAATCTTCTCACCTCCTAATATCGCCCTAGACACATGCTTGTCTCTGTGTGGAGTATGCTTTTCTTCTATCACCTCCACAGTGGTGTTAGTCATTTATAAACTGTCCATCTGTGTGCAGAATCTAGGATGTGGTTCCAAAAACAAAATCTGGAAAAAAGGCTTCAAAAGAAAAAAAAAAAAAAAAGATCTAGTGAACTGGATACCTAAACCACTAGGGAAATAATTAATTTCAAGAAGGTAAAAGAAGCAGAGGGATGATGTGGGGAAGTCATTGGCTGTGTTCCCCTTCACTGCTTTCTACTTGAGCCCTTGAATTTGATTCTTGAGCTGGGCATGCAGTCCACAGCTCTTTGTGGAGCCATCGACTCTACAGACTTCTTGCTCTTTGGAGCTTGTTTCCAACATCCTGAAGCTCAAATTGGTGGGAGGGGGGGCTTTGGGGAGGAGCTCGTTTGTTTCCCCACAGTGGTTGCTGGCGCTTGATTTTTCCAAATGCAGCTTAAATGTTTGTATGTCTTGGGTTCCTTGTGATTGACAAACGTGACTAAGTCTCTGGTGCAGATGTTCGTCCTGCAGAGGCAGGTGGGTGTATGAGAGGAGAGGTGGCAGGGACGGACGTGTGGTGGAATGAGAAATTGACTTAGTCTTTGTCCAGGTTCCTGGCTCGGCTCCCAGAGCCTGGGATTTAGCAAGTGTTACGAGTGTCTCTATGCTTATGAGTTTATGCTAATGAAGTGACTTAGGGTGGACCCCTGTATATTCTCAGACAGGGCTGGTCACCAGAAAGACCTAGAGATTATGGGAACTTTTTGCCCCACCCTCTGACCCCAGGAAGAGAAAAGAAAGGGGCTGGGGCTGGAAGCTGAACCCTGTGAAAACCCCTGAACAGGAAGATACAGAGCTTTCAGGCTGTTGAGCAGGAGGGCGGGCACCTGGAGGGCAGGGAAGCTCCTGCGCCTCCCACACCTTTGCCCTCTCCATTTGTCTGTCCAGTAAACTTAAGCAAATTGTGTTCTGGGAGCCATTCTAGCAACAGACTGAGCCTGAGGAGGGTGTCCTGGGAACCGTCAGTCAGAAGCACAGGTGGCCGGTGCGTGGGACTGGCCTGCAGTGGGGGTTGTGTAGTGGGACCCAGCCCTTATCTGTGGAGTCTGCGCTGACGTGGGCAATTAGTGTCAGAATTGAATTGAATTCTGGACACCTAGTTTGGGTGTTGGAGAATTGGAGAATTGGTTGGTGTCAGAGAAAACACCCCAGAGAATGTAAGAAAAAAGCAAGGGAAAAAGAAAAGCCTCTTGTTTTTGTAGGTGGCCAGAGCTAAACCCATTTCTCAAAATTCAGTGAGGGGGTGACTCACTAATGGGGGCCCGCTCTTCAGGCTCCCTGAGGATGGGGATGAGGGTCACCTGCTCAGACCCAGGGGATGGGGCAGTGGGACAGCCTCCCAGCACCCACTTTCTCCCAGCACTGACTCCCAGCCCAGCCTCCCAGCACTGCGAGAGCTGCTTCAGCCCTGCTGTCCAGGTTTCATGTGAAAACAGTGAATCCCACCCACCCCAGAACACCAGAAACCAGGTGGACCCTGACTTCCAGTGGAAGAGGCCTCTGCTGGGAGGCCACTCTTCTGGCCAAGTTAGAGTTCTCTGCATTGGAAATGTGTTCATACATTTTGCTTTTTTTGTTGTTGTTTTTGTTTTTTTGGTTTTTTTTTTGAGACAGAGTCTCACTCTGTCACCCAGTCTGGAGTGCAGTGCATAATCTCAGCTCACTGCAGCCTCCACATCCTGGGTTCAAGCGATTCTCCTGTCTCAGCCTCCCGAGTATCTGGGATTATAGGTGTGCACCACCACGCCCAGCTAATTTTTGTATTTTTAGCAGAGATGTGGTTTCACGATGTTGGCCAGACTGGTCTTGAACTCCTGACCTCTGGTGATCCACCCACCTCGGCCTCCCAAAGTGCTGGGATGACAGGCATGAGCCCCCGTGCCTGGCCTATTTTGCATTTTTTAAGTGAGGAATGTCCCATAATGAAAACATAGATAATCACTGAAGCATCAGAGTGCCCACGTGCAGCTTATTTGCCAACTTTCAAGTTTCCAGCATTAATATTTTGTAAAGAAAAATAAATTAATGGATATTGGGGAGTTGGAAACTTCCTGCCTGTGACTCTGATGATTCAGGATTTGACATTTCCTTTAGTCTCTGCAGTGTCTTCAAGGAAAAGCATATATCTAGGCCCAGCTAGTTCTGTGGTTCCCAAGAGACATTGTCATTATCAATGTAGGGATGCGAGGGTTAGGAGAATTAATGATTTCTATGAAATCAGCATGTATAAAAGTGAGGGTAACTGAATCTTGCACTTCCGGATTTTGGGTGATGGTGAGGACAAAGGGAGCTGGGAATAGAACAGAATATCAGGTTGTGGAAGTTTCTCTGCCATTATCATCATTTTGGTCAAATGCCTTCGGTGGGGTCAGCCTCGCTGCTGGCTGGATTTTCAGCCCTGTCTCCTGTCTGAGAGGCCAAGAGAGCAGAGCGGGCCCCCGTGAAGGCCACGCGATGGCCACGGGATGAGGGACGTGGCTGCTGAGCCGCCTCGTGGCCACGGGCCCCCTGCGTCGTCCTGCCCTTGGGAACTCAGAGTGAGCCCTCCGCACAGAGAGCAGTGGGTGAGATCACAAAGCTCAATCAGAAGCTCAGGGGCACAGGCAGGGAGACTGCAGAGCTGGTGAACTTCCTCCCTGACACTGCACCAGCACTGCCGTCTCTGACCAGAAAGGCCGTGACAGGGGAGGTCCCATTTGCAGGTTCAGGCCCTGGGGATGCTGCCTCGCTGCCTTCCCTCGGGGAATCAGCCAGCCTCTGTGTGGGGCGGGTGGAGGTGCCCATCAGGGTTCTCATATCTGAAGCCCTTCCTGCAGCACCTTGGGGGACGTCAGTCTCTGGAGGACTCTGGAGACCCACTCCTGCATTGCCCACAGAGGAGGACAGTCCATAGCGCCTTCTTTCCACCACAGGAAACAGCAGCCCACCCTGTGGGAGTTGGGGAAGGCCCTTTTTTCCTCCACAGTAAGAGAGGATGCCAGGCAGGTTAGTGGGGTAAATAATAGAACTCTCTCCTGCTCCAGGGAGGGTCAGAGCTTACTGGTAGCATCTGAGCATTGATGAAGAGGGCAGGGCTGGACCTTACTTAGGGCAAAGCATAGCTCAGCCTCCCTGGAAGTTTTCTTTCAGCAAAGCTTGCTGTCATCATGGCCACCACAATGGGCTCTCTCCATTCTTGCTCTTCCTGGACCCCAAAAATGGTCATAGCCAGGTGGGTCCTTGCGTTTCTCTCCAAATGTTCTTGATTTCAGGGCTGACCTTCCCACTCTGCAGGGACGCAGGCCAGAAAACGCACCACTGCCCTGGCCTTGGCCCAGCACGTAGACCTGGTCAGGGTCCCCGCTGCACATCCAGGGGTTCTTCCTGGGTCCTGGGGCAGTGGGTCCATGGGGGGCTGCTGGGTGGAGGGGGGTGACTGGACCGGGTGCTGTGCGAAGGTGTCTCAGTGGAAAACAGAGGAACAAATAGCTCCTGAAATGTGCCTCTGAGCCTGCCCCTGTCACTATGGGACAGAAGAACACCCACAAGTGACTTGGAAGAACTGGCACTTGGTCCATTTCTCAAGAGTCATCCTGCAGAGGCTCATCGGCCTTGGCTCCCACCGCACCCACCACCGCCCTCTGTGCTGCTGCCTGCTTTGTTCTTTCAGAACATGCAGCCTGTCTGAACCCATACTTCCCACGCTGTGTCGTGTCTGCCTGTCTTTCCTCTTAGAAGCTAAGCCCCAGGAGGGCAGGGACTCCACTCTATCCGCAGATGTGTCCCCAGCACCTGGGGCCTGGTGTGGGGCAGTGCTCAGTGAGCAGTTAAGGCATGAATTGTCAACTGAAGACTCCCGAGGTCCCTGCGTTTGGAGAGGAGAGCTCTATTTCTCACAAAGCATTGTAGCTGCAGACAGCCATCCCACAGGCTGGGGAGTGAAGCCCCCATTGCAGGCTGAGAACGTCCCCCCATTCCCCGTTTTCAAGAAGTCATAGGAGGAGCATAAATACTTGCAAAAGGAGAAAATGCACAGGCACAGCTGAGCTTCGTGCCCCTTCGTGGGTCACAGGTTCGAAATCTGGGGGCGACAGCGTGGTCTGAGGGTGAAGTTTTCAGCCTCTGACGTGAAAAGGTGAAGCAGGGGGCATGAACGCCCTGAGCACAATCCTCCAAGAATCAGCTGGAACCGGTCCAGGGAGAGTGCTCAGGGTTTAGAGAGGGATACCTGTGAAACAGGTGCACTGTCACCCCAAAACTGCAAAGAGGGAGGAGAGGCCTGATAGGGTTTGGCTGTCTCCCCACCCAAATTTCATCTTGAATTGTAGCTCCCATAATTCCCACATGTTGAGGAGGGACCCGGTGGGAGGTAATTGAATCATGGAGGCGGTTTCTCCCATGCTGTTCTCATGGTAGTGAGTGAATGTCATGAGATCTGATGGTTTTGGAAGGGGTTTCCCCTTTTGCTTGGCTCTCATTCTCTTGCCTGCCGCCATGTAAGATGTGCCTTTCACCTTCTGCCACGATTGCGAGGCCTCCCCAGCCATGTGGAACTGTGAGTCCATTAAACCTCTTTTTCTTTATAAATTACCCAGTCTCGGGCAGGCCTTTATCAGCAGCCGTGAGAACAGACTAATACAGGGCCGGTGCTGGCCTCGGCTGGGTGGCTGAAGGCAACAAAGGCATGGGTGGCCCGGTTCTTGTTTTCCGGAGCCAGTTTCCGCTGCCTCCTCAGGAAAGCATCCTGGGTAAATGTTCGTGAGAAAGGGGTTCACTGAGGGGAGTCTGGCCTCCCATCCCATCCTGGCTGGGAGCGTTGTTTTTCAGGTTTCTCTGGGGTCCCCTTGGCTGAGATGGGGTCCGTTCAGCTGGCTGAGGGGATTTTATTTTTATTTCTCTGAATGAATCAACAAAGGACAAGCAAAAGAAGCAAGTGGGCCTCATGAGACTGGTTTGATGGTGGCACAGAGATGCCCGGGGGCAGGAGCGGGCCCTTCCACCTTGGTGTTGCTGCCTGGGAATGGGACCCCGGCCTGTGTGCTCAGCCCTTGGAACCCAGGATCCAGTCCCCCAAATCAATGACTGGAGGTGCATCCAGCACCCGGCATGGTCCTGGTTATGGAGCAATTCAGCGGTGCTGGGCAGATGGATCTCAGAGTTCGCTGTATCACGGGTACTCTGAGATTCAGAGCATCCCTGTGGAGGCCCCTATTGTTTCGGTTAACTGAGAATTCACTCGTGTGAGCAATGCAGATGTGTTGCTCTTTATTGCCTGAGGACTGAGGTTTCTATGGCAAGTGGTGAATTCAGAGAGGGGTAGAGACCAGGGGCCAACGGGGTGACTTTCCAGCCTTCTGTTCTTTCTGTGGCTCTGAAATTGGAGCCAAGAAGAGCGTGCAGGCTGGCTTACAACGCTGCACCCAGGGCCCGGGATGTGCCTCCCACAGATACCTCAACAATAGGAGATCTGAAGTTGGCAGCAGAGACCCCAGTTCACTGCCCTCTTCCTTTCCAGAGCAGCAAGTCTTGGCGTGGCCCCTGCCCAGTGATAGTGAATAAAGAAACAGGCCTGGCCCAGCTGCAGTTGCACACCTAGCCCTGCTATGTGCTTGGCAGGTCTCAGACATTGCCACCCTGCAGATACAGGTGATGCTTTGCTATTGAGGAGCAGATTGGGGCATGTCTGCTGGGTTCGGTCACCCTGACTGGACACTTGCTGGATGAAACTAGCCCCAGCCCCAGCCCCAGCTGCCATTCCCTCCCGCCTCTCTTCCACCTCCGCGTGCCCCCCACTCCTTCACCTCTGTGCTTCCTGCTATGTGATGTGGTCTCCTGGAGTTAGAAGGAGGATAACTATCAATCAAATGATTTCTGGAACTTGTGGGAAGCCCCAGTATCTATTTTTTAAAACGCAAATAATTTTTTTTCATTCCCTAAACTATACCTAAAAGCAAAATGATGATTAGAACTCTCTGAGTTTGGCACAGAGTGAGAGCTTCAGTAGATGTGAACCATCCACTGCTGGCCCCGGGCCACCCCTCACACCGAAGAAGAGTGAGCTTTGTTTCCAGGACAGAGCGATGTCTGCTCAAGTCTGGTTCAGGCTGTGTGAGGCTCTCCTGGTCTCCATTCTCAGAGAGCACAGGGTCCAGCATTCAATTTGGGGTGGTGACTATGTCAAGCCGTTGTGATCTGTATCCTCACGTGAGCGCTGTTGGACGGGGCTGAGTTTTCCACACAAAGAGGTTGCCGATGCCCGGGTGGGAGGGCACTCAGGAACCTACACAACAGGGAAGAGGGGCTGGCACTCACTTGTCAGAGTTTGCAGCAAGAGGGGAAGTTGCCGTAGGGCCTCTGATGATGGCAGCGCTGGGGCCTGACGGCCGAGCATCAGCGCCAGGCACATCCGAGCCAAGCACAGCTGCACCAGGGCCTCCATGACGCTTGTTCTGCTTCTGTTGGGACATCGGCAGAAGGGAGAACTACAGCTGGTAATGGGCCCAGCATTCAGGGGGAGCCAGGCAGGGATCACAGCTGCTTGCAAGGCCTGTCCTCCCTGGCTTCCTGAGTCAGCTCAGAGATGAAAGGCCCAGAGGGGTCAGGAAAGAAAGGGTGCACTGGGTACCACTTGGAAAGATGGTTTGGATGGATGGATGGATGGATGGGTGGGTGGGTGGATGGATGGATGGATGGACAGACAGGCAGGCTGGTAGGCAGACAGACAGACATAGATGGGTAGATAGATGATGGATGGGTGGGTAGATGGTTGATGGATGGATGATAGATGGTAGGTAGATAGGTAGGTAGATGGATGGATGGATAGATGGATGGATAGATAGATGATGATGATGGATGATAGATACATGATAGATACCTAGATAATGGATGGATAGATAGATGGATGATGGATGGATAGATAATAGATGCTTGATGGATGGATGATTGATAGATGATGGATGGATAGATAGATGGATGATGGATGGATGATAGATGATAGATTCGTACATACATACATACATACATGATAGATAGGCAGAGATACATGGAGAAATAAAGAGGTGGATAGAGAGACAAATCTTGCTATAGCAGGAAAAATAGTGGTGAAAATTGCTACTTACCAACATGCTCCATAATTTATTAACAAAGATATTTAAATTATTTTAATTTTAGTTCATTTAATTGAAACCAACATCTTTCCCTTTAGGCTCCTGGGAGAGCAATGTTTGTTTCTTTGTGTTTGTTTGTTTACTTGTTTGCAGAGGCTGGTCTCATATGTTGTAATACGAATCAGGTAGAAAATGGACACATTCTCCCTGGCCATGCCATCCCGGTTATCAAACAGGAATGTCAAGCCCATTTTCCCAGCGCCTCCACCACCCTGGTGAGTGCCCCCAGACTGCTGAGAGGCGCTTCTTCCACGCGGGAAGGTTCAGCTTTCCTGGGTCTCTGGTTCATCCCAAGTCAGGCTGTTTGCTCTCGATCATGTCTGCAGGTTTGTGGAGATTTATCTGTGTCCAAATAAGCGTTGGCATCTGTTTCTGTTTTCCAACCACACTGTTAATATTTGTTCTAGTGAAACATATCTTAAGATGGCGCCGTCAGTATTTCTTTAGTCAAAGGTGAGCATTGTGAACTGAGATTTCTGTAGAAAGCTGACCATCAGGCGGAGTGTGCATGTAAGAAAGTCTCCAATGGACCGCGGTTCCGGTCAGGGCCGGCTGCTAGTGTTGGCTATTTGCTTCTGTACTGCCCTGCTTCCTAGAACGCGCTGTCAAGATCTGTTTGACATTCTGTAACTCTTTCTCCAACAACAGCCTGTCTCCTCTGCTGACAGCGAACATGCCTCGGATGAAAGTTCATTAGTCTATTGAAACATTTCAGTTAATTGCAAAGCGAGAACCCAGAATTGTCAAGTTCATATTTCCATCTGTGCATGAGCATGGTAATAAAGAATTTTTTGGATAGGTTAATTTGCCTAAAATACCATGCAGTCAATCAGAGTAACAAAGTTGTTGCTGCCTGCCTCTGTCAGGCAGGGCTTTCATCACCGTCCTTCTCCGGGAGAACATCGCTGGCTCGTACGAATTGGCAGAAATACAGCACACACGAGCATCAGCTGCAGAGGGAAATATTATTCCAGAGCAAAGCACCCAACAGCTGGGCATTGCACTAGCAAGGCTAGTTTATAGTTCAAGGTCTTTTTTGTAAGTAAAAGATAGCCACTGAGACATAAGATGGCTTTAATATTTAATTCAGATTGTTGATACTATTTACATTTGTTAATTTTATATTTTACTTAATTTGCCACAGATGAAAACGCTCTTTGGAATGAAGTGTGTGTGCTTCTCTCTGAAGATCCCTAATATACATAGGTGTTTAATTTAAAAATAAAAACAGATGAAGTGCATAAACTATAATTATTAAAATAGGCTCCTGTCAAAGCTCTGTGTTCCCATCCATGTAGGAAGCATGCTCTGCAGGTCCCAGCAGCCGGTTGTTAATCTGTGCCGATCGCCTCACAGTTGCGTCTTGCCCTATCACGGCAGGCCTCCTATTAGGATCAATACTCAAGGGTTGGCTGCTCACTGAATGCCAGGGATATCATCCAGCAGCAGTACATGCCACAAAAGGAGAAGCTGGGTCTCGATGCTCCACGTCTGTAACTGCGAAACGCAGACTGCTCCTGTTGGCTGCATTTAAGGTGCCACCGCCTCCTCCCCACCCATGTGTTTATGGAGTAATGTGCTTATGGAAAGGACCTAGGTGGCCGCTGAGTTTTATGCACGGGGGCCACCTCCTTCCCTCAGAAAGGGGAGAGGCCCCTGCTATGTACTCCCTGGGGCAGGTAGTTTGCTGAGAGTTAAGAGGTGTCAGTCTGTCAGGCATACCCCGGGTGCAAGAAGTGAGACATTTCTTGGATGGCTGGTGTTTGAGAAGCTGATGTCAGGACATGATGGAGCTTGGCTGCAGCATCCGAGGACCAGACACTTGTGGCCCATGCCAAAGAGTCTGACAGGGAGACAGAGGGTCCTAAAGCTGCCCCAGCACAGTAGCCTCCTGCTGCACATGGCCCAGGCCCTTGCTACGGAAGACTCACCTAAAACTCTGCAAACAGAAAACGTCAGTGACAGGGACAGCATGCCACTGGAGTGGGGTTTCCTGACCTCAGCACTTGGGATTGGATAACTCTCTGTAGGGGCTGCCCTGTGCATTGTGGGGTACTTACCTGCATCCGTGGTCTCTGCCCAGTAGATGCCAGTAGCACCCACCCTGCCCAGTTGTGACAGCCAAGACCATCTCCAAACGTTGCCCCATCCCCTGGGGACAGAATTGCCCCCAGCTGAGAATCCCTGCATTTGAGTTAGAGGGGACCTGAATCAGGGGAGGTGGCTGCGGAGTTTAAGAGCCTCGCAGTCATGGGTGCTCACTGAGGGCCCAGGAGGCCTGGAGCCCTCACTCGGAAGCTGCTTGGGACAGTGGGATAGGCCTGTTACCAACATGGACCACAACCAGTCATTTAAGACAGTCAGGGAAACAAACGGGGAGGTGCCTTAGAGGCAAAGCTTCATTTAAAATAATGACATAAGACGTGTGGGTTGGAGATGGATGCAGAGAAGTGGAGTTTCCAGATGAGGATGTGGAGGTGGGAGTAGAAGGGCCTGGGTTCAAATCTCGACCCTGCCTATGCCAGCCGCTGGCTCACCCCACCTGCCACGCTGCACCCCACTCACCACACTGCGGCGCCTGCTTTTTCCTTGAGCATCTGGGACGTCTGTCATCAGCAGACAGCTGCTGGTTTCCGTGGCTGCCTTCCTAGGGGAGCATGGTGACAGCTTCCTGTCTGTTACCTTTCCCCACCCCATCACAAAGCCCCCTTTAAACTCCCGTTTAGAACAGTGATTGAAGGTGCTAATTTCACATTGTCTTCTTTATATAGATTACACCTTCCAAAGCCTTCAGAAATACCATTACAATGAAAACAATTTCAAGAGCAAATTGAATACCTAAAAAAGTATAATTAATCAAACCATATCAAGAGAGCCCGCAGGGTCATCAAGAGCTAGACCCAGCGGCCGTGTTGTCTTTCCTCTACATGAGCATCATTCGTGCAAAGTGCATCACAGCTGATTCTGAGGGAGGTTCTGACGTCACCACGCAGCCCTGGGGACCAGCCATCCCCAGGAGAAGGCTGGTTTTAGTGCATCACTGAGCGCAAAGTATTTTTGCAATCAGAAAATAAAAGGTACCCAGAATCTGAGCAGGAAAGACACGGTTCCTAGAGCGAGGAACACCCCAGAATCTGAGCAGGAAGGACACGGTTCCTAGAGCGAGGAACACCCCAGAATCTGAGCAGGAAGGACACGGTTCCTAGAGCGAGGAACACCCCAGAATCTGAGGAGGAAAGACACGGTTCCTAGAGCGAGGAACACCCCAGAATCTGAGCAGGAAAGACACGGTTCCTAGAGCGAGGAACAGTGCATCCACCATCAGATGCTGGTGTGCAAATCTGGTTCCAACGTTTTCTCGCTCCCTGTCTTTTGGCAAGTATCCTGTTCTCTCTGGAGCTGCATTTCCTCATCTGTGAAGTGAAGTGAGCACGGTTCACAGCTCAGAAGGCTGCTAGAAGGGTAAAACTCCATGACCCAAGCATCCGGTCAGTGTTCCCCAAAGCCGTCGTGCTAGGCCATGCTCACCTGGGGACCTCACCTCAGGAATCGGGAAGATACTAGCAGTCGCTAAGTGGCTTACTGAGAGAGGTCTAAATAAGTCCCACAATTTACTGTTCTTTCCCACAAGTCATCCTGAAAGCCATAGCAATGACTGTTGGACCCAAGGTATCCAATGACCAAGTCCCAGCATCGGGCAGACATGGAGTCAGGGCTTGTTGGTCACTGAATCCCTCTCTGGAATCACAGATGCACCCCAGGAGAGAGGCTTAGCTCACAGCAAGGAACCTGGCTTTCTCCCTTCCCCAGCTCCCCCTGATCCAGACAGGAGTGAGGATGTCTGAAGGGTTGTGTCCACCAAATGGCCTCCAAGGCCAGGCAGCCAGGAGACCAAGCCTCAGTGGCCAAACCTGGGATCTCTGGAATCGAGATCCTCAGCTTGATGACAGGGACAAAGAGAGGAAAAGACAAAGTCAACTTCGAGGGCAAAAAGACTTCAGAAGAACTGGACCAGGGGCCCAGGGAAAGCAGTGGTGAATTCTCTGTTGAGGAGAAAACAGAGCCAGGTTTACAAAGAGCTGCAGGGCATGTTTGCAGAAGGAAGAAGAGTCGGGGCATTCTGAGCTCTAGGGAGCCGACGCTGGCATGGGGGATAGTACAGACCCGCTCGGAGAGCCCCTCACCGCCTGCCAGGCGCCCCTTGATCCCAGAAACACCATCTGCAGAACCTGCAGCATAGGAGGCCAGGAAACAGATAGAGCAGTTGACTGGGGCCACAGAATAACTGGCAGGTGAGCTGAACCCAGTTAATTATAATCGCAGACACATTGTAAGGCCCAGAACCCAAGTTGAGCAAGAGGGGCTTTTGTTTCCGAGTCATGGGGCTAGGGAGATTCCTGGGCCTCTCGTGTTGCCCTTTGAGGCTGAAGTGTCTAATAGGACGTGTAAGAATCCCCACAAAACTCACCAGGGCGGGACGAGAGGGAAGCACCTCTCCCGAGCTGTGCATGGACTATCTGTGAGGTCTCCAGAGGCACCCGGACCCAGGCGTGATCCTAGTCTGCTCACTCGACCGCAGGGAGGGAGAGGCATTTTGACCAAGTTTGTTTCTCTGTGGATTTAATTAGTATATTCATTCAACATTCAAATATTTAAGGAGTTTTTTTTTCTTTCTCCATGACATCAGAAATCTCTGACATTTGCTGAACCAGCTTGGCATCTTTATTATGGATTTGGATGTGAGGCGTCCACAGTTTTGAGCAGTCTGCGTGATAGTTTGTTCCAAAGAGCGCATGTGGGAGTCGGAAGCATGACAAACACAGGGCTATATTAGGGTCAGGAATAACGATCATCTGCTTATCATGAGAACAAATATCAGCAGATCAATGAAAACAAATCTCAAAGCAGCGAAAACAACATGATTTTCAAGAGGAAAAAACAGGGTTTTTAAATTTTGTTTTTCAGGATTGCTTTTAGACTTGGTTGTATGAGCAGACACCGTTCAGATGCTTGCAGCCTCCACACTTCACAAAATTAATGTCGTAACAGACCCAAGAGTTACCATCATGGGTTCATCTTCTGAGCCCCGTGTTCACCTTCAGCACAGGGCAGTTATACCACATCATCTGTACTTACCAGATAAGGATGCCAAGGCTCAAGGAGACTGTGACCTACCAGGGTCTATAGCTGAGCTATCACTTGGCCCGAGTTTTCCATTCGCACATCATGTAACCTTGACTTCTCGTCCCACCTCGTAGGGTTGCTGTGAGGATCCAACAGGACCTGACCAGCTAGGAAGTGCTGCACCCACGTTAGCGCCCCTGCTGAGTGCTGGGCTGGCATGGGCCATTCACTGCACAGCAAGGCACACTTAGCCCCTGCAATATTTGAGCACTTACCGTGTGTCTGGCCGAGTCCTGGGTTCAGGGGTTGTAGCAGGGAACAGAAGAGACCGAGACCCTGCCCTTGGGAAGGGGACATTCTAGAGGTGGCAGTGGGAGAGTTGTTAACCAGAATTGAACTGTCGACTGGGTCAGGGAACGGCGGAGCAGGCCAAGGGGTGGGGGTCAGTTTTAAATGGGACGTCAGAGCAGAGGGAATCAGCTGGAGGCGACCTCTGCACCCTCCAAAGACGACCTGGAGCTGCAGAGGCCAGTTTCACTGGTCTCATTGCACTGTCACCTGCGTTTTCTGTCTGGCCTTGATGTGGGGGCATTACTTTGGGCTCATGAGCCAAGAATGTGTGTGTGTGTGCACGTGACTTGCAGAAGCAGAAGGAGAAGCACCCGTGTTCCCGAAGTCAGTGCGTTGTGGGGGGTGGGGGTGGCACAGAAGGGGTTGGAGAGGATGGACGGGTTCACTGCCTAACAGGGACAGGGCAGAAGCTCCTCTGTGAGCTGGCTGGCGCCCGGCCTTGCCAGTCCATTCTGCTGGGTCAGGCCTTTTTCCACGCCCGGGCTTAGCTAACGTGGGCAGCAGGTCTGCTTCTGCACCCAGCAGCAGGTGGTCCTGGAGCCGGAGACAGCTTGGTTGCTCGTGTTGAGTGAACAGGAAGGAATGTGTAACTTGTCACCTCCACCTATAGATTTTAGAATGATAGGAAGGCAGCCATTGTAACTCAGAGCCTCCTGAATTTTTTAAATTGCGCTCGAAGGGTCAGAAGCACTGAATTCAGGCCAGAGAATGAGCAACTCTAGAAAACATGTTTGTTTTCTGCCCTTGCCTCCTGGTTCTTTGAGAGCCACTGAAAATCAGGGCTTCAGAATCCTCTTCCGAATCCTGTAGGAGGGCGGACCCTACCCTGGCTCACACGGTGGCAAGAGGAGCCTCAGCTCCAATCACTGAACCAGACAAGCTTTAGGGGAAAAGAGTCAGAAGAAGCGTGTTTTGGAGGAGGGTGGGTGGGTGCTGAGAAAGGCCTATCAGCTCAGCGGCTTCTGGGGGCAGCAGGAGAGGGGCACACGCATGATAAATTCTGTCTAGACACAGGTTGGAGGACCCGTTCCAGGGGTGTGTCCTCTGGGGATCAGGCCAGTGGTTCAAGGTGAGCAAACCAGGGAACCGTCTGCTGGAAACCTGACTGTGCCAGAGTTCCACCCAGAACTTCCCAGGGTGTTGGTGGCACTTAGGTGCCAGCCTGCCTGCCGGCTTCAGGCCCGTGGGACAGCAGGGAACACTCAGGTCTCCCCCTTGGCACAGTGAATGCTCAAGACGTTCTCCGCTCATTGGCTGGGGTGGGGACCTCTGTGCTCTGTGGGGTGTTCCGCAGCCTCCCCACCTCCACCCCTGGGGATGCCAGGAGCACCCTGCCCCTAATGTGACAATCAAAAAGGTCACCAGACATCGCCAAGTGTCCCCTGCGGAGCAGATGTGCCCGCATGGAGAGCTCTTTGTGTCGACCATGACTGCTTTTTGTTTTTATAAATGGGGAAGCGGACGGGCAGAGAGGGCACCCCAGGAAGGTCCTTTGTGTGCCTGGTAGAGCTGAGGCCCCCTGGTTGGGACAGCAGTGCCTCCCGCCCCCCGACTCGACTTGAGGCCCAGGCACTTGGTGTCATGCAGGGGTGTCCAGACGGCCTGGTGCAGGATCCCTTTGATGTGGAGGAGGGTGGGTCCCTGCCCGCTAGGGTGGGGCAGGGTGGTTCTGTGAGAGGCGGCCACTTCTAGCCCTTCGTCCTTTCTCCCTTTTGTGTCGGTGTCCCCCAGCGAGGCCCAGGACTTGTTCTCACCCCTCCCTTCCCTGCAGGCCAGCCGCCTCCTGGGCCCCCTGGCCTTCCCCATGGCCTTTCAGGGGTCTGCGCCCTACCTCCTCACACAGCACAAAGCCAACGTGCCCCACCAGGAATTCCCACCTCACCCCTGTGGCCCAGCCATTCTCCCGTGTGGGGACGCGTGGACACAACCCTGAGGAGGCTGGGTTTCTTCTGGCATCGCCGCAGACATCCTCCTGCTGACCCAAGCCCCGAAGCCCGCAGCTTCCTGAGCTATTTGTGTCTCATTCACATGTGCGGTTTCCCCTTCCCAGGACCCCCGGCTGCTGCGTCGGCCTGAAAACACACACAGGTGCTGAGGTCTCGTAGAGATGGTGCCGCCTGCCGTGCCACGGTTTTCCTCACTGCCGCCCCCACCCCTCTGCACATGGAACCGGGCACCCCCACCCCTGTGCTCAGCCGGTCACTGCTCTGTCAAAGCGACTTCAGGGATCACCTGCCTGCAGCTGGCTTCCCCACTGCACTTTGGGTTTGCCAGCTCATTCATTCATTCATTCATTCATTCCTCTGCTTGCCCTTCTAAGCCTGGCTTTACAAACTCGTATTTTCTCCACATTCATTAAAGGCAGAGAGCATGAGGCCGAGCTCCTGCCCTGCCAGGAGGTCAGGTGCCCTTCCTGCTACAGGAGAACGCCGTCCACCAGGCAGCAGGGCCTCCAGCCCCACAGGCCGGGCATCTGGAGTTTCTCCAGGTCCTGTGGGGGATGGCCCGGGTGCACCCCGCCCAGCGGGTCTGTTGAATGCAGCTGCCAGGCTAGACTCACGCCCACTGACTTGGGATGTCACACAGAGACTTGCAGCCAAGAAGACAGAGCCTGCTCCCCAGCCCTGCCTCTGCATCCCAGGTCGTCTCTGGACACCAGCCACATCATGGGCACAGACAAGTGTGTGGGGACATGAGGAATGGATGATGGGCCCCTCTCCTTCCTGGCTTGCACATTCCTTTAGGGTAGGATGGTGTCTCACTTTCATATCTCATCACCATCCCTGGCCGTGCGCTGCATACAGTGGAGGCTTGATAAATGCTTAATGAGCGTGTGCCGGCAAGTGCCTCTCAGCCAAGGCATCTCGCAAGCTTCCCAGGCTCTCTCTGCGGGAGCCGCCTCTGATCTGCACAGGCAGGCAGGAGCTTGGCCACGCAGGTTCAGCTGCAGTCCCCAGAGCAGCTGCCACTTTGCATAGCTGCGCCGTGGAGAGCAGAGAGGGGCTGGGAGGAGGCACGTGCTTGTCTTGTGAAGCAGGTCAGAAATGGCCACTGGAAGGCCAGGCGGTGCAGGCCAGGGAGCCCCCTGTGGCTCTGTGCACCCAGCCCAGCCCCCCAGCCGGAGCCCTCCAGGAAGCCTCTGGCCAAAAGCTTTGACTCCAGCCAGAGTCCCTGGGAGCAGCCGGCAGGGAGAGCTGGAGACAGATGTTTTGAGAGCTCACTGATGCCAGAAATGAAATAAAAAAAAAAATAATTAAGAGCTTGGACTCCAAAGGTCTAGGGATTAAAATTCCCCAAGGCAAAAATGAGCTGTAATCAAAGGAATGGTGGGCTGTTATCTGTCCTCCACACTTGTCGCCCTGGCACGTGTGGTTGGCTTTAATTATTGATATTTCTTTTTAAGTTAAAGATGAATTTGAGACAGCTGCGAACTTGGACAGTTGATCTTCCAGTGACAGGGAAACCTGTTAGTAATGATCACTTAAGGCGGCCGCGGTTTTTCCAGCCTTAACAGAGGTGGCCAGAGCCATGGAGAAGAATCTAGGAGCCCCAGACAAGCTAGGCTGCCCTGTCCCTGCCAAAAACTGTCCCACGCGGCTCCCTGCCCCCATGGGAAGGTGCTCGGTGCCCAGCGTGTCCAGGTTCCGTCCTCCCTGCAGCCTGGAGCCTGAGTCCGATGCGGCGCCTTCCTTAGATGGTCTTCAGGCCTCTGCAAATGGAACCAGCTGAACAGGAGGCAGAGGGTGAGAGTCAGGGAGTCCCCTGTGACTCAGCGCAAGGAGTCAGGGAGACATGACCTGTGGCTCGGAGGACAGCTGACTGCCTTGTCCCAGCTTTCCACCTCTGCCCGGGCTCCGAGGCGGTGTGAGGCCTCTCACATTGCTCCCTGACACCCAGGGAGCCTGGCAGAGGCAGCATCAGCCCCAGAAGGTGCCGCCGCTTACAGCCATGAACACAGGATGCAGAGCAGTGCTCGGAGGCAAATCCACCCCAGTCCCTCTTGGACCTCAGCCACCATCCCCAGCCAGCCCAGTCAGGCGTCTGCCAGCTGCCAGTTATGCCTTGGTGTGTGTGCAGCGCATGTTGCATCCTCCTAACACTTCTGTACTGTGACCTCATGGCTGTACCTGATACACCTGGGAGTAGGACTTGGGCTTGAAGAGTCTGCCTGGGCGCCCGCTCACACCAGCCACTGGGGCCCCAGGATGCTCTTGACCACGGTCAGCAGGGAAGGGCGAAGTGTCAGAGATCCCCAGGACTCTGCTTGGCTCAGGGCTTGTGGTTTAGCTCAACATGGGACGCTCAGCGGGGCAGGTCAGGCAGGGCCTTGGTTTGGGGCTCACACCTGCTGGGAAGGGCACGGCCACACCTGCAGGCCCCTGGCTGTGGGATCCAGGCTCCCCGTTTTGCACTGCTCTTGCATGGGGCTTCAGCGCCTTCCTCCTCCTCTTGGGGAAGAAGTCACATTTGGTTGGAAGTTAGCTTATATTGTGATTTAAAATTCTCCCAGAGTCCAAGACACTCCAGGATCCCAAAGTTAGTGTTGGCAAGAACCAACTTATGGATTATAATTCTTGGTCATGTTCAGATCCTCCCTGATACCCATTTGAAACTGAAATGACTCTCTGGGTAGAAATAGGTAGAAAACAGGGTTCAGTTATTCATTCACCAAACCCGTCCAGAGCCCTTCAGTTGCTGGGGCTGGGGTAGAGCATGAACGGGGCCCTTGCTACATTTCTGTGCCCGTGGGAAGGTAGACGGGTGAAACCCACAGTTACTGACAAGGGAGACACAAGGTAAGAAGGAAGTGAGCAGGGATAGGAGGTGGGCGTGCCCCAGGAAATCCTGGAGGGCCTCTCTGAGGAGGTGACATTGACTGAGGAATGAGACAGGATCTAACGTGTGAGGACAGAGGAGAAGTCCAGAGGTTCCCAGTGGTCTGCAGTTCTGCCTGCTAAGCACCGCTGTGTCCAAGGTGTTCGAGCTGGGACTGGGGATGCACAGGGGAAGCATAAGACAGCGTGGCTCCCCTGGAGGCCCCTGACTCTCCCACCGTGATGGCTGCTAGGCGTTTCCGTCTGTGTCCACTGTGCATGTCACCATAGTGCTGGGGACGCAGAGCTGTCCCGTTTGGAAGAAAACTATGGACTGGAGCCAGGGCTTCAAGTTCGGTGGGGCTTGGTTGCTTTGTTTAAAAGTGGGGCCATGGCTGGGTGCAGTGGCTCACATCTGTAATCCCACTTTGGGAGACCGAGGAGGGCAGATCATCTGAGGTCAGGGATTCGAAACCAGCCTGGCCAACATGGCGAAAACCCCTCTCTACTAAAAATACAAAAATTAGCTAGGCTGGGTGTAGTGGCATGTGCCTATAATCCCAGCTACTCAGGAGGCTGAAGCAGGAGAATCGCTTAACCTCGGGGGCAGAGGTTGCAGTGAGCCGAGATCACGCCACTGCTCTCTAGCATGGGCAACAAAGCAAAACTCCATCTCTAAAAAAGAAAAAAAAGAGTGGGGCTCAGGAATCTGCATTCTCAGGTGCACCTCTGAGATTCTGACTCAGACTCCATGAACCACCCCTGAGGAGCACCCTCTTGGCTGGCTTCTGCCATTGTCTGCCACAGCAGCTTTTGTTCTACTGGGAAGTGGCTGAAGGTGTGGACAGCAGTGGGGGTGGCACGCGTCCTCCGGCCGGTAGTAAGTGAATGGGGCCCTCAGGAGGCGTGTCCTCCCTTGCAACTGCAGACCACAAGACGGCGCCTCCCCACCCAGCCGCTGCCATAAGGAGCCAGGTGTGGGTGGAGCCACGCAGGTTATTTCCATCTGACAGTGGGGCACCATCCAGTGCATCGTGAAGGCTGCGCAAGTGGCTGTCGGGATGATGCCAGGCTCTGCTGACACGTCAGATCATCCGGGATGCGCTGGCACACACGTGTAGCCTCCTGTGATGTGCACAGCACACCGGGGCAGGCTCTGAGTTTGCTTGCTTGAGTTTGGAGTCTCCACCAGTGCAACCTTCAGAAGAAATGCTCCTGGGGCGGAGAGTGAAGCGCAGGGCACATGCATTCAGTGCAGGCTGTGAAGGAGCATGTTGGGATGGGGCTTGTTTGCTTGAAAACAGAAATTCAGTTGGAGGCCTTGCCCTGCCTATCTGGAGTGTGGCTCCTGAGCTGTGCACTTATACAATACCCACTATATCACCCCCAACAATCGACCCTGTGCTTTTCAGCAAAACAGTGTCACCGATCCTTCCAACTCACCACCCACAGGTGCCAGGATAAGTGTGACCCTTGCCCCATTAAAGGATGGAAGCATCGTTAACGCCGGGCCTCCGGGAAATGACTTTCACACAGGGAACCTCAAGGCTGCTGGAGGCATACCAGCCCGGCTTCCCCCTCCCGGGCTGGGTGGTCTCTCCTTTGTAGAGGCAGCCCCCACTCTACCCTCCACCCACTCCACCCACTCGTCTGCTCACATCCATCCATTTCCCCACCTCTCTTTCCATCTCCCCACACACCCACCCTTCCTCCCCTCTCACTTCCCCCATGTACCTGACAAGCCACCAACCAGCCACTCACTCATTCATACTTTTACCCTTCACCCATCCATCCCTCTACTCACCCACTGACCCGTCTGCCTATCTGTACTCCCCTGTGCACCACCCGCTTCCTCTTCCTCTCCTCCTCTCCCCACCCTCCCACCCTCCCACCCACTCACTTCTCCATCCACTCACCCATCCACCTGTCCATCCATCAACTTACCTATTGGCTTTACGTTGTCTCTCTATCCATCTTCTTATCCTCCCATACAACCATATACCCACCCATCCATCTTCCCATCCATCTACCCATCCATTCCTCCATCTACCCTTCCATTCCTCCATCCATTTATCCATCCATCCATCTCTTCATTCACCCATCCATCTATCCATCTATCTGTTCATCTATCCATCCATCCATCCGTCCATTCACCCACCCATTCATGCATCCTCCCATCCATCCACCCATTCATCCACCCATCCATCCACCCATCCATCCTCCATCCATTCATCCATCCTTCCATCTCTTCATTCATTCATTCATCCATCCATCTATCCATCTATTTATTCATCTGTCCATCTACCCATCCACTCATGCATCCTCCCATCCATCCACTCATGCATCCAACTCTCCATTCATCTATCCATCTCTTCATTCATTCATCCATCCATCTATCCATGTATCTATTCATCTATTCATCCATCCATCCACCCACCCACTCATGCATCCAAACATCCATCCTCCCATCCATTCATCCATCTATCCATCAGTTTATTCACCCATTCATCCTATCCATCCACCCATGCATCTGTCTATCCTTCCACCTATCTGTCCATCTATCCATCAATGTATCCACCCATTCATCCCATCCACCCATCACCAAGTTCCAAAACATGTAAGACAGCCTAGATCTTCCCGGAGACCATCTATCATGGTGGTAAAAAGCATGGTTTCTGGCAGCAAGGGTGAGTTGTACAACCTTCCTGCACCCCAGTTTCTTCATCTGGGAAAGGAAGTGACAGGAGCACCTGCCTCTTGGGGTTTTGGGGAGAACTGACGAGACCGTCAATGTGATGCCCCTGCACAGAGCTCAGTCCAGGGCTGGTGCTCAGTGATGTAGCCTGCAGTTAATGTGCACTGAGTGCCATCTCCCCCCCAGCTGTCCATACTGTGCTCTTTAAACACAGAGACATCTAATTGCTCTCAGAAACACGAGGGCTTTCTGTTGTTTAATAGCAGGAGACTCTGATGGAAAATCCCAGTTCAGATTTTAAAACACCACCACCAATCCCAAATGAGTTTTCAAGGCGGGTTCTGCTTCTCTCTGCAAGTGAAACCTACGGCAAGTCAGTGTTTCAGACCCAGCTAAAGCCCGGTTTTTCCATCTCTAACAGGGAGGTGCTATTATTTACCTGATCCAACTCAGTGGGTTGTTTAGGATTAAACGAGTGACACATTTCATGAAAGGGCTCTGCAAACCGTAAAGCTCTGTAAGCAGCTCAGGGCATGGGCCACCCCCAGCCACACGGACAGGGAGAGCCTCTTCACCCTGTATACCCCTCCTTCCTGTGTGTGGACAGAAATGGGCTCATTTACGCACTGAACACACACGCAGCACCTTCCGAGCCCCCAGAAGGAATGGTGAAACAAAGGGAGGATGAGACAGTCCCGTGGAGCTCGGGGTAGGTGCCTAACACCACGACAGCTCAGGCAGAGAGCAGTCACCCCACACAGCACCCCACACCGGTGACCCTGACTTCCGCGAGTGTTCTCCACACCCATAGATCTGCAGCTTTAAAGCAACAATCCCAGAGGCTGCGGGGCAGGACCCCCACCTGGATCATTGGGGGCTGGAGCAGACTTTGCAGGAAGCATCTGTGGCCTCCTGTGCCCATCGCAGCAATGTGTGTGTGGCACCCAGCACTCCTGGGCCGCCCCAGCCCGTTGCTGGGAGCTTTTTTCCCACTGTGGTAAACTACACTTAACATAAGCGTTCGTTTTAACACTTTGAAGCGCAGAGCTCTGCGGCGTTAGTGTATTCACATAGCTGTGCGGACATCACCTCCTCCAGAATTCTTTTTCCTAAAATAAAATTCTGTCCCCATTAAACACAAACTTCCCACTTCCCCTCCTGCCAGGCCCTGGCAACCGCTGTTCCACTGTCCGTCTCTGTGATTTTGACTGCACTATGCTCACATAAATGGAACCTTATAATAATTGCCCTCTTGTGACCGGCTTATTTCACTTAGCATGATAATGTTCCGAAGCGTGTGTCGGAATTGCCTTCCTTTGTAAGTCTGAGTGGTTGCCATTCTATGTAGAGGCGGCACTTTGCTTTCGTGCCCGTCTGCCCGTGGACACTGGGTTGGTTGCAGCCACATTTTGGTGATGTGAACGGTGCTGCTGTGAGCGTGGGGTGCAGACCTCTCTTCGGGTCCTGCTTCCTGTTCCTTACGATGTCTGCTGAGAAGTTGAATTGCTGGACCCGGCAGTAACTCTAGGTTTAATTGTGTAAGGAACTCCAAGCTGTTTTCCACAGGGGCCTCACGGTTCCACATCCCCACCAGCGATGCACAAGGCGTCCCCTTTCTCCCAATCCTTGCCAACACTTGTGAATGTCTGTTTTTTTATAATAGCCATCCTAAGGATTGTGAAATGGTGCTGGGGCTTTTTGCAAATATAACCAACCCAGTCACCGCCCCTGGGAGAATGGTGACTTGGCTGCTGCGGGTGATGTGCCCTCACCCATCCTGTGCCCAAGAGGGGCTGGCAGAGGGAGGGCCTTTTGCCTGCGTTTTGAAGGCAGACCTTCAGGGTCTCAGCTGGCTCTTCTGTGTCCCCTCCATGTTCTGTTTGACTGCAGGCATCCCCATGGTCCCCTGAGAAGGACAGGGCACAAGGGAACGAGGGGCGGGCAGGGGCCCAGGGGCCGGGCAACAGAGGCTGGGCTATCACCACCAGAGAGGGCATCCCAGGGAAGCTGCTTGGGAATTCTGGGGGTTGGAGTAGGAGGAGGAGGATTCTCTGGGGGCTGACCAGTTTTGCACACACTTGCCACCCACTTCTGCCTGAGCGCTAGGGCTGCAAGCACGTCTTCCTGGTCCGCGCCTGCCCCCAGGATTTCCCCACTGTGCTCCCAGAGCCTGCCCGCCCATAGTTGGTCCTGCTAGACTCCAGAGCAGGGGGCAGGACACAGGCCTCGAAGCTTTGGAAAATGACTTAGTGGCAGTGGGGGCTTCCCGCAGTCTTCCAGGGAGGGGCAGAGAGCATTTTCCTGAGCCCCAGAAAGTGTGGCCGTGACAGCAGCAGGCCTGAGTCCTCTCCAGTACAAGGCAGGCAGGACGCCAGCGGCTGGGCCTGCTGATGAATGCGGGGGGCTCCACACGCGTGGGGGTCCACCGTGGGTCATTCTTCCGAGTTTTTTCCTCATCTCACTTCCAATACAGAAAGCTTGCCCCGCCCTTCCTTTGGCAACTGGGCTAATGGCCGTTGCTGAAATTTTTAGGCAGTTTACCTTCTGCGGATTCACTTCTCTTTAAACTTCAGACCATGAATCGCATAAGAAAAAGCACTCCCAGAGCCTCTCAATGGAATGTGGCAACAGCAGAGCCAGTGTGAAAAGGCAGAAAGTGGCTCCTATTTAATCTGGGAGAGTTTGGCTCCAATCATTAAAAATGAAAGAGAGAAAAGAAGTTTCTTTTTAAGAGAGAGACCTGCTAGGGCTCTTGTTCCATTAATAAGCCAAGTGATTTTTAAATGAGGATCTTTGCTTGAATAATTCGTTTTATCATTTACCAACTAAAATGGAACATCAATCCCTGTTCCCGTCGCAGGGCTGTCCCCGGCAGCCTTGCTGCCTTTTACTTGTCTCTGAGCCCAGCGAGCGTGGCCTTTTGTCTATCTTTGCGAGGCTCTGGCCTCTCTTCCACGGGGCTTTCAGCCCAGCTGTGGCCTAGGATGGAAGGCAGGAGACAAGGCTGCCCGTCCCACCTGCTCTTCTCCCAGCGCCTGGAGGCTCCAGAGTTCCACGCCCTCCCCTGGTGCCCCAGACTCCTGAGTCGCTCCGTCACTGTGAAGCACCAGGTGCCTGAACCCCAGAGGGAAGCCCAGGAAGCCTCCACAGGGGCGGTAGAATGCCAGGCTTTGCAGGAAGATTCTACCACCAGGCTGCATGGAGGGCAGCTAGCTGGGGGCCCACCCTCCCTGAGCTGCACCAGGGCCGGGCCACTCACCTCCCCTGATGGTCCCCTGCAAAGACTGCAGCAGCCTCTGCCAGTTCTGATCCACCCCTCGGCGTGCAGAGATCACCTGGACTCCAGTCCAGCAAAGGTTCCTGGGTCCATTCGGGGGCAGGCAGGGGAGCCTCAGTTTGGGGTTTTTGTTTGTTTTGCCTTCTTTGCTTTTTGCTTTTGTTTGTTTTTCTTCAAGTTCTGCTTTTTAACTTTTTATTTTGAAATATGTAATCATGATTCATGGAGAGTTGTAAGGATAGCACAGGGGTCCCAAGCACCCTCTCCCAGGAAAGGGGCACGAGGAAGCTAGTGAGGGGATGCGCGTGTGTGTCTGACTCTGCCGTTTATCACACGGGTGTATCTGTTTAACCGTTCTTAGGCTGCATAGCCGCTCCCACGACCAGAGAGACCTCCCCTACCCGCAGCCCTGAGGCTGAATCTGGGTGCTCAGTGCCCACCCTGGATCTCCTCTGAGGGTATCTGTGAAGCTGAACATCCCAGTGTGAACGTTGGAGGCGCCCTTAAGAACTGCCTTGGTTACCTGCTTTTACCTGAAGCTGCAGCTCTTTCTCACCCCTGTGTCTCAGCTCTTGGCAGTAACTCCAAGAAGCTGTCCTGTCACTGCCCTATGTCAGCTTTTCTGTGAATTTCACCTTCCTTTTTTTCTCTTTTATTTTTTATTTTTACTTCTACGTACTTTCTTCATGTCATGCTCCCATTCTCCCTTAACAAGCATCTAAACCATATAAAATATTAGCTTTGTTCTCTTCTAGCATAAAGCATCTGTGACATGGTAAGAAAAATGACATGAAAATATGGCCGGGTGTGGTGGCTCATGCCTGTAATCCCAGCACTTTGGGAGGCGGAGGCGGGCGGATCACCTGAGGTCAGGAGTTCGAGACCAGCTTGGCCAACATGGTGAAACCCCATCTCTACTAAAAATCCAAAAATTAGCCGGACATGGTGGTGGGTGCCTGAAAGCCCAGCTATTTGGGAGGCTGAGGCAGGAGAATCGCTGGAAGGAGCCCAGAACCAGGAGGCGGAGGCTGCAGTGAGCCGAGATCGTGCCACTGCACTCCAGCCTGGGCAACAAGAATAAAACTCCGTCTAAAAAAAAAATGAAGAGAGGAGAGGAGAAGAGTCGGGGAGTGAGATCACAGACATGAGGCTAATTAGGAAGTTGAAAGACAGCCAAAAATCTGAAAAAGAACAGCATCCACCATAGACGAGTGGAAGGGGGCACACATTGTTGAGGGAAGGCCCCACATATAAGGTGCTGATCTATGGATCGGCTGCCCCCTTCACACTTTCTTCCTGATCTCATGGCAGCCCTGAGTAAACACTTACCTCGATGAGTATTTCCTGCTCACCACATTGCTGAATGAATGAATCCTAAAGGAGAAATGAGATTTGTGTGGTGGCTTTCTAGGGAGAGTGTGTCCTGGCAAACGGGAACCCCTTGTGTTCTGTAGAATATCCTAATGGATTTGAATATGGCAAGGGTGTTAAAAGCATAGGAGAACTGCTGAGATATGAACAGAAGAGCAGGAAGTGTTTTGAACTCTCTGGGGGGACACTTTGGAAGGAAGTATAATGGATGGAGGAGAGCTGGGAGGGCAGCCGGGTGACATGGAGACCAACAATGGGAAGGGCCCTGGTAGTTCCCAGGGTATTGGCTGAAGAACCTGGTGAAATATAAAGATACCTGTCATTCAATTTGAGGCACAATGTGCACGTAAACCTTTCCTTTCTTCCTCTCTGCCCACATTGTGAGTTAAATCCTTTGAAAATGGGTTGGTTTCTGGTTTTACTTCGACATCTGGGTAGATGCAATGCAAAACAGAGGTGCTCTATGGGAGATGGATGGATGACGGATGGGTTATGGGACAGAAGCAAAGGTGACCCTGAAAACTGAAGCACCCTGAAAATTCCCCAAGATCTCAGTGAGACTTCAGATTCCGCACAGTGTAGGGTAGGGAATTGAAGCCAACTCAGGTTCCAGGGACCCACGGAGGCCAATAGTCACTCATGGCGTTGTGATAACGGAATGAATGACGCCATGTGGAGGGCAGCCAAGGCTGCCTAGTCATGTTCATCAAATGTCAGTCCCTGTTATTACTGCCGGTAGAATGAATGAACACGTGCATAAGTGAATGACAAGAGAAAGAAAGGGGCAGCACCAGCCTGTGTGCGGGATAAACGACGTCCCACAGTATCTGGCGACGGTTCTGAGGTCCGTGCAAGGTGGTGAATTGAAAATGTAGCACAGCAGGGATGTATCATGTAGGGCCTGCCCCTATTTCAGTGGTGGTAATCTGTGCAATTATAGTCTGTGCTGTTACATACCCACCATTCATACAGGGCTTTCCAGGGCATTCTCTGCATTGGTCCTCCTTTGGAGGCGGGGGGCAAGCATCAGACTGGCAGACACTGACTCCCTCTGCCAGCAGGGCGGCTCAGCATGGCAAGTGCCATTGAAATAATTGATTTCTTGCTTTGATTGTGTAAGATGGCTGCTCTGTCATTTCCTTGGTATGCTGGCTAATGTTCAATGCTTACAGTTCCTAACCTGAAATAAAATCATTTACGATATTAATTTCTCCACATAACCTCTTTAAGGACTTGATGAAAGCCTTGCCTAAGAGGTCATCTTGATGAGACCCGGAGTGCAACATTATTGTGGGGCAGAAGGGATACATCGCGTCAGTGCTTGCCTGCACACGGGCCCTGACTCTGCATGGTTTTAAAGAGAAAGAGGCTGTTTCCCTAACCTGGGTCTCCTCTGGCTATTTATATTCTTAACGCAGCGCAGAAGGCTCGAGCTTTGTGGGGACTCTTGGATCTGTGAACAGCGTCTTTATTTCTTGGTGGGCTTTAGGTCAGCTGGCCGATTATTTTATGTCCTTTTTATAGTGAGAATACCATTGTGAACAGAAAATTATCTGGCTATCTCACAATGAAAATGCCCATCTTTGTCATCTTGGAGCCGCTGTGTCAGATGCTGAACCCAAACCCAGCTCGGCTTCGTCATAATTGCCTTCTGTTCAGTTTTGAAGTAATTACTGTCTTATAGGAGTTCTGTTGTTTTATCTTAGTGGATAGTTCACTTGGGAGAGCTGATGGGAAAAAGAAAGCCATAGATTTGGCTTCCCCATGAAGCTCCACAGCTTCTGATGGTTAGTGGTATATTTTGATATAAAATCCCAGAGAAAATAGCAAGATCTCTCTAACTGGAGGAAGGCGTGCGCTCAAAGTCGTTGACTCTTCTTGGTCTTTGTGACATTATCAGCAGGGAAACCCAGGCCAGCCTTGCGGCCTGGTGAGACTGGAAGCCAGCTCAGAGAGCACGCACAGCAGCAACGTCACGTGCCTCGGCGGCCTGGCTCACGGCCGATGCAGTAGCCCACACCATCCAGGGTGCATGAGGGCCCCAGCTGCAGAGATGAATGTGCACGTGCATACATGCGAATCTGACTCAGAAGACAAGCATGCAAGTAGACACATTTTCCGAGTGTAGACCAACCACCCAGCCCTGTGCTGGCTTCCGGGGCCTATGAGGGGGCTGCTGCTGTTCAGGGGGATTGGAGGAGGGTTTAGAGAAGGGGAGGAGCTATTGTCATGTGAGTGGAATACTGCCACCATGATGAGACAGGTAAAAATAAATCTGTAGGTTGGAGTCCGGGTCACACCCCTCGAGGAGGAGAGGAGGGATGCTTCGAGACGGACTGGAGATGCATCTTTAAGAGTTGGCAGGAATTTGCTGGCAGAGAATTTATAGAGCAGCCTTGAATCCATACATGATTTTCCTACTGATGGAAAATTCTGCTTTCATCACCCAGCAAACTCAGCGGAGATTAATTAAACATGAGACACTGATTAATGTTTGAAGGGTAGCGGGAGTGTGGGCTACGCTGTTGGTCTGTCTTTGGGTGATTCTTGGTTCCGTTTCTGCTAATAACTCCTTAATACTGCGAGTTCCAGCTCTGAGATGGGGGAAGCGAGTGGTGCCGGGCAAGGCAGCTGGGCCTGCTGTGGGAACGCCCAGCCTGCATTCTGGAGGGTGGTAGCTGGTGGCTACGTTTGCTGCACGTGGCTGGGCAGGTGGGTGCCAGAGGCCCAGGTGGGTCCCTGGGACGTGCACCTCCATGTTTTCCCCAGCCCTGTGCTGCCCTCTCAGCTGCAGGCGCTGGGCAGGGTGGGGCACAGGAAGGCGGCAGGATGGAAGGGGACCCCGGAGAGGGAGAAGGCAGCCTGGCACAGGGTCTGGGGAGAGGAAAGCCTCGATGTAGCTATGTGCCAGTGATTTGGGGGAGTTTTCAGCCCTTTCCCCATTTCATGATTGATGTCTGCTCAGAGGCTTCTAGAAGGTTGGCCCTTTTCATCCGCTCAGCACAGAGGATCCAAGGGAGCTCAGCAGGGTGGGCCACCCCTCCAGCTCCCCACAGCCCACCCCTCCAGCTCCCCACAGCCCACCGGCCCCTTCTCTCAGTTGTTCCCACAAACCAGGCCTTCTCCTCCCAACCCCCTGCTACCCCAGAGCCCTCAAGGAATCATCAGACTTTGCCACCTCAGTTCATTCTGGCTCAGAATACATCCCTCACCTCAGCACCCTTGGTTTAGCAGATGTTTCCAGCTGCCTAGTGGGTGTCCAGAAAGCCCTGATCCCACCACACCTACAGCTTTGGGATCAGATGGGGCTGCCTGACCCACCAGGCACCACAGCACCCAGGACACCTACAGCTTTGGGATCAGATGGGGCTGCCTGACCCACCAGGCACCACAGCACCCAGGACACCTACAGCTTTGGGATCAGACGGGGCTGCCTGACCCACCAGGCTCCACAGCACCCAGGACACCTACAGCTTTGGGATCAGACGGGGCTGCCTGACCCACCAGGCACCACCAGGCACCACAGCACCCAGGACACCTACAGCTTTGGGATCAGATGGGGCTGCCTGACCCACCAGGCACCACAGCACCCAGGACACCTACAGCTTTGGGATCAGACGGGGCTGCCTGACCCACCAGGCTCCACAGCACCCAGGACACCTACAGCTTTGGGATCAGACGGGGCTGCCTGACCCACCAGGCACCACCAGGCACCACAGCACCCAGGACACCTACAGCTTTGGGATCAGATGGGGCTGCCTGACCCACCAGGCACCACAGCACCCAGGACCACGTGATATTTAGCAGCCTCTGAAATGTTTTCTTTTAAAATCAGAAAGAAAAAATGAGTATGGTCTAGCCCAGGTTGTAGTCATCTTTTTACCAATACGGTCATGAATGAAATATAATTCTTAATTTTATTGTTCTAGAGGAAGGGGCCACCAAGGCAAAAGTGCCTGAGGCCCACGGAAGTCCTAGGGCACCCTGGGGTTTGGAATGGGGAACCAGCAGGTGGATGGCAGAGGGGTGTGGAATGGGGAACCAGCAGGTGGGTGGCAGAGAGGTCTACACTACAGAAGGAAGTGCTTACCAGGCTGGGCAGCAGGTGTGGGCAGGACAGAAGGCTTAAGGGGGAGGGTTGTTGAAGGTGATCAAAGATGAGAACAGAGAGGTGGCCAGAGCCAGGTTGTATCTGCAGGCGAGAACTTGGGGTTTTACTTGGAGCACAACAGGATCTGGTGGGCAGTTTGAAGCACAGGCAGACACGAACCGCATGATCCTTAAGAATCCCCCAATGAAGGCAGAAATAAAAGTCCTCTTGCTTTTGTTTCCTATTGTGCTGTAACAAATTACCATAAGCTGATTGCCACACAGTCCTGTAGGTCAGAAGTCTTACAGGGCTATAATCCAGGTGTCTGCAGGGCTGGTTCCTTATTGAGGCTCCAGGGGAGAAACCACTTCCTTACCTTTCCATTTCTGGAGGCTGCCTGCATTCCTCAGCTCGTAGCTCCTTCCCCCATCTCTGAAGCCAGAAAATGTATCATTTAGACCTCTGCTTCCATCCTCGCATCTCCTACTCTGATTTTCCTGCCTCCTTCTTTCCCTTTTAAGGATCCTTGTGATTACTTTTAGGACTGACTTGGATGATACAAGATGATCCCCTCATCTCAAGATCCTTAACTCAGTCACATGTGCAAAGTCCTAGTTGCTATGTGTCTTAGTCCATTTTCAGTTGCTACAACTGAATAGCTGAGACTGGGAAATTTATAAAGAAAATGAATGTCTTTCTTTTAGTTCTGGAGGCTGTGAAGTCCAAGACCAGGCAGATGCATCTGGCCGGCTTCAGGTCAGGGCCATGCACTGTGTCATAACATGAGAGAAAGCATCACAGGGAGGGGGGGTGTAGAGAGAGCCAGACTGGCTTTTATAACAGGCCCACTTTCGTGGTAACGACCCCACCCCTGTGATAACCTATTAGTCTGTTAATCCACGAATGGCTCTGCCCTCATGACTCAGCTACCTCTTAAAGGCCCCACCTCTCAGTACCGTTACATTGGGAACTGAGTTTCAATATGAGTCCCAGAGGGGACAAACATTGAAACCATAGCACCGTGTAAGGTCACAAATTCACAGGTTCTGGGGATTAGGGCAAGGCCACTAGGGGGACCATTATTCTGCCCACCACACCTCTGGAGAGAGGGAAACGTGTGCACTAATGCCCTGAGTGTGTCAGGGGACCAAGAGGTGCATGTCCCATCTCTCCTTCACCCGTGTGTCCCATGTGTGTTGAAGAACACAGCATTTAGTGTAATCGGACCAGGCTTCCTCTTGAGACCTCAGGACTCCACCAGCTCAGAAACTGTTTTCTGTGGCTGTCATTGGCCACGGTGGCTCTTCTTTGATCAGCAATGCTGTACACAGCCAGCTGCTGCTACACCAGATCCTCACGGTTTTCTGTTCCATGTTCTTTAACTTTGGACCCGCCCTTTCCTTAATCCATCTGAGTTCCCCTCGTCATATGTGCTTTGGCACTGGGGCATCCCCAGTAGGCGGAGCCCCTGCTACATGAGTCCAGAAAAAAATAAATGATTCCAACACTAGTTAAAGAAGGCAAGGAAGACTTTCTGGGAGAATTTTGCTAGAAGGGAGTGGTAGAATTCAACTCTGAATACAGCAAAGACAGCTGAGGGTTGACAGCCAGTGAGCAGAGTGAGGGGTCAGGGGATGGAAAATTACAGACAGGAACAGGATTGGATAGCAAGGGTGGGGATTCTTGCTAAAGGCAGGCCAAGCAGTTAGATACCAAGGGTGGGGAATGAGGAACTTGATCCAATATCAGGAGTGTGGAGGAGAGTTTCAGTGAATGAGCTGAGCTTTGCCAAAACCAGGCTTGGCAGGCCAAGGTCAAGGCTCCGTCCAGAAGAGGGCCCAGAGGAGACTGAGTGAAGTTCTTTCAAAAAGGGAGGCCACGTCACAGGCGCGTTTTAATCATCGGAGCACTCCTGAGGGTGGAACAGGGTCAGCACCTCCTCACAGATGCACAGGGCTGCGCAGAGCCCTTCGAGGACGGGGAGCAGAGGCTCAAAGCCAAGGCCAGTGAACCCGCCTGGTGCCTTCGACAGCTCTACCATCCTGCCTTGGCCTCCCCCTGCACCCCTCAAGTCCTGGTCCCAGATACTTGCAATAAAGGAGCCACAGAGCCCCCGCTTTGAATGACGTGAGCGGGCTTTCCAGGAAGGGGAACTGCCAGGATGAGATGATTACCAGCCAGAGGAGAAGCACAAGGTCACGGAGCGGGCTCAGGAGGGGCGGTCTCCCCAGGCCCCACCCGCTGCCTCCACAACCAGGGCAAAGCCAGGGCCAGAGGGGCTTCTTCAACAACATCAACAATCCGTCTATGTGGTGGGGCTCTGCCCTACCGTTCCTGGCTTCGTGGAGTTCTGAAATACTTTGTGCATAGGAAGGGGCAGCCCACCGTCAGCCAGGAACAGCAGTCCACAAGCTGATGTGGAAACCCTCCTCCCCGGCCTGTCCAGCCTGCAGAAAACACATGCTGTGAGCTGGATCCAAAACAGAGAAGCATTTAGGGAGGAGTCGCTGAGTCGTGCGGCCTGAGGAAGGGACCCCGTCAGCCGACTCCAGACCAGCCTCTCAGCTTGGGCTGTGGGCGCCGGCTCTCTGTGTGCTCACATGGCGGGCGAGCTCCCGGGAGTCTCTTCTTACAAGGTCACTCATCACAAAGGCCCCACTCTATTGCCTCAGTTAACCTTCAATACTTCCTTGGAGGCCCCATCTCCAAATTCAAGCACACTCAAGTTAGTTACTAGGTTTTCAGATGCATTCTTTCCCTGTGTTGCCAACAGTTTCCATTGTTGTGTGCTTGTAACTCTTGATCCCATCTGCCTTTTGGAACAGTGGATAAGAGACAGCCAAGTCTAGAATTCCAGCTTTGCCCTGCATGGCTGTGCTATGTTACCTAGGGCCTGTTACTTAACCTCTCTGAGCAGCAAGTTCATAGTTAAAAAGTGATTGCCGGCCAGGTGCAGCTGCTCACACCTATAATCCCAGCCCTTTGGGAGGCTGAGGTGGGAGGATCACTTGAGCCCAGGAGTTTGAAACCAGCTGAGGCAACACAGTAAGACTTCATCTCTACAAAAATTTTTTTTAAAAGTTAACCAGGTATGGTGGCAACACACCTGTGGTCCCAGCTACTCAGGAGGCTGAGGCAGGAGGATAGCTTGAACCCAAAGTCAAGGATGCAGTGAGCTATGGTCACACCACTGTACTGCAGCCTGGGTGACAGAGTACGACCCTGTCTCAAAAAAAAAAAAAAAATTAACTGCTAACATTTCCTGGTGCTTCTGCAGTGCAGGGAACCATGCGGAGAGCTGCACACCCACTCTATTTCACCCCCCTTCAACCACCCAGAACCACAGGGTGCTGTGGTTATCACCTGCACACACTAAGGGGGAAACTGAGTCACAGAGTGGTGAGGTAGTTTGCCCAAGATCACACAGCCTGCTGTGTGATGGAGCCATGACTCAAACCCAGGTCTTCTGACCCCAGAGTTAGTCCTGCCCCCTCTTATAAGGTGGAGGGAAAGATAGCGCCTTCCTCCTGAGGGTGGTGGATAAGAGGGCAGACAGCCAGTCTGGATTCCAGCTCTGCAGTGCACATGTCTGAGACTCACAGGCAATATTGTGTGTACAGGGCCTGGCCCAGCCCCAGCATGCAGTGAGCTCAGGAGAAATATTCTAACAGTCTGTGTGGTCACTCACAGCCCAGGTCATGGTTTCCACCAGGCTTGGAATCATACCCCTTTCAGCTCAGAGGACCGAGCATGCAGTGTGATTCCCGCGGTGGGAAGTCAGCTCATTAAAGAACCCGGCACCTAGATCAGGGGCCTCTTCACGCTGCCTGGATGTCCGTTCAGGAACTCGGCTGAAATTTAAACCTCCTGACACTCTGGTCCCCAGGCCTTCACACACTGGGCCATCTTCCGTGAGTGTTTATTCAGCCCGCACCTGCTCAGCATCCCTGTTCAGAGCTCTGGTCAGGCATGTTCCTGCCACCTGACAGCCACCCTTCTGAAGGGACACACACAGAGGACCAGGGCACAGTGATCACCGGCTGTGGGCATGGGTGTCAGACACACCTGGGCTCACCCTGGCTCTGCCATCTTCTACCTGTGTGACCCTGGGCCAGCCGTTCACCCCCTCTGGGCCTCAGCTCATTGTCAAGTAGAGAGAACGGGGTTGCTGTGGGGGATCCCTGGGGGGACGAAGGTAAAGAGGGGCCGTGCCCTGGGGCTCTGAGCAGCTTCTGCTCTCACTCCTGCAGGCAGGTGAGGGCTACAGACACAGATCAGGCCTCGGCGCCCCGGCTGCTCGCCTGCCTCCCTGAGTCCCAGACACATCAGCCTCCAGTTCATTAAGGCCAAGAGCACTAAAAATTCTGCAGAAACACTTCAAGGAAGGGCTATGAATTAAATAACCACAGGAAAGCTTTTGCTAAGGAGTTAAGGCTAAATCCAGCCTTAAACATTTGATTAGAACATTTTCTGATTCCAGTGTACTGGAATACTGAACTTCCACGTTGGCTCAAAACTGCAAGTGTGGTTAAAACACACTGTCTGTGATTCGGGAAGACTGGGAAAGTGAAGGCTCCAGGGAGTGGGCTCTCGAGCGTTTGCCTAGTGAGTTCACTTCAGCCATTCTTGTTGTTCTTGACAATTATGCAAAATTGAGCACAGGATGCTTGGAGGGAGAGAGGGTGACACCCACCCAGCCTGTCCTCTCCATCCACACGAATGTTTAGGGAAGGAGATGCCTCATCCAGCCAGTATAGCGCCAGGCACGTGTTCCCAAGCAGGTTCCCTTGGGTTCCCAGCAGCTCAGCCTTGGGTAGGATCAGGGTCTCATGCCCCAGGTGATTGGATCCAGAGCCACCAAAGTCCCCTTGCAGACACCCTTCCTTGCGGGTGGTACCTGGCTGTCTGCCTGGAGGCATCTCCCTCACGCTTTGCCCTAGCGCAACTTGTCCTAGCAGAAGTCCAAAAACATGATTCACATAGAATTGTAAAAAGCCAAAGGGGTGATTTGCAGAAGTAAAATGAAATTGTCAAATGCCAGAAACACATGCTTTTATGTCTTTGTATCTCAAAGTGATAGTCAAAGCATCTAATAGGAAAAACACATCAGTATGCACACACATATTCTCTCTCCCTCTCCCTCTCCCTCTCCCTCTCCCTCTCCCTCTCCCTCCCTCCCCCTCTCCTCTCTCTCCTCACAAGGTGTCAAGGGGCTTTAGGTACATGGGTGGGGAAGATCTTCCCCACCAGGCTGATCCCCATCTGGGAGGCTACTGCTGGTTTTCCAAATGTGGAGAAGAGCCAGGCTGGTGTTCTGTGTCTGTGGGGTGCTTGCTCTGTAGGTACCACGGGGAGTTGATCACAGGCCCTGACCCATCTATTGCCTCTGAATGGGTGTTTGCTTAGGACAGTACAGCAATGTGTCAGACTCAGAGGGAGAACAGCCCCCAGGGGACAGTTAAACAGCAGCCATTATCAGAAGCACAAACCGAGACTGGCAGTCTCAGGCCACACTGGTCATGAGCACACCCCTGCAGGGGCTGCGGCCTGCCGAGTGAGTGGGGGATGGACACAGGTTGGCCGGCAGGAACCCTGACTGCTGGGTGCCAGGACAGAAGAGGAGACGCTTCCCAATTAGGGGCACGACTCACTGCAGGCAGGCGTGGGCTCCAGCCACCTCTGACTTCCCTTGCCTGCCATTGCCCTCAGAGGAGCGCAGGTGCAGAAGGCACCGGCCACACCACACCATCGATTGAGTATTGCAGGGAACAGAAAAGGAAGATGAAGACTTGTTCAAGATGCTAATTCATTGTCTGGGTCTTTCTGATGGAATGTGGGAATAGGAGGCAGTGAGAAGGTCAGGGCTTTCAGTAGGGAGGAAGAAGGGTCAGCCCGGGTTGGAGAGGCACCCGCAGCTGGTGATTATCAGAGCCTGCTTGTGCTTGCATTATGTATAAGGACTCACTCCTCTGTGCAGACAGGATTTCTCACTTAACCTCTGAGGGCCGGCAGTGTGATGTGGAGAAGGCACACAGACCTCAGGTCCAACCGAGCTGGAGGCACACCCGGGTCCGCAGCTCCTCACAGGGCCAGCTCTGCCGAGCCCCACTTTGTCGTCTAGACAGTATGGGGTGGGGATTTGGAAGTGAATGCTATGATGAGCTTGCTCTCGCCCATCCTTTTCCCATTTCCCATGTTGGAGAGTCTCTCATCATTCCTTTACCATCAGAACCACTGCAGGGGGTGAATGGCGAGAAGAGCTGCTGGCTGCAGGGCATAAAGGTAGCTTTTTGAGGCGCGCTCCCAGGGTTCATGTTGAGCCAAGTCAAACCACCACTCTGGGTCCCAGTATTTGCATGTGTTACGGGGATAGCAATGGCCACACCTCTCCCAGCTTGATAACGAAAACCAAGTGTGTTAACATGTAAAGTGCTTAGAACAGTGTCTGGCACTGCGATTGCTGACTACAGGTTTGCAGGAATCCTACTTTTATGGGAAGGAGTTTGTCCTGGAGTCTGTCCTGCAGGTGGCCCCACCTCGCAGGTGGCCATCGGGGGCCATCTGGTCAGCCCTGCTGCAGGGGACTTGCACCAACCTCCTCTCCTCCAAATTTAAGATTCTCAATTATGTTTTATCTATATTCGTTTATTTTCTAGTGATTTCATGGTTTTAGCTCTGCCTTCAGCATGAGCTGATAACAGTGATGGTCACATATCTGACTAATTCCAGCCCTGTTCAACCTCACCTGCACACGTGTGTCTGCCAGTGGGCTCTTCCCCCTTCTATGGCTGCCAGATTCCAACTACATCAAGGGCGAAGACCCCACAGGGCCCCCCGAGCACGCACGCTCACCTTTTGCATCACAGACCCATCCTGTGGCCAGAGCCCAGGGTCAAGAGGAGCACGTCTGGCAGAGAGTTCAAAGAGGCGTGCTGGGCTCCGCTGCCTGGGGCCGTGTAGGCCAGGTGTGTGGCATAGATCTTCCTCTAAACCCTTTGTACTTTCTCCCTCACTTCTTTTTAAACCACCTTCCCTTGCACACTACTCCACTGAATTCATTTTTGAAATTCTGGAAGTTGTACATCCAGGTCACCGCTTATCAGTTGTCATGAAACTCTCCTTCGAAAGTGAAAAACTGACATCTCTGCGGTGGAGACAGGGAATCAAGGAGCCCGGCACTGATGACAGGTGCATCGCTTCCTGCAGGAAGAGACTTGTAGGCTTGACTCCTGCCGGGAGCGCGCGTGGCTGAACGGGGGCTCGGTATCCACTTTGGAAGATTGGATATTTGGAAACCGCAGAGCAGCTTGCAGGAAGCGTTTGTGTTTGTGATTAGCTTGCAAGAAGAGCATGGCGGGCCGTGAGCAGGTCTGTGATCTCTTACTCCCAGGACAGTCCCTTGGCCCTGGACTCACTCGTTATTTCCTGGGCTGTGACACCTGAAAGAAGGAAGACTGAGGCAGGACCTTTTGTTAGCCTGTGTCTGACCTCCAGGACGCTGAGCTATGGCCCGGCTCCAGGCATTGTGGCCTGGGATCTGAGAGTGTGAAACTCACTGCAGAGGATGCCGGGCCTTCTGCCTGCGCCGGAGCCCTGAGTCTCCCCAGGTTGTGCCAGCAGCTCCACTCTCCTGGGCACATTTCCTAAATGGGCAGTCAGCGGCTATCCCAGTCTTACCTGCCTCTCCTTCTTGCCTCTTCCAGTGTATTCTCCTCCATGCCGCTGCCCGGCCCATCAATATTCTTATACCAAAAATTAGATCATGTGACTGCTTTGCTCCAAATCCATCAGCGGCTCTGTATCCCATTTGGAGTGAAATCAGAAGAATCTCTTCCACAGGGGCCCTCCCTGCTCTGGTCACCGCTGACCTCGTTTACTGTTCAAGATTCCAGCTGCGTGAAAACAGGGTCTGTGTTTTGTTCACCAGTGACTGCTTAGTGCTGTCTTGCACAGAGGCAGCAATCTGTATATACTTACTTGTGGAATAAATGCCATGTTTGTCTTCTCTAATGGGCTGTATGTTTCTATAAGTTCATATGCATAAGATATATATGTACTGCGTATCTGGAAGCGTGGGTAAATGCTGGCTGATACTGTCATTAACCGGTGTATCTTCATATTAGCCAGGAAGCTTTTCTATTAAACATTTCTTCCCTCTTACTAAGCATCTACTGTATATCAGGCCCTGTGCACAGCCAGGAGGACACACCCTGGCATGAGACAAGTAGCTTCCCCACCTTTAGAAAAACTACATCTAGAATCAGCATAGATGATCCACCCATATACTGAGTTTATATTGTATTTTAAAAGGTTTATTTCCATACTTAAAGGTAACAATAATTACAGGTCTTTAGTGATGCTAATTCAGAAATAAGTAGTATTTTGCTAGTTTTTCCAAGAGCTAACAATTAGCTCCGTCTCTCTTGCTGGTGTGAGATGTATTTCATGTAGATATTAGCAGGGGGTTTAATCAACACTTCCATACACAGATTATCTATATAATTATGCTCTTCAGTGGCCCCATATTTATTTCCACCCAGGGCTAACATCGAACCTTTACTGAAGGTGGTTTTAACCCATGGCGTGCAGCACAGAGGGCACTGGTGTGCTTGTGTGAGTTAGCCTCGTGCTTGGCCGTGCACTGGTGTGCTTGTGTGAGTGAGTTAGCGCCGTGCTTGGCCGTGCACTGGTGTGCTCGTGTCAGTGAGTTAGCACCGTGCTTGGCCGTGCACTGGTGTGCTCGTGTGAGTGAGTTAGCCTCGTGCTTGGTCACGCACTGGTGTGCTTGTGTGAGTTAGCGTCATGCTTGGCCGTGCACTGGTGTGCTTGTGTGAGTGAGTTAGCATCGTGCTTGGCCATGGCAGTGAGTTCTGATTGCAGGGTCTCAACGCTCAGGGAAGGACGAGTGCCCCTTCTGTGCCATTTTCCAAAACTCTAGGGATATTGAGTCTTGCTCAGGTCACCCAAAGGCACATGTCCCAGCCCCGAGTCAAGCGTACAGGGGCCTCCCGGGAGCACCCTTGTGCCTGTCGCGGCGTTCCTCTCCTTCTGCCGCTTTCCCACCCCTTATGACCGGCAGCCTGTTTCACAGGGGTCCTAGGTGCGGTCAGCCCCCGCCTGGAGGCCACGGGGCGCCCTGAGCAGTGTGTGGGTTGGACTCACACCTGCACCGGGACTCTGGCTTCTCCATTTAGTTGCCCTGTTACCTCAGGCAGGCGGCCCCACCTCGCAGGTGGCCATCGGGGGCCATCTGGTCAGCATTGCTGCAGGGGACTTGCACCAACCTCCTCTCCTCCAAATTTAATAATTCCCAATTATTTTTTTATCTATATTCATTTATTTTCTAGTGATATCGTGGTTTTAGTATCTTTCTCAGGATTCTCTCTGTCTTAATGTTAAACACAATTGTTTAAAAAATGGCATTCCGATTTTCAGTCATTCTGTCTTTGAGGCTGTGGGTGGGAAGCCATCGGGGCTGGGCGTGCCAGGCAGGGCCCCAGCTCTGGGGTGGAAGGGAGGCCCTGCAATGGTCCTGCTACTGAGGCAATAGAAAGTCACAGGGGAGAGGAGAGTCCCGCAGGAGGAGGTGATGGACCCACTGGGTGGTGAAGAACAGTTTCTCTTCCACACATTTATTTAGAAGATGGCCTCGGCCAGGACGGCAGCCTGTGGTCCCAGGGAGGAGGAAGAGTGAGCCAGGTGCCGTGGGGTCTGTGCACGTGCCAGCGCTTTTAATGTCACCGTCTCTTTATTAAAGTACATAATATACACTCATGATAGGAAGAGCTGAAAATACTGGAAAGAAAATAAAAATCCTACAGAACCCCAGTATCCACGTGAAACTATGGTGACACCTTCGAACAGTTCCTTCCACCCTCTTACTCCTTTGTATACGCAGCTATGTATGTGGTTTCGCTTATTGCAGTGGGACCGTACCCTACATACTAAATAGCACGAGGCTTGGTCGCTTAGCAGTAACCATGCACACCTGCTGTTTTATACATTTACATCACTATTTTAAATGACTGAATTCACCATTATGAGATAACTGTCGTCTATTTAAGCGTCCTTTATGACGGTTGGCTGAGTTATCTCTAATTTTTCAAGTTCATAAATAACATGGGGATGAACACCTTTAATCTTTTTTGCATTTGTCTATTATTTCCTTAGATACATTCTTAAAAATAGGAGTCTGAGGTCACGATGCATGGACATTGATAATGCTTCTAATAAATACTTCCATATCATCTTCAGAAAAACCCGATTCCATACATCCCCACCATTGGCATTAGAGAAAAGCCACTCAAATTCATGGAATCTTGAAATTGAATTTTTCCTGGGTAGATTCCCAAGGGTTATACTTAGGAATTAATTCATGGGGTGATTTTTTTCAAATGAAAAAAAAAAAATACATTTTCCTTTCCCATAATGCCAAAGAAAAATCAAGAATTTTTTTTTGGGGGGGGGATAAAAAATGATCTCCCTTTATTACTCTCCCAAAGGTTACCAGTGTTTGAATTTATTTATTTATTTATTTATTTTTTTTTTTTTTTTTATTGATCATTCTTGGGTGTTTCTCGCAGAGGGGGATTTGGCAGGGTCATAGGACAATAGTGGAGGGAAGGTCAGCAGATAAACAAGTGAACAAAGGTCTCTGGTTTTCCTAGGCAGAGGACCCTGCGGCCTTCCGCAGTGTTTGTGTCCCTGGGTACTTGAGATTAGGGAGTGGTGATGACTCTTAACGAGCATACTGCCTTCAAGCATCTGTTTAACAAAGCACATCTTGCACCGCCCTTAATCCATTTAACCCTGAGTGGACGCAGCACATGTTTCAGAGAGCACAGGGTTGGGGGTAAGGTCACAGATCAACAGGATCCCAAGGCAGAAGAATTTTTCTTAGTACAGAACAAAATGAAAAGTCTCCCATGTCTACCTCTTTCTACACAGACACGGCAACCATCCGATTTCTCAATCTTTTCCCCACCTTTCCCCCCTTTCTATTCCACAAAACCGCCATTGTCATCATGGCCCGTTCTCAATGAGCTGTTGGGTACACCTCCCAGACGGGGTCGTGGCCGGGCAGAGGGGCTCCTCACTTCCCAGTAGGGGCGGCCGGGCAGAGGCGCCCCTCACCTCCCGGACGGGGTGGCTGGCCAGGCGGGGGCTGACCCCCACCTCCCTCCCGGACGGGGTGGCTGCCGGGCAGAGACGCTCCTCACTTCCCAGACGGGGTGGCTGCCGGGCTGAGGGGCTCCTCACTTCTCAGACAGGGCGGCCGGGCAGAGACGCTCCTCACCTCCCAGACGGGGTCGCAGCCGGGCAGAGGCGCTCCTCACATCCCAGACGGGGCGGCGGGGCAGAGGCGCTCCCCACATCCCAGACGATGGGCGGCCGGGCAGAGACGCTCCTCACTTCCTAGATGGGATGGCGGCCGGGCAGAGACGCTCCTCACTTCCTAGATGGGATGGCGGCCGGGCAGAGACGCTCCTCACTTCCTAGATGGGATGGCGGCCGCGCAGAGACACTCCTCACTTTCCAGACTGGGCAGCCAGGCAGAGGGGCTCCTCACATCCCAGACGAAGGGCGGCCAGGCAGAGACGCTCCTCACTTCCCAGACAGGGTGGCGGCCGGGCAGAGGCTGCAATCTTGGCACTTTGGGAGGCCAAGGCAGGCGGCTGGGAGGTGGAGGTTGTAGCGAGCTGAGATCACGCCACTGCACTCCAGCCTGGGCACCATTGAGCACTGAGTGAACCAGACTCCGTCTGCAATCCCAGCACCTCGGGAGGCCAAGGCTGGCAGATCACTCGCGGTTAGGAGCTGGAGACCAGCCCGGCCAACACAGCGAAACCCCGTCTCCACCAAAAAAACATGAAAACCAGTCAGGCGTGGTGGCACGCGCCTGCAATCGCAAGCACTCGGCAGGCTGAGGCAGGAGAATCAGGCAGGGAGGTTGCAGTGAGCCGAGATGGCAGCAGTACAGTCCAGCTTTGGCTCGGCATCAGAGGGAGACCGTGGAAAGAGGGAGAGGGAGACCGTGGGGAGAGGGAGAGGGAGAAAAATCAAGACTTTTTAAGAAACTTTAATTGTTGATTAGTTGTGTATTTACATTGTATGAGAAGCAATATAATCTTCAAAACACAGTCATATGTAAGATTCTTTAACTTTTCACCTGGCTCTTTTGTAATTTATTCCACAGTTTTATTCATTAGGTGTCTCTTAGTCCATTTCCGAGGTTCGTTTGGCATCAAAAACAACTTCCTAAAAATGTTTACAAAGGAAAGTTTACAAAGGAAATTAAGTTAATCAAAGCAGGATACGAATTCTGTAGGGAGTGTGGTCTCACCACTGTCAGCTTTGCCCAGGATGGCCAGCGCCAGTGGCCGTTAAACCAGTGGGCAGAGCTCTCCATGCACCAGCACAGACTGGGGGCCACGCTGCAGCCCGGGAAGGGGCTGTGCAGGGCCAGCTGCTCCTCTGAGACGGGCAGACCCAGCCCCGCTCTGGACAGGGACACGGGGGCCTGAGCCAGCCTCGCTCTGGACAGGGACACGGGGGCCTGAGCCCATGGAAACGCGTCTGCGGAGTCCCCAGTGCTGGCTGCTGTGGGGAGGAGGCGACACTGGGTCCCAGGGTGGAATTTCAGTGTCTTCATCTGAGTCAAGTTTTGCTTGTTATCTTGACAAGGATATTACGTTTGTAACTATATTAATAGCATGTGTATGTGTGGTAGGTACACACACGTAATTATGTATGCAGGCATATATGTGTATATGTCTGCTTGTGTGTATTTCACATGGGAAAACGGCTGGACACACACCTGAAAATAATCACCAAGGGTCCTTCTCAGGGTTGGGATTGTGAGTGTAATTTTTGTGCTTTAAAGTTGTATGTGCCCTGTAGTTTCCAGTGGATGATATATTACTTCATTGACACAAAGTATGTAAATATCATTTTTTAAAGTACACACTGACACACACACTTACACACACACACATACACAGAACACTCATTTCAGCCTTGCGGAGAGTGACAAGGCAAGTAGGATCCAGTTAAAAGAAACGGCCATCGTTCCAGGCATGGCTGTCCCAGGACAAGGGGCCTCTTTGACCACTGCCGTGTTCTCCTCTCTCTCTGGGATGAAAGCCCACTTTCTGGCTGGGCCCTAGCTTCAGGAAGGGGAAGCAGAAGGCAGTGCCCACCGGCCAGGAAGCTCCACTGGCCAAGAAGCTCCGCTGGCTTTTGTTGTTAGGTTGTCAGTGTGTTCCATCAGTTGGTCAGCTCTGAAAGCAGCCTCCGTGGGTCATTCATTCATTCATTCGTGGGCCAGGCCCTGTTCTGTCCTGGGCATGGGGATGCTGCAGGGTCAGCCAGCACAAGTCCCTGTCCTCAGGGACCAGGTTGTCCCATCACCTGCAGGGTCACCTGTATCACCTGCATGCAGTCGGTGAACGGCACAGCCCAGGTGAAGTGTGTGGCTAATAGAGAGCAGCCGAGCTCCAAGGCTGCATGTGCCTGGAGAGGACGTGGTTCTGAACATCACCTTGTTGTAAGAGTGTGAGAGGCTCGAGGGTGACAGCTTCAGATATCGTGAACAGTCCTGAAGGGACCCAGACCACATGAAGCCACATCACCCTGGAGGAGTGAGAGGGGCTGGTGGAGCTGAGCCCTGCTTTGGTGGAAAGTGTGGATGACATGAAGGTGGTTGAAGACTGGCTGGAGACGAACCACCCACCGTGCTCTCTGACATGCTCTTGCTTGGGATACACAGCAGGGTTTGCACTCTTAGTTAGGATGTTGCTTGGGAATGCATGCTGAGGCGGGCAGGCGCGTGCTGGGGTGGGCAGGCGCGTGCTGGGGTGGGCAGGCGCGTGCTGGGGTGGGCAGGCGCGTGCTGGGGTGGGTAGGCACGTGCTGAAGTGGGCAGGCGCGTGCTGGGGTGGGTAGGCGCGTGCTGAAGTGGGCAGGCGCGTGCTGGGGTGGGCAGGTGCCTGACTGGAGTGAGCAGGTGTATGCTGAGGTGGGCAGGTGCATGCTGGGGTGGAAAGGTTTGTGATTGGGTGGACAGGTGCGTGTTGGGGTGGGCAGGTGCATGCTGGGAAGGACAGGTGCATGGCCAGTGTGGTCAGGTGTGTGGCTGTTGTGGGGCGCAGCCTCCCCTGGCTGAGGCGTGGGTCAGTGTGCGTCGTCAGGCTTCTCTAGCTATGGTCATAGGGGCCTCTGGGCTCCACAGCCACTCTCCTGGGTGGGTAGATGTGCTTCCCTGTGTCTGACCAGGTCACCTGCCATTCTGCATCGAACTGAACCTCAGAAAATCTCTCCTCCCAGGATCGTCCCCTGCATTCGTGAATAGGAGGTGATGCCAAAGGCAGGGGTCCATTCCTCCAGGAAAGCTGCTGTGTGGCTGCGGGCAAGTCCTGTGCCTCAGCTGTGAAAGGACAGAACCAGCCCAGGTCTTAGGCTGTGTGCAGAGGCTTGGGACACAGGTGCATGTGGAGGCTGCCAGCCTTCACAACCATCAGCGCTCCATGTTGTCACTGCCCAGAAACGCCCACCTGGGATGCACTGGACACACCTCAAAGCAGTTGAGTACAGCTGAGGCCCCCAGAGGCATGTGTCTTAGAGCATCTGCAGAGTCTAGAGCCATTCTTGGGCCAGAGCAGACGCCTGGCAATATTTGAGCAAATCTAATGACTGGGCTTATGCCAAACGCACGCTCAGTCCTTTAGGGTCCACCCAGAGGGATCATCCCTCCCACCCAGGGCTGCGTGGACAAGACCTCTGCACCCTCCTCTTCAGGAGTCAGATCTCCTTCTCATCCTATCTCATGCAAATCTGTTTTTGACACAAACTTAGCTGCTAACAAAACAAGGTTGATTCTCCTACATGCTCTGAATTACGTACGCAGAAGGAGGCTCTGCTCCCCAAACGGGTTGCTTCCACAGAACCTCAAATGGTAACCTGTACACACTTCGCAGATGTATCTTTGAATAACTTCTATAGTTTAGGGGTTATAAAGATACAACCACAAGACTATTTTCAAAGCACCTTAATAATGCCGAGCTTAACCTATTAGTCTTCTGCCCTTTTTTCTCATTTACCAAAAAACATTCTAAAGGATCTCTGCGGAGGCAGATAAGTAGTCTTCCAATTCCCCAGATGGGGAAAACGTGGGGCAGAGTTTCTCCTGCCCTATTCAAGGTTACTGTGAAGGAGAAGACAAACTGTCCTGGAAAGATCTACAGAAGTTGGATGGGCCTTCCATGGCTTTGTGCATTGACATCTGTGCTTTGCTGAAGGGACGTCGATCAAAATGAAGATATTTGCAGAATGCTTAAGAATATAAATGCAGCATTCACCTCGTAGTAAAATGTGGAGCTACATGGGATTTGTGATGGGCCAAAAATCAATAGTGTTAAATCCATGTCAGTAAAATAACCTAATCCTTTAAAAATACAGTGCTGTGCCCATTTGTGCTACGTCACGGTGCCGGGCCTGGGAAGGACACATGTGGAGTGAATTAGAGGCTCGTCACCGGTGGGAGCCAATGGCACTGTGTGTCTTGTGGTTCTGCTTTATGACCCTTTACTGGAGGGAAGCAGAGTGGATTAAGGGAACAGGGCCCCACACAGCTGATTATTTCACCAGCTAATAAGTCTCCCAGGACCCCAGCCAGGCACAGGAGCTCCAGCCTTCCTGCAGGTGCTAAGATCTGGCTGCGCTGTTGGCTGTTGCTTCCCCTGGAGGCTGCTCTCGCTTCCAGATCTCTCTATTAGAGAGGGTTCAAATGCATCTGCAACCCCCGAGCCATCCTCCCTTCCAAGTTCCAGATCTCTATTAAAGAGGGCTCCATCGCACCTGCAACCCCCGAGTCACCATCCTCTCCGAGCTCCGGATCTCTGTATTAGAGAGGGATCCAACATGTCTGCAACCCCGAGTCATTGTCCCCTCCGAGTTCCAGATCTCTCTATTAGAGAGGGCTCCATCGCAGCTGCAATCCCTGAGTCATTGTTCCCTCTGAGCTCGCAGGTGCCCAGGCACCTCAGAGACACTTCCTTCCACTTGGGGTGCTCTGATCTATAGGCTCCGGGTGGGATGAGTGTCCAGGGTAGGACCCCGGGAGCCTGCCCTGCACAAAACTCAGGAGGCCGAGTACCTGCAAGGAGCAAAGGATGGGTGGCCCAGGTCGTTATACACACCAGTGTGGCCCTGGGCAGGGGCTCGCCACCCCATACATGTCCTGGCCCAGGAGCCCTCCTGTCTCAGCACCAGCTGGGGCCCGGGCTTGGGGGTCTGGGGCAGAGCTGTCAAAAGCCCAAGTACCCAGGAACAAAGGAACTGGATAGTCAGAGCTGGGGGAAATACCACCCCCCCACTCCCAGGCAGCAACACCCACAGTGGACATGGAGGCAGACAGGCCTGGTGGGTGAGGCCGAGGGAGGAGGTTGTCCTGTCCTAGTGAACCCAGGGAGGACCAGGGTAGGGGGGAGTGACATGCGGAGAAGGTGTCCCCACAATTCAGAGTGAACCCTTAGATCTCCCTACATCTGTGGCCCCCGGAGCAGCGGCTCACCCTCAAGGCGTTTCTAACAGGCCCCCAGGCTGCTGTGGCTGGTCTTGAACTCATGGTGAGAATCAACCTCATACTCCAATAGTAGCTCCCAATCAGTCTAACACTAAACTGTTCACGGTCGTAGCACCCAGAATGTATTTGATTGGTAAGTGAAATCAATAACAGCAACACCCAAGAGACAGGAAGGAGGGCCTGGGACACGCCACGTGAGGCCCTGCACCACCCGTGACACTCGTGGGGGTTTGAAAGTGGACTTGGATTCTTGTACATCGGGTTAGTGTAGATTGCAAACTCTAGGGCAACCACTAAAACATTATGAAAAGAAGCACAATTGATCCGCTACGGAGAGAAACAGAGTTTTATAGAATGCTCATTTAAAACCAGGGAAGGCAGAAAAAGAAGAAAATGAAAAGAAACAAAGAACAAGTGCAGGGAAGAGAGGGGCTGCGCTGCCCCCCACCTGGGGAGGGGTCTGCTCAGTGGGGCCTGGAGGAAGCTGCCTGCTTCCTGGAGCTCTGGCCTGGCTTTCAAGTGAGCGAAGGGTCTCAGCGGCTTGGAGACAGGAGGAGGGTGGGCCTCAGGCATCCGAGGCTTGGAGGCAGGAGGAGGGTGGGCCTCAGCCATCTGAGGCTTGGAGGCAGGAGGAGGGTGGGCCTCAGCCATCTGAGGCTTGGAGGCAGGAGGAGGGTAGGCCTCAGCCATCTGAGGCTTGGAGGCAGGAGGAGGGTGGGCCTCAGGCATCCGAGGCTTGGAGGCAGGAGGAGGGTGGGCCTCAGCCATCTGAGGCTTGGAGGCAGGAGGAGGGGTGGGCCTCCGGCCCAGGAGCTGGGGCAGGCTGCTTGCAGCGAAGGCCTGGGTGAAGTGGGCGGGCAGAGGCAGGGCTGCAGCTGCAGCCTCTGGAAAAGGAAGCAGCTCCACCTTCTCCTTTGGCTTCCTCAGTCTGTCCCCACCGTGTCTCCTGGCCCCTCCCCAAGCCTGTCTCTGTTCCTGAGTTGTCTATTCCATGCACAGTGGTGGAAAAGCTGCTGAGCAGGGTTCTGGACTCCTGCTTTTCCGGCTGTGATACCCGCTCCCAAGGGGGCAGCTCCTCGGGGATCTGCACCAGCGGTCTTCCACCCCGGAGCTAAGGATGGAAACACCCACAGGTGGCTGCGGCCGGCTGAGCCTTGGGTGACGTGGCGACCTTCCTTTCTCTGACCTTCGTCTCTGGGTGGCCCAGCAGCCCCCATGGGAGCCAGAGGCCGCCCCTCCCCGTCTTTCCTTCTTGTCTTCCCCTGCCTTGGAGCGTGGCCCTGCTGCCCTCCACTTACAACAGAAACGCCCGCAAGGCATCTGTTCTCTTCTTATCAAACAAAGAGTGTTTAATAACTATAATTAATTCACTTTGGTGCTCCTATGAATCAGACATATTAGACAGAAGTCAGTGAATGTTAGCAGTAAAATGCCTCGAAGTGTTCATCATCGAAGGCAGGTGACGCCGGGACTCGCTTGCACCTCACTCTTGGTTCTGCTTTCCCCCAAGTCCTGCGTGTATCCATTTTCAAACATCAGCCGTGGCAAGTCTGTTACATGTGGGTGCGCCTGACTGTTTGAATATGGATTGTGTTTGCAGCTCAGGAGGCAGAGGGGTGGACGGGGCGGTCGTTCCCGGCAGGACCTGTGGGTTCGTGGATGTCACTGAGTCTGGACCCTCTGAGTGGGATGCGACCTCACTCTTGGCTTGGGTCCCAGAAGGCCTAGTCCTCAGCCACCCTGGGCCACCCGGGTTTTGTTTGGCTGGCAGTTGCTTTATACCTGGTTGTTACATTGAAGAAGTAGGTGCTTCGTGGAGATACCTGGACTCCCGCGTGGAACACCCAGCAGGGGTGGAGGAGCCTCTTTGCCCGGTTTCCACAGTCCTGGCAGCTCCACCTGGGCAGCCTTACCGGGACTCATGGTCCCGCAGCCTCTGGAGTTTGTGACTTTGCTCAAGGCCAGCACTAATGAGTCCTCCATCCTTTTCTGCTCTGAATTGCTACTAAGAGCAGATTCTAAAAAATTCTAGTGGCTTTAACAGGATCATTGCCAGAAAGAAGCCATGGATGGAGGGAGGCGGCATGGACAGGAGGCATGGCGGGGGGGGGGGAGACACAGTGCCAGGCTCATGCCAGGTGGGTGCGGTAGGGCAGCTTCTTGCATGTTGCACCTGCTCCCCAAGCTCCACCTGGGAAGGGCCAGAAGGGCCATGGCTGTCACCGTCAGCCGGTGGTTCCGCCCGTCTGGGAGCTGGGAGGCCAGCACCCCCCAGGCTCTCACCAGGCCACCTCTGCAGGGCCAGCTCAGCCAGATGGGAAAGCTGGATTTTGCATCATAAGTCTTGTGTTTTCAGCTTGGAGGGTGGAAGTGAGCACATCATTCTGCCTCAACAACAGGAGGGAAAATGTCGCAAACCAAAACTAAGTCTCTGTTAGAACAAGGTGGTGCTCTCAGATAGCCCTTTAAGTGGGCTTTGCTTTCTGACTTTTTTTTTTTTTTTTTTTTTTAACACTCATACATGTCAGAGTTGGGTCTATAAAGAAACTCTTCTTTTTTAATAGCTGGAGGAAGGGCCTACAGTTGATGCCATCTGCGTCACGGGCATGATCTGACATGCGTCTTCCCAATTAACCCAGGATTAAAAAGAGGGTCTTAGGACCATGGATCCTTCGTGTTTGTCACCTTTGCCTTTGTGTTTGTCACCTTTGTGGCAAGTTGTTGCAAAGACGTCACAGCCACCGCACACATTTCCACTTTGGGTCTGGACTGACCATCTTTGAGTGTCCGCCCATCATTCACCAAACACTGACGCGGCTCGTATGACAGGCCAGGTCTCTGGCAGGTGCGGAGGGTGGGTGCGCCTTCTATGGATCCCCATTTAAATGACCTCATTCACTTGATATTGTGCCGCGGTCCTGTAACATGCAACTGTTGTAGGCACTGGGCAAAGGGTCCACAGGGCCTCCCTTTGCAACTCCCTGTGAACCTCAAATTCTTCCAGGGTACATGTTTTTTAAAAGGTTAATTTGTGAAACCCCAGGTGTGTTGGAATGTCACATCCTATCTGCCTTCCCAAGCTGGGTTTCTCTGGGATTTACCTCCAAGAAGCAGCCTTCCATCCCCCACCACAGGCACAGACCTCCCCTTTGAACCCCAACTGACCCCCCTAATCTGCCATGGCCTGGTGTGTGATCGATGCTGGTAGACCATGCTTTGAGGGAAGTTGTAAAGACAGAGTTCTTCCAAACTGGACCTGCGCTGGACTGCTTGGTGAGAGCGCGTGGGAATGGCCGTGGCAGAGGTAGGCCCTGGGCCCCTTTCTGGAGCCATCGCTGGCTTCCTGGAGCCGCACAGCGCAACCTCTGTCAGGGCAAGTGTAGCACCAGGTTGTGCTGTCCAATTAATGATGAAACAACCTGTCCTCAACGTTCTCAGCTCCGTGCGCGGCTTCACCATTCCGAGCTTGGGAGGACGAGGGCGGCTGCCCAAAGGCACAGGGAAGAGAAGCCTGAATGAGACTCGGACTGAAAGGGACAGGAGCTGGGGGCTGGGGGGCACAGGACGAGCACACAGAGGCCCCCTGAGTCCCCAGCTGTGGCTGTGTGCCTGGAGGACTGGGGCGTGAGGAAAGGACATCTCGCAGGGCGTCAAGTGCACTCAGTCCCCAGGCTGATTAGAGAGAGGAACGGACAGTGTCTGAGGTGAAGCTGTGCCCAGCTGCTCGCGTGGCCAACACAGGGCGGCTCACCTGGACTCCGGCCAGCAAGACTCGGGATGGCGAGGGTACCTGTGCACGCAAATGGGAGGTACCGTTTCCTGCAGCACCCCAGGGAGGCTCACACAGTGCCCTGCCCTCCTATCTCCATGTCCGCCTACAGGGTAGAGCCGGTGGTGCAGGCCCAGGATCGGGACACAGGTCCAGCAGAGGACTGTTAGCGGTCCCTGACTCAGCACCCATCTCTGTCCACTGAGACTCTGCCTGTCCCTCAGGGCCTCTCCTCCTCCCCTCCCCACAGGCACTGGCACAGCGGCCCGGGGTAGAACCCATGGCCCTGACTCACCTCCCCCTCCACCATGGTATTGATGACAATGCTGCCCAGCGCAGGCAGTGTCGACATGAAGCAAACCATTGTTAAAATATTGACTGGAGGAGAAATGGAAATGAGGCTACTGGGCCTGCAGCTCCATGAGTGTCCACGCCTCCGTGTGTGGACTGATGAGGTAAACGTTCTGTGACAAAGCCCCTGTCCCAGAGGAGCTTTCATCGAGGGCTTGGCGCCCACGACAAATGAGTCCACGCAGGAAAGGAGTGGCACCCGCAGGAGGCCTGTGCTGCGGAGCTCCTGGGAGGGTGACGCTGGGGCAGGGGCTGCTGCGGACAAGCGTTGGGAGGCCTCTCTGAGGAGGCAGTGTTTGCGCTGAAACCTAGAAAAAGAGCTGCGTAAAAGACAATAATTCTGAAGGCTCTGGGTCGGGGGCATTTCAGGCGAGGGTCCTAGAAATGCCAATGCTGGGGATGCCGCCGAGTGGGTCAGAGGGGCCGGAGGAAGGTGAACAGGGCAGGGGGCAGTGGGGCTGGATTTTATCCCAAGTGAGTCGGGAGCTGCTGGGACGGCAGGACCGGGTGTGTGTGTCCAAGAGACCATCTTGGCTGCCCAGGGGAAGCGGGGACTCGAGGAGAGCAGGGAGTGCTGTCTTCCCGGCGGGAGCTGGCGGTACTGAGGAAGGACGTGCAGAACCAGGCAGGGCTGACAGACGCGGGGTCGGGGGAAGATCAGGAGCTCCCGGTGTCCAGGCTGCACAATGTGGGCACCACTGAACACGGGGTAAACCAATCACCAGTCACTCCCACGCTGGGTCTTCCAGCTCCCTCGAGGCCGCCCTGGCCCTCCACACTCCCACCGCTGGCGCCAGCATCTGTGCCCGCGGCAGTTTAGAGTGACACTGTCCTCTGTCCAGCACCGGTCCACGTTGAGGTGTCTGTGTGCCACCGGGACCCTTCCGTAGACATGCACCATGAAGACCAGGCCTGGTGACAGGTGCTGAGGGGTCCAAGGGCATTGTGTGGGGGCTGACCGGGCCTCAGTCAGTGCCAGAGAGGACGCCCTGCATGTGTGATTTCCACTGACCCTGCACCGTGGGCCATCCCAGCCTCTCCCCAGTGGAAATGCCTCCCTGCACAGGGTCACACCACTTGCCTCTAGAATCCACCCACTGGGAGAGCAAGTCCAAGGCAGACCCTGGGCCTGTCCGCCCACCCTCCTGGAGCTGTGCTGTCACCTGCCTCTTGACATCCACATGCCCCAGGCATTGCAATGGCCCCTTGTTTATTCCTGTTGCTAGTTTTAAGTCAAAAGCAGGATGGGAAGGATAGGGGACTCCTGGGCCTGGGAGTGGGGTGGGGGCAGAAACCACAGCTGGGGCATGGGGAGAGCTGGTCCCCACTCCTGTGTGGCTGAACACCGCGGCCTTTGCAGCATTCTTCCTTGAAGATCTCCGAAAATGCAGCAGCCTGCATCAGCCGGGCTGGGAGCCGGGCCCAGGAGTCTGGTTTTAAAGCAGCATGCGGAAAGCTGAGAACCCACACCGCATCAAGAGACCCAGGAGCAGGTCTTGCCCCCAAGACCCTCACACGAACACTTCTACTCCCTGAGATGCTTGTGTTCAGAGATAGAGCCTGGGCAGCCCAGAGAAGTTCTCTCAGCCAAGATTCTTCCAGTGACATCTGTGGACGTTGGCTCAGAGCCCAGGCTTCCACCTCAAACACCCTGCCCCAGTTCCTTCCTTCCAGGGGTCTGCCTGCTGAGAAATCAGCAGACTCCCAAGAAATCCATAATCTGTTGCTCTAATGTGGCGTCTTGGTGTCCACAATTTAGACCAATCTTTTCAACACTTATTTGGAAGAGGAAAGCAGCATGAACTGAATGAAGTTTCTTGAAATTAGCAACAGTCATCATATCTGAACAAAGAGGCTGCCCAGAAAATAAGTTTGACAGTTGAAATTACTTCTACCAACCCATTCGTCTGAGATTGAGTAAATGAAAATCTCTAGCTGCCAGGATGTCACCACGTGGGGACGTCGCTGGCACGGGTGGCTCCTCCCTGAGTCAGAAGGGAGGTGGGACGAGTTGAGAAGGACAATCCAGCCGGATCCGGGTGCCGCAGCCTGAAGGGCCCGTGTCTGTTGAGCTGATAGTGGCGTCTTGGTCACACATCACAGACGGGAAGGCGAGCACCATGCTGGTGGGCTGGGGGCGGCCTTGGCCTCCAGACCCAGGAAGCTGCCACCAGGGCTCCCGCCCTTCAATTCGGCAGCTGTTTCTGCTGTTCTCTGGCTTGGCCAGGGTGCTTAATGCTCACTCGTGAAATGGCATACCCAACAATTTGACCTTTCATCAGTTAAGCGATGCTAAAAACAAAAGCAGCCTGGATGTGCAACTGTGGGTTGAGGGGAGGCTGCCCGCAAAGACCAGGGTAGTTTCTCATCAAGGGTTTGCCTTTGAATTTGCAGAGTGCCTTCTTTCCCTGGGTTCTCCCTTTTCGGAGAGCCGAGGTCCCCGTCAGATCTCCTAGTGGGTGATAAATTCCCCCCATGAAGCTCACGTCCCAGGCGGAGGGGCCTGGAGCATCCACCAGCAGCGCTTTGTGATGATGGATGCGAACGAGTGCTCCCGGCAGGCTCATGTTTATTCATTTTTGATGAGGTGTGCACGCAGCCAAGGGCAGCTGAGCTGTCTTACAATACACGGGGGTCACCTAACATCGGATTTATCTCCGACCTTTGAGTGTCTACAGGCAGGCTGGTGGCTGCTGCATGCACAGCGTACACGGTCCTCCAGCAAACCACAGCTGCATTCTCTGGACCCTGGGAATCTGCCAAGCGATATTGGCTGTCAGGAAGCCCAGGAAAATCGCAGCGGTGGGACCGAGGGGCACCTGCGGCTACATATTAAGGTCACGCGTTGGAAGGTTGGTTCCTGCAGTTCTGGGCGGGGTCCAGGTGGGAGAATGGCTGGGGACTCCAAACGCTGACCCTGGCCATCCCATACCATCCAGCCAGCCCCACCCAAATGGACGTTGGGGCCCAAATCCCACTTGTGTTTTCCAAAACGGCAGACAGAAACTGCAAGCCCCATCTTAATCCTGGCTTGCAAGTAAGGCCATGGCCTCCTGCCCTCATCGTCAGGCTATTCTTGATTTTCCCTGCCAAAAAGTGGGGTGGCTGTTGCCACACTTTGTCCAACAGCAGTCATGCCTCCCCACAAGAGATGGCTGCACAGATGAGAGCCACGGTGCCTGGAGCTGGGGAGTCGGCCCTGTAGACGAACTTGAAATTCACCTGAAGAAAAGCTGCTAAGTGAACACCAGCTGCTGCCGGCACAGCCAGGGCCACTGCGTCCCTGCAGCCCGAAGAAATCCACTTCTGCCCTTGGTGCTGGAGCCAATCCCACTGGCAGTGCACAGGCATCAATGCTATGACTTCCATGAAAACAGCCATGGGCTCAGGCGGACAGACTCCCTACAGAGGGAGGATGATGGCATGGCTGATGCTGGCCGAGGTCCACTGAATTCAGAGTCCACATGGAGGACGGAGCTGAGGCCTAGGGCTCACAGAGGCCACATCCGCAGAACTGTTGCTTCCGGAGGGCCAGCCCAGGCAGGACTAGGGACTCCAGGAGGGATCCCATCCCCCTGCAGAGCCCTGAGAACCCCCTCCGCCCCAGATCGCCACTCTCCACACACAGCTCCTGGCTGACCAGATCTTACCCTCGATGGGGTGTTGGGAATCTGCCGGCCACAGTGGCAGGAAGCTGCTCACAGCTCACTGTCAGGAAAGGGTGAAAGAGGCATGAATCCGAAGACAGCAGAGTCTGGGCCCAGCTTCCGCTTCCCCTGGGAGTGTGGTTACACTTGCCAGGGTGGGGGTGCTGTCTTGAGCAAAGCCTGGAGAAGGGTGAGAAGCATCCCTCACCCGCACACCCGGTCAGTCTGTATGTCCAGACGACTGCTCCCTGGCAGCCCACGCAGTGCTGGCACCACAGTCTGTATGGACCGTGCCCTTTGGGCATGACGCCACCATCTCATAAGCTGCACCCAGGGTCCCTGTGGATGTGCTTGATCAGAGAAAATTGGGACAATGTGATGGAGGCAAAGAAGGGGCCGGTCAAGCCAGCACCTGGAGCCACAGTGGTGTGGGAGGCAGGGAGCATGGGGCCACCCCACCCTCAGGAAGGCTGAGAGGGTCTTGGGCAACCAGGTATGTGGAGAAACAGTCGGCCGGGATGGCCCTGCTCACGGAGCCCTCGATGCACATCCCGCCCACCCTGGGGCTCCGCATGCAGCATTTCTATGCACACCATCCTCACCATTCTGTGAGCCAGGGACCACCATGAGCCCTCTTGACAGATGAGGAAACCGGGGAACAGAGAAGCGGGGTTGCATGTCAAAGGTCACAGAGCCAGAAAGTGACTTGGGACTCAAAGGCGGATCTTTCCGCTTTCAAACCTGTTTCCAGAGAGGGTGGCCGGCACCAGATGCTGGCATAATGCGCCCAGACGGCCCCACTGCACCAGCTGCACATGTGAGCATACACGTGTGCCCCCACACACACCCTGGGAGGTGATGGCCCAGGACTGGGTAGGGCCTGGGCTTTGTGTGTGGCACACACACACACACCTGCACACGTGCATGCACACTCATGCCCTGGGAGGCAATGGAAGGGGTCGGGCTGGACTCGGGTCTTTATGTGCCCTATATCCTGCTCTCAGCCCACTGACCTTGCTGCTGGGTCCTCGGTGAGTTTCCTGGACAAGCAGGCCAGGAAGAGTGAATGAATGCAAGGGCAGAGGAGCAAGGAACTCGTTCTGAACAGGAAATGCACGTCTTAAAAGCAAGACTGCAAGGCGGAGGGACCCCACCAAGTCTGAGGCTGCCAAATGTCGCATGTGGCTGTCAGGAGGGCAGCCAGGGAGATGATCATTGCAGACATTAGAGTAAGTGCTCTTGAGAGGCTGGAAGCACTTTGTTGCCCAAGGCTTCTAAGACCAGAGAGATGCTAAGTGCTTCTATATTGAAAAGAGTGAGCATTCCTAATTTGTTAGGTCCCTGCTATCTTTTAAATTCTCCAACCCTAAGAGAAGAAAAGCCCTATTCTCCTCCAGAGGTCAGGTTGGGTATCATCCCAGGGAAGCCGAGCTTTTATGCTGTGTGCGCCCATGTGTTAGTGTGTATTTATCTAGCGGGAGGAGCTGGAAGCTGTAGGTGCAAATGGGTGTGTGCATGTGGGTGGATGTTTATCCCTCTATTGACAGACAGACACGCACATGCATGTGCAGGCAGGGGGAATTTAGCCCAGGCTGCCCCGAAGCCGCAGAGGATGCACCTGCCTGGAAAAGGAAGCACAAAACCCTCTGCACATGACCCTGAGAACACACGGTGAATCCAGATTTTAGAAGCCAAAGCAGTGCCCTGTGGAACCAGCTGCCCCTGCTGGAGGCTGTCGTGGGGCGTGCTCACCACTGGGGCCCATGTGCATGCTGTGGAGTCTGATGGTGCTGGGTTGTCCAGGCTGCCAGCACCTGCTGGCCACTGCTGTCCAGGGCAACTCCTCCTGTGTACATTCCCCCAGCCCCATGAGAGAAAAAGAGACTGGGGTCAGAGAGGTGAAATGGCACACCCAAGGTTAAGCAGCCTGGGAGCTTCACTGCTGTAGGATCAAAGCCCAGGTCTTCAGAGAAGGTTGCACTGCATGTCTGCACTCCAGGGGGATGCTGGTTCCAGGCCCCTGGGCCCTCCACTTACCGCTTCTTGCTTCCCACTGCTGAGTGCTATTGCAGAATCATCCAGGGAGAAAGGAAAGGATGCAAGGAAAACGTACTTAGGATCCACCAGCAGGCCCGGGTGCCTTCCACCAGCACCCGCCTGTTCTCATCAGAGCACCGTCCGCCAGCCCCTCTCTCCAGTCTGTCCTTGGGACAACCCTGGGAAGCCAGTGGGACAGGTGTTCCAGGAGGACCCCTGTCCAGCGAAGCTCAGGGCTGCGGCAGGCCGGCGGCAGGTCAGGTCCTTCCTTCACCCTCGGGGATGGTGCCTGCCATAGCCCTGGGCCTCCTGGAACCCACGTTCTCCAGCAGTAAGTTAAGGAGCGGGCATGGGCACACCTCGGGGCAATAATTCCCTGTGAAGGGCATTCAGAGCACTATGGGATGGAGAGGACAGGCTTCCCCAAAGACATGTGACTGTGGGCCTGGAGAGTTAAAGGGAGCCAGTCCCGTGGAGGATGCAGCACCGGCACCCCACACAGCGAGCACCACAAGTGCCAAGGCAAGCCTGGGCCAGGGCAAAGCCTAGCAGGTCCACCATCTGGTGACCGGCGGGATGGGAATGGGAGCCTGGAGGAGGGCCCAGGCCACAGAGGGCCTTGGAGGGAGAATGCACCCAGGAGGGAACTTAGGGTTTATTCTCACATCACTGGGAGCCTCTGAGGGTTTCAGCAGGAGTGGAGGCTGTCGATTTAATTGGAACTTAGGTGGCCTATGCCTCAGCCCCTGTTTTCAAGCCCAGAGGAAGTAAAGAATGGAAGGAAAACTGAAGAAGGGTGGCTCAAATCCCATCAGAAACTTATCCGGTGTGTAATGTTCCTGGAGAAGAGAAGCTCTTTCCTGAAAGTCAAATCTACCACTGAGCCAGAGTGATCTTTTTCTTTAAATGCTCTTCCTTTTGCTGGCAAAAGAGGGTCCTCCCTCTCAATCTTCCCGTACCCTCCGCTACAAAAGACTTTAATGAAAATAACTTCTGACAGCTGTATTTTTGAGAGACTGATCCAGGATGGGATGTGACATTTCAGTATAAATAAATTGTATAAATCTATGCAGGACACGGCTCTGGGAGCAAATAGAAGAGCGGGTTCTGCTCCCATGAGGTCACTGGTGGACCTGAGCTCCAAGCATGGGAGGCAGCCTGAGACAGTGTGGACCCTCGAGCTGTGTGGATCGGCCAGGCTGCAGCATTAATACCCTTTCTAGCAGGAGCTGATCTAATGAGTATGAGGAATGCATGACCCCCAAAGGTGGTGCTGACAGGAGGCAGATGCTGGCCAGGGCATTTCCAATTGCAGGCAATAAAACCATAGCTCCGAGTAGCTGGACAGCATGGCTGCCACATGACATGCAGGGAAATATGGATTTCAGGAATGGCTAGACTCAGGTGCTCTGCAACACCACCAACAAGCTCTCGCTGCTTCCCTTTGAGTTGACTCTGTGCTCAGGCAGGTCCTCACCCCCATGCTGGTCCCCAACAGCTTCTGACTTCTGTCCTTAAAGTTCAGTAGGAAGAGAAAAACTGTTTTCTTCCCCCATAGTTCCAGGAAAATATTGGGAGTGACTGTCATTGTCCCAGCCTCAGTCATATATCCACCTCTGACCTGGTCATGGGGTCTAGGCCATGGCCTCTGTGCACTGGCCAGACCAGCATCACGTGTCCCCTGATGGAGCCAAGGGTGAAGTCAGCCCATTCACCAAATGGACCAAGATAACAAAGGAGTGGTTCCCTACCGAATACTGGAGGTACCATTGCCAAAAGAGGAGGGAAACATCCAAAGCTTTGTCCAGCACTCTAGGAGGATGCTGGAAAAAGTGCAAAGCACTTGTTTTTGTATGGGGAGTGCGAGGCTGATGAGGCTGTTCAGGAAAAGCAAAATCAAAGTGGTTTGTGAGGATTCCCATGACTTCTGTGGCCATTCTTATGGGTGGGGCCCAGGGTGTCAACGAGGATGAGGGAAAGGGATGGAAATGTGGGGAAGTCTGGGGCACTGTTCTCCTGTTGATACGGGATAGAAAGGAAGGAAGGGGCTGGGATCAGTGGAGTGAGGGGTTCCAAACAGGTTTTGCTGCATCTCAGCTCCAAGGCCTTCTCCACAAAAGGAAGGGCCCCTAGGAGGTAAGACTGAGGAAAACAGACTCAGCCCTAAAAAACCTGTGAGTGTCCAGGTATAAACTCTGGTCCCTGCCCTTAGTGAATTACATGTACATATCAAATCCGGCTGCACAGTTAACAGTCGAGTGTGTATGGCATAAGGGTGAATGGATAGGTAGATGGAGGGATGGGTAGATGGGTGGATGGATGATGAATAGGTGGATGGGTGGATGCATGATGGTTGGGTGGATGGGTGGGTGGATCCGTGGATGAATGGATGGATCATTGGATGGATGGATAAAGAATAAGTGGACCAGGTGCAGTGGCTCATGCTTGTAATCCCAACACCTTGGGAGGCCAAGGCAGGAGGATGGCTTAAGGCCAGGAGTTTGAAATCAGCCTGTGCAGCATAGAAAGATCCTGTCTCTACAAAAATTAATTTTAAAAATTAGCTGGGCACAGTGGCACACACCTGTAGTCCTAGCTACTTGGGAAGCTGAGGCAGGAGGATTGCTTGAGCCCAGAAGTTCAAGGTTGCAGTGAGCTGTGATCGTGTCACTGCACTCCAGCGTGGGCAACAGAGTGAGACCTGGTCTCTAGAAAAAAAAGAATAAGTGGATGGATAGATGGACAAATGGATGGATGGATGATGAATAATAGACGGATGATAGGTTTGTGGATGGATGATGAACGGGTGGATGGATGGATGGGTAGATGGATGGATGGGTGTGTAGATGAGTGGATAGATGGGTGAATGGATGGATAATGGATGGATGGTGGATGGATGGGTGGGTGGGTGGATAGATGGTAGATGGATAAATGAATGGATGGGTGGATGGATGATGAATGAATGATGGGTGGGTGTGTGGATGGATGATGGATCAATGGATCGATGGATAGATGATGGATGGGTAGGTGGCTGGGTGGATTGGATGGATGCATGGGTGGAAGGTGGATGGATGAATGGATGGATGGATGGTGGATGGACAGATGGAGGATGGATGGATGGATGAGTAGGTGGATGCAGGATGGATGGATGATAGATGGTGGATGGATGTATGGTTGAATAAGCGGGTAGATAGATGGATGAATAGATGGGTGGTTGGATGTATGGATGTATGGACAGATGGGTGGATGGGTGGATAGATAGATAAATAGATGGATGGATGAGTGGATTGGTGGGTGGGTGGGTGGGTAGGTGGTTGGATGAGTGTATGGGCAGGTGAAAGGATGGATGAATGATCATATGGGTGGATGGGTTGATGGATAGATGAATGGGTGGGTATATGGATAATGGATGGATGATGGATGGATAGATGGGTGTATGAATGCATGGATGATCGTATCGGTAGATGGGTGGGTGGGTGGATAAACAGATGAACGGGTGAGTGGATGGATGGGTGTGTGGATGGACAGAATATTCCTCCAAAAGCATATCAGGTGCTCTGTACGTGGTAGGATTGTGTGCCAGGTGCTGTCCCTGTCCTGGAGATTCCAAGACGAATTATGCAAAGCCCAGTCCATCAAGGAGCCCTCCGCAAAGTCAGACACACAGACTTCAATCAGGTGTGTATGTGTTGCACAAGAGGGTAGGCCCTGTCCGTGAAGTGTGTTCACAGCTTCCACCTCCAGCACTGTGCTTGCTGTGTAGTAAGGGCTCTGTGAGAAATGAGGTGTGATTCCAATGAGTGAAACTGCCCATAGTCAGGACAACACCTGAGACCACGGGAGGGGCAGCAAGTCTGAGCCGAGTCTCTGGGGTGGACAGTGAGGCATCTGCCAAGGGTGGGAGTTGGTGCTGAGCATCCCTCAGGGTCACTGGCAGAGACTGGAATCTTCACTGGGAGGGGTGGGAGAAGATTATGGAGCATCCCTGGGAACCCGACGGGGCTCAAGGACTGGGGCCCTGTGTCCCTGCTCAGCTGGGAACTGCAACCTGACAGGGATCAAGAAGGGAATGGGTGAGGCGCAGGCCTGAGGGGAGGGGAAGAGGTGGGGAGAGGAGGAGGTCATCCTGAGTTATCCAGTGGGTCCTAAATGCCATCACTAGTGTCCATAGAAGAAGAAGAAGGAGGCAGGAGAGTGACAGAGAAAGAAAGAGACGCAGAGAGAAAGACAAAGATAGCATCAGAGAGAGAGATTGGAAGATGCTGTGCTTGAGGATGAAGGCAGGACCAGGAGTGGGGATGCAGACGGCCTCTAGAAACTGGAAAGACAAGGAAGGGCTTTCTGGCCTGGAGCCCCCAGAGAGAACGCAGCCCTGCCCACACCTTGACTTCAGCTGCCCCTCCTGCACAGTGACCTCTAGAGCGCTGAGATGTTTTTGGCCACCAGACTTGTGGTTATCATCAGAGCAGCCCTAGGAGGCTCAGGACTTCGGAGCCCCTGAATCTCAGCGGCAGCTGCAGCATGAGTCCATCCTGGAAGGAATCCAAGGACAGCTCAGGGCCAGCACCTGCTTCCGGGGCAATCTTTTTGTGCCTCCTTTTAAAGGCCCACGTGAAGGGCATGGTGCTTATCACCGTGGGGCACACAGGGAGGCTGCGTGCCTGGGCCCTGCCCTTCTGCTCCTAGCAAGCAAGGAGGCAGTTGAGGAGCCTGGCGGTTTTCACCTTAGATGAAATGTCAGGTCTGATATTCCGTGGGAGCAGCTACATCTTTGTTAAGGTCTCATTATCTCAAGAACACGTGTCCAGGGCCCAGAAGGCCGCCCGTTCTTGAATATTTATCCATCCTTCCTGGGTGACCAGCCTGGCAGGCTGGGGAGGGTCTGGCGGTTGAGTGCAGAGTTCATTAGTCTGATTCAGCATGTCTCAGGTTCATGGTGCTTTCAAGAGACATCATGAAATAAATTCAAAATGGGTTATGGAGATGCCCACAGAGCAAATAACACGCGCAAATTACCTCGCTGCTAAGGGGGAAATAAAAATCACATCTCTCTTCTAGACAATATGACAAAATGAGACAGAAGTCAGGGAAAATGTCCTTCAGGAAATCAAAGTCCTTGCATTTGCATCCTGTGACGATCTCCTCCAAATTGGCACCCATTGAAAGATTACATTTTTCAGTCTTAACATATATCTTAAGAGAAACAAATGGAAGTCCTCAAAAGAAGGCCTGATCGGGAACAAACCTGTTTTTCACATGACTTGAAAGGGCTGCCTGGTTTTGGGGGTGTGCAAATGAGACCTTATTCCCTAGCTTTCTTCTGCAGCCCAGAATCTGTTCAGCAAATACTCCCCAAGCCTGCCTGGCCAGGCACCGAGCCCAGCACAGCACACGCAAGGAAGAGCCAAGACTAGTGGAGCCCCAAGCCTGAGCTGCCCCGAGTCCCGTGGGGCGGAGAGACACAGGGTGACAAGGGCGAGGTGGAGGAGAGGTGGAGGGAGGGGTGCCGAGCTTGGAGCAGGAGTCACAGCATGTTGTGTCGTGCTGGTCACAGGGCGTCCAGACCAGGGCCCTTGTGGAAGCAGCATCAGGCTAAGGAGGGTGGGCATTAACTAGAAGGCTGGGAGTGACAGGCAGCAGGCCTTTCGTGCAGACAATGGGAAGGACACATGACAGTTCACAGGGAGCAGGAGAAGCCGGCTGCTCAAGAGACCCTGGGCCCAGTGCTCAGCAGGGCCCACCACTTGGGGCCACCTCCACCAGCACAGTCCCATAGAAATGGCATAAGAGCGCTTCTGTATTCTTAAATTTTCAGGAGCCACATTCAAAAAAGTAAAACAGGCAACATCCTTGTTAATGCTATATTTTATTTAACCCAATATATCCAAAATGTTCTTTCAACATCCAGTCCATATGAAAAATTGTTCATGCGAAATCTGACATTCATTTTGGGGAGTGAGGACTGCAAAGCCTTATGTGTATTTCATGCTGATTGACTGCTCAGCCCAGTTAGAACCAGCACAGCCCTAGAACCTAGACTGTGGTCGTCAGCAACCTACAGTCCTCAAGCCAAGTCTGGCCCCCTGCCTATTTTGTAAATAAAGTTTTATTGGCACACAGCCATACCTATTCCTGTACGTATTGTCTGTGGCTGCCTTTGCCTCTGCTGTGGACCAGGTGAGCAATTAGAAAGAGACATTGTGGCCCACCCACCCACAATATGTACTGCCTGATCCATTACAGAAAATGCTTGCTGCCTTCTGCTCTAGACAGAGATAGAATGGGGTCTTCATTCTAGCAGTGCAGGAAGGGGCTAGGTCTGAGCGACGTGTGACAGGCTGCTGTTTTTTGGCAGAAATCCCTGCAGCTGGTAGATGTGGCATGAGGTTGGGTGGAGGACAGCTCAGGGACAGGGTTAGACGGTGTTGTGCCCACCTCTGCTTTGGGGAGAAGGAAACAACCATCGTAGGGGCTGAGGCTTTGGGCTCAGCCAAGCACTCCCATGGAAACAACCATCGTAGGGGCTGAGGCTTTGGGCTCAGCCAAGCACTGCCGTGGAAACAACCATCGTAGGGGCTGAGGCTTTGGGCTCAGCCAAGCACTCCCGTGGAAACAACCATCGTAGGGGCTGAGGCTTTGGGCTCAGCCAAGCACTCCCGTGGAAACAACCATCGCAGGGGCTGAGGCTTTGGGCTCAGCCAAGCACTCCCGTGGAAACAACCATCGTAGGGGCTGAGGCTTTGGGCTCAGCCAAGCACTCCCGTGGAAACAACCATCGTAGGGGCTGAGGCTTTGGGCTCAGCCAAGCACTCCCGTGGAAACAACCATCGTAGGGGCTGAGGCTTTGGGCTCAGCCAAGCACTCCCGTGGAAACAACCATCGTAGGGGCTGAGGCTTTGGGCTCAGCCAAGCACTCCCGTGGAAACAACCATCGTAGGGCTGAGGCTTTGGGCTCAGCCAAGCACTCCCGTGGAAACAACCATCGCAGGGGCTGAGGCTTTGGGCTCAGCCAAGCACTCCCGTGGAAACAACCATCGCAGGGGCTGAGGCTTTGGGCTCAGCCAAGCACTCCCGTGCTTTCAGAGTTTGAGGCCAGGGTGCCCCTCACTGTGCTTTCCAAAAGGCCCACCTGCACTGTGGAGGGTTGCTCTACCTGGAGGCCCACTGCACACTCAGCCCAGCTCTCCCCTCCTCCTGCCCAGAGCACAGGCTCAGGCTCCTGGCACTGCCTGCTTAGGACCCTCAGACGGCCTCAGGATGTCACAGATAATGTAATTGGGCAGTCGGTGGGGGGAGCCTCAGCGAGGACCGAGTGTGGGGTCCAAGGTCTGAGACTTAATTCCAGGTTCTCTGAATGGGGCCTGCCAGTTCGAATTTGCACGTGCAGAAAATCACATCCTTCCGTCATTCCCATTAACATTCGCCTGGTGTCAGGAACGGTCAGGAACGGTGGGCTGTAATTGACTCAAGTCTATTTGCCAGCCACAAAGACAATCTTTATAAAACTCAGGTTAGGAAATGAATAGTGCGATTGAATACTGCGGCCCCCAGAGGAGGTGGGATTGCATTAGCACCTTCTTTCCATTCCAATTTGGATCTTCCAAGGCATCCATCTTTACCTGAAAAAGAAGGTGGATGGGGGAGGGATGGTGTGAACAATGGAGGCCCGGGGCTCCCTCCTCCTGGGTCTACCCCTTTAGGAGCAGGGTGGAGGGGGACAGACAAAAGGGAGGTGAGAAAACTCCTTGTCTGCAGGGATGGGTCTGCTTGGAGACCCCGGGTCAGGCTGTGACAGTGCCCTGGCTCTGTGCACCCAGCCAGGGTTCACTGAGTGTACCTGGCATTCTCTCAATTCTCTGCACATGCCCTCAACAAACAAACTCAATCCCACACACCCCCAGGAGCCTATGGAAGTGACCAGATGATAAACCTTGATGTAATACAAATGTAAATGATGCTGCATTTCAGAAGGTGGTGTTTGCTGCGAGAAAGGGAAAGTGGGATCAGGATGAGGCTTGGAGTGGAAGGGGGTTGCTGTTGTCCAAGGGGAGGTCAGGGGAGGCCTGGCTGGGTGGCCTTTGCCAGGGGAGGCCTGACTGGGTGGCCTCTGCTGGAGGACCTGATGGGGTGAGGTGGTGGGCCAGGCTGCAGTGGGACCAGCGGTCCAAGACCTTGGGGCAGGAGGGGCTGTGGTGTGGCCCCAGCAGAGCAGACCAGGAGGGTGCTGAGGACCAGACAGAGAGAGGACAGGTGCAGTAGGTCCTTCGTAGGGCCTTGTCACCTGTCATGAGGACCATACCTTTTACTCCGCATGCGGTAGGGAGCCTTGGAGTTGAGGACCCCTGGGGTGTGCAGTATACGCAGGAAGAATGACTGCTGGGACTCCCCAGGGTGGAGCTGGCTGGAGTAGGGGAAGGAGCAGGGCCCTGGCCTCTGTGATATCTGCGAGCAGGGCAGACTCCTGGTTCAGATTCAAGTACAGGAAAAGGGCATTTAACTTACTTAAGATGACAGCCTGTATGCAATGCACGAGCAGCGCCATTTGCAGGCAGCAAACGTGCTCAACCCTCAGCACCAGGCACACAGAGAAAGCGGCCTCCCTTCTGTGGGAGGGCCTTCCCTCCAGACTCCTGCCTCACAGCATGCAGTTCACTTTTACTTTTTGTTAATGTGTTATAGTTGGTGTCAATGTATAGACCTGACGATAATACAACTGTCTTTTTTAAACAAAAAAACACAGCACTTTACACTTTAGATTTTTTTACTCATTCAGACTACCTCCTTCTGCAGCAGGCACATCCCCCTCAGATCCAAGTTAAGAGAGGTTAGTGGGATGCATTCTAATGACAAAAGGATAAGTGGGTAGGTAGGTGGGTGGGTGGGTGGGTGGACAGACGGACGGACGGACAGACGGACGGATGGATGGATGATAGAAGATAGGCAGGTAGGCAGGTGGATGGGTGGATAGGTGGATGGATGGTTAGATAGATGATGAATGGATAGATACATGGATGATGGATGGAAGATAGATGGATAGTGGATGGAGGACAGATGATAGGCTAGATAGATAATAGATGGATAGATGATGGATAGATGATGGATGATGGATGATAAATGATAGGTGATAGATACATTAGATAGATGATGGATGTTTGGAGGAATGGATGATAGATAATAAATTATAGATAGATGGATAGATGATACATAGATGGATGACAGAAGATAGATAATAGATGGATAAATAGGTAGATAGATGGATGATGGATGGATGATAGATGCTGCATGCATACACACATAACATATATTTTGGATGGATGATAGATGATACATTAGAAGACGGATGGAAGATAGAAGGATAGGTAGATAGATGGATGATGGATGATGGATGGATGATACATAGATAGATGCATGCATGCATCCACACATACACAGATGACAGATACATAGATTATGGATGGATAGATAGATGGATGATAGATGATAGATGAGATAGATACATGATGGATGGATGGGTGGATGGATGGACGGATGGATGGATGGATGGTAAATATAAACGTAGATCAGTATAGACATGGGTATATAGAAGTAGCTTCATAATTTTCTGAAGATGGTAACTGGGTAATTGGTTCAGAATCTTCAGAAGGAGAGTAAGTAGACAGGAAAGCTATCAACAAGGTCACAGACATTAATAATGCGAAAGTGTGGTGGGCGCAATGACACCAGGTAGCCAGGAAAGTAAGCATCTCAGCAACGCAGTTTCTGGGTGCCCGTGTCAGTTTCCTGCACTGCAGTAACAAGTGCCACCAACTGGGCACCTTAAAATGACAGAAACATCTTCTCTCCTCGTCCTGGAGGCCGGGAGTCTGAAATCCAGGTGTGGGCAGGGCTAGCTCCCCCAGGAGGCTCCTCTGGGAGTCCGCAGCAGCCCCACTCAGCTCTGGGGCTCCAGCTGCCCTGGCGTCCAGTGGCTTGAGGAAGCCTCACCCCATCCCTGCCTCCAGCCTCCCATAGCCATCTTCTCCCTGTATGTCCTTTTCTGTTTCTTATGAGGATGCTCTCATTGGATCCAGCATGAGCTCCAACTCTCCTTGCCTCTAATTACACTGGCAGATAAGGTCCCATTCTCAGGTTCTAGGAGGACATGAATTTGGGGGACACTATTCATCCCTGCAGTGTCCAAGAGGGAGAGTATGAAAATGACTCAGGTTTTCTTTTTGCCCTGTGGATTTCACACGTGTCTCTGAAGGTTGCCTAGGGTTCCGGTTGGATCTGTCTTGTTCCTGCCGCACCCAGAGCCCGGAAGAGCGAACAGCACACACGGTGACAAGGGTCAGAAATGCTACCAGGTTGGGTGGGTCAGTGGCTGCGTGGCATGGCCTGGTGTTTGCAGTTCACACTCAGCGTCCACCTTCCATCTCTGTCTCCTCATGGCCTTCCTTTCCTCCATAAAACACATCCCTGTGTCCTCGTCTCTCTTACTCTATTTTCCAGCTTTTTTGCAGCATAGTATAGAACAGAGGTTCTAAATTTGAGTGCTTGTCAGGGCCCCTGGAGGGCTTTTGTCAAAACACAAGTTGCTGGGCCAGGCCTGGAGGTGAGGGGTGGGTCCCAGGTATTTGCACTTTCATCAAGTTCCTGGGGATCTCGCTGCTGTGGCCCAGCACCCCACGTTGAGGACCACTGGTCCAAGAAAACACAGAAGGCTCCTCTAGATTCCGAAAGAATGGCACTCCAGTTCCAGCTCCACCAACGCCAGTGCACACCCAGGAAGCCACTAGCTGCTGGGGATGTCAGGGTCCTCTCCTGACATCTGAGGTTAACAGCAGCACCCATCAAGATCTGCGGGGCAGGTGAGCAGCTGCGTGGGGAGCAGGGGCCTCCCCATCATCTTCCGCCACTGGTGGTGCTGTGAGCACGCCAAGGCCCAGGAGGGAGCCTGTGGCCCCTGTGTGTAGCTCCCGACTTAGGAAGGACGTTCTGGTTTCAGCAGCCCGCTGGCCTGCAGCAGAAACCTGGACCACATGCTAATTCCACCTGGAGCAGACCCCGGAGCTTTGCTTTAGCTCTCAGGGCCCCCATCTGGGTGGACTTCCAAGGCTCTTCACCAGGTTCTCATGAGAGAGCCATTTTGTCTGTCAGTGGGAACTGCCCAGGGCCTCGGGTAGCCTGAGAGTCCCCAAGAGGAGACCCTCGTACCCGAGTGAAGCTTGCAGCCCCCAGGAAGCTGAGGAGCCTGTCCACAGCCTGGGGCACCCGGCGGAGAGGAAAGGGGAAGCAGGAAGCCATGGAGGACCCTGCCCCAGGGCTGCACCCTGCATCCTGAAGCGAGGAACAGACGCCATCTTTAAGCACCCCAGGACCCAGCACCACCTCCCCAGGACCAGGGGCTCCACCATAGCCCAGTCACCACCCCCTGCCCCTGTCCTCCACAGGAGCCCTGCAGCCCTGGCTCTGTGTCAGGATCCAGACCATAAGGAGGGACAGGGTGCCAGGCTGGGACTAAGACGGGGAAGAAGCTGCTGTGGGACCCGCACTAGGGCTGAGGGGCGCTGGGCTGGGCAAGGCCCAAATGGCCTGATGGAGGTGGCTCCTGCCTCCGTGACCTTGCCCCAAGGTCCCTGGCCAGGGCCTCCATTCAGGGTGAAATGTGATGGGAGGCTGTGGGGAGAGTGAGAAACAAGACGGTCACTCAGGGCCACTGTGACAGAACAGTCAAGGGGACAATGCATGATGGGCAGGGGCTCTAAAAATGGGAAGGAAGGGCAGAAATGAGGAGTGGGGGAAGGGCGGGGAGAAACACAAAGAGCCGAGCATCCCCCGAGGATAGAAGGGCGCCCTGGTGTCCTTTCTAAAGAAATGGTTCCCTGTGGATTTTCAGAGCTTCGGTAGTCATGGTTCAGCAAGTTCGATGCTTTCCTGGCTGTTTCTGGGATCGTGGTAGTTGGAGCGTTGACTCTGTAGAGAATTCCGTCTCCCCGGGATGCAGGACCTCGGACAGCCTCAGCCAGTGCCCTGGAACCTCAGCTCTGTCCTGAGTTCCCCCCTGTGTCTTCTTCTCATCCAGCGTCCTTCAGAGGGACTGGATGGAAGCCAGGGGTGGCCGCCTGTCTCCAGGATGCACCATTTCTTCCCTAGAGACACAGCAGGTGGCTCAGAGGCTAGCTCTCTGGGCAGTGAGGGCAGAGTTAGAATTCCTATTTGTTCCCTCCCTTTCCACCCATTTCTTTGGGAAGACAAATAGGTGACATTCCAGAAAGAAACATGTAGCTTCTCTAACATAATCCCTCTGTGCCGTGCAATTATTAACACATCGCTTGAGGGCATTGTGGATGTGGGCCCTCCAGAATTCAAGAAAATGTCTCTGCAAGGGTAAAACACCCGCCCTCACGTCCTAATGGCTTTTTTTCTCTTTCAGCCACACACAGTCAAATTTGAGGCATAATTTGCTGTGAATTACCTACAAATTGTATACAGTGCTTTAGGACTAAGTAGCTTTTTGCAAGGCTTGGTATGAATTTTCTCTTTTGTCCAAATCATACAAAATACTCTTTCTAAATTGTTAAGATTTTCTGCCACGCATAAAAATGAGGCTGAAATCACCCAAAAGGTGACAAAAATGGATTAGACAATCCTTGGAACTTTATAACTGTGTGCGTATTTCAAGGGATCTGTTGGCTTCTGAGCTCTTGTTCTGAGGGGTGGGAGAATTAGACAATCCTTGGAACTTGATAACTGTGTGCATTTTAAGGAATCTGTTAGCTCCCGAACTCTTGTTCCAAGGGGTAGGAGAAAAAGGGGGCATCATCTAGCAGCTGGGAGGAGTCTCAGGATCCCCCTGCAGGAAGCCCGGAATCCCTTCCACAGGCACAGAGCTGAGGGTGCTGCAGAGCCCCTAAAGAGCTTTCTGGGCATCGGGAAAGTCCGGGCTCAGTGCATGTGGAGCTGCCACCCTAGAAAGCCCTGCGTCGGTGTTGCTGTGTTCTCAGGCCCGTGCAGCTGACATTCCTTTGGCTTCCTGGTGATGGAGGGACAGACAGAGCATCCCCACATTTGTCTTTGAGGGTGTGTGGTGTATACGGGAGCAAGCAGGTTCAGCAGAAAATGACGTGATGCCAAGGCCAGGGCTGTGAACTTGCAGGAGCTGCCTGTGACCCCAGGGCAATCTGGGTTGTCATTGCAGAAGGAAGCCCAGTGGGTTTCAGCTGCTAGTGGAGAACCTATGGCTTCAGTGCTAGCAGTTGCTGTATCCTGCTAAGCGTCTGCCTCCATTCTGGGTCCTGGCTTCTGGGCCAGTCCCTGCCTTTATGACACTACCTTCATGGGGTGTGGGAAGGTGGACCAAGGAATGGGTGGATAGAGGGTAGATGGATGGACAGGTGGATGGGTAGATGATGGATGGAGGGATGGATGGACAAGTGGACAGATGGATAGAGAAATGGATGGATGGATGGTTGGACAAGTGGACGGATGGATAGAGGAACAGATGGATGGATGGACAGGTGGATGAATGGACAAAGGGACAGATGGAAGGAGAGAGGGAGGGAGGGAGGAAGGGAGAGATAGATGAATGGATGGATGGATGGATGGTGGATGGATGATGGATGGATAGATGGATGGACAGAGGGACAGATGGAAGGATGGATGGATGGAGGGGTGGGAGAAGGGGAGGGAGGGAGGGATGGATGGATGGACAGATGGATGGATGGATGGACGGAGAGATGGACACACAGGTGGATGGATGGATGAATACATGGATAGGTGGAGGGATGGATGGACAGAGGAAGGGAGAGATGAAGGGACAGAGGGAGAGATGGGTGGAAAAGTGGAAGGGAGGAGAGGAGAGAACAGGGCATTAAAACTCATTAATGATAAAGCAATTACTGGAGGAAGCATGGATTTTACCTCCCCATGCCAGGAATGATTTTACCTCCCCACGCCAGGAATGTCTGATGTTTCTGGCTTAGTGAAGAGGAAGCTTGGGAAGTCCAAGGTGATTCTAATCTGTGGAATGTTGTATTACTCTCACATTTGTAGGTTTATGGCATTTGTTATGGAAACGTTCTTATTGTGGGGCAATCTACCCGTAAGCAAATCCCCTGAAGGTAGAGATCAGCTGCTCACCCATCTAGTATTTCCTTTTATTTGTGAAAATGCATTCAGTGAGAAAATGTATAAGAACCAATTGTGAATGGTTCTCTTTCAGCTAGTTCTCAAAAAATCCTGTATCTTTTTATAAAGATGGAAATGACAGCCCAGAGTCTATTAAAATAAATATAAAGTCACCATGCCGGGGCCTGGCAATGGGACTGGCTGCTTATGGCTTTGATTCAACATTTTCTCCCTGGAATGTGTTTATGGGAGTTTATAGGCTGTGTGTGAATGTGCAGAGTACGGAGAAGTGCACGCAGCTGTACTCTCCACGTCTGTGCAGTATAGGGCAGACGATAAGTCTTGAGATCCATATGTTTCTTATAAAATTCTGATCTTTGGAAGGATGAGTAATAGGCATTAAGATGGCAGAGAAAGAAACGATCACAAGAGGAAATCATGCACTTCAGAGGCAGTTTCTGCTTCACAAAGAAAGTCTCCAGCAAAATCTACTGTACCCTGCAGTGAACGGCACGGGTTGCTTTCCTTGGAGCTGTCACGGTGTATCTGGTGTCCCCCGAACCGCGAGTCGTGGAGGCCCGTGGGCAGGTGCCCCGGGAGTGCGGCCCAGGCAGATGGTACCAGAACGGGGTGCCGTGCTAGAAGAGCACCCCAAACTGCACGCATCTGCTTCCTCAGATCCCGCAGATGGGCCAGGTGTTCAGAACCTTGTTGGTAGCTTGTCAGTCACCCACAGAGTGAGATGCATACTTTGTTGATAGAATGAGATTTAATGTTCAGGTCAAATATGAAAATGTGTTTGCTTGGAGGGGCATGATCTTTCTGTAGAAGACTCTTCCTGTCATACAGTTACCACTCACTGTCCTCTTCCTTCAAGCCAGGCTCTGTGCTAAGTAAACGATCCTGATTAAAACCCTGTTTTCATTGTCTGTTCTTGTACAAGCCTGTGCCTGCCTGCCGTGGGGTGAGGTGCACCGCCTAGCTGGCACTTCACAGTAGAGAGCAGCCAGAGGGATGGGTGGGAGTTGGGAGGCTGGGCTCTTCCTGGCGGTGGGTGAGACTGTAGCCCCATCACAACCACATCATCCCCTTCCCAGGAGCTCCTCGTGTCTGGGGAGGTGGGCGTGGCAGGGACTACAGCCAGAGCTGGGTCTGTTTGGTGCTTCTTCCCTGTGTGTGGATTCATTTAACAGGGTTGGCTGATACCTACTGTGTAGCAGGGATTGCAGTGGCATCGGACAAAGCCTCTGCCCTCTGGATGCCAAACATTCTAGAAACCCCCAAAGGAATAAATGCAGCCGTTGCTGCTGGTGAAGGAGGCCGTCGGAGTGCTGTGAATGAGGGGGACTGGCCGGCCTGGGAAGTGGCCTGGGAGGTGCTCAGAGGGTGGCAAAGGGGCGACCATGCGACTGAGCCCTGTGGGAAGAGCAGGGGGGCCGCCCAGCTAAGGAAGCAGCAAGCGCGGAGCACGTGGCCTCAACCTCCGTCTTGCTTATGCTGGTTAAGTAGGTCTGATGTTAACCAAGCCAAAATGCAGGGGCAGGGACATCTCAGGACCTTTTATACAAAATAGCCTTGAGCCTGGGCAGAATTCGGAGGCAACCATCTCCTGGCCGCCTGTTCCATATCACACACAAGGTCCAGCCCCCTGTGTTGTTCTGCAGCTGGGAATCCTGGGCTCCGTCCTGGGGGCTGAAAGGCTCCTGGGGGTTCAGTCTCTAACCTGCTCTTTAAAATTTTAGGGCTTTCTTGGGTAGTTTCATTTTATCTCAAAGTCTTACAAACCATCTTAGCGTTTTTGTGCAAACAGCTCCCAATCCTCGCCAGCACCTGGGACCTGCCACACCCACCCAGCACAGCAGCCTCCCTCAATCTGCAGCCCACAGCCGCCTGCCGTGACCACCCCTCGATGTGGGTGAGGTTTCTAAACTGCTCCTGAAGCTTCAAACACACAATTCATCTGTAAATATTTGCTCACTCTATTTCTAACCACGTTATTAAGATATAAAAACTTACCGTGAAATTCCCCTGTTTAAAGTGTACAATTCAATGGTCCTTAGTCAATTCAGAGTTCCATGTATAGTGTAGAGTTGAGTATATGTTACAGAGAGCAACTGTTGCTGTCATCTAATTGTGCAACTTACTCATCACCCAGCAGGGAAACCCCGTACCCATAAGACAGCCACTCCCATTCCCTGCCCCATCCCAACAGCCACAAATACACCTTCTGTCTTTCCGTCTCTAGATGTGTCTAGTCTGGGTATTTGCTACAGGTGGGATTGTCTTTGGGGTGGACTTCTTTCACTTAGCACAGTGTTTTTAAGGGTCTCCCATGCGGTTTGGGTCTGTTCCTGGGAATATATTGTGTTGCCTCACTCTCCATGCGCTGCTACTGGCTTCAAAGCCGCCTCCACTCAATTCATGTCTCAAAGCAACTTGGTCTCTCCACCACCCTTTGTGTGAAGCGGGGTGACTGCCCCTCCCCACAGGCTCATGACAGGGGTTGAGCAAGTGCTCTGTGTACCAAGCCATTCTTGCTGTACCTGCCTCATAATAAAAGCTTGGGCCCCTTCATCTCCCCTGCGGAGAGTGCCTGCTCTCATCAGTCCCGTCTCTCCCCTCTGGATTGCAAAGGCCGCTCCTCGGCCCCACCACCCCGCTGTTTGTGGCGCTTTCTGTCAGTGTCCTGATTCGGTCCTAGTGACCACCACCTTATCCCAGCCTGGTCACTCAGCCTCTGTGTCTCGGGCTTTGACTACGTCACCCACACCCCTTTGCACAGAGTGAGACTGTCCTCAGACCCCTTCCCGCTGTCCGGACTCAGAGCATCCGAGGCACCTGCCCTGGGAGAGCTCCTGGACTCCAGTCCTCACGGGGCTACCCCTCGTCCCATGTGCACCCTCAGCCCCCTGCAGAAACCTGGAACACACTTGATTCAAAACCTTCACATTAATCTCAGGTGGGATAGTCCGGGCTGTGGGATCCCCACTGGGTGGTACCCGCACACCATTTAGCATTCCAGATGGCGGAGTTCTGGAAGGGAAAGCTCTTCTTTCCAAACCCCTCTCCTGCCTTTCATCAGAGAAAATTGTGCAGTTCTTGAAGATCTCAATAAATACTGAAGGCAAAAATAATGTCAATGTTAGCACCATCAGAGGTGATGGGATTTTTTTTTCTTCCAGTGAAAATAGACCAGCGGCATCTGTACCGATGATTTTATAGACTTTTCTGCCAAGAGAATGAGGATCTTGCCAGCTTTTCCTAAAAGAATCAGAAGTTTCACGAAACTCCTAGAGTTCTACAAACTGTTTGCTAATCTGATGACAGTTGGTTTCCTTGCAGAGCTCTCTGCTAAGCACTAGCCAGTCTCCACATCTGCGTGGCTGGGAGGCCTGCCTGTGAGTGCCAGTAATGGAAAGACTGGAGAGAACAAGCCCAACTGTGCGTGTATATGTGTGTATGTGCGTGTGCATTCGCATGTGTGTATATGTGTGTGTGCATTCACGTGTGTATGTGCCTGTACATTTGCGTGTGTATGTGCGTGTGCGTGTGCATTCGTGTGTGTGCATTTGCGTGTATATGTGCGTGTGTGTGCATTCGCGTGTGTGTATATGTGTGTGCATTCGTGTGTGCATTTGTGTATGTGTGCATTCGCGTGTATGTGCATGTGCATTCGCGTGTGTGCATTCATGTGTGTGCATGAGCACGTGTGTGCATGTGTGTATCTGAGTGCACATTCTCGTGTGCATTCGCGTGTGTGCATTCGCGTGTATGTGCGTGTGCATTTGTGTGTGCATGTGTGTATGTGCGTGTGCATTCCCGTGTGTGTGCCTTCGTGCGTGTGTGTGCATATGTGTATATGTGCGTGTGCATTCGCGCGTGTGTGTGTGCATGTGTGCATGTCCACTTGCATGCATGTGTGGTCATGTGTGCAGGGTTTGTTAGGTTTTGTGCTAGGGATTGTGCATGTACAGGACGGAGAGTGATTAACTTGCTATCAGATCCTCTCGAGTCAGGTTAAAGCTTCCCCTCCAAACCAACCCCCGCCCCCCGACCCAGCAACTCTGCTCCCCCGACTAGCAAGGTGTTTTTTCATCGTGATCATCACCCCTGTGTTCAGCTTGGGCGGTGCCCTTGCTGGAAGTCTCTGCTCCGAAGATTTCCAAGGACGGTGGCAGGTGATTGATTAGGCGACCTCCCCGCACGCCCTGGCCAGTCCCTCAGACTTCACTGGCAACACTGAAGTGCGTGTTCGGTGTCCACTGAAGCAACCACACCCTTTCCAGAAAGCTGCAGAGGTGCCCTCCTCTCCCGCTCCACAGCCTATTGTCCCGTTTTTATTTCTGACACCAGACATCATCCACTGGACTGAGCTGGACAGTGTCTGCTCTTCCCCTTTCCCTGTTGGGATAACTTGTTCAGGGGAGTTTCTTACACAACCTCGTCTCCCTTGTCAGTGACCGTCTGTACTCGGAGGCAGCGCTGTGCCGGGAGGAATGAAGGTGTGTGAAATGGACCCAAAATGTGGATGGGCGCCCCCGGGGACCCACAGACACTGCCTCCTCAGCCACAGCCTGGGCGGGACTTGCTGACTCAGGCAGGAGTTTAATCAGTAACTTTATTTTAATTCCATAAAACGACCCAAGAGTTAATTTAGGAGTAGTTTTAAGCACAAAGAGGAAATTTATCTAAAAATAGATTTGACAAAATGTAAAACAGGCTAGGGTTTCCTCTCTGCTAAACAAATGCGTGTAAGTTTTTTAAATTCCCAAGTAAATGATTCGGAAATTCCTTCTGCCTTAAGTCTGATCAAAGGGAAGTCTTGACAGATTGCATTTATCACAGGGAGCACCACCTGATGAAGCAAAAATTTATTTTAAAAAACCAGAAATGTGGTCCGCGGACTACAATTACAATGTGTCTAGGGCATAGAAAATATTTCCACTAAAAGGACTTAGCCTACCTTAGACCACAGGGGAGCCTGGGGGCTTTTGGGTTTGGGTTTTTTAGTATTCAGGTCCTTTCTCAGCAGGAAATGAAGTCACATTCCTTAAGCACAAGCATTAACCTTGTACTAACTTAGATATTATTATGACTTCATAATAAGTCGTAAGTGCAGGAGTCTCGGGTACAGATGAGCAACCCTAGGCTGGAGGAAGCTGGCCCAGTGGGGTGGACAGGATCACAGGACCCCGCCGACAGCCCAGGTCTCCCCTACAGCAGCCTCTGAGCTTCTGCAGGGCCTCCCCTAAGCTGGGCTCATAGGGGTCAATGTTAGGGGTGACGTCGTGACCAGAAACACCCTTCTTCCACGGGTTTGTCTTTCCACCACCATTAAATTGAGCAATACCATGCAAATAGCTGCCAGATCAAGGGAATTTCTCCAGCTGGGGTCTTTGTCTTTCTCCCTCCTCCCACCTTCCTCCTCCCTCCTCTCTCCCCATTGTGTCCTCCTCCCACCGACACCCACCACCCAGTGCCTCAAGGAACTTCCTTCTGAATGATGGTTTATTAAGCACTTCTGGAATAGCTGTCAATCTGATAATGATAAGAACAGCAGCAAACACATTCAGGGTCTTCACGTGCCCTGCCCTGACAGCAGCACTAACTCTTGGTCCCCTGGACCGCACTCTGGGCAGGACACCTGCTTCTCGGCCGCCTTCCGGAAGCACTGGGACACAGGCTGGAGTCCTCCAGGGACTCGCAGCATCTCTGCAGCTCCGGAGCCTTCACAGAGCCCAGGCTCCCTGACTCGGGCCCACGCTATAACCATGTGCATGCCGCCTCTCCCGCTCAGAGAGCTTCCGCCAGTGCCCCCAACTTAGAGTCGTTCCTCAATCTGAGAGCTGTTAAGGAATCAATTCATCTTTTAAATTATATTTTTGATTGTTTTTTCTGATAACACAAGTAACATAATGCAGAAAAATTTCACACACAGGAGTGTGCAACCCAGCAGGGGAAACGTCCCTGTCATCTCAGCTGCTTAGAGAGAGGCACCGCTAGTTAGGTGGTCCTCCTTCAAGATCTTCTCCTTTGTAGAAAGTGAAAAACACACATGTATCCTGTATTTTATTCTTTCAAACCGAAAGCCCCACTGGACCTGCCTTCGCAGCTCCCTCCTCGCCTTCCCTGTGTGTCTTGGGAGGATACCATGTTCCACTTTGGATGAATTTCTCCTATCTGTGGGTAGCTGTGACTGACTCACACCAGCCCTATTGCCACTGGACACTGGTGACAAGTCTAAGTAACGCAGTTGGGCAGGGACATTGTTTGGTGAGGTGATGTGGAATCAGGCTGGGACAGTGGTTGGTGAGGTGATGTGGAATCGGGCTGGGACAGTGGTTGGTGAGGTGATGTGGAATTGGGCTGGGACAGTGGTTGGTGAGGTGATGTGGATTCCGGAGGGGACAGTGGTTGGTGAAGTGATGTGGAATCAGGCTGGGACAGTGGTTGGTGAGGTGATGTGGAATCGGGCTGGGACAGTGGTTGGTGAGGTGATGTGGAATTGGGCTGGGACAGTGGTTGGTGAGGTGATGTGGATTCCGGCGGGGACAGTGGTTGGTGAAGTGATGTGGAATCAGGCTGGGACAGTGGTTGGTGAGGTGATGTGGAATCGGGCTGGGACAGTGGTTGGTGAGGTGATGTGGAATTGGGCTGGGACAGTGGTTGGTGAGGTGATGTGGATTCCGGCGGGGACAGTGGTTGGTGAAGTGATGTGGAATCAGGCTGGGACAGTGGTTGGTGAGGTGATGTGGAATTGGCCTGGGACATTGTTTGGTGAAGTGATGTGGAATCAGGCTGGGACAGTGATTGGTGAGGTGATGTGGAATAGGGCTGGGACACTGGTTGGTGAGGTGATGTGGAATTGGGCTGGGACATTGTTTGGTGAGGTGATGTGGAATAGGGCTGGGACAGTGGTTGGTGAGGTGATGTGGAATTGAGCTGGGACGGTGGTTGGTGAGGTGATGTGGTATAAGGCTGGGACAGTGGTTGGTGAGGTGATGTGGAATTGAGCTGGGACGGTGGTTGGTGAGGTGATGTGGAATCAGGCTGGGACACTGGTTGGTGAGGTGATGTGGAATCAGGCTGGGACGGTGGCTGGTGAGGTGATGTGGATTCGGGTGGGGACACTGGTTGGTGAGGTGATGTGGTCATCCGGCAGGGACGGTGAGTTGGTGAGGTGATGTGGATTCTGACAGGGACAGTGGTTTCTGAGGTGATGTGGATTCGGGTGGGGACACTGGTTGGTGAGGTGATGTGGTCATCCAGTGGGGACAGTGGTTGGTGAGGTGATGTGGAATTGGGCTGGGATAATGTTTGGGTGAGCTGATGTGTAATTGGGCGGGGACAGTGGTTAGGTGAGATGGTGTGGTCATCAGGCTGGGACCCTCTGCTGTGACTGAGACCCGTGTGTATTGTCACTCCCGGGAGGCTTCCCGGAGGTGGTGACATTGTGTGTGATCAGCATGTGTTAGTAAGTTTGGTGCATTCAAAGACCAACTCTGAGTCCATTGCCTCAGCCCCAGGGTAGCCCAGGTGATGCCAGGAGGGAGGGGCTACAGGGTTTGCAGTTCTGGGTTGGAAAGGCCGAGGCCAAGGAAGGAGTGTGGACCCAATCGGCTGCCCACTTAGTGTCCCCGCCCAAGCATTCACTGTCTTTACTGAAGAGCCTCCTGGAGCAGGTCTGCTGCATGTCTCTGTTCCTGTTCGGAGTGCTCTGAGCGTTGGACCTGAGCTTTGGAGGACGGGGGGAGTTTCTCCAGGTGGACCTGGCAGAATGAGAGGAGGGCGGGGACAACTCAAAGACCACCCCCCACCCACCGACCAGGGAGAGTGTCCACCTCTCCTCACAATGGACTTGCTGCGAGTCCTCATTGGGGAGTTTGGTGATGGCATAGCCTTCCTGAAGGAGACAAGGGAAAGTGGCCTTAGGTTTTCCAGAGTCTGTGAGGTTTCAGGGAAAAGCCAGGTCCAAGCAGAGGCATTTCTGGAGCTGCCGGGAGGGGCATGTCCTGAGAGGGGCACACTTGGGGGCCACAGCCTTGCAGACCCCCCGCCCCAGGGCTGAGCCCTCTAGACTTTCCAGAGGCCCAGCCCTTCCTGGGTCGAGATGAACTCACAGAATGATTTTAGCATTTGGTACCTTTTCCTTTTCCTTCTGAGAGTGATGCCACCTCTCACAGCTCCCGGAAGTGCATGGCCACCGAGTCCCTCCCCACCCCTCGGCCAGCAGGGACATGATTTACCGCTAGATTTGGTCTCCAGAAGCCCCTTCACACTGACTCTGCCCTGAGACTTCCAAATACTGGGTTGTGACCAATCCCAGGACTCGGGGAAGCAAGAGCAGTAAGAATTCAGTGTGTGTGTGCAAGTGTGTGTATGTGCGTGTGCATATGTGTGTGTATGTATTTGTGTGGATGTGTGTGTGCAAGTGGATGTGTGTATGTGTGTGTATTTTTGTGTGTGCATGTGCATATGTGTGTGTATTTGTGTGGATGTGTGTGTGCAAGTGGATGTGTGGATGTGTGTGTGCGTGTGCATGTGTGTCTGTGTGTATGTGTGTGCATGTGTAGTGTGTGTGCATACGTTATAGATGTAGATATTAGGGACATATATGTACAGTCACACTTCACTTAATGACAGGGACATACTCTGAGAAATGCGTCAGCAGCTGATTTCATCACCGTACAAACATCAGAGTGAACTGATGCAAACCTACATGGTCCAGCCTTCTGCACCCCTCGGCTTCATGGTAGAGCCTGTTGCTCCAGGCGGCAAACCTGTCCATCCTGTGACTGGACTGGGTACTGCAGACAGCAGTAACAATGGTATTTATGGAGCTAAACAAATCTAAACACAGAAAAGGGACAGTAAAAATACAGCATTCTGATCCCACGGGCCCACCACCGTGTCTATGGTCTGTCACTGGTGGAGACGTCCTTACGCAGCACATGACTGTGTATCGCACACCTGTCTATGTGTGTATGTGTATATATGCATGTATGTTTGAGTCCTTAAAATAAACTAGCACCCATGACAGCCTACTGAGCACTTTTGTGTATTATCGGAATCTGCAAAGAAATAAACCCTTGCTGTTTTTGCCAAGGACGTAAAATTCTTCACCTTGTCTTAGAGCAAGGAAATTTCCAGACATTAGGTAAAACCAGGTCCAATGAGGGGTAAAGATGTGTGTGTGTATGTGTGTGTCTGTGTGTATGCATGTGTGTGTCTGTGTGTGTCTGTATGTATGTGTGTATGTATGTGTGTCTGCATGTATGTGTTTATATGTGTCTGTATATGTTTGTGTGTATGTCTATGTATGTATGTGTGTATGTGTGTGTATGTATGTGTGTGTATGTGTGTGTCTGTATGTGTGTCTTTGTGTGTGTGTGTGTGTCTGTGTGTGTGTGTATGTAACTTGTTTTTATATTTGTTTTCATCACCTATGTGCTCAACTTGAATCAAGGAATTTATCAGAGGAATATTTATTATTTCCAAAGGCATCAAGGTATTTTATTTTTGTTCTGGTTAACATCTTCTTAAAGAGATCTGTTTGAAATAGATAGACTGACATAAGACTAATCTCCCTTTAGGCTTAAAAGAGAAAGGATGAGAAAAAGTCCTGGCCTCTTAAATCACGTGAATTTGCTTTTACTGTGGGCACATTTTGTGCCACGTTTCCTAATAAGCATTTATTAATTGGACCAGGAAATTTTCTCAGATCTGTGTCCGTGCGAGCAAATCCCCAGGCACGGAAGTGTGATGGGGCAGGGGCAAGTTTATAACAACTTTATACCATTGCAAAAGCACATCTGTGTGCCATATGACTCCATTTGCGGCTACTCATACACATTTCTGCAGCAATTGATCAGAAACATTGATTTAGATTCTATTTTAATACTCTGTTTTCTACTAGCAAGCAAGCTTTTTTGTTTTTTGTTTTTTGTTTTTTTTTTTGCAAATGCTAGATAGGACCTCAGAAATGCCCGTGTGGATATTGGTCAAAAGTTAGCACATTTTCCTGAAAGCCTTGAAGCTAGTTGTGTGAGGAGGTTTATGAAAGGAGAATTTTTTTCCAGTTATCCAATTAAAATGATCCATGAGCTCAGCCAGCCCCGGGATGGAGAGGAGGGAGAATGCCAGCTGGGTCTCGAATGGCTATTTTGGGATCTACGGGGACTCTGTTAACTGATCACCGGCTCACCTGGTCACAGCTCAGCCTGGTGACAATCAGAGAGGCCAGTCACTTTCAAGGCACACCACAGTATATCAGATGCTTCCCTGTGATGAAGGCGGGTACGAGCAGTCACTCCAGGCCTGTCCCTGATGCTTTCCTGTGATGAAGGCCAGTGCAGGGGGCCACGTCGGGCCTGTTCCTGGGCTGTGCTGCCTCCTGGTCTCCTTTCACAGGCAGATTCTGTGGACTGCCTGCTCTGCTCCAATGCTGTGCTGGAAATGTGGGGGAGGCCTGGGGAGTGTGTAAGGGGAGCGGCTTTAGCTTGACTTCTGATGAAACTGCATAGGATCTTTGAGCAAAGGTAATTCTGTGGGTGGGGCAGCGAGCAGATGACCACGTGTGGGCTTGAGTCCCCAAGGCCGAAGGCACTGGTCATGCTTGGCCTCTGCCACTCAGCACCTGCTCCACAGTGCCTGCTGCCCAGCCCACCTGCCTCCTCTGCCCTGCGTCCGCTCCACTGCAGCCTTTTAGAGCGTGGATCACTCTCTAGAATTGTGTTTATTTATTTCCTTGGAATTTTCAGCCTTCCTGAGCTACAGCGTTAGAGGGCAAAGGCCTGGTCTCATCCACCTGGGCATCCCCAGCACCTAGAGCCCAACAACAGGCAGAAGTGGAGCATGCATGGAATCGAACAATCATGCCCCCCATAATTGTATGAGGCAGGACTTGGTGCTATTTATCAGAAACGAATTGTCACTCACAGCTCCAAGTCACCTTCCTACTGAAAACGCTTCTCAGACACTCTTTCTTTCTTTTTTTTTTTTTTTTTTTTTTTTTTGAGACAGAGTCTTGCTCTGTTGCCCAGGCTGGAGTGCAGTGGTGCAAACTTGGCTCAGTGCAACCTCCACCTCCCAGGTTCAAGCGAGTCTCCTGCCTCAGCCTCCCGAGTAGGTGGGATTACAGGTGCCCGCCATGACACCCAGCTAATTTCTTGTATTTTTAGTGGAGACAGGGTTTTGCCATGTTGGCCAGGTTGGTCTTGAACTCCTGACCTCAGGAGATCCACTCTCCTCAGCTATGATCACAGGTGTGAGCCACCATGCCCAGACCCAGACACTCATAAAGGCACCGTTTCCTAAACGTGCAGGGTGTCGGGAAGAGGCGCAGGTAGAGTGGGAAGGAGGAAGCCACACTGACTTGCCTGGCATTCTTTATGGACCAGGCACTGCTGTTTCTACTCCCTCCTTTACGGAGGAGCTACAGGCACTGGTTCTGCATCAACACTGCTGGACTGTGCCCCTTCCCAGGCTTGAGGCGGAGGAGAAAATCACTTCGCAGGGTGGTCAAGGTGCAGCTTTCAAGATGACCCTTTGACTGAGGGAAATGAGGAGGTAAACATATCTTTAAATCATCCTTGCCAGATAAAATGTGAATTTGGATTTCAAACTGGAAAAGAGAATGCTTTCTCGGATGGAGGCTGTGCACCTTGGGGATGCCAGGGCTCACCCAAGATAATGAGCACACTTGGAGGAAGGCTGAACTGGGGTTCTGGGATAGAAGTAAAAACTCCTAAAAACAGGCACCTCCAGGAGGAGGGGCTGCCAGCCCCACAGTTGGACACAGGGGTGTGAGGGTACCTTAGATTTCCAGTCTCCTGCGTGCTTTAGAGATGAGAAGCCACTCCTGTCTCCTGGCACCGTGAAGAGGAGATTAGCAGGCGGTTTTCTCCTCTGCACGGGAGCCACCTTCACAAGCCTGCTCTGCCGAGCGCTGGCGATACGCGGCAGATAGTGCTGACAGAAGCCGAAGTGAAATGTCATAGCTTCAGATCCCGTGCGCCGCCGGAGAGCTGGAATGAGGCCTGTTGTGCCTTCAGAGACTAACAGCTAAATCCTTCATTCTTTCAGCTCCCAGCATATGGCATGAAGTAGGGAGTGAAAGATAGATTTCTTTGGATAGGTGCAGAAAATATGTGCAACGTTTTCACTGCCTGGCTGCATAGAAGGATCAAAACAGCCATGTTTTCTGAGAGCAGAATTTGAATGCTTTGAAGCCGTGCCTCCAGATTGGTAATGTTGATTCAGAATTAATACCTACTTAGAGTAATTAGCAACTTATGCAGTAGGCACAGAGGTCACCGAACAAGGAGAGGATTAACTGAAGACACATACCCTGCCTCTGCCGGAGGTTACAGGCCAGTTGCCCGCAGAGGCGTCCTGCCCGGGAGGCATGAACCAGCTTCATTTCATTCTTCTTGCTGGCCCTGCTGCTGTGGGTATCAGATGTATTCCACGGGGCCCTGCAAACTCACACCATCAGACCCGAACGAGGGTCTGAACTGTCCTGGAGCTCAGGTTGCTCAGGAGAAACTGAGTACAGTCTAGGGGTGCCCAGCAAGCCCCTTTCCATGGTGCCTCTCATCCTTGAGCCTGAGATCACCACAGAGAGGGCATGTCTCGCTCTGGGTCTAGCCACAGAGGAATCCGAGGTCTGCCATCAGCTCGGGACCTTGTGAGGTTCCACATGGCGGTGCTTTTGTGCTGGGGACAACAGGAGAGAGCAGTGAACCCCTGGATCCTCCAGCACGTCCCACAGGGGAGGTCAAAAATGCAGGGAGGCAGTCACAGTGTCTGAGAGAGGAGCTTCGACTTGGAAAATGGTGAGCCCTGGCATCTCATCTAGCTGGGGACGCTCGGTTCCCTCGGAATTTGCACCAACCTCCTTCGTCCAATCCTTCCCCTCTCTGCAGTTGGACTGCTGAGCTGGGCTTTGCCCCAGTGACTTGGCCGCCACACTGAGCTACACAGCAGGAAAGGATGCAGCTCCTCCTGTGGGGTCTCCAGGCCCGGCCTCACCCACCCGCTGCCAGGCCTCAGGCACCCGACCAGCCCCCTCCATGAGGCTCCTCTTCCATGAGGCCCCTCCTCCTCCAGGCCCTGGTTCTGCCAGCTGGGCTGCACCTCCTAGCCTACAGGTCTGTCCCACCTGCGTTTCCTGAGCCCCTCTTGCAAGCCTCACATCCATGTCAGCACAGAGACAGATCTAAAGAGGAAGGGGCCATGTCTGTGCCAGGCTGGATTGTGGGCCCCTCCCACACATGCCTTGGTCTACCAACCAGGTATGCTTGAAGGAAGCAGAAGGAAAGAATGAGAACCGCCCCCCACAAACCAACAAGGCCGACTCGGGCACAGAAGGAAGCTCCGAGGCCTTTACAGGGCTGAGCCAGGGGCAGGGCCTGGGGCCCAGATGTCCAGTACCTCAGGGACTCTTTCTCCTGGGCGCAGGAGGAACTGGGAGGCAGGTGCAGCACCCCTGGTGAGACTTGGGCTGAGGATGCTAGAGAGGGGCGGGAATGGATGTGAAAGTGTGGTCAAGACTAGCACTGGCTGAGCGCCAGCTGTGTACTGAGCACCAGCTGTGTACTGAGCGCCAGCTGTGTACAGCAGAGCTCACTCCTCCACAACATGGTCCTTAAGACGGGACCGGGGCTGAGATCCCAGCAGGCCAGTGCCTGGGTCAGGGAGGGCAGGAGCTGAGGCTTGAGGGGGTACTCTGGCCCAAGTCCACCCTCTGACCCACTACCCTCCATGGTCCATGGGGCTGCCCTGGCCCAGGGCTCTAGAACATACTACCAGGGAGGTGGCAGAGGAGAGTGGGCTGAATGGAGGCCCCCAAAACATACATCCATGTCCTCACCCCCAGAACCCATGAATAGGACATTACTTGGAAAAAGAGTGTTTGAAGATGTGATGGAATTAAGAATCGCAAGATGAGATCATCCTGGGTGATCTAGGCGCACCCTAAATCCAATGGCAGGGGTCCTTACGAGAGACGCACAGAATGCAGTTGGGGAAAAGAGAGTAAGGCCGCAAGAAGACAGAGGCCGAGACTGGACTAATGCAGCCACAAGTAAGGAATGTCCGGAGCTCCCAGGGGCTGGAAGAGGCTGGAAGGGCCCTCCCCTAGAGCCTTCGGAGGGAGCATGGCCCTGCACACACCTTGATCTCAGACTTCTGAAATCAAGAATGTGTTGCAGCAGCCCCGGGAAGCTAACATAGGAGGCCCCAATTGCAAACATTCGGATGTGCGGATGAAGGATCCTAGGGGTTCCTGGGGCCTGAGAATGAGGACGAAAGATGGAAAGGATGGAAGATGCTGATGAGAAGCCCAGTTCATAGGGCCCACACCCAGGCGAGTCTGGATCCTTAGGAAAAGAACATCAGATGGCACAGAAATAAGACAGAAGGCCGGGCACAGTGGCTCACGCCTGTAATACCAGCACTTTGGGAGGCTGAGGCGGGTGGATCACAAGGTCAAGAGTTCAAGACTAGCCTGGCCAACATGGTAAAACCCCGTCTCTACTAAGAATACAAAAATTAGCTGAGCGTGGTGGTGGACACTTGTAATGCCAGCTACTCGGGAGGCTGAGGAAGGAGAATCGCTTGAACCCAGGAGGCGGAGGTTGCAGTGAGCCGAGATCACGCCACTGCACTCCAGCCTGGGCGACAGAGCAAGACTCCATCTCGGGGCGGGGGGAACAAAAAAAAGGAAATCCCTAACCCTGCTCTCATCACAGCTCCCTGTGTTCCAGAACCCAGCAGGGTTCCCGACTGCAAACCACTGAAATCTAAACTCATGGGCCCTCCCTGGAGGTGTATCTCCCCGGAGGGACGTCTCCCCAGAGGGGTGTCCATCTCCGGATCCCCCAGGGCTGTCTCCTCTGTCCGAGAAGTGCTGCTCCTGCTCCAGGCTGGAAGGTCCTCACCTGTCCACCTGCCCAGGAGACGCTTCTACCCATTCCCACACCCGGGTCTCTCAACCCTCCCATCTGTTTCTTCTCTTTTGCGGAGTAAGTGCCTCCCTGCAGAGCCAGGGCTGGGCAGCAGAAGTCAGAGATGGAGCCAGGAGAAGAGGGTTCTGGCCTGGCCGGCCATTCCTTGGCTGTTTTGCTCAGGCTCATCACTGAGCTGGCACCATCTTGGGCCTGTCTCACACTGCCACACTGCCCGAGACAGCAGCCATTAGCCGCACGTTGCTGGACAGCACAGACCTGGCACGTGTCGTCCACCCTCGGAGGGGTCCCCTTGCACGGGCTCCACTCCGGACGGTCCCTGAGACTCTCCCGCCCTCACGCCTGCTCTCTAAGCCAAGCACAAAGCCAAGTGCAGCCCCCACTGACCATTCCAGCCCATGCCGGCGTCTGCCCCAGGCCCCAGATCCGTCCTGCTGGTGCGATTGAGGGCACAGAGTCGAGCCTTCAAGTAGGTCTTCTAATATGGCTCCATTCATGCAGAAACCTCCCAGTGGGGCTGTGCCAGGCACTTGGAAAGTGGGAGCCGCAGCCCTGCCGTCCGGGTGCTTCCCATTCAGGGGAAGCAAGTCAGAAACCAAGGCAAGGAGCTCATTCCCGGGGCTGGTGACTGCAGGTGCCCGCAGAGGGCACGGGGGACGTGCCCTTGGTCAGGCGGTCAGCAGCAAAGGCCTCTCCCAGGAAGGCACCTGAGCTGGGACTGGTGGGCTTGCAATTGTGTCCTGGAGTGGGTCTAGGAGAATACGCTAGAGCCTGTCTCCAGCCTTGGTGCTGCCGACATGTGGGGCCAGAGTCTCAGCTGTGGGGCGTGCACTGTGGGGTGCTCAGCAGATCCCTGGTCCCCACCCAGTAGACCCCCCCGCAGTGTGACAACCAAGGAGATCTCCAGACATTGAGAACCTCTGGGGGTCACTGCTGGAAGGAAGGAACCCGAGCTTGGATGTGCTTAGCCTTTTGTGTCCGCCTGATGTCGGGCTGCCTTGGGGCATGGGGCTGAGAGTTCGGAGTGTGTTAAACCAGTAACTGACTGAGGGCAGCTTGATAAGCTACTCACTTCGCATATGCAAGGATATCCCCACCTTTGGTGGTTGCATCCCGTTACAGATTCACCCACTTTATGCTACACAAGAATGGCCGCTGGCAGGTCCCCACAGTGGCTGGTCATGTGGAACGTGTTTACAGTGTCTTTATCTGGAGAAAGATGACTTTTCTGTTCTCATTACAGCCTCGGCCATGGACATGATTTGTTAGAACCTTACTATGAAGTGTGTGGTGGCGCACAGGCGCTCTGACCTTCTCCGTATCCCTGCATTTAATTAGCTGGTCATCCTGTCCTTCGGTAAAGGTCACGGTGGCTGTAAATGCATTTGGGGGGATGCTGGCCAGCATGCGGCCTGGCTGATGAGGGGGCAGAGAGGCAGGGTCTGTGGTGCTCACACCTCGAACGCCCCCAGTCATCACAAGCCCCCCCAGTGCAGGGCGGGCACTGGGGCTCCCTGGGCTAGTGACAGGGCCACGGTTGCCAGGTCAGCGGGCACAGCCAGCTGCCCCTCTCCACAGCTCTGCCCAGGAGCACTGTTCACCGTGGGTAAGCAACCCCAAGTGGCTAATTAGGATATGTGGCAGCAGCACTTTCTGGCTCTCCGAGTTGTTGTCCACTCGAGAAAGTGTTATTTTCAACAGATTGCTTCTCACACAGCTTCCTGCCAAGTCATGTCCCCAGGCTGGATGACATCACCCCACTCAACCTTTCTCGAGCCTGTGTAGTTGTTTCGTGGAGGTCACTGTGTCGTTAGCGTCAAAAGGAAAACAGAGCTGAAGACAAATTAGAGGGGAAGAAAGAGTCTGAGCGGGAGCAGGCCTGCTGCTGGGGGCTTTCACCGCGGACCCGGGGCTTTCACCGCTGACCCGGGGCTTTCACCGCTGACCCGGGGCACACACATGTCGTGACCAGCCTGTAAGAACATCTTCACTTCCAAGGGCTCAGCTGCATGGGCTGGCAATGGCTGAGTGAGTACAAACCAAACAGTGAGGCCAGGGGTTTCCACTGTTGGGGGGCCCCATGTCAAGCCCAGGAAGTGTCAAAATGTGAGCAGGTGGCTGCTGAGGAACGAGGCTCACAGCGCCGGAGCTGCAGGTATCCGTGCAGGCGTGCACTCGGAACACCCCACCCCCGGGGACAAGGAAGGGGGCCTCTGGTCAGAGGATGTGGTGGCTTCCCTTCTCCTGGTGCCTCAAAGGTCCCAGAGGGTGGAATGCGCCATGTCCTGTCCCCTTCACTCCAGCCGTGAGCTCTGCCTGCTCTTGCCTTCAAAGACTGATTCACAGTGAGGGAGGCCCAGTTCTGCCCACAGACATACATTCCCTAGATCTGCACGTCAGGGGAGCGCTCAGCATCGACAGGGAAGACAGTTTTTTCACTGTCAGCCGTTCTGACTGGCCGGGTAGGAAATATGCCTGCGTGGCTGGTCACGTCTCCTGCATCTGGGATATATTCTTGGTCTGTCCTTGGGCTTATATTAGACTCTTGGGGTCAGGCCTTCCTTGAAAAACGTGTGGATCAGAAACTTGGTCTTTCTTTACTCCAGCGCATGACAGAAGTTCCTTGGTAGCACGTCAGCCCAGAGGGCAGGAACCCAGAGAGGTCTCAGGGTTGTCACCCCAGCAAGGGACCCGCTGTGTCATCAGCCTCCGTGCATGCCTGGTCAGTGAAAGAATGTCACCCCGTACGGCCTCACTGTGGGGCCACACATCACCCCATACAGCCTCACTGTGGGGCCACACGTCACCCCATACGGCCTCCCTGTGGGGCCACACATCACCCTATACGGCCTCACTGTGGGGCCATGTCTGTCTTCATGGGTGTCTTCTTCATGTCTTCTTCATGTCTGTCTTCATGGCCCAGGCCTGGGGCAGAGCCGGGGTTGCCGGCTCAGCGGGTGAGTGCCACATGAGTCTTGCCTTCAAAGCTGGAGTGCCTGATCTTGACAGCGGACCGACATCTTCAAGGGAACGGCGGCTCCCCCCTTTTTTGCAGAACACTTTCAAAGGTGTATTCGTGTTCCAGGGCCGCCATAACAGAGCGCCACAGAGGGGCGGTGTAAACAGCAGAGGTGTATGCTCTCGCTGCTCTGGAGGATGGAAGCTTAAAGCCGAGGCATCGGCAGGGGTGGTTTGACGAAAGCCGTCAGAGAGCTCGGAGGGAAGACTCTGTTCCAGGCCTCTCTCCTCGGCTTGCAGGTGCCATCTTCTTCCCGCATCTCTTCACATCGCCTTCCCTCTGGGAGTGTGTCTGTGCCCAAGTCTCCAGTTTTCTAAGAACAGCAGACATACAGGATTGGGACCCACCTTACTCCAATATGACCTCATCGCAACTAATTTCATGTGCCATGACCCCATTTCCAAACAAAGTCACATTATGAGATGCTGGGGTGGAATTTCAATGTATGAATTGCAGGGGACAGAATTGAACCCATAACAAGCGAGTGAATGGATGTCAGGGTCGTGGCTGTGAGATTCCCCACGGGTGAGTGAGTTCCATGCATCCAGGGCTGGTGGACATCTGGGCTTGTCCACATAGGTGGGTTTGGAGGTTTGGGTGCAGCTGGCAGTGCCATGGCCTCCAAGCGATCAGGACATGCCCATCCTCACTGGGTGGGGACCAGCCCTGTGGGCTTCGGGTCCTCATGGGAGTGGCGTGTGCCATGGGGTGCCTTCCAGCCAGCACAGCGGGTCTACGGATCAGTTGGGGGTGGATTGCAAACCAAAGCAAGAGCAAGAAGGAACGGACTCACCAGGCAGGCCTCCAGCGCTGGTAGCTTAGGAGCTGCAGTTCCTGGAACCTCGGTTCGGCTCACGCGGGGATCTCCCCTTCTCAGGGTTGACCTTGTTCTTAATGATTCGGACAAAGCGTCCATTGGCAAAACATTTCCAGATTTGGGATATCCAGGTGAGCCCAGAATGGAGTTTTCTTCAGTCCAAAAAAGACTGCTTTCGAGTGGGACAAGTTTGACCTTATCACAGAAGCATGGGTGTGACTCAGGCCGAAGAGAAGTTCACTCAGCTGCGTGAAGCCTCGTCCTCCTCCTTCGTCAGCTGATTAGCTGGCAGCCGGGAGGAAGAGCCTAGACCTCACGGAGGTCTTGATAAAGCCCCTCTTCACCGAAGTGCAGTCAAGTCTGCAAGACAGAAATTGGACAATGGGAAGAAAGCGTCTTCTTCACTGCCATTTCCCGGTCCCTTCAGCTCTGTTGAGTGGTTCTCATGCTGAGAGTTGGCCGAGAAGCAATAAAACACGGTCCTCTGCCACTTTCTCCATAAAGCCCAGCTGGCCGCCTCATAGGACCATTTCTGACAAACTGGGTTTTGCTGAGAACCACACAAAGACGGCAAAATAAGACTGGCTTGTAATTGCCCATTTCTCGATCCTTGTGGAATCGGGGGCCCAGGATGGGACCGAACAAAGGTGTGTGCAGAGTTAGACGAGGCAGGAGCCACGTAATGGGTCCCTCTGTCCTCCAGGAACGCTCCACACAAAACATTGCTCTGTAAAAAGACGACAAGGGCCACCCTCCCAAACGCAGCCCAAGTCACTAGCCTAGGTGCAGACGCTTCGCACTGTGTGTTGTTACGGTCCTTGCAGGCATTCTGGTGATGCAATTCATTCTTCTGAAGCGTATGAAAGCTGAGTGCGACCTTGAGCCAGAGCCGTCAAAGTTGAAGCAAGGTAAAGCGGTTGCTTGTAATTACACACTTTTTAATTTATCTGTGTATGCATCTTAAAATCACAAAAACTTTGTTTGTACTTGAGCTGCAGATTCAAAAGTGCTTAGTAAATCCAATTACAGGCAATGTCACCTGTAGAAAAAGCACAGGGCATTTCTGTCTAGTTTATCGTGTTATTTTTTTCCAAAGTACTTTGAAGGATTTTGCAATTAATCTGCTGTTCCATTTGATTGAAATTTAGAGTTCTTGATCTACATCTGTCACCTTCCTGCAAAGCAAATCAGGCCTGGTGTGTGACAACCCGCTTTTTACGTGTGGGAGGTCTTGCCAGGCGTGTGCTCAGCTGGCAGAGGCTGTGTGCGTGCGGCCCTGAGGGTGTGAAGACTTCCTCAACAAGCCTTTCTTCATCTCACTCTGCGTGCCGTGGTCAGTGCCATGTTTTCGGGTAGAGCAATGAACATAAAGGATGTCATCCCTCTTGGCTGAATTTACACTCTGGTGGGGCAGGGGGCCACGGGATGTTAGAAATGCGGCAGAGACCAAGCTGTGATCAGAAGTGGGGGCTCTTGGACGAGCTCAGAACACACAGGCCTTGGGTTGTTTGTCTTTTCCTGACTTCTATGTGCAGTGGATTTCCTGCTTTGTGGCAGAGGCTGCTCTGAGCACAGAGACCTGAGCATCATGAGGCATTCATCCTAGTTTAAGGAGACGGGCAGTACACACCACGAGTGTCATGGAGAAAATAGGCCTGGCAGGATGGACACAGTTGATACTCGAGCGTGAATGGAGACACTGGCAGCAGGGGCATTTCATAAGGAGGGGACAGTGTGGCTGGGATATGGGCGGCCTTGCATTTGCAGAGTATTTAACCTAATATTGAAAAGACATCATTTGTCCCCACCAACAAATTAGTGGGGAAGGAAGGAGTGAGGTCAGGTGTGGGGATCAAAGCTCCTCGTCCCCAGCTTGTGTCCCTTCCCCGTCGCACCTCTTCCCCGTGCCTGGATGAATCTGCAAAGAGAGCGGGGATCTGATGTGTGCAGCCATCTCATTGGCCATACAAGAGCTGTCCATGTCTCATCTGGGCCCTGGTGATGAGGTGGCTCCACTCGGGGCAGGGTTGAGGCTTTCTGTGTCTGCATCAGACCCTGTGCACTATTCAGCCTCCCTCCCCTGACTGTGTCCTTTTCATTTTAATTTTAAGCACATGGGATTTAAACAATATTTACTCAGAGCTGCTTTACCTTGTATTTTCATTTGGAAATATTAATTGTGACCTTTCAGAACTCCCAATTAAATTTTTCCAATAAAATGAAAAGGTTGAGCTGGAGCAGAGGCAGGGGTGTGGTTGGGATGAGGGTGGCAGAGTCACAGCCGCTGGGAGTGGCCGGGCAGGTGGCTGTGCCCTGTGGGTCCCTGGCTCGAGCCAGGCCTCGAGCGCTCTTGGCTGAGCCTGGAAGAAGCAGCAGAATTCCCCGTCTTGGGGTCGGGCACCAGTGGCTGAAACGCATTTCCATGGGGGTCAGGACAGTCCTCGGCATCTCCAGCACCTGAAGTTGCAGTGTTTGAGAAGTGCAGACGGGACAGGATCCCTGGTTCTCTCTGTGTTGTCTCAAGGTGCTGCGAGGAAGGCATCAGCTCACAGGAAACCCAGCTCCTTCCCAAGCAGAAGTAGTGGCAGCACTGCCTCCCCACTCTGACATTCTCAGAATGGGCTTTTGCAGTGGAGAACCAATGCAGGTGCTGATCCAGGTCACTCGGGAGGAAGGAGGCCCCAGGTCAGGCAGCCTTGTGGGGCGCTCTCGTTAAAGCTGGAACCTGCTCTGGGTGCTGTGCCACCTTTCAGCCCAAGTCAAGTTTTCTGGAGGCCTGGCTGGCGCCGCCTTCTGAGAGAGGAGAGCGGCTGGCCCTGAAGCCCCCAGAGCCAGGTTGCTTGGCAGGGGTGGTGGGATCCGGTGGCCACAGCGTGCAGTAGGAGTTGGGGTGTCGTCTCAGTGGGTAGAGTCACTCTCACCCCTGGTGTCCACAGAGCTTTTGAGTTTTCAAGATAAGCCAAACATCTGGGCTTTTTTAAAATATGGAATTTGCCAATATCTAATCTCTACGGTGTCAGCCGGGATGTCTGAGTCTTGGCATGGTCATCATCATGGGCATTAAATGGGGTGGCGCCGCTCTGGGCACCACAGGCATTTAGCAGCATCTCTGGCATCCACTCAGGAGATGCCAGTAGCACCACCCCCAGCTGTGACTACAGGAATGTCTCCAGATACTGCCAAGTGTCTCCTAGGGCCAAATGCACCCAGATTCCAGAACCAGGGATATAGAGTATGGGCTGTCATTTTGTGAATTCTCTAATAGTCCAACCAAAGGACCCGGGTGTGAGCTAATGGCCAGCTGGACCCAGGAACGCGTTGGGGCTCAAAGGTCCCCTGAGCACACAGTCCTTCTGCACCCAGCCAGCTGCTGCTTCCCATCCGCTTTGTCTCGTTGGCATGTCCCTCTTTAGGACACAGGGGCCTTGTGCCTAGACCTAGCAGACTTCCTGCAAACCCCACTCACTCACAAACTTCAGGGAATATTTGTTCTCACCTTGGTGGAGGCATCCGCACCTGAGCTAACTCAAGACCCCAGGTGGGGCTGTTTTACGAATCCCATGAAATGAACAGAATGTCACCCTGCTGCCTGTCCCGGCCAGGCCCCTTCCACCTGGCGGGGGAGATGGTGTACAACAGCCGATCTGGGGGACCAGACCCCGGGGGTTCCACACCGCAGAGGGAGCACGTTCAGCCCTTCATCTCTGGCTTCTGCGTTTGGTTTATGTGCTCAAATATTGCTCACTGGGTCTAACCCCTCAGTGTGGGAGAGCCGTAGGTGCCCCAGTGGCCATCTTCACAGTGTCTTTCAATCTCAGAGTCCTCGGCCCATGGCCATTCATGCAAGCAGCAGCTGGTCCGTTCCTGCCACTTCCAAGGACGCTCTGTCAGGAGAGCCACCCTCATGGGACTTCCTCTGGCCCTTGTAGTTCTGGGTGGGAGCGTGTAGAAAAGGGGGACTCATTGCAGCTTGGCCTGGAGGCCCCCTCACCCAAGCTGCATATCCCTGGAAGCTGGCAGCTGGCTTCCTCTCACGACAGCTTTGAGTGTGAGCCCAGTGATGTTTTAAATGTGGTGGATGCCTGCAGAATCGCCGACAGGCTCCATTTGCAAGGGGCTGGCCGGGCTCTTCTGCACACATTTGTGTCAACAGTGAAAAATTACATCACTAGCAGACAAATCAAATACCCCAGTTGTGTCAAGATTTCCCAGATGTGATGTGCTGAGCTCGGAGCCCCTTGTAAATTCCACGCCGCTTCCTTCTCTTAAAGGCGCCTGTGGATTTCTCCCCCACGGGTGCTGGCTTGGACTGGACTTGGGATCTGAAAGCCCTGTTCTTCCCTTCCAGACAGAGAGCAAGCCGTCCCACCCCATTGTGCCCAGTGGCTTTAGCCCATGAAACTGGGTGAGGCTGGCTGAGGAACAGCCGGCCCGACGCCTGCCCGGCGCCTGCTCGGCAACTGTTCTCTGTAAAACTTTTCCAGCTGCGTTGCTCCCAGCTTTCCCGTGAGGCCCAGGACCCTGTCTCAGAGGGTCTGGGCAGCTTTCCCCTAAGCGACTTGGGCACAGCAGGCTTTGGGGCTGTGTGTTTACTAAAGGGGGCTTCAGAGGGCCGGGGGGGATGAGAGACCGGATACCCCACCCAGGACTCCAACCACCACCCGAGGCACCGACAACTGACAGAAAACTGCAGCCGGCCTCATTTGCCGCAGACCCCCTTCTCTCAACAATAACATGTGGGGCACGGTCTTAACAAACATGATGAGAGAAAAGGCTGTAGCCAAAGGCAGCTGTTCAGGAACGGAGAAAGTTTAGCTACGACGAAGACTCCGGGGAGGAAGAACGGATGGAAAGGCCAGCCCAAATGGAAGTTGGAGTTTGCTGAGCTGAGGACAGGGCCTGTGGGATCTGCTGGAAGAGAGGCGAACCAAGACCAAAGGGATCGGTTTCTCCCGAGCTGCACACAGTGGCACCGACTCCCTGATCCCCGATGTGTAGAAACCACCTTGGCTGAATTCTCCCGAGCCCGCTGCAGGCCAGTGGGAACAGTGGTTGGGAATCTCACCGGAACTGGCTCGGGCAGGACGTTCATGGTGAGGTTCCAACCGGAATGAGTCATGTGACCGTCAGCATCCGACCTCCACATTAGCCGCATGACCCTCTGTGATGCCCAGACCAGCTGAGATGCAATCCCCGCAGAGGGCTGAAGAGAGGCGTCTGTGGCACGTGGTGGGGGCCCTGGTCTTTAGAAGCTCCTGGATTCTGATTGCCTTCAGCTGGGCTTTCAGGTGGGTCTGCCTGCAAGCAATCTCAAAGGCAACACTGTTCTGGAAGCTTCCGTGGCGGTACTCTCTCTCCATCTTCCCTGGGATAAAACAGGAAGCTGAGGCCAGTCCCTTACACAGGCATGAGCTGTCATCCATGTCTGGACAGAGTGCCGGGGTCCCCATGAGCGCATGGCGGGGATGCCAGCCCTGCTGCTGAGCCAGTGGTCCTGAGCTCCCTGAGGACAGCACCCGCTTTGTCTTCCCACCTGGTGCCCAGGAGCCTGGCATGGTCCTATGCATGGAGGCCCTCTGTCCACATTTATGGGACAAGGAAAGGCCCAACTCTGCCTTCGTCAGTTGCTGCCTGCAGTGTGTGCTTTGCGCGGCTTGGACAGTAAAGGAAACCTGGGCCTGTTATACAGGGAAAGGACATCTTAAACCAAGGCCTTCAGCCCACCAGGCAGCCCCACTGGCTATGTCCTCCCTGGCACCCTGGGGTGCTGGGTGAACGCGGGATGTGGACACGTGTGAGTGCCGTGTAATCCTTACCTGCCTAGAGCTCACAGCATCCTGCCCTGGTGCATAGTGAAAATGTTACCCCATAAAAAAGGGGAAAGGATGCAAAGATCAATAAAAACAAATCCTTCACAACCGTGGTCCCCAAACTTTTTGGCACCAGGGACCACGTTTGTGGAAGATAATGAAGACAATTTTTCCATGGACCATGAGTAGGGGGGACGGTTTTGAGATAAAACTGTCCCACCTCGGATCATCAGGTGTTAGAGTCTCATGAGGAACGCGCAGCCTAGATCCCGTGCACGTGCAGTTCACAACAGGGTTCATGATCGTGAGACTCTGGTGTCCTTGCTAATCTGACAGGAGGCGGAGGACCTGCCAGGAGGCTCTTCCTGTGTCCTGATCTCAGCTCGGGAATGTGTCTGGTGTGTTTGTTTCCACGTTATGCCTGCGGATGACAGGGAGGGTCATGGTGTGAAATCTGGCTTAGGAAGGCGGCCACCAGGCTTTGGAGGGAGAGACAGTGGAGTTTGCATCCACCAGTGCTGAGGAGAGGAGGCAGCCCAGCTGGCTGTGCCCTGGACCCAGGACCTGGGCTCTGCTGGGGGTCCCGGGCTGTGGCGCGTCTCCCTGGGCATAGCCATCACCCAGCACAGCAGTGGTTTCAGGCAACAGCCCGGGAGGAAAACCTAGGAAGAAGGGCTGGTGCTGCCCGCAAGTGCCTGGACCTGCACACACACACAGGGCTGAGTGTAGCGTGGCCAGCAGGGGGTTGACTTTTACCCCGAACCAGATGTACCAAGCACCCCGCTGACTCAGACTCCCCGCCCCCCGCCTACCCCCAGCAGCTTGGTCCCCTCTGCCTCCTAACTGGGTTGGGGCACCACCCTCCACTCTCCACGTTGGCTGCCTCAGTCTGGGTCACAGACACAGGCTTCCCAGCCAGGGCGACTGCAGCATCCACCTCCTGCCACAGTCAGGGGGCTATGGAGAAACCCAATCCAGGCCCCGGGCTCCCAGTTTGACACCCGGCCACACAGCCCTGACTCGTAGCCGGTGGCTGCAGGCTCTTTGCCCCCCACTTCCCCAGCCCTGCTCCCTCCAGCCTCATGCCCCTTGTAGACCCTCTCCACCCTCCTGTGCCTGGAGCCCCTCCCAGACGTTTGCACCCCACCCCTTCCCATCCTTGGGGCTCAGAGAAATGCTGCCTTCTCCGGGGAGGCCCCATCCTCCCCAGCCTCACATGAGGCGGCGCTGCCTCTGCGGAGGCCCCTTCTCTGAGTGTGCATCATGGACGGGCATCTCCTCTGCAGGCTGTTTGTTAGAGATGAGCACAGAAATCAATAGTGGGCATTGGCAGACGTGCAGAACACCCCGCGTGCAATCTTTTCCTGGTAATTTAGTTCTATCGTATTTTACAAAGTATCAGCTTGTGACAGAGATTGGACATTAGAAAACAAAAGGCTGTTCCTTCAGCCAGACGGACGGGCAGCAGACCTGCTCAGCCCTGCCTTCCCCGAAGGACCTCAGGCTACACGGGCAGTGGGGCTGCGGCCCAGCTCAGGCCTGGCTCATGATGGGAGTGTGGAGGACACTGGCTGAGTTCACATCACCCCAAAGCCTCGGGTCCCAGTGGCGTAGCGGCCGCCCAAATGATGAGCCCACAACGCACCTGCCCCTCTCTCCAGGGGAGTGCAAGCAAATGCAGGAAACTGGGGCCAGGCTGGGCCACTGTCAGGGGTTTTGCTGTCCACAAATTTAATCAAGACAGCTGTCAGCAAAAGTCAGACTTATTTATTTATTTATTTTCTGAGAGCGTCTTGCTCTGTTGCCCAGGCTGTAGTGCAGTGGGGTGATCTTGGCTCACTGCAACCTCCGCCTCCTGGGTTCAAGCAATTCTCCTGCCTCAGCCACCCAAGTAGTTGGGATTACAGGCGGGTGCCACCATGCCCGGCTATTTTTTTCTATTTTTAGGAGGGACGGGGTTTCACCATGTTGGCCAGGCTGGTCTCGAACCCCTGGCCTCAAGTCATCCGACTGCCTTAGCCTCCCAAAATGCTGGGATTACAGGCATGAGCCACTGTGCCTGGCAATTTTTGAATGACAATTTTTTTTTTTTTATCGCTGGCTAATCACAGAGTGAGCAGAGGTGCATGGCAGAGAAGGTAGCATGGTTTCCAGAGTAAAGGAGGGCAAATGGCACCCATAAATGGAAGCAATATTGGTGATGCTCCACTCTACACACTTGCCACGTCCCCTGGTCCTCACGAAGCCCAAAATAGCAGGATGGAGCGGGAGGTAGAGGTTCTTTCTTCTTGTTTTCCCACAGATGGCACAAGCTAATTATTCTCATTTGTGTAGCACCTTACACCTCTGTAGATGTTTTTCAGAATGTTGGAAAACAGATGATCACGTCTGTTTTTGTAGCCGTGTGAGAGTTTTTTTCATTAGCGGGATCGGGCAAGACCATCTGTGTGTTGTAGGGAAAAGTTTGCCACCAACAGCGAGTTTAAAACTTTGAAACAGTAACTGAGTGGGATGTTCTTCCCCTGTCCGTGGGCGGCCAGGGTGGGCCTGGGGAATGCAGAATCCTCAATAAATGGATCCAGAATGAACCGAGAACCTCAAAGCCCTGCCGGGCGGGTCTGCATAGCCCTAGGCACTATCACCCCCACTAGCCTCAACTCGGTGTTTTTTCCCAGCCCAGACTAATGATAACCAAGTCAGAGAACTTTCCAGAAAAACTGGTGGCCAGAAGTCCCTCTGCTGGCAGCTGCCTGTGTGTCCTCAAAGAAGTCAGCTCACCTCTCTGAGCCTGGTGTCCTGGCTAAGTGGCTGCCGATTGGTTCTCTGGGCCCCAATGTGAAGGCATTGAGTGCTTGAGTGTCTATGGATGAAGGCGGTACAGGAACTCCCAAGCTGCCAAGCCTCCCAGCCTCTATCTGTGTGCAGGCCCTGAGTCCTCGCTCCTGCGGCAGAGCCCCCCTCCTGGGGAGCTTCAGATGCACGTTCCCACTTCAGTCCACCAGCTGCATCACCATTGATAATTAAAGCAATGTGCGTTGATGAAAAGGGATTTCATCCAGGGAACTCCACAGCCCCTGCCTCTGGGGCCCTGGGGCTGCAAAGGTGATGGCCTCCAGAAGAGCTGGAGGGCCCTGGTGAGGAAGGGGCAAGGGCCCATGTGGAGCAGGGTGCAGGCAGAGCCACGTTCATCCTGACATTCTCAGTGCTGCAGAGACAAGGTGAGCTGATGCTGTTCCAGGCTAAAGAGACCAGATGCTCACTTATTCACTCAACAAACACTTTCTGAGGCCCTACATGCTCAGCCCTGCTCGAAGTGCCGAGAGACCATGCAGTCCTGAAAGGGGGTCCCTGCCCTCATGAAGCGCGCCTGCCGGGGAGAGTGCACCAGATTCCTGTCACTGCTCTAACAAATCGCCATGAGCTCAGTGGCCTGAACATCATAGGCATACGACCTTACAGTTCTCAAGGTCAGAAGCTGATATGGTTTGGCTGTGACCCCACCCAAAATCTCATCTTGAATTATAATCCCTCTAATCTCCACGTGTCCAGAGAGAGACCAGGTGGAGGTAATTGGATCATAGGGGCAGTTCCCCCACTACTATTCCAGCGATAGTGAATGAGTTCTCAACCATGATATTGAGTGCGTTCTCATGAAACCTGCTGGTTTTATAAGGGGTTCTTCCCCCTTCACCCAGCACTTCTCCTTCCTGCCTTCTTGTGAAGGAGGATGTGTTTGCTTCCCCTTCGCCTTCCGCCATGATTGTAAGTTTTCTGAGGCCTCCCCAGCCATGCTGAACTGTGAGTCAATTAAACCTCTTCCCTTTACAAATCACCCAGTCTCAGATATTTCCATATAGCGATGTGAGAATGGACTAATACAGAAGGCTTGCAGGCTAGCCAAGTAGTTGGCAGGCCTGGCTCCTTCTGGAGACTCCAGGGCAGAATCCTGCCTTTCCCAATCCTGGAGGCCACCTGTGTTCCGACTCTGCCTTCTACCCTCAAAGCTAGCAGCACAGCCTCTCCCATCTCCCTCTGACCTTCCTTCCTCCCTCATAAGGACGCTGTGAGGACACAGAGCCCACCCAGATCATCTGGGATAATCTCCTGTCTCAAGATCCTTGACTTAAACACACCTGCAAGTCTCCTTTGCAATGTAAGGTGGCATAGTCACAGGTCTGGGATTAGGATTTGGACATCTGGGGAGGGCCGTTATTCTGCCTGCCCTGGGGGAAGTGAACCATCACCTACTGGCTTGGGTAGCACCGTGTGCGGGGCTGAAACATACAAGATATAGGGTGGAGGGTGAGGACGGGTGGTGGAGGAAGGTGTCTCTGAGGAAGTGGTATTCCAGCTGCAGGGAGGAGGGGGCCAGCCATGGAGACATCTGGGGACAGTCAGTGCAAGTGTCCTGGGGTGTCATCAGCATGACAGATAGCTGTGCACTGAGGTGAGTTGCTGGGAGCCTGTGACAGACACTGCCCCACTCTGTGCAGGAGGGGTCCCCAGGGGGTTGAGCAGCCTTGGCCAGGAGAGAGGGAGGCTGGAGAGAGGCTTGGAGGGAGACTGGGTCAGCCAGACATGGTGGTGCAGGGACGGAGGGTCTTCCACGTGGATGATGGAACTGAGAAGCCAGGAGAGGCTGGTGAGGCTGAGTGGTCCAAGGGGCCGTCTCCACCAAGCCAAGTAAGCTGTGTCCAGACTTTGGACTTGATCCGTGTGGTGGAGTCCTGTGGGCCTTGGGGCCTCCAGGTGGATGGGAAGGAAGGGTCAGCCATGAGCCCTGGAGGCAGTGGGGCTCTGTGGTGGGCTGCCTGGCCAAGGTGGGAGGAGAACCAGCTGATGAGAGAGATGGCAGTCAGGGACAGGGTGTTTGGAAGGTCACACCAGCTCTGGCAGGGCCAACAGTGTTGATCCAGAGAGGACACTTAGCCACTGCCCTAGAGGGGAGAAGGGCAGGATGGGAGTCCTAGGAAGCAGGGCGGAAGGTGCATGGGAAGGTGCCAGCCCTGCCCAGCTCCTCCTCTTCTTCCCTCCCCAACCTCTCCTCCCCTCCTTTCTTCCTCCTCCCCTTCTCTCCAGCTTAAAGCCTGGATCAAATAACTGTGGTGCAAAAAACCAATCCTACAGGCACATCCCTGGCCCTATAGGGGCACCCACTCCAAGGGACAGACCAAAGTCAGGGTATGAGTGCCCAGAAGGCAGCAGGAGCCGTGGCGAGCTGGCTGGGAATTCAGAGGGGCAGCCCCCATCACGGAAGGCTCCCCATGCCCAGCCTCATGCTGGGCCCTGGTTCAGAGCTGGCCCCATGCCCTGGGCCCATGCGGTCCCCTGGGCAGCCCAGGAGAGTGAAAGCTCTGACTCGCCGAGGGTGGTGGGAACTCCTCGTTGACAGGCAGGAAGTCAGTTTGTGAAATGTTAATGTGCTAATAGAGACAAGCAGTAGAAACTTTGCCAGGACACTGGGGATGGCCCTGAGACTCGTGACTTGGCAGTTCAGAGCAGAAGAGCCACAGCTCTAGAAAGCAGGTCAAGTGTCCACTGTCGTTCACTCATGTGGCCAGTTCTGGCCCCATCTTCCCATCTTGACATTTCAGAAGAGCCTTATCCCTCCTCTCTCTGGGCAGATGTGCAAAATATGCAAAAATAAGTAAAGATGCTTTTGAAATGTATCTGCACATCCTCACAAAATGGACTGCATCTGTGTCCTGACCCCTGCATGTCCTCCAGGTTCAAGGTGCACATCCTGTACCCTTTGGAGATGCACTTTGCAATGCTGAGCTTCAAGGTGCATGGGGTGTCTCCACTCCCCCCCAGACCTCCTGCAAGGAGTGAGCTAAGCCATGGGGGTCCCGTGCAAGCAGCCCACCTTTCAAAGATGCACAGAAATGGGTCCTGTGTACTCTAAGCGTGGAACTTTGTTTCTTAGCTTTGTTTAAAGGCACTTTGGACACGTGTTCGTGGGGAAATCTTGGAATTCATCATGCTTGTCTGCAAGGGTCTCTGGGATGCTGAGCTCCCCAGGACGGAGAGCCGTCTCCTCTGCTTATGTAGCAGCACAGTTAACGGTGGATGTGCAGGTGTGAGGGGCCAAAGACTCCCCCAGAAAAGGACAGTCTGTGCTCCCACGCCAGCGCTGAGTGAGGCCCTGGGGCAAGGGCTGCCCCCCACTGCCCTGCTGTATCATATGAGCCTCCGTTTCCCCATGTGAGCAGCGAGGGAGGGGGCTCCCCATGGGCCGCAGCACCACACCTGCCTTTCGTGATACCTCAAAATGGAAAGTTAGAAAGCAGCCCCTACGTGGTTACTGAGACTACTAGAAGCCCATCTGTGGCTTTACCAGTGACACCTTCTCATCAACAAGGCGGGTGTGGGCATGGGACCCCCATGCTCAGCTTTCCCCGTGCAGTGGGCTGATCAGATGTGTGTTCACCCCAGCGGGACTCAGCACATCAGCCTCTATCTGAATGGGAAACATCACTGGAAACCTGTCTTAGTCCATTGTCTATTCTTTTTTTATTTTATTTTATTTTATTTTATTTTATTTTATTTTATTTGAGATGGAGTCTCACTCTGTCGCCCAGGCTGGAGTGCAGTGGCGTGATCTTGGCTCACTACAAGCTCTGCCTCCCAGGTTCACGCCATTCTCCTGCCTCAGCCTCCCAAGTAGCTGGAACTACAGGCATCCGCCACCACGCCTGGCTAATTTTTTGTATTTTTAGTAGAGACGGGGTTTCACTGTGTTAGCCAGGATGGTCTCCATCTCCTGACCTCATGATCCGCCCGCCTCAGCTTCCCAAAGTGCTGGGATTACAGGCGTGAGCCACCACGCCGAGAACCATTGTCTATTCTTTAACAGAACACCTGGGACTGGGTATTCATGATATTTTATTTTTTGTTTTATTTACCTTTTCTTATATATTTTTATTCCAGTAGCCTTAGGGATACAAGTGTTTTTGGTGACATGGATGAATTGTACAGCGGTGAAGTCTGAGATTGTCATGTAGTGGACATTGTACCCAATAGGTAGTTTTTAATCTCTCGCTACCCTCCCACACTCCCCTCTTCTGGGTCTTCAGTGTCCATTATACCACTCTCCATGACTTTGTGCTCCCTAGCTCAGCTCCCACTTACAAGTGAGGACATGGAATATTTGGTTTTCCATTCCTGAGTTACTTCACTTAGAATAATGGCCTCTAGTTCCATCCAAGTTGCCACACAAGATATTGTTTCATTCTTTTTATGGCTGAGTAGTATTTCATGACACATATATATGCTACATTTTCCTTATTTACTCATTGGCTGATGGGCACTTGGGTTGGTAACATGTCTTTGCAATTGTGAATTGTGCTGTGATAAACATACAAGTGCAGTTGTCTTTTTGATGCGGTGACGTCTTTTCCATTGGGTAGATACCCAGTAGAGGGACTGCTGGATCAAATGGTAAATCTTCTTTTTAGTTCTTTAAGAAATCTCCATGCTGTTTTCCATAGAGGTTGTATTAATTTACATTCCCATCAGCAATGTGTGAGCATTTGCTTTCACCACATCCACGCCAACATCTATTGTTTTTTGACGTTTTGATAATGGCCATTCTGTCTAGGGAAAGGTAATATCTCTGTGGTTTTCCTTTGCATTTCCCTGATGATTAGTGATGCTGAGCATTCTTTCCTATATGTGTTGGTCATTTGTATATCTTCTTCTGAGAAGTGTCTATTCATGTCATTGGCTCACTTTTGATGGGATTGTTCCTTTTTTTCTTGCTGATTTGAGTTCTTTGTAAATTCTGCATATGAGTCCTTTGTTGGATGCAGAGTTTGCAAATATTTTCTCAGACAAGGTAATTTATGGAGAAAAGTGTATTTGAGTGACAGTTCTGGAGGCTGGGAAGTCTAAGGCCATGGCTTTGGCACCTGGTGTGGGCCCTCCTGCTTCCTCATACCATGAGGGAAGGCATCACATGGTGACCAGAGAGCTGACTCTTACAACAAAGCCACTCCTTCCATAACAAGCCCACTCCCAAGATAACAACATTAATCCATTCACGAGGGCAGAGCCCTGATTAATCCATTCATGTGGGTAGAAGGATTAAGTTTCCAACTCAAACACATTCAAACCACAGCACCTTTTAAATTTGCCTCTAGGGACAGACATAGGTGGCTCCCTCTGGTCTGAGACCACCCAGCTTTGCCGGAGTCTGGGGACCCCTGAGACTGAAAGCCCTGGGATGTGACTCAGGTCTCAGAGCAAGGAGGTCAGCAGCCTCTTGGAAGTCACAGCAATGCTCATCTAACATGCAGCTTGCCGGCCCAGGTCCCATGCACTGGGCCAGGCCTGAGGGCCATAGCAGGAGCCAGCATTTCTAACATGCTCTCAGCAGGATTGGAGAGCCCCTGCGATTGGGTGGCCCCCTCAGAGACCCCACCTGATGCCACTTTGCCTGACAAAGTTCCACAGCCCCCTCTGGGCTTTCTTCGGCCAGACATGCCTGGCCACACTTCACCGTGGCTCCAGGCAGCAGCAGCCCCAGTGCCAGCTGGGGCTCTGGAGGTGGCTTCTTTTGCTGTCACTGTGCTCGGCTGGAGCTGTAAAGGGGCAGATGCTCCTCACCTGTGAGCCACCCCTTGGCTGGAGCTGTAAAGGGGTAGATGCTCCTCACCTGTGAGCCGCCCCTTGGCTGGAGCTATAAAGGGGCAGATGCTCCTCACCTGTGAGCCGCCCCTTGGCTGGAGCTATAAAGGGACAGATGCTCCTTCCCTGTGAGCCTCCCCTTGGCTGGACCTGTAAAGGGGTGGACACTCCTCACCCATGAGCTGCCTCTTGGCTGGACCTGTAAAGGGGTGGACGCTCCTCGCCTGTGAGCCTCCTCTTGGCTGGAGCTGTAAAGGGGTGGACGCTCATCACCTATGAGCTGCCTCTTGCCCTGAGCTGGGGCTTTGGGGGCAGGACCCAGCAGGAGGAAGTGTCCCATCCTCACTGGAGGTCTGAGTGCTGCTTTTCACCTGTCCACAGGCACCCACTAAGGTAATCCCCATGGGCTTGTCTACAGAATAGTGCAGGCTTGTGTCCCGCAAAGAAAGACTCACCAAAGCCCTTCGCTTCATCTAATAGCTGAGGTTGGATCAAGTGTGGTGTTCACACCTGTAATCCCAGCACTTTGGGAGGCCGAGGCAGGAGGATCATCTGAAGTCAGGAGTTTGAGACCAGCCTGGCCAACATGGTGAAACCCCATCTCTACTAAAAATACAAAAATTAGCTAGGTGTTTGGTGGGTGCCTGTAATCCCAGCTACTAAGGAGGCTGAAGCAGGAGAATTGCTCAAACCTGGGAGGCAGAGGTTGCAGGGAGCTGAGATCCCACCACTGTACTCGAGCCTGGGCAACAGAGTGAGCCTCTATCTCAAAAAAATAAATAAATAATAAATAAAATCCAAGGTCCTTGATGTATAACTGACCTTGAGGCTGTGGAATGTGGTTCTTGGGCAGGCATTCACCAGGTAGAGGAAACCCTCTGCACCCTCGTCATGGCCCACTGGCTGCCAGTGCCAGCAGCTTCTTCCCATCCCTGCTCCTCAGCATGCTGGGCCATGAGCAGGGCAGGGCGTCAGGGCAGGGTGGCAGGAGCAGCTCCTCCTGCTTGGCAGAGATGAGTAAAGCACTCAACATGCACCAAGTCCCCCTTGACTTGTCCCCACTGCTGCTGCTGTCACAGGACAAAGGCAGGGGAGCGGGAGCAGCCCAGGACAGCCACAGGGCCATGAGCACCATGCCACCGGGAGCTAGTGACAACACAGGGTGGACAGGACAGAGAGTGGCCCAGTACTGGGCAGGACCAGCCACAGACGCTGCTGCTCTCTGAGCACGGGGACTCTTTGCAGTGGCGCCCATCACTTGGGCAGCTGGAAGCACAGTTTCCCCCCACAGATATTTCGTGGGGTTTTTTTGGTTTTTGGTTTTTGGTTTTTTGTCGTTGTTTTTTTGTTTGTTTGTTTGTTTTTTTGAGATGGAGTCTCGCCCTGTCACCGAAGCTGGAGTGCAGTGGTGCGATCTTGGTTCACTGCAACCTCTGCATCCTGGGTTCAAGTGATTCTCCTGCCTCAGCCCCCTGAGTAGCTGGGATTACAGGCGCACACCACCACACCTGGATAATTTTGAATTTTTCATAGAGGCAGGTTTTCACCATGTTGGTCAGGCTGGTCTCGAACTCCTGACCTTAAGGTGATCTGCCGGCCTCGGCCTCCCAACGTGCTGGGATGACAGGCGTGAGCCACCATGTCTGATACTTGGTTTTAATAAGTGTGCATCACCGCCCTGCCCCCCGCCCCCAGCCCCCAGTGTGCTCAGGTAGCCGTGAACCAGGTGTTGGGCTAGTTTAGTGGAAGGGACTGACATGGAGACAGGAGAGTGGGCTCTGGCACTGTGAGGGAGGCCGAGGAGCCCACCGCCTGAGGTCAAGTCCTGCCTGTGCCACAGAAGGCCCTGATGTCCCCTACAACCTCACACATCACATCCTCAGCACCCTACCAATGCTGGCCTCTGTGGGTAGCGTCCCCTGTGAAGGGATGCGGCCCTTTACTGTAGCCACGCTGACCTGGTCCCAGAGAAGGCAAGGGAGCACCCACACTGTGGGGGTGGGGCTGGTTAGGACCCACCCGGAAGACTGAGCCGCTGGGTCCTGCTGCCTTCCCCAGGGCAGGGTGAAGGGTATATGCTGTCCAAGGGGCCCTGCCTTCCAGACCCCACTCTGCCTCCGGGGGAAGCCCAAACCTGCCCTTCTCGGCATCCCTGCCTCTCCTGTAAGGCGCTGCCAAGCCACACTCGAGTCACTGTTCTTCCTGGATCATGCCAAGGGTGGGAGCCTGGTCCCTCTGGGTGTTGAAGGAGATAATTCAGGTGTGATGAAAAGGAATGCTCCTCTCTGGCTCTGGACACACCCAACACAGAAGGAGGCAGGTGCCTGCTAAGGCTGACGCTGGTTAGAGGCAGTGCCAGGACAGTGCCGTCCCATATCCCAGGCCGTGCTTCCCTTCCTGGAACAGGCCAACCTCGATCACAGCCAAGCACCACCTGCACAGGCTCACAGGGCAGAGCGCTGCAGGGGCTACCCGACTGGGTGTCCTAAGGTGAACAGAAGCCTTTCAATGGGACATTAACTTGAACCGAAGCCAGAGGAGCCTGCATGACACTGTGTGAATTAGCTTACTCAACTGAAACAGGGCATTTGAGTGCAGGAGACACTAGGCTAACAGGCCACCCTACACCCCTGCACACACACACTCTCACCAGCTGCGGAGGAGGCTGCACCCACCATCCCGGGCTCCCAGCGACAGCTGGCTCTATCTTGGACTTCACTGTTCCTGCTGTCAGGCTGGGGATGGAACTCTCTGTCTGCTGCTTGTTGGAGCTCTTCCAGCCCAGGGTGTTGGTTAGTGGGTGAAGCAGGGGTCTTCTCTCCTCGCCCTGCCCCCTGCCCTGCACCAGATGAAAGAGCACACTCAGCATCACGAGTGGCTCTAAGTGTGATGAGAGAAGGACCCTCCCTGGCCACACTCGTGCTAATAGGAAGTGCTGGCGAAAGCAAATGATCAAAATCGTATCCCAGCCTCTTCATGTCACCTGCAGCCAAATGGCTTTGCATCTGAAAGCCACACATAATTGTCAGCATCCATGGGTTCTAATCAGAGATTTTTTTTTTTAAGTCTTGGTAGTTTTTGTTCATTGCTAATACAGAGAAGGATGCAAGCCACTGTTTAGTGTCTGGATGTAAAAGAACATTTCTGTGCCGTGTGGCCTCATTGCAGAATCTTCCAAGGTACGAGTCAGCCACGGAGGCCTGTGAGGTTTTTATTCCTTGCTTTCAAAAACACAAGCTGTTTTTCCCCTGGAAGAGCATGTAATGTGCAAAAACATTAGCAATATTGCAAAATGCTTGCGTGAAATAACTGTGGAAATATTTCACTAACTACATTAACCTTCGCTGGCTTTTCTTCCCCTCCCAACCCAAAGAGAGATAATTTCTCGGGAGTCTTTATCTCGTTCCTCTGTATAATTGCCGCTTTAAATCACAAAAGCCTTTAGAGTTATGGATGCAAAACGCATGGAGCTATGTTTAGGCTGTGCTCACCTGCAAAGCTGTGCGATCCAATGTCCCCCCAGAAGAGAAACCAAAGGAAGAGCGTGGGGAAAGCTGGTGTCTCTCTCGAGGTGTTTCCGAGCAGCCGTGTTAATATCATACGACAAGATGGGGCCCTGTCTCTCGTCACTTCCTTTTGTTCTTTCCTTCTGAAGAGTGGATAATTCCTGGCAGTTTCTGTTTCGCTTGTAATTGTTTTTTAAATTAAGATAAACCTTGCAGCCCTGACTGTTGAGATGAAGGCGCGGCTGGTGGGGAAGCACCTTGCTTTTGTGAACAGCAGAAAAGGTGATAAGACATTGCGGTGTGCTCCCTCCCAGAGTTTAAGCACCGCAGTTACCACTTTGCACCATGCTCATGGGTGAGCGGGCGTCTTCCTTCTTGCAAGTTCCTCCCATGTCTCAGTAACGGAGAAGGAGGCGGTAGTGGAGGGCAGTCGGCGGTGGGGGTTGGGGAGTGCCGCCTGCTGTTTGGCAGCATCGCCCGTGTGTCTGCAGGGCCCTCCTGCCTTCGGGTGGAGGGCATGTTCACGTAAGTTGACTCATGTTTTGGGCGAACGTTGGTGGTGAGAGGAGCTGAAGTCTCCCCATCTCTCAAGGATGCAGCAGCCAGGTTTAGTTCTGTGCTCTATGGGCCGCACCTCCTGGCCCCCCATCCTGCTCCGGATTCCACAGCTTGGTCTTGACTCACCAGGAAGCAGGGCAGCAACTTGAGAGTGATGCAGGGGACACGTGCAGGGGTGCAGAGTGTAGGGGTGCAGGGGTGCGAAGTGTAAGTGTGTAGGGGTGCAGGGATGCAAGATGTAGGGGTGCAGAGTGGAGGGGTGAAGGGGTGGAGAATGCAGGGGTGTAGGGGTGCAGGGATGCAGAGTGGAGGGGTACAGAGTGGAGGGGTATGGGGTGCAGAGTGTAGGGGTGCAGGGGTGCAGAGTACAGGGGTACAGAGTAGGGGTGTACAGTGCAGGGGTGCAGCATGCAGGGGTGCAGAGTGCCATTCCTAAGCCATCGTCTTGTGTCTGTGTTCTGTGTATTTGCTTGCATGCTTTTCTCTCCAGCGTGATTTTCTGATCCGTGGATACACACAGGCTCCTCCCTATTCAGCTAAACCTCCCAGCTGCCTCTAAAAGCTGGGGATTGTAGGGGTCGGGGAGGCGTGTTCTCTCATTGTACCATCACATTGAATTGTCTCAAACACCCTGCCAGGTAGAGGTGGTTATTTCCCTTTGACATGAGACAGTAACCATTAGCTTGGTGGCTTCCCTTGGTCCAGTGAGTCATTAAACCTGACTTGTTGGCTACAGGCGAGTGCCTGGTGGTTTCTGGGCATTGTGCTTGGTCAGATCCGACGTTCCGAGGGTTCAGCTCTCCAAGGCCACACCATGTGTCCCCCCGGCTCCCTGCCCTGAGCTCCTCCCGAGGTAGCTTGCCACTCTTGCACCCTCCAGTAGCTCTAGCACAGAGTAGGAGCTAAGCGCACAGTGGGACTCAGTGACCTGAAGCGGGAGGTGAATTGAATGCCTCCAGGATGAGTATGTCTCTTCTCAGCAGCCAGAAGGGTCCAGTCCAGAGGCTGCCCTTCACTGAGAGCATGCTTTGCTCTCTAAGGAAAGCCCAGAGCTTTCTTTCACCATCTTCTAATGTGCATTCAGCAGAAGCTGTAACTCACTAGAAATGGATGGAATTAAGGCCAGGCATGGTTGGCCAGGCTGCTGGACAGTCCTCTCCAGAAGAGGAGCCCACCCCGGCCTGGAGGATGGACACCAGGGGCTCTCCCTCTGCCTCCAGCCCTCCTGCTTCTCAGTGTCTAAATCATCAGAAAAAAAATCATTTCTGGTTCATTGACCTTTCTGCAAATTATAATTTACACCCAAGGGTAAAATGTCATATAACTTTTATGCATTTAGCTGGGCTTTTTCACTGCTATCTTAAAAAACAATTCTTTATCAAGACTTCATGTCAGAATTGCACAGGGATAATTACCTCAGGAGAAACGCTTCATTTGCATAATGCACCATGCACATTTCCCCTTGGGGCAGTGTTGTTGAGGGCTGGTGATATGCTTCTCTGGAAGGGGGCATTGGTGAGGCTTGGGGATCGGTCAAGGACCTCGTGAAGTATCAATCACCTCCAAACTGACTTCATTACCAGCTTTTTTCCCCAGCCACAAATTAAATCATCAGAGTGGATATTGGATGGGCAGGAATCTTGACAAATTCCTGCAGGACCCGGCCCGCTGTGTGGCATCCCTTCCCTGGCTGTGGGAGGCTCCATGGCCCACACTCTCCATTGGCCCTTTCAGAGAAATGGGGTGTGCTGGAGAGTGGGGGCCCTGGGCTCTTTCCTGCTCAAGGACAGAAGACAGAAACCTCACAACCTCCACCTTCAGGCACCTCACCGTCCAATGTGAGAGAAAGAACAAACTGAGATTGCACAGAGATTTAGGAAGCCTTTGCAGAGAAACATACAGACAAGCACGCCCCAGGCCAAGAAGAAATGGCAGATTATTTTGGAAGTATCCATTAAAATTACTTCTTTAGATGCAGGACCTGCTTTGGGGTTTTTTTTCTTTGTAAGTGACATTGTATTTATTGCAGAAAAGAAGCCATGGTTGGAAAGTCAGGACTATCTCTCAATGCTGTGGAAGGGCTGCTGATGAACAACAGAGACGACCTCTAGCCCAGCGTGCTGGTCATGCCAGCCGCCGTCATCAGCACTCACTGCTACACACATGTTGACATATCCTTGGCACAGAGCCCACTCATCCTTCCAGAAGTGAGGAAGGATTTCACCTCCTCAGGCCTCTGAAGTTAGAGGCGACCACATGACTTGTCTTGGCCAATGAAATGGAAGCAGGACCCAGGTGCATCCCCCCAGGAGGGGCCTTACCAGGCTGTGTCTAATCCCTTGTGGCCAGTCTCTGCACTGGCCATCGTGGAAGCAGAAAAACAAGCCTCTTCCACTCTGTCCCAAGGACTCTGCAGGGCAGGGCGCCCCCCCACCCCCCACGCATGCACAGTGGACATGTCATGTGCATGGACCAGCATCACGCTCTGCTCTTTCAAGTGACAAGATCTGGGAGCAGTTTGGTACTCCTAACCCAGCCTGCACTGACAGATACACCCTGAATTTCCAACAATGCCTTTCATCCAAGGAAAGCAGAAATTTTGTGGGGGTCCCGTGATCACCTCCCCTCTAGGACTTCTCAGACCCTCTGATGTGCATTGAAAATTTCCAAGAAGAGAGAAGACGTTCCTGGGACGATGCTGTTGTGACCTGAGAGTATCCGCTGATTCTTTCCTCGTGCTCTTTAGAAACAGGATTTGGATCAGGAACGGCCACCACAGACATCCTGGGTCCTGCTTGCTTTGGACTGACCCCTGGCTGAGGAAGAGGACGCTGTAGAAGACATTAGAAAGTGGAATGGTGATTTTCCTTCTGCACAAGGGCAGACCTCACTCTTCATCACCGATCACCATGAGTCTGGTCATGTGTCCCCGACTCCCAGAGGATCAGAGTCCTTGTTTTTCCCGAAGAAGTCCTCAGCAATATCCTCACACGGCTTCATGGAGCCCTGGTCAGCCTGGAGGGAAGTGGACCCTTGGTCTCAGTGGTGGCTGCTCCCCTGCCCAAGGGCAGCCTCACTGGGTGAGGAGCCCCTGCACCTCCTCCGGACCCCCGTCCTGGCTCCTCAGCACCGGGCAGGCCCCTCCCGGGGCCCTCTGAGCACCGTGCGCCATGGGGCAAGCAGTGCAGCTGCCGTTTAAATGAGTGGGTTCTGGCTCTGTCGTTTTCCTCCCCAGGGCCTGCAGCCTCCTCCGGGCTTGGCTTCCCTTTGCTCAAGGCAGGGTTGGCCTGGGCCCTGCTGAGGGACTGGGCATGATGGGCACCTGAGACCCTAGGAGCTTCCATCCTCACTTTACAGATACCCCAAGCACCTGCTCTTCTCGAGGGTTCCCTGAACAGCTCAAAAATGCATGAGAAGTGAACGCACCTGGGACAAGAGGGCTGACAGGGAGAGGTTTCCTGGGCAGGGCTGTGCGGTGCAGAGAGAAGAGAAAATCTATTTGCATTTCCTGAGTTACTTCTTATTTACTCTAGAAAACATAGTTGGCAGCCAACCAGAGTGTGTTTACAGAGGGATCTGGGCTGGGAAAATTCAGGGTCATCTTTGGATTCAGCCCTAGAAACCTGGAAGTGAACATGAGCCAGACGTGCAAGCGGCTGGCGGCTCCATGCGGCAGGTGGGGTGGGTCCCCATGCAGGGGGCACAGGATGGAGGCTCCATGTGGCAGGGGGGTAGGTCCCCATGCAGGGGGCACAGGATGGAGGCTCCATGTGGCAGGGGGGTAGGTCCCCATGCAGGGGGCACAGGATGGAGGCTCCATGTGGCAGGGGGGTAGGTCCCCATGCAGGGGGCACAGGGTGGAGGCTCCATGCGGCAGGGCGGGTGGGTCCCCATGCAGGGGGCACAGGATGGAGGCTCCATGTGGCAGGGGGGTGGGTCCCCATGCAGGGGGCACAGGATGGAGGCTCCATGCGGCAGGCGGGGTGGGTCCCCATACAGGGGGCAGGCAGGGCACAGTTGGGTGGACCCAGCGGGCTCCTCACTGCCCTGCCCCTGCTTCAAGGCAGCATCCAGGCACTTACCGTGCCAGCAGCAGGGCAGCCTCAGACAGGAGCCAGCATAGCCAGCGCCTGTGTTGTAGGTACCGCAGTTCAGAACCCCGTGTCCCGCCAAGACTCCCCATGAAGGCCCTCACTTAGAAAACTCTGGAATGTGTGAGCTGAGTACAGTGGGCTCAGTGAGAAAGCTCAGCCCTGCCCCCTGCACTCCCGTGGAGCCCAGAGGTATTTACCCAACCACAGCCTCAGAGACTGCAGTGTTGGCTCTACCAAAACAAAGGCCCTTCCAGACAGAAGAGGCAGCAGGAAGTGGAGAGATGAGGGTGTCTCCTGCTGCCCCTTCGCCCCGACCCCGGGCTGTACTGTGGCCATCAGGGCTGTCCACTTGGGGGCAGCAGTCAAGATGGGAAGATTCTGTCTTGTAGTCCTTGCCTCAGTCAAGATGGGAAGATTCTGTCTTGTAGTCCTTGCCTCTAAATTTTCCTCCTGATTTGTACACCTGCAGTCAAGGGCAGAGGGTAAAATATTTTCTGTTTGTGTATTTGTTTTTAATTTAAAAAAGAGAGAGGGCCAGGCATAGTGGCTCATGCATGCAATCCCAACACCTTGGGAAGCTGAGGCAGGAGGATCGCTTGAGCCCAGAAGTTCAAGACCAGCCTGGGCAACATAGCATGGCCCCATCTCAACAAAAATAATTAAAAATGAGCAGGGCATGGTGGCAGGTATCCGTGGTCCCGGCTACATAGGAGGCTGAGGCAGGAGAGTCACTTGGATGCAGGAGTTCAAGATGGTACTGAGCTATGATTGTGCCATTGCACTCCAGCCTGGGCGACAGAGTGAGACCCTGTCTCTAAAAAATAAAAAGTAAATTTAAAAAGGTGGAGGAGTGAAGAGGAGCCTCTGTGGAGTCAGTGTGTTGATGACACTCATGTACACATTTCCTCCACCCATTCCTCCTGCTTCAGGGACATCTGTGGCACCGTCCACCTGCACACACCGCAGCGTAGGAAGGGCCTTGCCCCGCACACACCTCCCCGAGCTGGTCATAGACAGTGCACACTGCACAGTACACACGCACATGCATAGGCACCTGCAGCTGGGAAGGGCCAGAGCCAGGACCCAGGTCTGGTCTCTCTGCCTGGAGTTTCTTCCCCTGTGGCTTCGCGCTGCCTGGGAGCAGGGAGCACTGTTCCCAGTATCAACAGGAGCTGCCTTCCTGAAGCTCACCTAGGCCTCAGCTCTCTTTCTCTCAGATGTTTCTGAGAGCTTTGAGAGGAAAAGGAAATTGTGACTCCCTCCAGTCTGAATGGATGAAACTGCCACAGGAATGCTTTTTAAATACAGAAAACAAGAAACACCCCCAAATTGCACTTATGGGAAATGGAGTGCAAGCAGAAACCAACCCTGGACGCCCGTCAAGAGTCGCCCCTACCTCCACCTCTCCAGTGGGCTTTCCCATCTGCAGAGAGACACAAGGGGGGAGGAGGCCAGAGGTGAGGGAGGGGAAGGCGAGGAAGGGGAGGGCTGGGAGGGGAGGTGGCCTCTCAGGACAGCAAAGAGAGCTGTCTCTCCACCTGAGCCTTAATTGCAAGTGATTTCATTAGCTCAGTCCTGATGTGCAAGGCACTAATGAGGGAGGCTTGCGGCTCTAGAAATAGCCTGGCCGGTCCTGTGTCTTGTGTTTGAAAGGATCCACCCCAGGGCCTGGCTTCCCTGAGTCCCAGCTATCAGCTCCAACATCTTTCTCACCACGTCACATGGACAACGTTCAGATATGTGATGGGAGCTTTCAGAGACGACAGGAGCCAGCCCCCAGCCACCACGACCAGGGCCCTGCAGTGGGGAGAGCATGGCATGGGGATAGTCTCGGGGGGGACTGTGGTGAACCCTCTCCACTCCTGCAGCAACAAGTGTGTCTGGGTACCCCCAGTGGCCCAGGGCTGATGCCACAGAAGAAACAGGAGCCGAAAAGCAGCTGGGAGCCGCCAGTGACCATTGGCACCAGCACAGGCCAGGTGCCTCATGGTGGAGTGAGTTATCCCATGAGCCAAGCCTGGGGTATTCTCTGAGGTGCCCTGCGGTGGTTTCTGCTTGGGAACCCCCTCCTCAACTGATACATCTTGAAGGCAGAGACTACATTTCGGAAATCAGGGTGTGCTGGGTGTTTATTTCTCAGTGTGTCCATATGTAAAATGGGGTGATAGTAGTCCCAGCCTAAGGGCATTGTGGGGACCTAGTGAGGTGCTCTGTGTCTCGAGTTTGGTACATTCCCAGGCATGTGGTATGGGCCAAGTAAGCAAGAACTGCCATCATCATCATTATGCCATCACCACCATTGCTGCCATCATCACCATCACTGCCATCATCATCACCATCAGTCCCATCACCACCATCATGACCATCACTGCCATCATCACCATCAGAGCCATCATCACCATTGGTGCTATCATCATCACCATCGCTGCCATCATCACCATTGCTGCCATCATCGTCACCATCGGAGGCATCACCATTGCTGCCATCATCGTCACCATTGGTGCCATCATCACCATTGCTGCCATCATCACCATCACTGCCATCATCACCATCACTGCCATCATCATCACCATCGGAGGCATCACCATTGGTGCCATCATCATCACTATCAGTGAGATCATCATCAACATTGCTGCCATCATCACCATCAGAGCCATTATTACCATCAGTGCCATCATCGCCACCATAGGTACCATCATCATCACCATCAGAGCCATCACCATTGGTGCTGCCATCATCACCATCGCTGCTATCATCACCATCACTGCCATCTTCACCATTGCTGCCATCATCATCACCATTGGAGCCATCACCATCGTTGCCATCATCATCACCATCAGAGCCATCATCACCATCAGAGTCATCATCATCAACACTGGAGCCATCATCACCATCAGAGTCATCATCTTCACCACCGGAGCCATCATCACCATTGAAGCCATCACCATCAGTGCCATCATCATCACCATCAGAGTCATCATCATCAACACTGGAGCCATCATCACCATCAGAGCCATCATCACCATCGGTGCCATCATCGGTGCCTTCATCACCATTGGTACCATCATCATCAGTGCCATCACTATCTCTCTTATCACCATTGCTGCCATCATCATCATCTCTGTCATCATCACCATCACTGCCACCATCATCATCATCACTGCCAATATCATATGCGTTATTATTATCCTTTACCTTAGTCCACCTTTATTACTTTAAAGGACAACCTGAGGCTGGGTAATTTATAAGGAAAGGAGGTTTAATCGGCTCACGGTTCTGCAGGCTACACAGGAAGTATGGCATGGGCATCTGCTTCTGGCGAGGGCCTCAGGAAGCTTCCACTCATGGCAGAAGGCAAAGGAGACCATAGGTGTGCAGATCACGTGGTGAGAGAGGAGGTGGGAGAGTTGGAGGTGCCAGGCTCATTTCAACAACCAGTTCCCTTGGGAGCTTAGAGTGAGAACTCCCTCCCTCCCTTGAGAATGGCACTAGGGAATTCATGAGACATCTGTCCCCATGACCCAAATGCCTCCCCCCGACCACCCCCAGCCACAAGGCCCACCTCCAACCCTGGGGATCCAATTTCCACAAGACTTAGCTGGGCCAAACCAACCATGACCACACCATGGCATTGCTGTTTGCTGTTAGGGCTAAGGAGAGGCCTTGCCCAGGTTAGAAGCAGGTGACTCACTCCCAGCAGTGTAGGAAGCACCTGCGCCTCTTCATTATGGAAGAAAGAGCTCAGGGCCCCTTGGGCCACCTCAGTGAGTGAGATTTAGCCAGGGCCTGAGCAGGCCACCTACCCTAGGAGGATCCAGAGACCTCAGCACACCTTTTTTCTCTCTAAACCCCATCAGCCATAGAACCTGGCCTCTCTGCTTTCCAAGGCTGTGAGTGAGTGGGCTGCTGTGTTCTGCAGGGGGTGCTTAACATCTAAGCATAACCACCTGTTTATGAGTAGACATCTGTGTGTGTCTTGCATCCAGGAAGCTCTTCATAGCAAAAGCATAGGGTGGAAGGGAGCAGGGTGGTGGAAGATCACGTCACTGTTGACAGGGCAATGTTATTTAGATGGTGCCTTATTCTCATCCTTCCATCCTCTAAAACTCTGCTTGAGTTTGTCTTTCAAGGAAGGGCTCAAGGGCCATGTCTGGAATGAGCAGGAAAGGGGAGTGCCAAGCAACATGAGGCTCGTGAGGGTGGGGAGTGGCAGTGAGCCAGATGCCCCCAGGTGAGCACTGGCCCACCATGCCCCAGCGGTGGAACCTCGGGATACGGGGCAGGATACCTGTACCTCAGTTTCCTCTTTGGGAAAATGGAAGGAACATGACCTTCCATATAGGTTTGTGTGGGTTCTGTAAGAGAATGTGCTCCAAGTGCCCAGCAGGATGTCTGAGCAGACAGTATTGAATGAACGGATGAATGTATGAGTGAAGATTCAGGAAACACTGGTTCATGTTGGTTCATGAAATGTTAGTTCCAGATATTCAATAAAAATGTGACGTTTTTAAGAGTTCTAAAAATAACTCGCACTTCTCCACACCGTTAAATGGACTCTCACAGCCTTGAATGAGAGAGCAAAAGTCCCAGCAAGGCCACCCCCTCCAGGTTCCCAAGGAACACCCCTAGCCATCAGGACACCGCTGGCCCTGGGAGAGAGGGACAAAGGGCTTTCCTCCCTGCAGTGACTCAGGGCAGCAGCGGTGCCCCGATGTCCTGGCCAATGCCGGGAAGAATGTCAGTCTCCAGCCGTCCTCGCCCATGTGGGAATGACAAGCAAGGCTTTGCCCATTAGCCCTGTTGCTCTGCGAGCGCTGACTGCAGCGTGTTTTGACAAGAGGCCCTGGCATCTCACAAGCCCAGGAGTCCTCGGTGCATGGCGCATTGGTGGCTGGATTTGCCACTATTATTCTCTGCTCACTCCTGTGTTGGCGTGAGTGGGAGGACTTCATTAGCGACATCGCCCACATCAAGAGCCACTGTGCTTCGTTCCAGTGGGCACCAGTAGGACTGGCTAATGAGGCGCTCACAGCTCAGTTTCTACGGCCACTGTGGAAAAGAACTTTTGTGTAAATACCTGCCTCAGAATGTGGCCCTTCCCTGCGGCCCCCTCTTCTGTATCTCCCAATACACCTGCACTTTTTTTCTTGAACAGAGAACTGTTAATTAGTGCCAGAACCTAGAGAAATTCCTCTCTTTATATAGGCTCAGAGCCCTTTCACGACGTAAGGCTCTTTCGCCACAGCAGGGAGCTGCAAACAGGCTTGCTGAGGTCCTTTGAGGAGCTGCGTCTCCTCTTGGCAGAGTCTCTGGTTTGCACATAGCACCATAAATATTCAACAAAGACGTGGAGACGATGAGTGCAAGTTTTGGGGGACAGGGCCACACCGGAGAGTGTAAGGCACACACTTGTTGCCATGTTGGCTGGCTTTTCTTAGACAGGAAGAATCCCATGGTATTTTCTCATCAGAGAGAGATGCAGTGTCCATGAGGATGTGAGATTACAGCGTTGGATGCATCAAGAAGAAAAGCCAGAGGGAGACGCAAGTTTAATATTTCCTGCCATAAATGAGACGGCAAGAGAGAGGTTTCACTGTTTTACTTTATAATGGGATTTCTAACATTCCGGAGACAGAGTGTTTTGTTTTCTTTGGAGAAGGTACAGCTGATAGATAGTGAATATCCATTTCTTAATAGACTTTGGTTTTCAGAGCAGTTTTAGGTTTATGGGAAAATGGAGCAGGAAGTCACCCCCCTCTCCCACTGCCAGCTTCCCCTGTTGTTAACGTCTTGCATTCGTGTGTTGCATTTGTTAGGACTGACGGACAATGGAAAAATAACATGTCAGTACCGACGCGTTATTAGGACACAGTCCAGGCTCCAGGAGGGCTCTGTCTTGGTGTGGCGGATTCGTGGGTTTGGACAAATGCATGGTGGGTTTGGACCAAATGCATGGTGACACGGAGCCACCACTGCAGACCTCACAGTGCTGCTTCCCTGCCTGAAAGTCCCCCATGCCCTCCTGTTCATCCCTCCCTCCTCCCACGGTCCTTTCACTGTCTCTGTGGCTTTGCCATTTTCAGAATGTCATGGAGTTGGAATCCTACGGGTATGCAACCTTTCAGATGGGCGTCTTTCAGTTAGCAACATGTCCTTAATGCTCCTCCATGTCTGGGGGCCTGATAGCTCATTGGATATCCATTTTTGAAGCTAAGGGAAATGGAACTTGTGCATTTACCCCATTAAGTTTTCTCAAGCACTTCCTGGGTGCCAAAGTCACCTGGTTGGAAGGTGCCAGAGACCCCGGTGAGGAAGGCAGGCCCAGCGCCTGCCAGCCCCAGGCCCACAGACTGGCAGGAGGTGGCCGGCAGTTTCAGGCCCTGCCTGTGCTTGGAGCCAGGGTGAAGCCAGCCAGGGCAACCTGAGCAGCCATCAGTGGAGACACTCGACTGCATCCCTGTGACTGCAGGAGGGACAGGAGCAGATGAGCCTTCCAGAAACGCCAGATCTACTTGCTCTGTGAGGCAGAGATTGGTGCTGGGGGCAGGGCCTGGCTGGGGAGACCACTGGGCCATGCAGGCAGCGGGCTGAGCTGGGCGGCGGGGTCTGGGATGGATTGGGTGTCCAGTTGGGGTATCCAGGGGCTCCGGCTCCCACGTGGAAGGTAGCACCCCTTCCTGTGGCAGCTCCAGGGGAAGGAGCAGCTGAGGGGGTCTCAGGCAGCAAGGGTGTGCTGTGTGGGCAGACCCCAGAGACCTCACCCTGGGGTCTGGAGTTCAGGAGAAGGATCTGCACCGGGAGATGTCCTGGGGCCCATCACGGCAGGGTCCTCTCATCTGCAGAGCATGAGGGCGTCCGAGTCCCCCCCTCAGCCCTCAGCCCTGCCCTTGGCTCTGCTCAGGCCAAACAGTCGTGCCGCTTGTGGTGTGTCCCATTCTGAGGGTCTCCTGAGGGATTTTGGCCTCGTGACATTCTCCTCACCCCTCGGCCCCCCGGCGGCCCCTCACACGTGCCCAGTCAGGTTCTGTGTTCCCGCAGCACCCTTCCTGACCGCCACCCTCCTAGATGGTTCTGAGCACAGCCCTGCAGCCCTGCATGAGATCCCTGCCACCCCACAGGGGTATGCTCAGTCAGGATGATCTCTTTGGAAAGTGCACGCCGTCCCATCACTCACTGGGCAGGGCCCATAGGGTGCACCTGGAGCCTGGGCAGGTCCCCCCCAGGTGGGGTGAAGCAGAGGCTTCAGGGCAGCCTCAGCTCCTCCACATCCTGCTGCTCAGCAGATTCCTGAGGCAGCTGCATGTTTGTAGAATCGGAAAAGCGCCGTTTCCAGCGGGACGCCTCCTGCCAAGCCCAGAACTGCGCAGGTGGGTTGGGATGGGCAGGCCCCGTGCAGACGCTGCCACATCATCTGGGAAATGCTCCCTTGGTTTGGAGACGTGAGTGAGTGGCTCGTGGGGTAGAAGGTTCTCAAACTGTTGCAGGTGTCCTGGCACCACGGGGGTGCGGCTGTTCCTCCACCCGACTGTCACCCCCACGAGGACTCGGGGGCTGCACAGCCTGGCGGGGATGCCTCTACTGGAGGGTGTGTCCCCTGGGATGAGCAACATCAGAACCCAGGTTGCCCCACCTGCACGGTCCCCCTACCCACCCACTCCCCTTAGGAGATTCTCCTTCATCAAGAACCTGAGCCAGCGCCACCACCTTCAGAAACCTTGGACTCAGACTCTGTCCTCTCTCTCCCTCCTTCTCAGCCTCCTCTCCCCTCTGGGAGCTCCTGCTGCAGTGACGGTGACTCACTGCTGGGCTGGTTCACTCCAAAGTGGCTCGAGTGCATTACTCAGGTCTTTGCAATAACCCAAGATTTTTCTGTGTACAAAATATGCATATGCGTTTGCCTCCCAGCAGCATCTTTCATGGGAGACAGTGGCTTCCTAGCAAGTCCTGGTGAAGTGATGGACATGAACACTGTGATATTCCAAACCAACACTCAGTCTCTGCACTGCCTCAGGGAAAAGGAGCTTTTGGAGTTCAAGTCCCAGCTCTCCAACCTACAAGTGTGGAGGTGACCGCGTGCCTTGGAATCAAATCCAGAAATCGTACTGGGGCTCCCGGAGCCCACAGGCACTGCCCCATCCCTCCCTGCCTCCTCCTCGCTCCCTTCCTGCCCCCCAGTCTCCTCCCATCCTCAGATACACTAAGCATGCCTCAGGACCCAGGGCCTTGCACTGTCTGTTCCCTCTGCGGGGAATGCTCTTCCCTCAGGCACCAACACAGCCTTCCACCTCTCTTCATTCAGGTTGGCCTATTGGAGAGGGGATGCCTCCCTCCAGTGGCTCCATAACACTACCCCTACCTAGCCAGGCACGTCCAGCTGCCAGCTCATCACGCATGGTCCCCCACTAGACAGCTTCCCGGGGGAGGACCTCGGTGTGCACCGCTCGTCCCCCACGCCTGTGAGAGTGCTCATAGGCGATTCTTGAATGGATAAGTGGGAGAAAGGAAGAGGCTGGAGGTTGGAGATGAGCCCCCCACCCCATGTCCCTGTGTTGCCCGAGGCTTTGATGTCTCAGGTAGTCTTGTTCCATTTCGGGCATCTCAAAGCAGAAGCTGAATGTGGCCTCCGCCCTGTGCCACATGTGCTGGGAGCCCCTTCAGCACCGGCTAGAGTGACCAGCTGGGGGCCTAATTCTCCCCCTCTAGACCCCAGCTCCCACCTCTGAAAACGGGGGTGCTCTGGGCTGTGTGGGGGCAGCAGGTGTGAGATGACGCATGGACAGATGGACAGGAAAGCAGTGGCCCAGGGCGAGGTGGGGAGGTCAGGGGAGGGTGGGAAAGAAGAAGGGCAGTCTCCTGGGACGCTAGGTGCTCAGTTGCTACCGCTGCTGATGTCGTTTAGGAGGGTCTTTGGTTGTTTCAAGGGAATTCTCTATGTTCCACACAGAGCAAGTTCCGGGCAGTGGCAGCCATTTACATGCCCAGGGGTCTGCAGTTGTGGTCCACGCCCACCAGGTTGGATCCCAGCTTCTCCCATCACCCTCATCCCACTCACAGCCGCCGCTCCCAGTGGTTCTGTACCTCCAGGCCTTCACACGTGCTGTTCCCGCATCAAAGCACTCTTGCTCCGACTTTCTGGGTCTGCTCCCCCGGTCACAGAGGCCTCGGGATGCATGCTTCCTCCCCCACAGACCCTCTGCTCCCTCATCTCCCCTGCTGTCCCTGTCACAGTGACTTTGTTCGTGGGCCGGCTGCCTCATGGTCTTCCCACCACACTACATGCCATGTGGGCTGACTGCCCAGCACCCAGGACGGTACGTAGGGAGGAAATGGGTACACGATGGATGGATGAATGGAAGGAAGGAAGGAAGGACACAGAGAAAGAGAGAAAGAAAGGAAAGAAGAAAGAAAGAATGAAAGAAAGAAAGAAAAAGAAAAGAAAAGAAAGAGCAAGCTGGCAACCTCTGCTGGTTGAACCTGAGGGTTTGAAACTCACCCTCTCCTCAGCACGGTCCCAGCTACAAGCTCACCTCTGGCTCATTTGATCTTTCTCAATTCACCTAACAAGAAAAACAATAAAAAGGTGTGTTTTGTAACTGCAGCACCATTCTCCTGCATGCCCGTCTTGGGGAGACACAGCCTGCTGCGCCCGTAAATGTCAGCAGGCTCCTGCCGCAGAGGAAGCGGAGCGCATGTCACTCAGGGCTGGTTCCCAGCGCAGGCTGTCTCCTGGCCCCTTTCACAGAGAAGCAATTAGACAGATGGGGGTAAAGGGTTAACCCGGAAGCCTCCTAATGAGGGGAGCTGCCGGCTCCTCTGTGGGTGCGCGATGCCGAGTCTCCACAGAGGCTTTGGATCCGCATCACTGCACCCGTCACTGCCGTGCACGCGTGAGACTGGGGGCTGGGGGGAGATGTGAAGTCACACACTAAGAAAATTATTTCCTTCATCTTGGAAAAACAAAAGAAGCCGGGCTCTGCTGTTTAGCTGAGGGTCTAATTATGACTGCTACATGTAATCCTCGGAGTTCAGAACTGGCCCAAGCCTGGGCAGGGCCCACTGCACACTTCCCAGGCTCGGAACGGGGAGTTGTTGTATGTGAGGTTTGCACCAGCTGCAAGCTTTGTGAATACACACAATTCAAAGAAAAGCACCGTGGCAGTGCGCTTGTGACATGCTTTGCATTGGGGCATCTACTACACGGGATCTGGAGGTGCCCAGAGCCCCAGACGGGGAGGGACGGCCTTGGTTGTGACTCTGGGCCCCGCATGGTGCAGGGATTCAATAAGGGTGTGGGAAACTGTTTGAATAGTGAGAATTCATCCTAAAAGGTAGTTTTCCTTCAGCAGGTTGAGTTTCCCTATCACCCAAACAAGGGGCTGGAGTAGATCATTTCCAAGGCCCCTCCCAGCCTGGCATGCTGCAGGCTTGGGGCCGTGGGGAGCTCTGGAGACTGAGCTCAGCCTCAGCAGTTTCTCCCTGTACCGCCAGTTTTCTCCGTCCCCACCCAGCACGTGGACACAGCGCACACAAAGCGCGCACAGTCACACGAATCAACCTGGGCAGATATTCAAGAACCTATGAATCTCCCTCCTGAGTCCCCAGGGCTGAGGCCCAGCGCAGACGATAGCCCCCGCTCCCGAGAATCTCCCTGCGCTGGGTGGGCCTCGGGCAGGCGCCTGGTGATGGCTGTTGCTCTGCGGCCCCTCCCTGTGGCCCCTCCCGGCAAGCACCATCGTCTTCCCCAGGGACAGGAAAAACGACAGAGGGGCCAGAAAGAGAGAGGGGTCGTGGAGGAGGGACCCTGCCCTGGGCTGATCTGGAGATCTCTGTGGGGAGAGGAAGCTGTGGCCGGCACTCGGGACCCACTCCAGGGAGATGTGTGAGACTCAGGATGCGGTTGGGGCCCCGTGGGCACAGAGCTCAGGAGGACTCCCCCGTCTCCCCAGCAGCTGGAATTAGGGACCCCAGAAGCTGCTTTTTTAAAACTGAAGTAAAATTCACATAACGTAAATGTCCCCATTTTCAGGCATACAATTCAGTGGCATTGAGCACATTCAAAATGCTGGGCCACCGTCACCCCAAGGGAAACCTGGTCCCCATTAGTGCTCACTCCCCCACCCTCCTCTGTTTCTTATACCCCCCTGGTGGGCAGAACCTGTGGCAGGTACAGGAAGGTGCCTGCAGGGACCACAGCCCAGCCCAATGCAGACCCCCAAGGGGTTCCCCAGGGACTCGGGGACCAAGCACAGGAAACCTGGGGGGCCACAGGGACCCTGAGGTTCTGCCTCCCGGCCAGCGCCTTCGGGGCCACTGCGGGGACTGAGGCCACATCTGCCCCCTCCGCTGGACCCCGTGCTCCCTGATGATGGTGCCCAGGGTTGGGGCCTCCCCACGGCCTCCGTGGCTAACGGGTCTTTGCTGCAGGAATGGAGGAATCGACTTCCCTGACATTCCTCTCTTCTTTCTTCTTTCTTTTCTCCTTTTCCTGGCTCTTGAATTTCTCTGTCCCCAGCAGACGTGTCTGAGAGCATGTGCATGCAGCGGGGGCCACAGCCTTCTGCCTCGGGGGCTGTGATCCTCTTTGCAGCCAAATATTGAGGATGTGCTTCTGAAGCCACCGCAACAGCCTTCTAACTCAGCTCCCGAGTTGTTTGCAAGGCTAGGAAAGGCCGTAGCTCTCTTAACATTGGGCCCTAAAGGGGGTGTCTGGGTGTGGCTTCCACTCAGGACACCCCCTCAGTCCCAGAGGATGCGGGACCTCCTGGGAGCTCAGGGTGCCCCCCACTCCTGTGCAGATCTCTGAGCCTTCTTGCAGTCACCAGGTCAGCAGCCTCCATGCAACATCTCCTGGGCCAGTCCCCACCCCGAAGGTGTAGGTTATCTCGCTGGCCGAGGGTCTTCCTGACACCATGCTGTGTTCATTCTTGTCACCTCAGCTGCCCCTGTTCCGGTCACACCAGCTCTCAGGTCCTGGAATTCCTCCCTTCCTCTGCCCCAGGACCTTTGCAAGTGCCATCAGCACTACCAGGAATGTGCTCCCCACCCGAGCCTTCTCTGGAACCTCATTCCCCAGATGTCCACGGAAGGGTCCTGTTATCAAGGAAGCCCTCCCCACCTGTCCACCCAGCCTGGGTCAGGCTCTCACAGAACCTGTGTCTTCCTTGTAGAGTGCCGCACGTCTGATGTGATGACTTGGTTAATGTCTGTCCTGCCCCACACTCTCAGCTCCACTGGCAGTCTCTGTGTCTGGTGTCTGCTGACTGGTGGTATCAGTGATATGTCATGCGAATGGATGAAGGGGAGAGGGAGGGAGGAAGGAAGGAGAGGGAGGGAGGGAGGAAGGAAGGAAGGAGAGAGAGAGAGAGGGAGAGAGAGGGAGAGAGGAGCAAGCTGCCCTTCTTCAGCTGTGCATATCCAGAGGCGCATTCACGACAGGCGGGGTCCCTTCTTAGGGGAGCAGAATTGGCATGAGTCCTGGGAGATGGAGCCATCATGAGGTCACCCGGGGCGGGGGCCACAGAAACTCCATCCACAACACAACCAAGACTGGGGTGACAGAGGGAGACTAAGGCCCACATTCACACTGCCGAAGACGTGGGTGACAGGCGGGGGCCAGCCGCATCCCAGCCCGGAAAGGGGAAGGGGAGACCGGACCACCCTCAGCCTGTGCTTTGCTCTACAGCTGCCAGGAGAAGGTCGAGGTGCAGGGGCTCGCCCTGGGACGAGTCCCAGGCTGTTGGATTCTCTGGTGTGCAGCCCTTCCTGGGAAGGTTTGCCTCAGCATTCGTTGCTCCTCGTGTTGCTTGGATGGCTTTGCAGATCCTGCTGGATGCTGGCCCTGGGGGCTGAGCCCTGCCTGGCATTTGGTCATATTTCAGAGTGGGCAACAGAGGGTGGTCCCTGGAGGATGAAAGATGGAGCAGCTTCTGTTCTCTGGTGTCTTCTCAGAAGAAAACATGGGCTTTAAAATTAAATCCATCTTGTCCAGAACAGGAGGCCAGCGGTATGGGGCCAGGTTGCCCAGAACCTCAGAATCTGTTGACCCCACACCTTGGGGTGAGGAGAGGGAGCTGACCCCCAGCAGAACAAGAGATGGATCCCCACAGGCTCAGAATCCCAAGAGCCAGCTGGCCGCAAACACCCTGCACGGCTCCCCATCCCACCCCAGGGACCCCCGGCCTGACTAGGGCCCTTGTGTGACCCCACTGCAGCCTGGAGGGCTTGGCCATCCATGCTGTCATCACCTGGCCACTGACCACCCTGGCCTCAGCCTGTGCGGTTCCCGGCAGACCCCGGTGTTCAGTAAGTGTTTGTGGGATGGACGACCTTGACCTTGTGTGACCTTGGCTGGGTGCCTTGCTCCCTGGTGCCATGTCCATGCCACTGAAGGATGCCACAGGGCATACTGGCCAGAGCATAAGGACAGCAGCCGACATCCACCCAGTGCCTGCCCTATGCCAGGTACTGAGCAAAGGGATCAACATGCTACCTTTGTCCCCCTCCCCGAGTCCCTGCCATCACTCCCATTTCACAGAAACAAAGACTGTGCTCAGAGAGGGACCACCGTTCCTCAAGGTCACAGAGACAGGAGGCTGTGGTTGGTGTTTGCACCCCAAGACCAGGGTAGGTGTGCGCAGGGCTGCTGGTGCACACCCGCCTTGCTGGGCACATGCATACCTGCCCCACAGCGCATGCAGCGGGTGCTGGGACCCTGAGGTTCCATGCCTGTGGCTCTGGTGTGAGGACAGCAGGTGTTCCCCTCCCCACCCTCTGGGGCCCACCTCCTTGGGGCAGGCGGTGCCGGGCCTGACCCCAGGGCCCAATCCTCTGTGCCACCTCCAGCACTGGCTTTGGGGTCTGCAGCAACCACCGCCAGGGGGACAGAGGCAAGGGAGGCTCCGACTACATGTTTAAACAGTTAGATTTAATTTCTCTCTGGACCCTTCTGTCTCTTGTCAAGTTTGTTTAAAACTAATGGAAGTAATTAGCAAACCATGGAGAGATGCGTGCGGCAGGTAGCGGCTGTGGGTACCAGGCACCAGGCAGTCCCGTGTCGGCCGAGGATGGAACAGGTACCCTCCTCCCCAGGAGGATTTCCCTCTGTGGCACCTGCATTTCCTCACAGGTGTTTTCTCCCCCGAGAAACAACTCTTTTGTCCCCCACAGTACTTTCTGGGGCTGCAGTGTCCCTAGGGCCCAAGGCAGCAGGCTGGTCTGCGGCTTCCCTGCAGAACCCCTGCATTCTGAGGCAGAGGTGGGGGCCAACACCCCAGCAGGACCTGAGGGGCCATAGCCTTGGGGATTCCTCGGAGGCACGGCCTGGGGTCCAGTTCACACATCAGCTGCAGAAGGTTCCCTCAGGATGTGCAAGTCAGAAGCTCCCCACACCACACCACCGCCCCCATCCTCCACCAGGCTTGGCATCCTCCCAGCCTCGGGAAGAACCAACCCTGCTGGACGAGGGTGACAGATCCCTGAAGTCGGGCAGCAAACCCCGCTCCTCCTCTCACCACCTTCACGGCAATCCCGCTCCTCCTCTCACCACCTTGACGAAGGCGTGAAACGTCCCTGAGGCTCAGCTTCCTATCTGCGAGATGGGCCAGTTCTACTCGCCAGCGCTGCCTTCCCGTGCCTGGCAGTGCACCCGCCGCGTGGAGGCTGCAGGGGCTGGGACAGGACGTGTGATCTGCATTGGGGTCGCAGAGGCGGCTTTTCAGGGCATTGTAGGTGTTTGCTGGTACATCGAGGGAAAAGTTTTCTGGGAATCCATTGGATGTTAATTCTCTCCTGAAGACTAATAGAGAAATTGGGAGATCAAAAACAAATACATAAGAAAACTAAACTTCCAGCCGGGGTGGTGCCACTGGTCACTCGCCTTCACGCCTGGGCGGCTGCTGGCGCAGTCTCCTCTGGGGGCTGTTTCCCATGGGGAGGGAGTTGCGGGGGGTCCCGTGAAGATTCTGGGCTGAGCACAAAGCAGGACAGAAGCCCCCTTTCTGCCCTCAGCCTGATGGGAGCCCCGGACCAGCCTGGGGAGGCTTTGCCCCTACTTCACCCTGACCAGGTGCCTGATGCTGTCCGGTCCCAGGACAGCAGCCCTGACCTCAGCACACTCACCAGTCCTGGGGCGGGAGACACGGGAGGACATGGGAATCCCAGGTACGAAGCCAGGGAATGAAACAAAAACAGGTGATGTGAGGGGAGGGGTAGGGCAGGTTACAGGTTTCCATGGGAGCCAACATCCCAGCCAGGCCTGAGCACTGGGCCAGAGCCAGCTCTGCCAGAAACCACCAGTTACAACCTCTGTGTCCAGTCTGCAGAGTCCAGAGTGCGGGTCCTGGATGGGGCTGAGGCACCAGATTCCTGCCTAGAGGAGGGTGAGTGACAGCGGGCTTGGAGCCCAGGCCCAGTTCAGAAGGTAAAACTGGAAGGACTGCCCACTGCTGGCCAGAGCCAAGGTTCAGGCAGACAGCAGGCCGCTCCCGGCCGCTGCAGAGGCGAGGGCAGCACAGGACTCCAAGCGCCCACAGAAAGTTCTATAAGCAGTTGGGGGCCTCTCCAGCCGACGCCTCAGGCTCAGCCTCCAGCCACATTCGTAGAGAGGCAAAGCAGAATCCAAATAAGTCAGTGCCAGGCAACACCGTCAGGAGCGTCCTCTCTGTACACGGAGACCCTCAGTGCATGCCGACACCCACACATACATGGGCACTTTTCTGTTGTCCTCCTGGAATGCATTTAACCTTGCAGAGACAGGCGAAGACTCCAAAAATTAAAAAGGAAGCAAAAGGAAGGAAGCAGGTTGAAGAGGAAACAAAGGTGAAAAGTAGAATGGAACGTGCTGAGGTTAGTAAATGTCTCAGCATTGTTAGAAAAGCCAGCTACGGTACTGCCTCTGAGCTTCCCAGTAGCCTAAGTAAAGAGGGAAACCATTTTTAGGCAATTCACAAGGAAAGACAAATAGGATATGGGGAGGAGTCCCCATCCCAAGACCTCAGACATGTCTCCCTTGAGGCTGCCCTGCACACTCACTTGCCGTTTCTATAGCATGGCAAAGTGTTAGTAACATTCTGGGTTGTGTTCATAGGTACCCACATTTCACAGAGTTTCCAAACAGATTGTTCATACATTCAGTGCTAATGTTCTGTGAATGCCCCTGGCGTCTCAGAAGACTTGCCTTATTGCTCTTTCCTTATGAAAGAGGCCACAGCCTGGTGGGGCACAGGAGCAGGTATTGAAGGTTCTGAAGCTCCTTTCTTCTCCTGGAAAGCAGGTCCCCCCAACAACTGGGGTCTCTGAATGACCCCCCCATCTTCCAGGCCTCTCTCCAGGAGGGTGTGGGCCAGCACCATTTGCGTAACCGTATCGTGACCTTTGTCCCTTGGGCTGCTTCCTTCTCTACCAGTGACAACTCCTGTTTTCCTCCTGATTCTCCACGGCTGAGGACTCAGAATCACAAATGCTAGTGGGCTGAGTGTTCAGACACAGAGGTCGTGTTTGGAGCGGAACACCCAAGTTATGGTTAGACTGAAACAGGATGTTGGGACTGCATCTTGTCACAAAGCCCTGGAGCTTTCTCGTGATTGGACGGGGCCTGTTAGACACAGACGGAAAAGGCATAAAGATCTAGGAAGTTGCCGGGCACAGGGGCTCACGCCTGTAATCCCAACATTTTGGGAGGCCAAGGCGGGTGGATCACCTGAGGTCAGGAGTTCGAGACCAGCCTGGCCAACGTGGTGAAACCCTGTCTACTAAACATACAAGACTCAGCTGGGCATGGTGGTGCACGCCTGTAGTCCCAGCTACTTGGGAGGCTGAGGCAGAAGAATTACTTGAACCTGGGAGGCGGAGGTTGCAATGAGCCAAGACGGCACCACGGCACTCCAGCCTGGGCAGCAGAGCAAGACTCCATCTCAAAAAACAACAACAACAACAAAATCTAGAAAGCCAGTGTGCAGGGGCCCTGGTGCGGTCCCCCGGGCATCACTTCCCCAAGCCACCCACGGAGCTGCCTTTGAGGGCGCTGTCATCAGTTTCATCCAGGGTCTCTCCGGCAGGGAACGCCTTTCACCTGCAAAGTCCTTGGTTCATATGGCTGACGCCACCGCTGTTTCCTGCCTGGTCATTCAGACGTTGGTGGCCCATTCGTTCTCAAAGCAGCTTCAATGCTTGCCTAAGATGTCACCAAAGCTGTGTGCCTGTACTTTTTTTTTTTTGAGACCGAGTCTCGCTCTGTTGCGCAGGCTGGAGTGCCATGGCGTGATCTCGGCTCACTGCAAGCTCCTCCTCCCAGGTTCACGCCATTCTTCTGCCTCAGCCTCCCGAGTAGCTGGGACTACAGGCACCCGCCACCACGCCCGGCTAACTTTTTGTATTTTTAGTAGAGACGGGGTTTCACCGTGTTAGCCAGGATGGTCTCGATCCCCTGACCTCGTGATCCACCCTCCTCGGCCTCCCAAAGTGCTGTTGGGATTACAGGCATGAGCCACCACGCCCAGCCTCCCAAAGTGCTGAGATGACAGGCAGGAGCCACCGCGCCCAGCCGCCTGTACTTTTTTTTAACTACAACACTGTGTTTAATCCTGAAGACAACACAAACCCTCCTGCTGCTGTCCAATTGCATTAGTTTTATTAGGAATTTGCTTTTAGGGAACAAAGGGGCTTGTTTGTGTGTTTGTGCTCATCTCTCAGCAATCACAGCACTGTCATTTTTATCTTTGTCAGTGACAATCAGATGTCAGAAATGATTGATCCACTAAGTTGTTGCTGATTTTAATTTGTTTACCATTGGGCAAACAGTACTATAAAAGCAGTTTGGAATTTTCCTGTCACTTCAAAAAAAAAAAATGTAATGATTCCGTCCTTAGAAGGGGAACAGATCCGGGGAGCCACAGCAGACCCTTGCCTGGGTTGATCCTGTCCATCAGAGGAGCCACCGGGGGGCTCTGGAGTCTGGAAGTTTCATTGCTCTGTTGAACCAGACAGGGTGGAAATGCCTGGTGTCATCACATTTAAAAACATTTTCACATGAAAATGTTTCACATGAAACCCACAAGTAGGAGGTGCCATTGGCTGGGAAGATATCTAAAGTGAACTATTGAGAAGAGGGAACAGACACGTTATTTATTCTTTCAAGGCAGGCAACAGTAAAAGGTGAATGCGAGGGGAAAACACTTTATCTAATGTAACAGTGAGTCGCTTTTTTTGGTTTCTCGAATAAATAGTAATTAAATCATGTAAGCTGTGACAGCAAAATTGCTTGAAAAACCAATCCTCCCACCATAATTGCTTAGATACCCACATTTTTATAAATAGGAGTTAACTTTATCCGTGGCTTTTATGAGCAGAATGTGACACGGGCTGTGGGTGCGTCGTAATTTACCACGGCTGTAGGTGACAGTTGCAAAAGCACACGTCTAAAAAATGCACTAATGTGTCCGGATGAATCTGCGCCTCTGGAGGTGTCTTTTTCTGCAGCAGAATTAGAGATGGCCATGATGCTGGAGCCGTGAAGGGAGGTTGGCATCCTGGTGCCTACTGGTTAATGTTTTGGAAGCGAAGCAATGCTCAGCACCCAGCGGTATCAATAGACTGTCTGACTTCAACTCTGTTTCCAGTTCACCAAGAAAGCACTTGGTGGGGCCAGGGTCTGCCCTGGCCACACCTGCCTAGCCCACCCCAAGGCCATTTGCAGGCATCAGGTCTGGCTTAATAATAAAAAGGACCAGAAACACAGCAGAGCCGAGTTCTGCTGCCAGAATCCACCTGCCATGGGGGAATGGTCCCCAGATGCCAGCTCTCTCTTGCTCCTTCCTTGTACTTAGCCTTCTTGGAGTGGAAAAACAGGTCCATTAGTGGCTTCACAGTCTCTGCTGGCAGGAAGAAGATTTGCATAGGCAAGAGTGGGGGGAACTGAGGGAATATTTTTGAGGTGGAGAATACCCACTGTGCCGCTCACAGACTCCGGCTGAATTCGGAGATAACAGCGGCAAGGGAGAGATGCGTTTGCAGAAGGGAGTGCAGCTGTGTTGTAAATAGAATGGAAGCTCAGTGTTGCTTTTCTTCCCCCCCTTTTTTAAAGGCCTCTGGCTAATTCTCTAGGGGGTTGAGATAAAACACACCACCTTCTCGGGAGGTGGAGAAATCAGTGCAAACCTCATGCCCCTCATGCCCACTGGGGGCCTGTAGGGCGTCCTGCGTGGTTGCTGCCATTGTTACCGCCCTTCTGCTGGCCAAGCCGACCCTGACTCTCTCCCCCTCCTCTTGCAGTCAAGTTCAGCAGCTGTGTGGGGACCAAGGGGACACAATATGAGACCAACAGCATGGACTTCAAAGTTGGGGCAGATGGGACAGTCTTCGCCACCCGGGAGCTGCAGGTCCCCTCCGAGCAGGTGGCGTTCACGGTGACTGCATGGGACAGCCAGACAGCAGAGAAATGGGACGCCGTGGTGCGGTTGCTGGTGGCCCAGACCTCGTCCCCGCACTCTGGACACAAGGTAAGGTGTGACCGCCCGGGTCTGCGCTGGAGTTTAGATGACCTAGTTCCTCCTGCAGGCCCTGGGCAGAGCCTCTGCCAGGGCTCCCACAGGACAGACAGTCACCTCCTCCTCGGGCTGTGCCACTCAGGCCATTGCCAACCAAGCACCCCTGCCCTCTGCACTGACCTGAGGCAGGGCCGTCATTGCGGGAAGGCCCCCTGGGCAGGCACACAGGCCCCACACTCAGGTTCAGACACTATGCCACGGTCTTGTCGCTCTTCATATGTTTTTGAACAAGGGGCCCCAAATTTTCATTTCAAACTGGGCACTGCAAATTCTGGAATCTCTCCTACCTCCCGAAGTTTGTAGTCCACCAGGCCCAGGGCGTTCTGAAGCCTGGAGGGATGAGAAGCAAGCGGAGACTGTGTGGTTGGAAAGGAGCCAACCAGAGAGTGGGGAGGCGATGGAGAGAATAACAGAGAGGAAGGCAGGTGCAGGGAGACAGCAAAGGAGAGGGAGAAGAGAATGAGAGAGGGATGGGGAGAAAGAGAGAAGAGAGGTGGAGAGAGACAGGAAAGGAGAGGGAGGGAGAGGAAGAGAGGGAGAGAGAGAAGGAGGGAGAGAGATGGAAAGAGGTGGAGGGAGAGAGAGAAGGAAAGGGAGGGAGAGGAAGAGAGGGAGAGAGAGAAGGAGGGAGAGAGATGGAGAGAGGTGGAGGGAGAGAGAGAAGGAAAGGGAGGGGAGAGGAAGAGAGGGAGAGAGAGAAGGAGGGAGAGAGATGGAGAGAGGTGGAGGGAGAGAGAGAAGGAAAGGGAGGGAGAGAGAGAGACAGACAGACAGCTTCACACAGACATAAAACATCTGCTGTTCAGGATCCCAGCTGCCCTCCGACTCTGCCTCCTTCTAACCCGGCTGCCTGGCTCACCCGGGTGACAGGGAGGGGCGCCTTCACCATGCCCTGTCCTGAGGCTCCCTTTCATCCTGGCATATTCCAGCAATCCAGCACCAGGCTCCTGAACAACCTGCGTTCATCCCCAGTTCTAGCTGTTAGGTTCCCCGTGCCTGACGGGGAAGTGGCCAGGTCCCCTTCGCCTTGAGTGTCCTGGCGTTGGTTGCAGCCACTGCGCCAGCCTTCAGGTGTGGAGGCTGCTGAAGAAGCTGCAACCAGGCGGCCTGTGGGAGAGCACTAAGGAAGGCCAGCCTGCAGGTCCAGCTGTTGCAGCTGCCTGCCTGAGGGGCCCCAGTGGTGGAAAGAATGTGTGCCAACCCCTCCAGATCCCCCCAGTTAACATGAGGCCTCTATGGGGTCGTTTGAGATACGGTGAGCAAAGGAAATCACCACGCAAGGCGGCGGCCACTAGCAATCATGGGCACTCCCTCGGAAAAGGGCCCTCGGGAAGTAAAGCGTTAAGCAGAGGCAAGCAGATTCCTTTCCGTGGGTTTCCCAGAACCTCATGACTCATGTGCTGTGTAAGCCTCTGAGTGAGACCAGTCTGCAAGTTTCCCCAAACTGTCTGACCAAGGAACCCTTCTCCATGGAAAGCTTGCAAGACAGGTGTGCCAAGGAACCCACTTTGGGAAGGGAGGGACCTGTGTCTTCTTCTGACTTGTTTCTCAGATGGAAGCGGAGATGGAAGCGGAGGTGGTTTAGGTTAGAAAAGAGAAAGTGTGACTCAGATGGACAGTCTTCACTGCATGATGAGCTGACCCCACGGGGGAAGGAGGTCTTGAGAGTCCTCCTGAGTGTGTTAAACCAAGCAGCAGAGCACGCCTCTAACGGCAGTGGCCCCCAAATCATGAGCCCCACCTGTGAGTCCTGACGAGTCTAGGACGGTGTATGTCATTTTCCTTCTTCCCTGAGTGATTATTACAAGCCACGCCCTGGTGAGCAAGGCAGGCCCTTGGACAGCCTGGGGACCCTGTCCCATGGGGGTCCCTTCCCTCCCTGAGCTGTGCCGGGACACTGACAGGCAGGGACTTTCATCCCCATCATGCCTGTGACTTCCAAGCTGTCCCCAAGTCCCCGATTGTGAGCCGAGAGCAGAGCCCCTGAGAGCCTTCCAAGGCCTCCGATAAAGGCTCTAATTGAAAATATAATGACACCTTTTCTTGGGCATGTTAATGAAGCGATTTCAGATTTAATCCCCTGATCCTCTGCAGAAGGGGCAGGCCCAGCTGTGGTTGCCGCTAGACAGTCCCCGTGGGAATGTGCCTCGACCCACACCAGGCTGGTGCAGGAAGCACCCAACCAGCGGAGCAGGGGACACTGAATTCATGTCCCAGGCTCAGCGCACCCTGGGGAGCCCAGATGTTAAACCAGGCAGCAGAGCGTGCCTCTAACAGCAGTGGCCCCCAAATCGTGAGCCCCACCTGTGAGTCCGGCGTATGTCGTTTTCGTACTTTCCTGAGTGATTATTACAAGCCACGCCCTGGTGAACAAGGCAGGCCCTTGGGCAGCCTGAGGACCCTGTCCCATGGGGGCCATGGGGTCACTGTGGGGCACAGCCCTGAGTCCCTGAGACATGACTGTTGCAGGGCACAGTGGGCAGTCTCTGCAGCCCAGGAGACCCGGTCCTCCAGCGCTTTTGTTGCCAATGGTTCCTCTCCTGACTTTCTAGCACCCACTCAGACCTTGCCCCAAGTGGTGTAGGCTCATCTAACCCTCTCCACACCCCTGGAAGTGGGTGCTGTTACATCATGGATGAGGGTGCTGAGCATGTGACCACAGCCCTGTGCTGCACAGGAGAACTGATGTGTGGGGAAGGAGTGGAAAAGGACTTTGCAGGTATGGCAGAGCCCGGCATGGCGCAAGAGCAGCCACCCAGGGTGTGGGTGCACGGCAAGGCTTCTGCGACTTACTGGCTGGGTGTTTTGGGAGAATTCACACAACTTTGAGGTGAACTGCTCTGGAGAATGGGAGAGTAATGCTACCCATGTCCCAGCCAAAGGGTGCTGGTATTTCATGAGGTTATGGAGGTCAGGAGGTGGAAAACAGCAGCGCATATGGCTGTCATTGCCTGGTTCCAGGCTTCACAGTCCTGTGCTTATCACAGTGCTGGGCCTTGCCAGGTGGCATGGGGGCAGGAGGAGGCAGGCAGGGAGTGGGGGTCACTGTGGGACGCTGGGCCACCTGGTTGATGCGCCCTTACAGAGCGTGATGCCAGCCTCTATAGATGATCAAGGTGACACCGGATTGCTGGTGTCCTGGCCGCCTGCCAGAAGCAACTGTGCATCTCCCCCAGTGTGAACTGTCACCCAGGCCTTCAGCTGTGCCCATCTCCTTTCATATTCAACGTCCAGCACTCGGCCTCATGACTGGGCACATGAGGAGGGACAAGACATAGAAAGAACAATCGAAAGAAGAGGCAGATAAGAAAGGACCCACAGGGACCGGGCGCGGTGGCTCACGCCTGTAATCTGAGCATTTTGGGAGGCCGAGGCGGGCGGATCATGAGGTTAGGAGATCGAGACCATCTGGCTAACACGGTGAAACTCTGTCTCTACTAAAAATACAAACAAAAATAAAATTAGCCGGGCGTAGTGGCAGGTGCCTATAGTCCCAGATCCTCGAGAAGCTGAGGCAGGAGAATGGCATGAACCTGGGAGGCGGAGCTCGCAGTGAGCCGAGTGAGCCACCGCACTCCAGCCTAGGCAACAGAGTGAGACTCTGTCTCAAAAAAAAAAAAAAAAAAAGACCCACAGAGGCTCCAGAGCATGGGGCAATCAGAGAGATTTTACACTAACTACACTTACTATCTTTAAGCAAATTAAATAGAAGACTTTGAGAGATAATTAGAAGGTATAAAACAGAATTCTTAATCGTTGGGCAGTTTGGAATTGAAAACTAAACCAAACAAAATGAAGAGCTCAATGGATACATATATCTGCAGATTTGACATAGCTGAAGAATTAGTGAAGCAAAATATATCAAAAACATTCGTGCTCTAAAGCGTGAAGAGATACACAGAAGGAAAATACAGAAGCAACCGTAAGAGATATTAGAGAGGCAGTAAGAAGGTCTAATGTGTATATTTGCAATATGAGGGGGAGAGAGAAAATGGGGCAGAAGTAATATTTGAAAATATAGTGGCAGAAAATATTCCAAAACTGATAACATTCATTTAGGCATGGATTCAAGAAGCCCTGTGAACTCTATGCAGGAGAAATATTTAAAAAAAAAAACAGCACCTGGATGCTTTATAGTAAAATAGTTAGAACCCAAAGACAAAGAGGAAATCTCAAAAGCAGACAGAAAAGGCAGAATTCCTTTGAGGAAGCAATGACTAGGAGGCTGACTTCTCCGCAGGAGCTGGGGCGTTGTGGGGGGGTTGGAAGACCGTTCCATTCCATGCCATTGAATGATTTCTTTTCTTTTTTTTGAGACAGAGTCTCGCTCTGTTGCCCAGACTGCAGTGCAGTGGCGCAATCTCAGCTCACTGCAACCTCCACCTCCCGGGTTTAAGTGATTCTCCTGCCTCAGCCTCCTGAGTAGCTGGGATCACAGGTGTGTGCCACCATGACCAGCTAATTTTTGTATTTTTAGTAGAGATGGGGTTTCACCGTGTTGGCCAGGCTGGTCTGGATCTCTTAATCTCGTGATCTGCCTGCCTCGGCCTCCCAAGGAATATCTTAAAAGTGCTAAAAGAAAATAGAATTCTATCATCCAGTAAAACTGTCTTTCAGGAAGTAAAGTTGAATGAAGAGAAACTGAAAGAATCTGTCCCAAATGATGTTCTTCAAACAAAAATAAAACAAGTTGAGGTGAACACTCAGAAATGGAGGAAAGAATGAAGAGCTGGGAAAAGGCCAAGAACACTGAAAAATACAAATGAATCACAGCAGTGTAATGTTTCATGGGTGTAAACAGAGAACTCGAATTTACAGCAAAAACTGCATAAACTTTGAGAAGGGATAAATGGAATCAAAGAGATAGAAGTTGTTTGCATTTTTCTCAAAAATGATGGAAATAACAAATTAATATTACTCCTAAATAAGACGAAAATACTTGTTATAAAGTCTTTAGAAAATCACTAAAAGAGTCATAAAAGTCTGTAAGTAGTAACGTAATAAAAGGAAAAAATAGAATAATAAAAATTATCAAGCCAAAAAATGCAAAAAAGAGAAATGAAAACAGAATAGATGGGCTACACATTTCTCTTTGTTGTAATTTAAAAAATTGATGGATAAAGATAAATCCAACTATATGCAGTTTGTAAAAGATATACCTAAAAGGTATAAGGCTAAAGTTTAGCAGTAAAATCCTAGAGAAATAAATACCATGCAAGTACCAATCAAAAGGAAGCTAGTGGACTCTGTTAATATCAGATGAATAGAATCTGAGGAAAAAGCATTCTATTCAAGGAGGAACACTTCGTAATGATAAATAATTCACCAAGAAGATACAGGAATCCTAAATTTGTGTGCACTTAATAATATGACTTCAAAATATTTATGCCAAAATTGATAGAAATAAAAGGAGAAGTAACTATGCAATCAGTGGTCAATTTTAACAAAATTTCTTAGCAAATAATAGAACAAGCAGAAAATATCAGTAAGGAAATAGATTAGAATCACACAATTAACAGGTCTGGCTTTACTGAGACATATAAAAGCACAGAAACCAACCACTGCTAAATACACATGATTTTTAAGTATAGACAGAACATTTACAAATATTAACCAAGCAAGTCCCAACATACTTCATAGCCTTCAAGCAATTCTCAACATACTTCAAAGGTTTAAAATCAAAACATAGTTTGTTTTCTTAACTCAGAGCAAGTAGGCTAGAAATCAATAACAAAGAATGTAACTGGAAAATCCCCATAGATTTAGAAGTTAAGTAAAAGCCTTCTCATTAACCCTTGGGCAGGAAAAAAAAAAATCACATGGAAATTAGTGAATATTTTGAACTGAGTAATAAAACTACTGGGATGTAGCTAAAGTCATGCCCAGATGGAAATGTTTAGCCTTAAATGCATATATTACAAGATAAAGAAGGCAGAAAATTGGCTGGGCGTGGTGGCTCGTGCCTGTAATCCCAGCGCTTTGGGAGGCCAAGGCAGGTGGATCACCTGAGGTCAGGAGCTTGAGCCCAGCCCAGCCAACGTGGTGAAACCCTGTCTCTACTAAACATGCAAAAGTTAGCCAGGCATGGTGGCACGCCCCTGTAATCCCAGCTGCTCAGGAGGCTGAGGCAGGAGAATTGCTCGAACCCAGGGGACAGAGGTTGCAGTGAGCTGAGATTGCACCACTGCACTCTAGCCTGGGCAACACAGCAAGACCCTATCAAAAAAAAAGGGCAGAAAATCAACAATCCAGGCATTCATCTCAAGAAACTATAAAAATAACTGAAAATGAGACCCAAAGTCTAAAGAAAGAAATTGTTAAAACAGGAGGAGAAAACAATGAAACAGAAAACAATAGAAATAACAAAATTGGTCCTTTAAACTACAAGGCTGATCAGACTGAGCAAAAAGAAAAGGTATAAACTGCAACTAATCCTTATCAGGAATGAAAAGATGACATCATGACTAATCTCATGGACGTCAGAAAGATCATTTGGGGATATTATATACAATTTATACCAATACACTTAAAAATATACATGAAAAGGATAATAGTGTAGAAATATACACCTTACCAAACTAACATAAGAAAAAATCCTGCACTGTTTTATTGTTACAAACAAAACTAAAATCCTTATCACAAAGAACTGTCCACACCTGTTGGCTCCACTAGTAAGTTCTACCCAAGCTGTCAGGAAAAATTAAAACAAATCTTACACAAACCTATCCAAAGATTACAAAAAGAGGAATTGCTCTCCCAAAGTTTTGTCCTCCCAAATCCTTATAGGGAGGATACACACACTGGAGGTACAAGCCAATGCAGTAAGGCAAGAAAAAGAAATTAGAATAAATGAAACTGACATTATTTGTAGCTTATATGATTATGAATGTTAGAAAATGTAATCTGTCCTAAAAGAACCTGTACTAAGTTACTGGGACTCGTGAGTAAGGTTAGCAAGGGTGCTGGATGTAATAGTTGTACTTCTATGTACCAGGGATAAATCCTTAGAAAATAAAATCTGAACTAGATCCCAATTACAATAGCATTAAAAACGATCATATAACTGGGAATAAATCTAACAAAAATGTACAAGACTTCTTACATTTTGTTGAGAAAAATTAAAGAACTATAAAAATGGAGGGATATGCTGAGCTCATAACTTGGAAGGCTTATGTTAGAATATTGATTCTACCCAAAGTTGCCATAGAGTCAACACAACCTCAATAAAAATTCCAGCAGATTTTTTGTTTGCTCGTTTCGGGAAGAGTAAAGAGCTGACTTAAAATTTTTTAATGGAAATGGAAAGGGCGAAGGTAGCCTAGAACAAGAAAAAGATGGGAGGACACATCCTTCCAGACAAGTTGTTGGGGCTGTCCTGTGTGCTACAGGATAGTAAGCCAGACTCCTGGCCTCTACCCACTAAACGCCAGGTAAAGCCCCATAACCTCCATATGCAACCAAAGCTCTTTCCAGCCACTGCCAAATGTTCCCTGGGGGGCAAAACTGCCCCCTTTTGAGAACCACTGAACTACAGCCATTAAAACGGTGTCATTTTGAAGCAAAGATGATTAGATAGACACTTGGAACAAAAATAATGAGCCCAGAAAAAGACATGTAATGTGTTTAAAAATCAGCTTCATGGACGTATAACTCTCATACTACAAAATCCACCCAGTTCATCTTTACAATCTGATGAGCCTTGTCAAATGCCCAGGGTGCAGACGCTTGATTTTTTATTATAAGAGCAGTGCTGTAGAGCAGGTGCCAGCATGCTGTAGCCCACAGGCCTTTTATGGCCAGCAAGCTAAGACTGGTTTTTACATTTTTAAATGGTTCCATTTTAAAGGGTTATGTAAGTACCTATACGATGTCCTCAATTTTGCCCCTTAACCTGAGATGCCTAAAATATTTACCATCTGGCCATTTGGGGGAAAGTTTGCCCATTTCTACAGAAACAACAGAGGAAAGACTGTCTTTTCAATAAATGATGCTGGGCCAATGGGGCATCTTTAAGAAAAAAGTAAAATGACCCCTACCTCACACCACAACCAAAATCCATTTGAGGTGGACTGAAAACCTAAACAGGAAAGGCAAAGCAATGCAGCTGGGAGTGAACTGACCCCCGGGTGTGGAAAGCTTCCTCGCACATGGCACGTGAAGCGTGAAACACGGGAAAGAATGATCACTGGACTTTATTAAAAATAAGAACTTCTGCCAGGTGCGGTGGCTCACGCCTGTAATCCCAGCACTTTGGGAGGCCAAGGTGGGCAGATCACCCAAGGTCAGGAGTTCGAGACCAGCCTGGCTAACATGGTGAAACCCTGTCTCCACTAAAAATACAAAAATTAGCTAGGCATGGTGGTGCACACCTGTAATCCCAGCTACTAGGGAGTCTCAAACAGGAGAATCACTTGAGCCCGAGAGGTAGAGGTTGCAGTGAGCTGAGATCATGCCACTGCACTCCAGCCTGGGCAACAGAGCAAAAGCCTGTCAAAAAAAAAAAAAAAAAAAAAGAACTTCTGATCATCAAAACATATATCTTAAAAATGAGACAATAAGGCAGAGTCTGGGAAAGGACATTTGCAGCACTCGTATACTCTTGATGGGAGTGTACAATGGTACAAACACTTTAGACAGCAATTCAGAATTACTATTAAAGTCAAATATACATATGCCTCGTTTTTGGTGTATGCCCATAGCAGTATAGGCAGGTAATACCAAGAACTCTGTACGGGACGTTAAGAGAAATCTTACGCATAATCACCAAAAGCTGGAAACAACACACATGCCCTCACCATTGCAATGAGTCAATAAATTGCAGTGGGCTCCTAAAGTGGAATATTATACGGCAGTAAAAGTGAACAAACTGCAGCTAGAAGCAACAAAGCCAGCGAATCTCACAAACAGACCAAAGAAGGAGAGCAGGCAGGTGCCTGGCAGCAGGAACACGTGTCAGCCGAGTGACCGCACTCCCATGAAGTCCAAATTCGGGTGGCACTGAGGTGCAGAGTTACAGTCGGTTGAGGGTTCCTTTCAGGGGGCAGCAGGAAGCCATGCTGGGGGACACCAGAGGGTGGGAGGGAGTCTTGTGGCAAGACAGGTGCTCATTCTGCCATCATTTTTTTAGCTGGTGTTCTGTACGCTGTTGTACTTATAGTCTATTACTCACAATTTAATTTTTTTAAACAAATGCATGCAGAGGGCTACCTAACTGTGTTTAGAGAAGGTGGGAGTTCTGATGGGGGCACGTGGTAAGCAAGAGTTCTGCTGGCAGAAGGTTCTGGAGAAACAAATGGCCTCCTTCAAAGCATCAGTTTACAGAGCGCTGGGAGTCCCAGGGCAGTGTTTATTGAGAGGAGCCTGGAAGCAGATTCTGCCAGGGCAGGTGCATGGGGACCCCTAATTTCCTGGTTCTGTAAATTTCATTTCTCTTATGTCGAGGTTTCTTCAAGTGCCGCCTCCTCTGTCCATTATTTTAGCGACTCTGGGGAGCTGGGTAAAACTGACAGCTTTACAGTTAGATGAACCATAAAAATTTGGCAACTTTTCTCCTTCTTTTGTCGCCCTCTCTTAGCAACTATTTAAAAGCAGCCTTTCTGTGGGCAATGCAGGCAGTGCTGGAATCTGGAAGAACTGTTTTTTGGTGCAGTCTTGCAGGAAAGCTGATAGCAATTCAATTAGGAAATGCAAATGAGGTCACATATTTCCCACCGGAGGGCTGAGTCACCCCTGAGGAATCAGAGCAATATTCTGGCCTCACAGGAAACACTCGAGACCAAGCTCTCACCCAGTTGTCATCTGACTAGCTGCTGCAGCACTGAAAAGTGGCAATAGGACCTGTGGGTATGGTTTGCAAAAAAAGAAACTGTTGTTTATGAAACTAATATTGTATCTTCTAGCACACGTCAGCGTTTATGAGGATGAACTCGGCCGAGCAATGTCCCACGGCCAGGCGGGTCCAGGCGCTGACCTGTGGACTTTCCTGGGTGTTTCTGTCCCCCCAGGTCCTTTGGGCTGAACTATGTCCCCTAAAATTCAGGTATTGAAATCCTAACCTCAGAACATGACTTAACTTGGAAATAGGGGGTTTGCCGATGTAATTAGTGAAGAAGAAGTGATTAGCGTGGGCCCTGATGCAGTAGGACTGTGTCCTTATAGAAGGGGAAATTTGGGCACAGACAGGCACAGGGAGAAGTCCTGTGAAGATGAGGCAGAGAGCTGGGGGATGCCTTCAAAAGCCAAGGATCAGGGAAGATTGTGGCACCACCAGGAGCCAGGAGAGACGCCCAGAGCAGATTCTCCTGCACAGCCTCCCAGGGACCAGTGCTGCAACATCTTGATTTTGGACTTCTGGCCTCCAGAGCTGTTAAGGGAATAAATCTCTGTCTCAGCCCACTGGCTTGTGGACCAGAGCCTTTCAGCCGAGGTGGAGACTCAGATGGCAGAGTGCAGACAGACCCCAAGGCATCCCCGAAGGCAGGGAGGAGTGTCCCCAGCCAGGGGTCCCGCCCAGGGCTCCAAATACCCCTGAATCCTCTTGATGCAGCCACTCTTCCCTCCAGGGCTGTTGAGGACAAGTCCCCGCCCACGGCAGCCCCCAGGTCCCTCTGCTGCTACCCAGGCCCTTCCACTGCCCCTGCTGTCCCCCTGCCCACTGCAGGCTCCACAGGGCTTGGGGTGTCCCTGGGGAGAGGAGGGATGAGGAACGGGTGCCATTCCAAGGGCAGCAGCACACAACAGGTGCAGGCACACTGCCCGGAACACCACACACACGGTGCACGGCACACACACCACACACACACGCCCCACACACCACACGCACACACGCCCCGCACACACTATGCACACCACACACACAGTGCATGCCACACACACCGCACACACACTGCACGCCCCGCACACACTATGCACACCACACACACAGTGCATGCCACACACACCACACACACACTGCACGCCACACACACCACACACACGATGCATGCCACACACCACACACATGCCCCACACACACCACACAGTGCACGCCACACACACCACACATATACCCTGCACATACCACACACAGAGTGCGTGCCTGTATTAGTCCGTTTTCACACTACTGATAAAGACATACTCGAGACTGGGAAGAAAAAGAGGTTTAGTTGGACTTACAGTTCCACATGGCTGTGAGGCCTCAGAATTATGGCAGGAGGCAAAAGGCGTTTCTTACATTACAGCAGCAAAAGAAAATGAGGAAGAAGCAAAATGAAAACCCCTGATAAACCCATCAGATCTTGTGAGACTTATTCACTATCACGAGAATAGCACGGGAAAGACTGGCCCCGGTGATTCAATTGCCTCCCCCTGGGTTCCTCCCACAACACGTGAGAATTCTGGGATATACAATGTAAGATGAGATTTGGGTGGGGACACAGCCAAACCATATCAATACCACACACACACACACGCCCCACACACACCACACACACAGTGCACACCGCACACACACTGCCTTGTAACACCACACACATAGTGCATGCCACACACACCACACACACACACACACACACGCCCCATGCACACCACACACACCATACACACAGTGCACGTCACACACCACACACACACACCCCGTACACACCACACACACACCATACACACAGTGCACATCACACACCACACACACACATGCCCCATACACACCACACACACCATATACACAGTGCATGCTGCACACACCCACACACATGCCCCATACACACCACACACACCACATACACAGTGCATGCTGCACACACCCACACACATGCCCCACACACCACACACACGGAGCATGTCACACATGCCCCACACACCATATACACCACACACAGTACATTTTATACCACATACATGAATCGCATGGACATACCACATACACTGCACACACTACATGCCACACACACTACACACATATACACACCACACACACACACCACACATTTACACGTACGCACATTCCACACAGTACACACGTGCGGCTACATGAAACACATGCGCAGGTGTTGCACACTCACACTGATACCAAACTCAGTCTGAAAAAGAGTTCTGTGTATGGTCAGCAGCAAAGGACCCAGCACTTCACAGGGTTGGATGCGGCCACCCAACTGCATCACCCCAGGCTCACTTGGGGTGTTCACCACGCCCAGCCCGTGCCCCCCATGCTCACGTTCCCACTGCAGGGCAGGCTGCGCCACTGTGTCCACTGTGGGCCGAGCTCTCATGCCTTCTCCTCTGCACATTCTGATGAATCACAGACAGCCTAAGAGCACATGGAGGAGGTGCAGGCTTCGTTAGCGTGAACGCACCCCCTGGGCTGTGGTGCCAGAGCTCAGAGCAGGATGTCTGGAGTCTGCATCCTGGGCCTGCACCTGAGCTCCTCTCAACCCTGGCCAGGGGCTCGGCTTCTCCTTGCCTCCGATCTGCATTTGTATGCTGGGGGCTGTGGGACTGTCACAGAATGAGAGGGGTTGCTGAGCTGTGGAGGTGGGGCCCACAGGCAGCTGTTAGCAAACGTCAGGTGTGTCACTGTAGAGCACGTGCAAAGGCTGGAGCAGGGAGCTCAGGAGAGGCCTAGGCCAGGGTGAACTCTCTCCTGCACAGGCCTGTCCCCCACTACTCACATGGTCCATATCCCCTATCCCCCAGGCCCATCCCCCCATCCCCCTGGCCCATCACCCCATCCCCTGGACCCTCCCTCATCCCCGGGTCCCTCCCCCATCCCCTGGTCCCTCCCCCCATCTCCTGGAGAAGCCTGGATATGAATCACTTCTTGCCCTTCACCCTGAGAGCGGAGGCCTTGTAAGTGAGGCTGGCATTGCAGGGAAGCATCCACAGACTGCATTCCTCCGTGAGTTCCCCAGGGCTGGCTGGCCAGTTTCTGATCTGAACCTGGACACCTGAGCATTTGAGAACTTTAACTGAAGGGGGCTACAGGTCATCAGGGCAGTGAGGGGATGGTCCCCCAGGGCTCTCCACATGAGCTGTTTCTGCAGAAGGCATATCTGCCTTGGGAAAGCAACTAGAAGGTCCCGAGGTGGGGGTCCAAGTTTGAAGCTCACATCTCCAGAAAATGGTGGTTTGTTTTATCCTTCTCCCAAAAGGTGGCCCTCAACGGGACTGAAAAACAGCAATTCTAGAATAAATAAACAGCAACAGTGCCGTTGGCAAACTTGTAGACAACGTGTCCACCTCCTGGCTTTGTTTTGAAGATGACGAGCTATTTTAATGAGTGTGAATAACCTCCACGCTCCTGCAAGTTCAGACACCGTCACCAGCAGAGGTCTGGCTGCTCAGGTGCAGATTCCATGGCCCCTGGGTTCAGCAGAGCGTGTATTGGTATCTCCACGCGTGTTTCTCCACATCAGAACACAGACCCCCCCCCCAGCCCCCTCCAGGGGGCTCGAGTTTCGGGGGTGGTGGGCCGTCAGTATTAGGTTTCATGGCCGTCCAATGCACCCCAAAGGAACGGCAGCTTGTAACTCTTCATGGGTGCGAAGGACGGGAGTGACTATTGGAATTGGTCTTGCTTCTTTCAGGCCTGAGAAGTTCAAACTTAGCCAGTGTTTTCAGGCTGCAAACAGCCTTGAACGACATCTGGGCCAGCCCTTCACTTGTAAATAGAGGGGTGCCCAGGGCCCCAGGGGCAGTCAGCTGCAGGGGCGGCCCCAGACTCCCCAGGACCAGGCAGGGAAGCCCCCTAGGGAGCAAAATCTGATGGGTTATTGGTCATTTTCCCCAGGCCATCCTGGTGGGAGAAGGGCAGACCTCAGTGCAGACACTGCCAGGGTCACTGTCCCAAGAAGATCTGAAGGGGATTGAGCCCGTGGTGACCTGGAAGGTGGCTTGGTGAAGATTCTTGCTGCCATGTGGAGGGTGTCAGGGATAAAAGTGGGCCATGCCGGCAGGGAGGCTCTGGTCACGTGAGCCGTGGAGGGAGGAGCGAGTGGTACAGACTCTGTGTCACCTCCTACCCCAGAGGCATGGCCACAGGACTGGACCTGAGTGGTAGCCATGCCTCTGAGGACCTTGGAGTCCCATGGGCTGGGAAGATCTGGAAGTCACTGTCTTTGTTCACTCCAGGAGTGATGCTGGGCATTCACGTGTCCCGGCACTGCTGTGTAGCAGCTCTCTCTAAGACTTGGGGACACGACAGAGGACGCTGCAATGTGGTCCCCGCCCTCACCGAGCTTACCTTCTCTCGGGGCAGGCAGGCCAGGTGTCCATGTGGCAGATGCGGTTTGGCAAATGCTGTGCAGGCACATTCAGAGTCAGGTGAGGGGTACCAAGCCCCGGGACAGGTGGACAGAGGGTAGAGGCGCTGTTTCATCCAGGGGTGCAGGATGTTGACATCCAAGTTGAGAGGTGATGTATGGGAAGAAGCCAGCCGTGAAAAAATTCCCGTGGGAGGAGTGTTCCAGACAGAGGGAACAGCAGATGCAAAGAGCCAAGCCAGGCCAGCCCCAGTCACAACGTAATTACTCAGTGCTCCACTGTGGGATGTGTGCTCTGCCTCGGGCCCTGGGCCCTGCCCGTATTGTGGTGCTGTGGATAGGCTGTACGTTCTGCATGGTTGACTCATTTGCTGTCTGTCCTGACGCAATCGGAGGCTCAAGGGCTTTCCCAGAATTGCCACGAGGAGTTAGGGGCAGAGGGGCACTGAGAGAGAGCCCCGGGGTGAATCTGCCTCTGCCCACCTCCCAGCCAAGGATGTCTCTGATCCGTCTGCAAAATAAGGACCACGAGGTCCGTGAAGTTGTCCTGAGGGCATGACCTCAGGACTGCACGTGGCACCGCGTCCCATGTACAGTGACGGTCCCCCTGAGCCGTGGCCACTCTAACCCCAGCTCCATGTCTGTCTGGGCCAGTCAGTCCAAGACTTGGCCTCCTGACGGGGGACGAGCCCACCTGCCCGCCTCCCCTGCAGGCCTGTGCAGGCTGGGAGCTGAGAGGGCGCACAGGCGTGGTGCGGGGCAGGCACACGGGCCCTCCAGCGTCTCAGCTTCTAGCACAGTCAGGTTCTGCTTGGGCCGTTAGCTCTCGACTAGAGCTGGTGTGTGTGTGCACCTGTGTGCATGGGTGTACACATGTATATGAGTGTGCACATGTGCGCATGGGTGTGCACATGGGTGTGCACGTGTATGCCCACTTGTGAGTATATGTGTGTGCACATGTGTGCGTTCGCACATGGGATGTGTGTGCACGCATGTGCATATTTGTGCATGCATGTGTGCGCACACACGTCTATATACACACTTTGGGGAGCCTGTTCAGAGCCCCCCAAGCAGAGTTGTGAGGGGCCAGTGCTGCCCTCCTGCAGGTGATGAAAGTAAAACTGAAGGCAGACTTCTCAGACCAATACGTTTGTGTTTCACTCCAAGGCCATGGCTCTCATTTAATATTTGGTTAAAAATAAAACCCTCTGTGGTTCTGGAGAAGGATTTTGTGAAAACAGTGAGAAAGGGGTCATGGACACAGTCTTTTGTAGCTGGCAGAAAGATTCCCAGCAAGAACAGGGGTGTCTGTGAGACTGAAACGCCACATGGTGGACGACAGATCCATGAAGCCGGAGGTCCCCAGGGGACTCTTCAGAGGACATGTCACTGAGGGTCTGGGCGCCAGGGCTCTGGATGGAGCGTTTATCGCGGTCCTCACCAACGTCTTCCCGAATCACACACGCTGATGGCACCGACCATCTTTCTCACTAATGCACAAAATATGAACGATTTCATTCAGTTCCACCACTAATGACTCTGGGAAAAAGTAATACATTTTCCCTTAACTTGCTAATTTAATTTAATTTTTTTTTTACTATGAATATATTTTTCTATAAACTGGAGGGTAATTTTGTTTAAGGTGTTTCTAACTAAACATAATTTTCCTGATTCTCTAGAGCAAGTTGTTCTCAGCCAGGGCACTAGGCGAGACCCGAGACGCCTGTGGTTGTCACCACAGTGGGGTTGCTCGTGAGTTGGGTGCAGCCTGGCATGCTGCTCAGCATCCTACAGAACCCAGGACGCCCCAAACAAAGAAGGATTCAGCCCAAAGTGTTAGGAATGCCGAGGTTGAGAAACCTGGTCTAAAGCCAGGGGTGCAGCCCGGCCAGGACCGAGGTCACAAGCTCGGTAGCTTGTCCGGATCTCTTTGTACCAGAACATTCTGGAACCTCCTTTCTTCTGCTAGACAGAAATACTTATCAACACCCTTAAAGAGGCTGACATCAGAACACACATGCCACCTGCTCTCTTGTCAGCCACAATTCCTTATCCTTCTGTATCTTCGCTTTTGGTGGGAGGCAAGGCTGAAGGGTAGGGGGAGGGGGTGGGTGGCTTTGAGATCTTCATCCAGAGAAACGTGGTGGTTACGTGGTTTGTGAGGCTAATTAGGAACAACATGAAACCCCTCCACGGGGTGATGGTAATTGTTACAAGTTGCCTAAAGAACCAACTCTAAACTTTCCCCCAGGACAGCCCAGGCCCTCAGAAGTCATAGCCCAGGCTCCGGCTTTGCCCACAGGTGCGCGGGGAGAGGGGTCCCAGGACTGCAGCGTGCTGGGTGATCCTCCATGCTCTGTGTCCTGTGAGAGGAGGAACGGTGAGGGCTGAGAGCCCAGGCTCCAGGGGCCATGGCCTGAGTTCCAACTGGCCTCCAGAGGACAGCAGCATGACGCTGGGCAGGTCGTGCAACCTCCCTGGGTAAAAATGAAGGTGCTGGCTTCCCGCCCCTACTCCATCCTGGGGGCACTGAGCCCAGACCTCGGTGCACCGACACCATGGCAGCAAGCCATGAGCCTCCCTGCTGAGGCTTTCCTTCCAAATGGACACAGTGAAGAAATAACTGCCCGACTGTGTTCAGGAAACCTTTCCTTGTATTATTTCTATGGGAATTTTCAAAATGATGTCGCCTTTTTATGAGAGATCAGAAGTAAGAAATTCGGTGGTGCTCGTGGGGCAGGGAGAGTGGGTTTGGCCCCTACTGGTGTCATTGATGTAAGAAAAAAATCCACTAAGTGCCTTTTCGGAATGAAACTCATGCAAATGCTGACTTACAATGGCTCACATGTTCTATTTGTGAAAGAATGTAGATATTGTTCTGTTGTTTTAGTGTGTGTTTGTTGAATACCATTTTATTCCGTCCATCCTTAGCTACCATGGAAACCAGCTAGAAGGCTGCAGACAATATCCTAGTTAAATATTTTAAATATACATGTTTTCGGGGAAGCAAAATGGACCCTTTCTCAAAGGTACACCGAAAAGGAAATAGGAGGTAGAGGAATGAACTCTGTGTAGGATTTAGGGCACCCCCTTTTTTAAAAGAAATCTAATCATCCTCAGTAAATATCCGTACTAGGTTTGACATTTAGGGGAGGGGGGCTCACATAATTTCCTTTTGAAGCATGTTTAACCCAAAGCTATAAGGAAGCAATGAGAACAGGAAGACTGCGAATCAGAGAGATTGAAAAGAGCCATAAATAGAATTGATATTTGGGGAAGAAATCGTATCCTCCCTGTTCCAACAGAGCAATGTACGTTCATAATGCAGGCATGGCCGGTCCTTCCCCAGATGTTTCATTTCCACGGCAGACTCCTATGCAATCGATAGTCTTGGAGCACTAGACTCTAAGACGTGGTGTGTGTGTGGCTGGGGTCAGCCACATATTTACCCAAACATTAGAACGTTCAGCAAAACAGGAGCCGAAAATGCACTATGAGGTGGTGCCATGGGTCCGTGGTCACTGCCACAGGAGAAGCTGCCAACACCCGGGAGCCTGAGGCTAGACAAAGTCAAAGGCCGGTGGCTTTGGGGACAGAGGTGCTGGGTGGCTGGGACTGCAGTGCACAGAGGGGTGAGCGCGGATTTTGTTAGTGAATAACGCGCAGAAGACGCCGTGGCCTCAGCAGGGCTCCGGGACCTACATAGGGTTTCAGAGCTCCCAGAACCTTCCATCCTGAGAGTGCTCTTCTCCCTGCATCCCCAGACAGAGCACCTTTCCTCTCACAGGAAGCTCCAGTGCATGGAGCATCCTCATAAGCCATGCCGACAGCTCCGCACAGCAGGCAGCTCCGCACAGCAGGCAGCGCCGCACGGCAGGCAGCTCCGCACAGCAGGACCAGGTTAGAGGGCTGGGCGCAAGGAAAAGCTGCAATGCTTTGCCTTTGCAGCCAGTCCAGCCTCAAGGCCACCCCAGGGCCCACCTGGCTCTGCTGTGGGGATAGGCCAGGAGGCAGGAGCTCCCCTGCGCTGTTTCCCTGGGCCATCCAGTCTGCAGGTGGTGGACTTCCCCAAGTCAGAGTAAGACCGTTTCGTAGGCACTCTCTAGTGACACCTCCGAGATCTGTTCTGTGCCCATCACCATTCTACACAGTCACGAGGCATGTTGGAAACAGAATGAAATCCACAAGTTAGATGCATCTTATGCCTGACGTGACCACACAGCGGGACTGGCCAGCATCTGGTATGTAAAAAAGTTCTGCTCTCTGAGCTGAATTCTCTCATGATGATTAACTTTCTCATTCACACCAAAAACCATCTTCAATACCCACTGTTCACCCACATTTCCACTTCTGGAGACATTTGCCACCTCTATTTTTATCTTCACAGAAAAGGAGGGCTCTGTTTTCCCCACATGGCTCACAGGGGTGTGTGGAGCAGATCCAGCAGAATTCCCAGCTCGGGGCTGTTGCAAATATTCTTCTCTTCCTTGGTGGAATGGCTCCCACTGCACTCTGTCCAGCCTGGAAGACAAGGAGAGGCAGCAAAATCAGGGAAGTGAAGAAGCACAATCCCCTCTGTGTCCTCTCACCGTTCCTTGACACTGGGTCTAGTTTATCTGCTTATACAAATCGGACCCCCAGGCTCTGCAGCTACAGAAGCCTTGTCTCTCAGCATTGCGGGTTCACAGGGCTATGCTGCCTATCAGAGAAATCCAGTGGCATGGGGACCTCCCCAAAGAGCCACTTTCTTGGGTAATGAGAGCCAGCAGTTACACCTTTCCAGGAGGGGGACAGGTGCACCCCAACAAGCTGACACAGAGCACCTTGACCATGGCAACAGCCAGTACGGTGACCAGAGGTCATGTCCCAGCAGAAACTGATTTGAAAACATTCCCATAGATGCTTTTGTGGAATCAGGTGGACTTGTGCCATGCCATTTTCTCAACACTGTGGGGCACTTCAGATGCTAAGGACATGTCCAGCAGGATCAGTGCAGGACCTGGCCGCTGGGCGGGATGACAAGTGAGGGATGCCACCACCGCCATCTGTGACCTATCGCCAAAGGTCGGGGCTGCCGGCTTCCCTTAGAAATATACCACGGATCTGGTGTCAGGGAATTTGAAGCAATTTCCATGTTTTTGCCATCTCTTGAGGGTAATGACTTCGACTAGGACAAGGGATGCTCGCTCTTCCTCACTGAACTTGGCAGGAGCATCAGATGGCCCCCCACAACTAATAACCCATGCTCAGGGAACCCAGGCCCTGTTCCCCTCTTCCATCTGCACCACGCTGGGGTTTTGATCAGGTCCACCCCATCTCAGCCCATCTATTCAAGAGGACTGCTCTGGCATCTGTGCCTCTGGGAGGCATTTTCACGCAATGGCTACGGCACTGCGGAGCCGGTGCTCAGTTCAGGATTCCCAGGGAGCTCGTCCACCCTGCAGAGAGCCTCATGCAATGTGTCCAGAGGGTCTGGAGTGGGACCTGCTATCTGCATCTCTACCACAAGGAAATGTTACAATAGTTGATCACCATTCACCTGTGAACCAGCTCCCATGCCCCGGCCAGACCACGATTGTGGGGAAAGACCCCTCGTCTTCCATGGAAGGCACTCTGGGAGTTTCTGCATGGAAGCCGGGTCTTGGTGGCTGCCCTCCCCCATGTGGCTTCACCTCTGAGTGTTTTAGCATTCCCTTCACTTAAAAGCCAGGGTTCCTCCTTGGCTCTTCATAATTCCCGGCTCCTAACAGATGCGTGGATTCGAGAATAAAAAATATAACAAATGATAACTTTTCGCATGTAGCTTGGGAGGTGCATATGATTATATTCTTTCCTTAACACTGTTTTTTTCTTTTTCAAAAAAACAGAAAAAGACGATCATGTAAAGCCTGCCCCAGGTCAGTTTTGCATTCTTTGTCTCTCGCTTGCGAGTGATGAGGGGAGGGAAATGATCCGAGTTTTGCTGATACTGAGCTGTCCCTGGAGACCTCACCTTGCAGCCACAGCCAGTTACAGCCTCATCACACAGACAGGAGAGCAAGACCCAGGCGGGGAGCAGGGCTGCCAGGAGCTTAAGAAAATAAAATATTGTGGCCCCAAGAAGCCGGCAGGGCAGAATCCGGCCCTGGGGAGAGCACAGGCCGCCGCAGGGTGCAGGTGTGGACTTGGGGGCTAGTGTGGTTTTCTCAACATGCACCTTGCCCGTGAACCCCGGGGCCACCGACTTCCAGTCGAACGGAAGTTGTCTTTGTCTGTGTGCCTTCCTTTTGTCTCTTAAGCTCATTTACCTCTCATCACTTCCCCTGAATCACAATTTATGTATTCTTGAATGTGAGGGATTGGTGACTGTATCCCTGGGAAGAGAGAGGATGCCTGTATTTGAGATTGGTCCAGGAAGCCTGTACAGAGAGACCCGGGGCTGGAGAAGAGTTCATCCAGAAAGACCATGAGACCACCCAGACCCCTCGAGCCATGGGTGGAGAGTGAACACACCTTCCGCGCAGGGCCCCCCGAGCAGCCCACTGGAGCCCAGGCTGTCATTTTATCTCTAAAAAGCCAAGCTCCACTTATGCATGGGGCTTTGTCGTGCATCCGCCCCATCAGTGGCAGTTTTGCAGCACCTTCCTCCCCAGATGTAAAGTGAAGCTTCCGCTCCCCAAGGCGCCCCAGCCTTCGGCTTCTAACATCACTCCTATCCCCACTGCTGCCCACATCCCAGGCATCCACGTAGCTCCGGAGCACAGAGCTCACCAGCCCCTTCCATCAGCAGGGAAGCCTCATGCAGGTCGCAGGGCCCAGCACTAGGACCCGTGCCTGGAGGCTTCTGCTGCTGCCGCCTCCGTAAATCACCATCTTACAGTAGGATCAGCAGAATGCATTCCATAGGAAGCACAGTTGATTAGGGCTTAATGGGGAGAGGCGATCTGAAATGAGAAGCACTTTGTAAATAAAAGCTGATTAAGAAGCAGGCAGGTTTAGAGTCACCTGCACCTTGTAGACACATCCCTGGGAGCCTCAGGCCCCCACACCCTTCATCTGCCCCCTGAGGAAATGGCCCTGTCCCTGCTCAGCACTGGGCAGGTAGGCTCTGACCTTGGAAACTGGGCCCCTAGACAAGTTCATCTGCTGCCACTCCTGGCCGCTCAGGGCTCGGAGGGGTCCCGAGGATGGACCTCCCACAGCCTCGTGTAAGTAAGAGGCGGGAGTGGTGACACCATTTACCAGGCATCTGGGGCACACTGCTCCAGGCTCTGATGATGCCCCAGACTGCAGAATCTCCCCACCCCTGGGCTCTGTTCGACCGATGGACCACCATCCCCAGCCAGTCAATGGCTGTACATGATACTGAGGCCAGGGACTCACCCTGGGGTCTGTCCCAGGAAAGGTAGCTGAAGCCACGAAGCCACAGTTGTGGGGCTCACAGATGTCATCTGCAAACAGACAGGCCGGGCTCTCAGCTCAGCTGCAGCAGAGCAGCCTTAGGGCGTAAGGAGAGCAGGGAAGAGGAGGAGGAGGAGGAGGACGGTGTCTCCAGGTTGCTGTCCAGGCCAAGGAGGCCGAGTGTGAACAGACTCTGAGGAGCCTGTCCTGGTAGGGACCAGCCTGGGCGTGGCACATTTCAGGAACAGCAAGACCGGGGCCAGGAGTCAGGAAGGGGAAGGCAGGGGCTGACCTGGGCGGCCTGGAGGCCAGGCCCAAAGCCCCAGGTGCCTGTGGGGGCAAGGGGACTGGCAGGGCTCCCACCCTCCCATCTCAAACCCTCATCCAGGGAGGAGAGCCCACCCCTTCCAGCAGCCCCGGGAAAGTCACTTGCTGGGGTCACCTGCCTTCCCTGGAGCAGTCACCTGGCCAGGTGGAATGCCGGACTCTGATTGGCCAGCTGGACCCTTAGGCCCACCCCCGCGCCTCTGGGATTGGCTCCCAGGAGGAAAGTATGGGTAGGGTAGAGGGACCGCGGATGCTGGGCCCAGCCCTGGGTTCTCTAGGACCCCACTAGGCCACCCAGGAAGGAGCCTGGGCCCACACCTCCCTCCCTGGCAGGCCCCTCGGTCTGGGTCCAGGAGCCCACTTTGCTCACGGTGCCCTCACCAGAGCAGTCCCTGACCCTCCCCTCCCTACCCCACCCTCAGTCTCCCTCGCCACTTGGCCCCAGCTCTCCCTAGCCAGGCAATTTGGACAAATTCTTCCACTGGCCTGGGCCTCAGTTTCCCTTCCTGGAATATAAGGGTTGTGGGACACCCCGAGTTCGCCTGCCCCCCAGCCCTAGCCCCTGAACACTCAGAGCTCATCCTAGGCCCCCCTTGGCCCAGCCTCCAGGCTGCAGGAGTCTTGCCCTCTCCTTCTCTGCCCTCTGGAAGTCCTGCCCAGCTTTTAGGAGCTCCACCCCCAGCTCTGCCCCTTCTCAGGTTTCTTCCGACAGCAGGGCTGAAGGTCCCCATGTCTGTCAATGCTCCCTAGACAGTACCACATTCACCCCACACCTGGCAGGGGGGCTTCCTGATCATCCCCCTTTCACAGATGAGGGACTGAGATCGGGGATGAAATAAATCCTGACTTGAGCAGTGGAGAGAAAAGCCATGCTCCACGCAGCTCTGTTAACCTCGGAGCCTGTGACGCCCCCACCCTGCTTTCCTTCCAGGCCCCAAATAATGGTGGTGTCTGCCTGGTTTCTGAGGCATCCACACTGTCCTGTGCCACTGTCTGTGCCCCCTTCCTGGCCCGTCCTGCCTGGCAAAGTCCTATTCACCCTTCAGTGCCCTGACCGAGATATAATACCCACCATGAGTATTTCTGTCCCCAAGTCCCCAGTGGACTGATTGTGTGCGACTTGGTGCCAGTTTGAACCTCCTGCCTGATTCTGACTCTGCACCAATCGTGGGCCCTGTGGGAAGTGGTGGGATGGGCCCATCAAGATGGTGGGCCACAGGTCAGACAGCTTGGGCTCCAGTCCTGGCCTTCCAAGCTTGAGCGGGGCTTCATCCCTTGAGCTTGATGTCCTCTGTGTGCTGCCCTGAGGACTAAATGAGACTGTGTCTGGGAAGTCACTTGGGCAGGGCCCGGGCCCGTGCAGGACTCAGGAAGGTGTCCCTGAGGTCATGGCTGCACCCCGCCCCCACATGAGCATGCAGGAGACAGGCTGAGGGCCATTTGCTTTGTCGTCTCCTGGCTCAAGGGTGGCATCAGTAACTTTGTGTGGATGCAGTGGCTTAAGTCTGTCCACTGAGTTTGCTCCATAGAAAGTGAGTGGCTATCAGGGCCCTGCTGCCCCCACCGGGGCTGTGGTACCTCCCTAACGTGTGGGACTAGGAAAAGATGCACAGCCCCCGGGGCAGTAGCAGGTCCGGGGTGGCACCAGAGCAGGTGTTCCCTGCCGTGTGGAGTGTGGCCTGCCAGGTGAGGCGCTGTAGATTGAGCCTGGCATGAGGATGAGGCGCCCAGGCAGAGAGAGGGGCAGGAGCAGGGCCTTGGGCGGTGGAGGTGGAGGTCTGGTCCCCAGCACCTGGCGGGTGAGCTAAAACCCTATAGGCTGGAGGCCAGAGTGGGCGCTTTGGGCCGCTCCTGCCCACTGTCCTATAGGCAGGGCTTTGAGGGAGCTGAGAGTGCATCAGGGAGCCCAGTGGGGCTGAAGCAGGGCAGAGTCAAAGGCACAGGGAAGAGGAGGGAGCACAGGAGGGGAACTGTGGGGTATGGGACACTGCAGCCCTGGGCAGGGCCCTGGCCACAGGGCCAGTTTCCAGGCCCAGAAACACTCATGGGAGATAAAAGTAGGACCACAGCCCAGGTCTCATCCTGTCAAGGACGGCTCCATGAAACATCCCTGGGGAGCCATCCTGCAGGCTGCAGCAGCTCCGGGAAGCTGCCCCCTCATGCATCTTCCCAGGTGTCCGTGAGTGGATGGAGGCGACAGTGGGCGGCTGCCTTGGAGCTCCTGATTCTGCAGATCTGCAGGCACGAGCTTGGTTGGACCCCAAAGACCAGCTCAGCCACCAGGACCCTCCTGGACGCTGCTAGTTACAGGACTTCTAGCTTGAGCTAAACTGTCAGGATGCGGGGAGTGGGTACGGCCAAGATATCTTGCTGCTGGGCTGTTGGTTTTGAGAAAGTTGTGATGTGCTCTATACACACACACACAGACACACAAACACACATAAGCAATGCGTACCTGTGCATGTGTAGAATGCATAAACACACATGTATTCATACATGTGCATTTGTGCATGTGTGTACATGTAGTCATACACCCATACATCTGTGCATATTTGACGTGTGCATTCATATATATCTATATGTGCATGTGCGTACATGCATGCATACATGTGTGCATAGCGCCTGTATACACATGTGCGCATGTGTACTATCTAGTTTCTGGTAATGGTGTAGTAGAGGTCACCCTTAAGTCATTACCCAATGCTCAGTCTTCATTCACTCCGAAATACAGAAGAAAAACAGGCACCAGGGAAAATCAGCAGGTGTCATCTGTTAGAAAATATTTTTAAGTGTAACTGGAAGCATTATTTTCAGTGAGTATAATTATGCATCAGTGTTTATGTGATGTCTTCTGAATGGGCCCAAGATGACTGCGTGTTCAAAAGAACATGCTTGTTCGACCAGGGTGAGTGCTAATTGTGGTTGACATTTTCTTCCAGGGAAGCGGGCGCATCTTCCAGGCAGAAGCCCGCACAGGTCTGGCACTGATTTTCACCAGATTTTGTTATTACATTTGTCTCACAGCTTTAAAATAGTAGCAAATATGTGCAATTTATTTAAACAACACTAGGGAAATTAACGCCATACAAGCTCATACTAAGCAAATGAAAATGAAGGATTTTTTTAAAAAACGGCTGTATGGAAACCCTTTAAAACTCAGAGTCTGAGATTCAGAGGGCCCTGGTGAGCTGCTGCTGGTTCTGAAGCACCACCAGGCGGGAGAGACCAGCCAGTCTCTGCCTCCGTCTCCCGCTGGGAGATGCGGGGGAGCTGCAGATGCCCAGAGGGCCCCTGCTAGTGGCTGTGCCAGAGGCTCCCCTCGCCCTCATCTGGGAGAGATCTGTCCAGGCTGCCTGCCCTCGTGCAGGCACAAAAATAATGCTCCACCACCCTTCTCCAGAGGTGGATCCCCAATTGCCTGTGGGCTGGGAGACGCCCTGTTCTCCAACTGCAGAACATATCAGGCGTGGTTGGCGGCCCCACCCCAGAGTTGTTAAGTCTTAGGTGAGACCTAGGAACCTGCATTCCTAATGAGCTCCACAGGGCACTGAGCTGCTGGTCCTGGGACCAGCCTGGGAGCTCAGACCTGTTTCTCCCCAGTCTGGGATTTATGGAACACATCCCGGGTGGGTGCAGGAAACATCACTGAGACCCCCTTTTCCCTTGGTTCCCCATCTGTTCCATGGGAAGATCGATTTCCGCCCAGTCCAGGACCTTCCTGAAGTCCAGCAAAGGGGATTCGACTTCACAAACAGAGACCACAGAAGGGAGAGGTGGCACTTTCAGGTGCTCTGGCCTTGGGGTCACACTCCTGGCGTCCGAATCCTGCCTCTGCTGAACGGGCTGCATGGGCTTCATGAGTGCCTTGGCCTCGCATGGCAGGAAAGTGGGAATGATGGTGCTCCCCGCTGAACTGGTGAGAGGGAGGACTTATGGGGAGACTACCTGGAACAGCATTTGGCCTGGAGCCTGGAACCTGAGTGCACGCCACATCTATTACCATTGTTCCTGTGGGCTATGTTGGCGTTATTTCAAGCCACTTTGAGCAGTGGGATTAATCTGGTCTTTCTCATCAAAGCTTAGAGCATATCAACATAAATTGTCATATCCCCAAGGTAGAGACCAGCTCCCAGGGAGGTGCTATCTGTCTGGGGCTAGGTCTTGGAGGACAGGTGGGATGTCTTCAGTGGAAGGGCCAGATGCAGAGTCCTGCTGTCCTGCTCATCGGACATTCAGTACCTATGAGGCACAGGCTACTGGTCTGGGCGAGGAAAGCATGGAGTCCAGTTGTCTGTGCTGGGTTCCGGGGAGAATGTGCAGCTAGGACTGTCCTGGAAGCTCTTTAAAGGCCCCTGAGGAGCCTAGAAAAGCCCCCGCCCCTTGTCATCATGAGGGGCTGAAGTCGAGACCCCTGGGTCTCCATGTTTGCACCTCACATGGCTCCTTTCTAAGGAAGGCTGGGAGCGCCCCATGGAAGCCTCCTGGGTTTTATTAATTGAGGCAAATGGTGGTGTGGACCCCCACTGCCTGGAGGGGCAGCCTGTGGTCAGATGCCTCCCGGCCAGCTTTGTCCTCCCTGCCTTGGGCTGCCCTGGTGCAAGGTCCATTCTCCACCACGTGAACTCTCATATCCTACTGCCTCTGCAATTCAGATAAAATGAGCATCAACCACGAAGACTGGAGAGGCATGCCATGCCATGTGGGCACCCTGCACTGGCCCCGATGTGGCAGACGCATGGACGCCGCATATACGCGTGACGTTCTGTTGGCGCTGTCAGCCGCAGGAGTCATGTGCACTATCACGTTTAGGAAACACAGAAAGGGTTCAGGCGCGGTGGCTCACACCTGTAATCCCAGCACTTTGGGAGGCTGAGACGGGAGGATCACAAGGTCAGGAGATCGAGACCATCCTGGCTAACACGGTAAAACCCCGTCTCTACTAAAAATACAAAAAATTAGCCGGGCGTGGTGGCGGGCGCCTGTAGTCCCAGCTACTCAGGGGGCTGAGGCAGGAGAATGGCATGAGCCCGGGAGGCGGTGCTTGCAGTGAGCCGAGATCACACCACTGCACTCCAGCCTGGGCGACAGAGCGAGACTCCGTCTCAAAAAAAAAAAAAACACAGAAAGGTAAAAGGAAGGAAGTAAAATATGATAACAGAACTCCCTGGTGACCAGAGAAAACCAGTGTGTGCATTTTCATGTATTTTCTTACATTTCTTTTTTCTTTTTTTCTTTTTTTTTTTTTTTTTGAGACAGAGTTTCGCTCTTTTTCCCCAGGCTGGAGTGCAATGGCACAATCTTGGCTCACTGCAACCTCCACCTCCCGGGTTCAAGTGATTCTCCGGTGTCAGCCTCCTAAGTAACTGGGACTACAGGCATGTGCCACCACACCTGCCTAATTTTAGATTTTTAGTAGAGATGGGGTTTCACCATGTTGGCCAGGCTGGTCTCGAACTCCTGACCTCAGGTGATCCAGCTGTCTTGACCTCCCAAAGTGCTGGGATTACAGGCGTGAGCCACCACACCCAGGCTCTTTTTCTATCCTTTAAAAAAATGCAGTTGAGGCTGGGCATGGTGGCTCATGCCTGTAATCCCAGCACTTTGGAAGGCCAACACGGGCGGATTACCGGAGGTCGGGAGTTTGAGAGCAGCCTGGCCAACATGGCAAAACCCCATCTCTATTAAAAATACAAAAATTAGCCAGATGTGGTGGCGGTCTCCTGTAATCCCAGCTACTCAGGAGGCTGAGGCAGGAGAGTCACTTAAACCCAGGAGGCAGAGGTTGCAGTGAGCCAAGATCGTATCACTGCTCCAGCCTGGATGACACAGTGAGACTCCATCTCAAAAAAAAAAAAAAAAAGGAAAAAATGCAGGTGCAGTTGATGCTGTATGTATGCTTTGGTGCTATTTCTCCACTTACTAATATTTTATGGGCATTTCTTCATGTCAGTCTTAAAAGAGTAACTTTTAATGATTATAATATTCCAAGACATGAACACAGTGTAATGCGTTTAGAATTCACTGTCAGACATTCAGATTTGTGCTCTGGTATTTTTACTTGTTTAAAAAACATCCAAAGTAAACATCTGTCTATAAGGACTTTGGTCCACCTAGAGTTTCCTGGGGACAGATTTCCAGCTGTGGAGTTACTGGATCAAAAGGGACCGTCCTTTTTGAGGCTCTTGATAGTCACTGGCAACTGGGAGGCAGAGGGCTGTGCTGAGTGACCGCGGGGACCCAGCAGCAGGAGCTGCATCAGTGTCAGTCCTGACAGCCTGGGCCCTATGCTAAGCATGGGCTGGGCATTTTCTCATTGTCATCTGATGTCATTCCCATAGCAGTCCCTAAACTCAGGGCCATTGCTACTATCTCCCTTCTGTCAGAGAAGAACCCAGGATTGTGAGAGATGAAGGCACTTTGCCCCACGTCACATGAGCTTTTGTACATACACACAGGTGGGGTCCAAGGCCAAATCCCACACCCTCAGCCGTCAGCCTCCGCCCACTGACTCCCATCAGCCTCCACCCACTGACTCACTGCGCACCCCCAGTGTTGCAGATTTATTTCGCTCAGCCTTGTCAATCTGACAGGTAAAAAGGATATATTACTTAGATATGCATTATTTGATTACTGGGAGATGTGGATATTTTTCATAAGTTTATTGATCATTTATATTTGTTTTGCTGTGAATTATCTATTCATGTCCTTTTCTTGTTTGGAAACAACATTCCATTTGATTTTTTTATTTCTAAGAGTGCTTTATATGGTGACTATTAACCTTGTGTCAAATTGTTGTAAATCATATTTTCCAAATGTGTCAATTGCCTTTTGGGTCTGTTTTCATAAACAGGAGTTTTGTGGGAAAACGTATTAGTCTTTTCTTTTGTGATCTCTTGCATTGTTTGGGGTGAGCTTAAAAAGCCCTGTCTACACTATTGGTGACATTGTCCACTATATTTTCTTCTTTGTTTATGGTTTCTTTTTCCCGCATTTAATTTTGTAATCGGTCTCATCATATTGATGGGGGTCTCACTTGATTTTTTTTTTTCCCTAATAGTTCCTTTCCCAGCGTTATCCCGCCCTTCCCGCTTAGCTCCTTGTCCCAGCGTTACCCGCCTTCCCTCTCAGTCTCGGGCAGTACAGATCATCTTAGCAGATGCCATTTTCCTCTGTGCAAAACCTAACTGGACTTCTCTGCCTCTTCTCTCCCCTTTCCAAATAAAGCCGCAGAAAGGAAAGAAGGTCGTGGCTCTGGACCCCTCTCCGCCTCCGAAGGACACCCTGCTGCCGTGGCCCCAGCACCAGAACGCCAACGGGCTGAGGCGGCGCAAACGGGACTGGGTCATCCCGCCCATCAACGTGCCCGAGAACTCGCGCGGGCCCTTCCCGCAGCAGCTCGTGAGGGTGAGTGCAGACCCCTCCCGCGGGCACGGGGGTCTCGGCGTTAGCAGTAGGCTCTTCTCCCGACATCCCAAAGCCAGGGGCGGGTTCCGCGTTTGGTGTCTGAGAAGGTCGCGATTTCACCCTTTCTGTAATGAGATAAGCCTTACACAGCGCGATGAAAAATTCAGGCGGGGAAGCTGCGTCCTCCGCGGTGGATGGGCCTTTGTGAGTTAGGGGTGATTTCTCTCTTGGTTACTTTCAAGTGGCTGCTGTGTGTGTGGAAGCAGTGGGCAGGGGCGTGGGTCGTGGCCTTTGACCTCTGACCCCTTTCTTTGGTCTGATCACATTTCTTTCCATGGATGACTAAGATCCCGGATGATGGGGTGGTGCCATGACGATCCCTGCGCCGAGGCCAGCGTGCGCCGTGCCGCGGTCTGTCTGCAAGTTCTTGGTCCCCGAGCTCCCAAGGCCACCCGAGATTGCTTTTACCGCAGAAATAATTTATTTTACAAATTTGTGTTTCTATTATCAAGGCCATCAACGAGCAATTTCTTCTTCCCTTTGAAGAAAATTGCAGCCCAATCTGAGCAACAATTTGATAAAAGGATGGCGAGAATTCCATTAAATAATTCCCAACCGTTGTGGAAAAGCCTCACCCCACCCTTTGGAAATGAGGGTCCCCAGAGTGTGCTTAAGGGGTCATTCTCATTCTTTGTGCTGTTTAGTGTGTTTTGTTTCTCATTCCTTTCAATGCAGAAGGCTGGGCTGTGCGTTTGGAATGCAGAGATGGGAGGAAGAGAGCAGCCACCAGGCAGGGTCCCCCCAATTTTTTGTATCCCTAACCTCGGCCACCAGGGGACCCCACCAGGGAGCAGCCAAAATGACCGGTTATTTATAGCAGAAACTCTGGCATGAGTGAATGCAGTGTGCCTCCACACCCCAGCCAAGGTGACTTGGTTGCAAATGTATCACCTGCCTTCTCTGCACAGAGCCGGCCCTCCCACCTCAGCACCCAGCCTCTGCTGCATTCTTCCCTGTCAGGGGCTCAGCTTTCCTTGGCCACCCATGCCCCTTGAGGGCCAGGCAGGTTTGGAGATTTTCCTGTGAAATGCAGTTCAGGGCTTGAAGGAAGCCACCAGGGGTTGGAACCCCATCCTGGGCGAGCTTCCCAGGCCCACATCTCCTGGGCCCACTGGGCAACCTCCCGCCCACCACGGATGCTAGAGACGATGCCAATGGCAGTGCCGTGGCCCCCATGCTGCGCCCACCTCACCATCCTTGGGGCCGGGATTTCTTGCATCCGGCCATTGCTTGTGTTGTCATTGACTTAAAATTCGTCTCAAAGTGATTCATTTTTTTTCCAACTTTTATTGTAAGTTCAGGGGTACATGTATAGGATGTGCAGGTTTGTTACCTAGGTAAACGTGTGCCATGGTGGTTTGCTGCCCCTGTCAACCCATCACCTAGGTATTAAGCCCAGCATCCATTAGCTATTCTTCCTGATGCTCTCCTTCTGCCCCACCCCTCCCACAGGCCCCAGTGTGGGTTGTTCCCCTCCCTGTGTCCATGTGTTCTCATCATTCAGCTCCCACTTATAAGTGAGAACATGTGGTGTTTGGTTTTCTGTTCCCACTTTAGTTTGCTAAGGATGATGGCTTCCACCTCCATCCATGTCCCTGCAAAGGACATGATCTCGTTCCTTTTTATGGCTGCATAGTATTCCATGGTGTATTTGTACCACATTTGCTTTATCCAGTCTGTCATTGATGGGCATTTGGGTTGATTCCATGTCTTTGCTGTTGTGAATAGCGCTGCAATGACCATACACGTGCATGTGTCTTTATAAGAGAATGACTTCTGTTCCTTTGGGTGTACACTTAGCAATGGGATTATGGATCAAATGGGAGTTCTGCCTCTAGGACTTTGAGGAATTGCCACACTGTTTATCCCCAAAGGAGATTGTATACCAAACCACAGTTTGATCACTGGGATAGTTTGTCAGGCTAAAAGCTGACTGTAGAGAAAAGCATAAGGTGAGAGAACAAAGGCTGCCCCTGATTTGTTACCCAGGCCAGTGGGGCAGGGGCTGAAGGGTGTGCTGGAGGCATGAGGACCAACCAGAGATTCCTCTTTGAAGGTCATCAGGACTGAAGGTCACCGAGACAGGGAGCGGGCTTCCATCATGCTCTTCCACCTTATTTAATGCCTTGTGCTTCTGCCACCCCCACATTGCCCCTGGTAGACAGTCATCGATCTTACTCTGGGGTCAGCAAACCTTTTCTGTGAAGGGCCAGGTGGTAAATATTCTAGGCATTGTGACCATACAGCTTCTGTCGCTGTGGTGTGAAAGCAGTCTCAGGCAATGTGTCAACTAACAGGTTGGCCGTGTTCCACTAAAACTTTATTTACAAAAACAGGGAGTGGGCTGGGTTAGCCCATGGGCCATGATTTGACAACTGCCAATCAGACACTTTTCCGAAACTCAAGAAAGGGCTGCCCAAGCCACCCTCACAGGCACAGGGTAGGCACATTATTTGTGGAGTGAGTGAGCAGTGAATTTGAGGGCCCTCATCTGCTTGCACACCACAGAGTGGGTACCAGCGGCATCTGACTGTTATCTCTGTTATCTTAGCACAACTGGGATATTCTGCTGTCCTGGCTCTTGGAGTTTCTCAGCCTGATGATCTAGGACTGAAAGGTGGGAATTTCTTCCTCAGCTCTGCTCCACAGATAGGCTTGTAAAAGGGAACATGAAAGAGCGAGGTCACATGGGCACAGCCCCTGTCCCAGGAGGGTCCCCAAGCTGTGTGTGGCCCCACACACCATCTCCTGATGGACAGTGGAGAGAAAGACCTCCTGCAGCATCAGTGGCTGAGGAAGTGTGGGCTGGGACAGGCCCCATGAAAGGACCAAATCCTCCCAGACCAGCAGAGGGCTCGGGTAAGGATGGGCCCAGTTGTCCTGTTGATGAGAACGTTTCTCCGGAAGACATCATCATGAGAGCCCACCTTACGCCACATCTGAATGCCCTGATGGGGAACATGGCTTTCCAATTTGCAGCAGGGAAATATGCCCCTTCTGATTAACACGAGCTTGGAAAGTGTGGCTGAGAGAGCAGCCGGCACCGGGAGCTCTCCAGGCCCTGCAGGTGCAGCCTCCTGAGGACTGTCTGCTGCTGACCTTTCTAAACTAGAAATGTGCAGGGAGGAATTGTGAATTTGGCTTTGGGTGTCAGAATGAGAAAAGCTGCAAATTCCGTGCTCCCAGGAAACCACCCCCAGCATCTCCGACCCAGGAAGTGGCAGCTTCTCCTGTTCTGGGGTCTGTGGCTTTGCTATGGTTTGGAACCACTTTGTCATCTGCTCCTCATATCCCCTGACTCGTCCAGCAGCCCCTGCAGGCAGGGTCACCTCCATGCCCAGAACGTCACTGCAGAACAGGCCGTGAGCGGAAGGAGGCAGTGAGGTGGGTGCGTGTTAGGGCTGACGAGCTGCACTGCAGCATTTCAGAAACTGAACCCAACCTAAGTCGATTTCTTGCTCACTGTGAAGGTTGGTGGGCAGGGCGAGGGTGGCCTGTGCTCCAGCCATTCAGCCACCCAGGATGAGCGTCTCGGGACTGGCGAGGCTTACAAGTGGCATACGTCAATCGTGCCTACATGCCACTGGCCAAAGCCCAGTCACATGACCACGTCTAATTGTAAGGGACATGGGGAACGAGTCCAACTCCGTGTCATGAAGGAGGGGGAAATATGGTTGGTGAACAGCTGGTCTCTGTCGAAGCAGGTTTCTAAAGATGAGATCAGCCTGTGTCCTTTCCTCCCTGATGAACCCACTGTCCCAAGGAGTCCCTAGTCACTGGAGCCCTGGGTGAGCAGTTCAGATGTAATTCGCCAACCAGATCATTCTTTACCCTCTGCCCTGCTTCAGTTCGCCATAGTGCTTGGTGTGAACTGGCTGTATTTTCTGTCTTTATTCACCTACTTACTTCTTCTCTAAGAGGAGGCTTCCTGAAGACAAGGATCTTGGCTGTACCCCTAGTGTTGTAAACAGCCCTTGGCATGCAGTGGGCACTCTATTTGTTGAGGGAATGAATGAGTGAGTGAGTGAGTGATAGACGTGATCTCAGTGGTGACTGTTGTGCTGGGCACCCATCAGCTAACCCTGCAAAATGGCCCAGCAGTTGGAATTTGGCAGAAACGTTAGCACTGCCTGTCCTGGCTCTCAGAGTCCCTGCAAGTATCGCTGTGGCTCACACAGGGGCATCCCCTTCAGCTTCCATCCAAAGGAAGGCGGAGTGGGCATCCAAACCGAGCTTAATGCCAGGAAAGATGGACCTTTAGTGAACGGAAAATGGAATTTCCATTGTGGCTTCTGTAGATTTGCCTTTTCCAAATGGACTCCAAGTCATTATGTAAGAACTCAGTGCATGTGCACACACATCCACATGCGCACACACGTGCATACAAAAACACACGTCTACACACGCACACACGTGCATACAAAGACACACACCCATACGCGCACACACGTGCATACAAAAACACACACCCACATGCGTGCACACGTGCATACAAAAACACACACCCACATGCGCACACACGTGCATACAAAAACACACATCCACATGCGCACACACGTGCATACAAAAACACACATCCACATGCGCACGCACTTGCATACAAAAACACATCCACATGCGCACGCACGTGCATACTATACACACATGCACACACGTGCATGCAATACACACATCCACATGTGCATACACGTGCATACTATACACACATGCACACACGTGCATACTATACACACATCCACATGCACACACACGTGCACACTATACACACATGCACACATGTGCACATACCACTCTGCTTCACACACACACTCCTACACGTTCATGTTTGCCACCTCCCTCCCTCCACCCTCCCCTCTATCTTCCATTGAATTCTTATCTAGCACAGGCAGTGGTTTGTGGGGTGCTTTCCTGTCCCCATTTCCATCTATAGGAAGCTGATGAGCTTCCTGGCAGTGTTGTAGGGGAGACGGCTCCTGGAAGAAGCCCCAATCACAGAGACGGTGGTGAATGCAGCCTGATGCGGGGCGGCAAGCTGAGCACAGAGCGCTTTGAGGTTCAGCTGGGATCAGCTGCAGTTCTGCGCTCATTAAGGCATTTCATTCTGATAAAATATGTTAAACGAAAAAACGAGCGGGAGAGGAGGAGGCAGAATACTCTTCCCCAAAAAAAGTCTGTTAATTACAGGCTTTTTCCTTGGAAGGAATATCACGTCTCTTCCTAAGCACTAACGGCACCACGCAGAGGGAAATAGGTAACCTACTTGTAGAGAGGAAAGCCCTGAAAAGCAAAGGGGTGGCTCTAATTGGCGGGGCTGTGGAGCCAGGGGTATCTGTGGCAAAGCAGGGAGCCACGCCTGGTGGTTCTGCCACTGGAATCAGACCGCAGTCTAAAGTGAGTGGTGAGTGAGGAGGTGTACCCACACCGCGGAGGGAACACTCAGAACCCCAGGCTGTCCCTTCTTCTCAAGCAGAGGAGGGAGGAAGCCGCTCACAGTTACCGAACTGATTTTCCAGGAACTTGGATAGGGACTTTTCTTTATGTCCCCAGGGGAACTGGGGAAAATGGCAGGAGGGAGCAGCATTTAAAAGGTTAGCAGGACGCCCTCCCTGGTCCAGAATTCTGGCTCTGGACTGGACAGTTTGGGCAGTTGCTATGGTGCCAAGCACCATGCGGGCACTGGGGCTTCAGGGGAGAGAGGATATAGAGCTCTCCTGTGGCCTTCAGGAACCACCAAGCAATCCACATTCTGCCTGAAGTTCACAACCTGGTCCCTCGGCCCTTGTAGGGCTGGTACCTACACAGGCACATTCTTAAAGGGTTTTAAAACGCCACTTGCTTGGCTAGCATACACGTTAGGTTTGACTCCTGGCGAGATTCAGAATGAGGATAAAATGAAACTTTTAAGAAGAGCATCTATTGCTTGGCTGAGTCTAATACCAATGCACAATATGTTCCCTTGAGAGGCTGTCCAGGGCAACTGCAGGAATCAGCGAATCAGCTGAAGGTGATGAGGGGGAACGTGGTGCTCCTGGGTGCGAATCCTTTCATTTTGGCAGTTGATATTTTAGAAGACAAGAAGTCATGCAAACCCTCGGGCCCCCCTGCCAGAGGACAAGCTAGGAAAAGAGCTCTGAAGACAAGGCTCTGGAGGGAGGTCGCTCCACAGTCGCGGAGCCTGCGAGGTGCTTAGGTCGCTCGGAGGAGACACACAGGAGCCATTTCCAGAGAAGCACAATCACAGGTGCGCAGCCACAGATGGCTCACAAAGGATGGCTCAAGTCAGCCCCCTACACCGAACAACTCAAATGAGCTTAAGCGGATTGAAGTGCAACGTTTCCTTCACGTCTTCTGGATAAATTCGGTTCCCATTTGTGCACATACACCCCATTGCTTCACATCCAGCCACAAATACTTACACCGTTCTATGTGAACAGAGATGGGCTGGGTCTTTGGGAGCATGGAGGTGAAAGGGCACATGGCTGCCCTGCACGGGCTCTGGACTGCTTCAGCAAATGAGTGATGCCCCGAGCTGGGTCTGCATCCCGAGATGCACGGCCAAGGTGCCGGAGACCCCTCTCTGGCCCGTGGCAGGGGCCCCATAAAAGTTGATTGGATGTGTGAGCACGTGTGGCGGGGCCAGCTGAATTTTAGCCCCACGTTATCTTTACAGAATGTTTGCTGGGTAACTTAGCAGTATAATTAGCACGGAGTCCACCTAAGCACCCACTTTCCAATACTCTAAAGCATCCATGTGTGTACAAATGACTCACGTGGCAGTCATTCGTTGTCTCATGGAAGCAGGGTGGCCTTTCCAAAGCACGGATGTGGCTGTGTGGTTCCCACTGTCCTTGGGAGATGGCCTGAATGCTCACCTTGCCCCACAGGTTTCATGAGCTCATGCCACCCCTTGGCACAGCAAGCTCCAGTTGTGCTGGTGGCTCGTAGCTTCCAGACTGGCTCGTAGCTTCCAGACTGGCTCGTAGCCTTGGTCACCTGCAGTCCTGTGCACAAGCTCCCCCCTCAGCCTGGAGGGTTTTCCCGGTGCACCCAACACTCCCCTCAGCCCGGCTACTCCCTACCTGCTCTGAGAACTCCCTACTTCTCAGGACCCATCAGAGGCCTTCCCAAGGGGCCAGGGCACCCACTTTGCCTGCTACTGTGGCAGAGTTTTTGACACTGTTTCGTCGGTAATTATTGTCTGCACCCCCCACTAAACCTAAAGCTCCTTGAGGAGCACACATGTCGTTAAACACTCATTAAGTGAGAATGACGGACACGGCCCTAGTGCCTACCTCTGCTAGTCAGCCCTTCATGGTCATTAGGAAGATTGTTACGTTAGGGATACAGTACCTGGCAATAATAAATTGGAAGGTCTTTTAGTAATGGTGGTGTGGTTTATTTCATTCTAACACTCCTATCAATAATAACTATAAATTCTAGGGGAAAATGTTTAAGCTCTTTGAAGTTACTTGGGAGAAATGGATAGTAGACAGAATCTGTTGGGGACTCCACGCTCGAAGGGAGAAAATGGCACTGGGTGAGACGTGTGTGCAGGTGGCTTCCCTCTGAGGGCACCATCCCAGGCCTTGCCTCAAAGGGTGAGTGGATCTCAGGCAGGAAGCCACAGACGTGCTGGTCACAGGAGCTGTAAGATGGAGTTTAGAATTGACAAAGCAGCTGGAATGTGAGGGGATAAATTCTAGAAAATACATAGCCACAGATAGGGACTCCCCAGTACGCATGTAAGCTCTGCCCAGATCCTTGGCTGCCCCGGAAATGTGCATGCACAGAGAGGCACCGAAGGACCCAGTGAAAGCAACAGTCAGCAGACGGAAAGAACTAAGCAGAGATTCCAGGGGAAACACATTGAGATATGCCTCCAGCCAAGTGAACTCCCTGCTGTAATGAAAAATAAACACCCTCAGGGAAAGATAACAGAACCAGGGTCTCTACAAGGTTGCATTCACAGTGATCAGTATACACACAAAAATTATTAGACATGTCAAAAAGAGAGAAAATGTGATCCACAATCAAGAAAAAAACTGCCCAGAGAAAGGAACCCAGGAACCCTGAGATCACCCAGACATTGGAACTAGCAGCAAGGCCTTTAACATAATGCTTTATAGTATGTTCAAGGGTCAGAATAGATGGATAGATGGATAGATGGGGAATCACAGCAGAAAAAAAAATTTGATACTCTAAAAATATAACCAAATAGAAATGATAAAACTGAAAAGTACAGTATCTCTAACGGAAAACTCACTGGATGGGTTCACAAGTGGATTGCTGAGGCAGGAGAAAGGGTCAGCGCATTTGAAGATGGATCAATACAATTATCCAGCCTGAAGAAGGAGGAGAAGTGAAGCACACAGAGCTTCAGTGGGGCGGTGGCCAGTGGCCTAACATCTGTGTGATGGCAATAACAGAAGGAGAGGAGAGATGATCAGAAAAAAATCCTCAAAGAAATAATGATTGAGACTTTCCCACATGTGGTAGTGAAACAAACTTACAGATTCAAGAAACCCAGTGAACCCTAGGTAGGAGAAATACAAAGAACGCCGTTCACCGATCATAGTCAAACTGCTGAAATGCAAAAATAAAGAAAACATCTCTAAAGTAGAGGAAAAGGTGCAATATGTCCGGGGCAGCAGTCAGAATGGGGTCTTCTCCTCAGAATCCCTGCAGGCACACGCCAACAGAACAACTTCTTTAAACTACTGAAAAGAAGCTACCAACCAAGAGTTTTATATCCAGAAAAAATATCCTTCAAAAATGAAGGTGAAGCCGGGCATGGTGGTTCACACCTGTAATCCCAGCACTTTGGGAGGCCAATGCAGGCAGATCACCTGAGGTCAGGAGTTCAAGACCAGCCTGCCCAACATGGTGAAACCCCATCTCTACTAAAAATACAAAAAAATCAGCTGGGTGTGGTGGCACATGCCTATAATCCCAGCTACTCAGGAGGCTGAGGTGGGACAATCGCTCGAACCTGGGAGACAGAGGTTGCAGTGAGCCGAGATCACGCCACTGCACTGCAGCCTGGGTGACAGAGTGATACTCTGCCTCAAAAAATAAAAATAAAAATGAAGGTGAAATAAAGACATTCCTGATAAACAAACTGAGGGAATTCATCACCATTAGATCCAGAGGGAGTGATAAAGGATGTTCCTCAGGCCAGAAACAAATGACACCAGTTGGAAATCCACACCTCCAGGAAGGGATGGAGAGCTCAGGAAGAGATACATTTATGGGCTAATATAAAAGATTATCATTTTTCTTTTAATTTCTTTTAAAAAGCTGACTATTTAAAGCAAAAGTACAGCATTGTATTAGGGAGTTTATAATGTATGTTGATGTAATAAATATGACAACAGTAGGAGAAAAACTAAGTAAGACAACAGTTGGACAAAGGACAGACGGGGTAAATGGAGCAAGGCTGTTTTGAGGTTCTGACGTTGCTGGTTAAGTGGTCCAATATTAACTCTAGGTAAACTGTGATGCTTATGAAGTTGAGATGAGTATTTTCATTAGTTAAGTTAATCAAAATGAATTTCTTTAAGGCTGGGTGCAGTGGCTCATGCCTGTCATCCCAGCACTTTGGGAGGCCGAGGTGGACGTACCACTTGAGGCCAGGAGTTCAAGACCAGCCTGACCAACATGGTGAAACCCCATCTCTACTAAAAATACAAAAAATTAGCCGGCCGTGGTGGCACATGCCTATAATCCCAGCTACTCAGGAGGCTGAGGCATGAGAATCACTTGAACCCCGGAGGTAGAGGTTGCAGTGAGCCAAGATCATGCCACTGTACTCCAGTCTGGGTAACAGAGTGAGACCTTGTTTCAAAAAAAAAGAATTTCTTTATATATGCGTCAATGAAAACTGTTAGTCACCAGATTGTCCCGTTTATTAGCACAAATAAGTGAGTTTTGGATGTGCCCATCTATGAAAACAAATACAAGGCGTCAATGATTCTGAAGGCTTCTTCCAAATTCATTACCCAACATTCTATCTGAACACACTAATATACATTTCTAGGGTCGATGGTTTAAACTGTAAATTCTCCAAAGGCACATTCTATATGATTTTTGCCCACAACCTTTCCTTAATATGTACATGTTTTCTAGATAAAAACATTAAATACAGCTAAAGTGACATCAAGGTCTCCCTCCCTTCCTTTCCTCCAATACGTGAGAGAAATGTAATCCCAGTTCCTTGGGACAGTTCTCGAGGCCCTCAGATGTCCTGTGCCCCCGAAAGAAATGTAATCCCAGTTCCTTGGGATAGTTCTCAAGGCCCTCCGATATCCTGTGCCCCTGGGAGAAATGTAAGCCCAGTTCCTCAGGACAGTTCTCGAGGCCCTCAGATGTCCTGTGCTCCCAGGAGAATATAAGCCTAGTTCCTCGGGACAGTTCTCGAGGCCCTCAGGTGTCTTGTGCCCCCAAGAGAAATGTAATCCCAGTTCCTTGGGACAGTTCTCCGGGCCCTCAGATGTCCTGTGCCCCCGGGAGAAATGTAAGCCTAGTTCCTCGGGACAGTTCTCGAGGCCCTCAGGTGTCTTGTGCCCCCAAGAGAAATGTAATCCCAGTTCCTCGGGACAGTTCTCAAGGCCCTCAGATGTCCTGTGCCCCCAAGAGAAATGTAATCCCAGTTCCTTGGGACAGTTCTCAAGGCCCTCCGATATCCTGTGCCCCCAGGAGAATGTAAGCCCAGTTCCTCGGGACAGTTCTCGAGGCCCTCAGGTGTCTTGTGCCCCCAGGAGAATGTAAGCCCAGTTCCTTGGGACAGTTCTCGAGGCCCTCAGGTGTCTTGTGCCCCCAAGAGAAATGTAATCCCAGTTCCTCGGGACAGTTCTCAAGGCCCTCAGATGTCCTGTGCCCCCAAGAGAAATGTAATCCCAGTTCCTTGGGACAGTTCTCAAGGCCCTCCGATATCCTGTGCCCCCAGGAGAATGTAAGCCCAGTTCCTCGGGACAGTTCTCGAGGCCCTCAGGTGTCTTGTGCCCCCAGGAGAATGTAAGCCCAGTTCCTTGGGACAGTTCTCGAGGCCCTCAGGTGTCTTGTGCCCCCAAGAGAAATGTAATCCCAGTTCCTCGGGACAGTTCTCAAGGCCCTCCGATATCCTGTGCCCCCAGGAGAATGTAATCCCAGTTCCTCGGGACAGTTCTCGAGGCCCTCAGATGTCCTGTGCCCCCAAGAGAAATGTAATCCCAGTTCCTCGGGACAGTTCTCAAGGCCCTCCGATATCCTGTGCCCCCAGGAGAATGTAAGCCCAGTTCCTCGGGACAGTTCTCGAGGCCCTCAGGTGTCTTGTGCCCCCAAGAGAAATGTAATCCCAGTTCCTCGGGACAGTTCTCCAGGCCCTCCGATATCCTGTGCCCCCAGGAGAATGTAAGCCCAGTTCCTCGGGACAGTTCTCGAGGCCCTCAGATGTCCTGTGCCCCCAAGAGAAATGTAATCCCAGTTCCTCGGGACAGTTCTCAAGGCCCTCCGATATCCTGTGCCCCCAGGAGAATGTAAGCCCAGTTCCTCGGAACAGTTCTCCAGGCCCTCAGATGTCCTGTGCCCCCGGGGCCTCATCAGACATTAAGCATGCAGTCCCTTTGCAGCTCTGGATGGCGCGAGTTTCCCACGTCCCATCCCCTTCCTGGCTATGGGCAAGTGCAGGCTGGATCCTGGCCTCCTCCTTCCTGGCCTCCAGCTCACTGCCCTACCCCTGGAGCAGAGGGGCCTTCTACACCTGAGCCACGCTGGCCACTCCCCAAGCTCACTCGAGGTCGAAGCTGTGGCCGACGCTTGGGCACTGGGGGCTTCCTCCTGCTCCCCAAAGGCGGGGTCAGGACACTCCTCCCTGGCTCTGCCCAGCATGTGGCTCTAGGGCTCACCACCTCAGTTCATCAGGTCTCTCCTCCGATGGCTTCTCTGCCACGATAGGACCCCCACCCTATTCACACGCAGCCCTGGCCCACTCCCTGGCCATGCTTCACCATCTCCTCACACCACGTGGCATTTCCTCATGGGGAGGGTCACACCTGTGGCAGCTCAGTTTTGCCTACCATCCGCTTCCTCCTGCTGGGCTGTGGGCTCCCTGAGGGTGGGGCGGCTCTGATCTTGCCCCTGTCTGTGTCCCAGCCACTAAGAATGCAGGCTGGCCCAGAGAATCCCTCAGTGAATCGCTGCTGGAGGAGTGGATGGTGACCTGCTAGAGGCAGGAGCTGGATTTGGCCTGTGGGCTGTGGTTTGTGACCCCTGGACTAACCCTGTCAGGTAGGATCGTCTGGTGGACACTGCACACCCCACCAGGTGCACAGAGCCCTCACCCAGCTGGATAGGGCCCTCACCCAGGTGCGCAGAGCCCTCACCCAGGTGGACAGGGCCCCCACCCAGGTTTGCAGAGCCCCCACCCAGGTGTGTAGAGCCCCCACCCAGGTGTGCAGGGCTCCTACCCAGGTGTGTAGAGACCTTGCCCAGGTGGACAGGGCCCTCTAAAGTTCAGGACACCTCCCTTTCAAGGAGCCACCTGGAGAGAGATTTGGGGCCAGCTTAGCCACTTAGCCACTTTCTTAGAGGGCAGAGGCCCCTGATGCTCCAGCTCTAGCTGTGCTAGTGAATTTTTAAGCCTTCAGAGCCAGGGAGCGTGCGAGCGAGTGGAGAATGAGGTAGGTTTCTTTCCTCCAAAGGAACCTTCAGACTGAAAGTCTCTGGGAAGAAACCAGTGGCCGGAGGTATCCCAGGAGCCAGCTTGAGTCTGGGTTTTCTCCCCTGTAAGTGGACTGTGGAAATCTCCCCTCTGGTTCACCAGACACAGAATCCACGTCCAGGATGGGAGGAACTGCTCTAAGAACACGTGAACGAGAGGCTTTGGGGGTCTTCGGCTCAGCCCTCCGGGGAAACAAGGACCCTTGAGAAAGTTGGACCCCCCGTTCAAACAGCGTCTCCTTCCGCAGCAAAACAGCGTGGCACTTCCATTGGCCCATCACCTACACTTCAGGGCCCACCTCCTTCCTGGCCCCAGGCAGGAGGGGCGGCTACACATGTGCACCACCCCCATGACCGTCTTGAGTGTGGTTCTGAAGACGCAATCCCAAGATGAACACGATCGCCCTGCTGCAGTCTGCGAGTCGCCCGGCAGCCAGACACAGCGCTGAGACCCACGGGGATTCACATTGTCCCCGCTGAAGCCAGAGGGATGTGAAGAAAGCAATCATTTTGGACTCTACTGCCCTGGGTTGTGTGGTTTAATTGCTCGTGTGAAAGGAACAGGCAGGCCCTTTGTGTTTACCGCCCTCTCATCCAAGCAGAAAATGTTCCCTTTCTTGAAATGCTTTAATGGCTATATTTACGCAGCTGAAAGTTCCTTAAGAAATGAAAGTAAAATCAAATTGCTGCAAATGCTCAGATAATTTATTGGAGAATATTCAATTCGAATATATTAATATTTTAGATTTTCATCATTAATTGAATATTCAGGGATTTAATTTTGTCACTGAATTGCTGGAGCACCCTCTGTGAACAGGTGTTTAGGATGAGAGCTCAGGCACCTTCCACAAATGGACTCTTAGAGTTTGGCAATGGCCAGGGAGCCTTGTGTCTGCCAGGCCAGCTCCAGGACTGCTGACCAGACATTGTCTAGGTGCTAATGCGTGGGCTCCCAGGGCCACTGTAGAGTGCAGCTGTTCTGAGGACAAGTTTAAGGGTGAAGGAGAGTATGTATGTTGGGGCAAGCTGGCAACAGCCCTTGCTTGGAAAGAGATGTCCTTCATTCTTCAGTTGTGGCCTTCATACTTGAGAAGGTGAAACTGTCTGTGCATGAAATGATGATGACAGCAGGCTGTGGTGGCCATTATCCATCCATCCATCATCCATCCATCCATCCATCCATCCGTCTGTCCGTCCATCCATCCATCCATCTATCCCTCCATCCATCCATTCATGCATTCACTAAGCCTTTCCATGTCAAGCACCCTGTATCTGTTGGTTCTCACGCTGCTAATAAAGACATACCCAAGACTGGGTAATTTATAAAGGAAAGAGGTTTAATTGACTCACAGTTCAGCAGGTCTGGGGAGGCCTCAGGAAACTTATAATCATGGTGGAAGGGGAAGCAAATATGCCCTTCTTCACATGATGGCAGAAAGGAGAAGTGCAGATCGAAGCAGAGGAAAGCCCCTTATAAAACCATCAGCTCTCATGAGAATTCACTATCACGAGCGCAACATGGAGGTAACTGCGCCCATGATTCAATTATCTTCCACCAGGTCCCTCCCACAACACAGAGGGATTATGGGAACTACAATTCAAGATGATATTTGGGTGGGGCCACAGCGAAACCATATCAACCCCCAGGTGTGCTGTTGTGGGTACAGAGGCTACAACAGGGAACAGATGGAACAGTCCAGCCCTCATGGAGTTTATGATCAAAGACAGGGATAAGTAACTCTTAGTTACAGTCTGGGAACCAGAGAATGTGGGATGCCATTGAAGTTTGATTTCAGATAAGGTGGCCAAGAAAGTCACTTCTGAGAGGACTGAATGCAGTGGCAGAGAGAATCATGGGGATATCGAGGGGATGAGTGCTCCAGGCAGAGGGAACAGTAAGTGCAAATGCTCAGAGTCTTAGAGGAAGAGCCAGGATGTCAGAGGGGCTGAATAGAAATGGCCAGGGAGAGGGTGAGAGAGAAGAACTGAGAGAGTGTCAAGGCCAGGTCACTCAGGGGCGTGTGGCCATGGGAGGGACTTGGTGGTTGATTCTGAAACCCAAAGAGTGATGTGGTGTGGCATAAATTGATTTACCAAGACCCCTCTGACTGCCGTGAGGGACCAGGCAGAGCAGGAGTAAAGGCAGTAGCAGGAGGCAGCTTCTCAACCCTCCCACTGAGCTACCAGAAGGCCAGGGGTGTTGTTTTAATGTCCCGCCCAGTAAAACAGCTGGAAACCCCAATCTTATCACAGACTGGACATCTGTGACCCTTGAGGAATGAGAGGCTCTCTTTGATTCTACTCATGAGCATGGGGTCGCGGAGCTTCTGCTTCACTTTGTGTGTGTATGTGAGGAGCTGGAGTGTGGCAGCCAGAAAAAGAAACAGCCCTGAGGGGCTGGGGGAGGGCTGGGGGTGCAGACAGGGTGGGGATAAGGCACAGCGTAGGTTCTGGTTAAAGGATTTCTCCTGGCTTGGAAGGGAAGTGATGGCAGAGGAGCCCTGGGGAAACGGAAACTCATCTTCCAGGATCCTGGCTCCCAGCTCCCTTCCGGCACCCAGAGGTGGGGTCAGGAGGCCCCCAAGTGCTGACAGCAGGTGTTCCCTGGAGCTGACAGAGGAGACAGCCTGTGTGCCATCAGCCCTCCTGGGCTCCCAGCCCGGCAGTGTTTTCCTGCTGACAGCAGTCCTGCAGGAGGCCTGACCATGTTTCCGATATTTGATGTTTCCTGTTAATTTCTAACAGCAGACTTTTCTAATATTCTGAAGACTCCTTTCTCAGAATATTAGAGACCTAAGGAGGGAAAGCCACCTCCCCAAAGCTCTCTGCTCAAAGACCTGACTTCAGCTCAGAGAAACAAGGGCATGGGAGACGAGGCCCAAAAGCAAAGCCAATGAGAAGTAGATGCGTGGGAGGGGAATTGCATCTTGGAAATCAACCTGTCCATTAGCTATAGAAGACAGCAGAAAATGCTGCTTCAGTTTCCACTTCCCTAGTGGTGCTGAAACAGTCAGGCTTCTGTCTTCAAAATGACTCTCTAAAACCATGCCCCAGAAAGAGACTTTGTCCCCGGGGCCCTAGCATCAAGCTGGCCTGGGTTGTGTGGGGCTTTGTTTTGCTCGGGCAGAAAGTCTCGTCTGACACAGGTGTGGGTTGGTCAGGCACCAGGGCTCAGGGACCTCCCTGGTACCAACCCGGGGAAAAGTCCTCGAAGCTCTCTTGATGGCACTGGCTTTCTCCGTAGAGGCCCGAGATGGCCTACGGATGCATCTGCACCTGAGCTGTGTGGGGCCCTGTCAGAGTGGTTTTCGATGGAGTTATGTTTGATTTCGGCTTTTGGGCTTCTGAGTTGTAATGCCTATTGAAGTTGAGAAGCTGATTTCATTTTCCCAAAATGTAGGCTTATTAAAACAAGAAAAGCCATGGAGCCTTGGTGTCTGTTTCTTAAAAGCAAAGTTAAGCAATCAGCCAAGGTGCATGTCAGAAAAGGGGAGGGGGGCGGTGCCTGGGCTGGCACCCACGGGATAGGAGGGGCCAGCAGTCACACCCTGCCTGCCTGAAGCGGCCTCTCCCTGGAGGACAAAACCAGTGGATCTTATCTGATCTAGTGGTTTCAGGAATTTTCTACACACATAAGGCACATCAGGGAGGAGAGGAAATTGTTGATGTGCTCCGTGTTTTCAGCAGAAAATCGTTCCTCATGTCGCTGCGTGCATGAGCCTGCCTTGCCCGGGGCATGCCAGCGCCTCAGCCCAGCAAACCGACATGCAGGCCCAGAGTTAGGCAGGGGCTGCAAGCACAGCGTTTCCCACTCACCATTGCCCCTGGGAGGTAGAACTGGTGGAGAAGGGAAAGGAAGTATGGTTGTCCTATGCGATCAATTGGGGACAGCCCAGGCCTGAAGACTTTGTCTCTATAAATAAGTAGCTAGGTGAAGACTTAGGTTTTCTATGAAAAATAATGGAATCTGAAGCTAATCCATGTTGCAAATTCAAGGTGTAGATTTGGGCAGGGTTGACATAATTTATTGTGTTCAGTCTGAAATTGGTCAATAAAGTATGACGGGGTGAACAGTATATCCACAGTCTATTACATTAGGTTAGTGTCCATCCACCCTTCCAACCATACACCCATCCATCTGTTCATCCATGTATCCACACTTCTACCTACCCATCCATTCATCCATCCATCCTCTGTCCACCCATCCACACACCCACCCATCTACCCATCCGTCATCCATTCATCCATCCATCCACTCAACCATCCACCCATCCATCCACCCACCTACCATCCATCCATTCATCTCTCCATTCATCCATTCATCTCTCTATCCATTCATTCATGCATCCACACATCCATCCACCCACTATCCATCCATTCATCCTTTCATCTCTCCATTCATCCATTTGTCTCTTCATCCATCCATTCATCTCTCCACTCATCATTCGTCTCTCTACCCATCCCCTCATCTACCCATCTATCCATTCATCTCTCCATCCATCCATTCATCCATCCACCCATCCATCCACCCACCCACCATCCTTCCATTCATCTCTCCATCCATCCATTCATCTTTCTACCTATCCATTCATCCATCCTTCCATCCATCTACCTACCCACCATCCATCTATTTATCTGTCTAACCATTCATTCATCCATCCACCCACCATCCACCCATTCATTTCTCCATTCATCTCTCCATCCATTCACCCATCCATTCACCCACCCACCATCCATCCATTCATCTCTCCATCCATCCATTTGTCTCTCCATCCATTCATCTCTCCACTCATCCTTTCATCTCTCCATCCATTTATCTATCCATCTATCCATTCATCTCTCTCTCCATCCATTCATTCATCCACCCATCCATCCATCCACCCACCCACCCACCATCCATCCATTCATCTCTCTATCCATTCATCCATCCGTATATCCATCCTTCCACCCACCTACCATCCATCCATTGATTTCTACACCCATTCGTTCATCTCTCCATTCATCCATTCATCCATCCACCCATCCATCCTCAGTGCTCTCACCCTCAGACTATCTCATTGCTCCTGACAGCAGCAGGCCCCTAAGCCAGAACTCTGGCATAACCACAGCACCCAGCTCCAGCTACTGTTTCAAAACGCTTAAGGCCTTTCAAGTAAACGAAAAACCGAACAGGCAAAAAAATTGCGTCATGAGTTGCTGTCCTTAAAACTGTTTCAACATTTGAAAACTCCCTGTCGAGGATAAAGGTAATAAGTTTTTGACAGTGGTGGACAATTCTTCCAGGTGTTTGGGGAAAGCCATTCCATTTGGCTTACCTATGAACACTACATAAACTTTCTGACTTGATGCTGAAGCCTAGCCCTGAGGAAGATTTTAGGACCAGAGCAGTCTCCTTGATTGTTTTCCTAAATCATCAGCAACAAAAATGTGGACTTAGAGAAAGAAGTGTGTTCACCCAGATTTCTCCTTAGAGGAAATGTTAGGTTTTTCTAGGAAAGTCCATCTTAGGCCGGATGAAAACAGTGATTCACCCGGTCATGGATGAGACGTGTATTGCGATCAGCTCTGTGGCTGGTGTTGAGGTCCGCAGTGGGCCACTCAGTCACGGTTCCTGTCCTGAAGCACTATACATTGCTGGTGGAGACAGGCGGTAAAGGCAAGAACAGATGGGAGGAGAAGAAACTGTTAGAACACGGAAGGAACCACAGGGAGAGTGGAGCACAGGGATGGGATGGGCAGTGAGGGGCAGGCTGGGATGGGGAGCAAGGCTGTAGATGGGACGTGCCAGCCAAGGCCTCTCCGAGGAGCCAGATGCTGAACTGGGCCTGCATGGCAAGGAGCCGGCTGTGCACAGGTCAGGCAGAGACCCGCAAGTGCAAAGGCCCTGGGGTAGGAATGAGCTGGGCACACCCAAGGAATGGAAAGGTCTGTGCGGTGAAAATATGAGTGAGGGAAAGGGAGGGAGGGGCCTGGGGGAGGGCAGGAGCAGGTCCCAGGGCCCCCAGCCAGTAGGAGGTTGGGTGTAGCTCCAATGCAGGAAAAAGCCTGCAAGGAGCCATCTGATTGTCCGTCTATCATCCCCTGGATGCCTTTGGCTGCCTGGTGGGGCTGGAAGGTTAAGGCGAGAGCTGCCCCAGAGCCCCAGGGAGGAGAGAGTTGCCCTGAGGAGAGATGTGGGGGCCTGGGCTAGGACAGTAGAGGCGTGAAGGTGAGGAGGGGAAAGCGGGGGCCCAGATGGCCTGCAGGGAAGGACCCAGAGGACTTAGGGAGAGGCAGGTGGAGGAAAGGGAGCCATCGAGGCTGGCTCCTGGGTTTTCAGCCCACCCTGCTGTTGAGGTGACAGCACCCAGCATCCCCACTGCTCAGGAGGTGCCCACGTGTGGGGTGCCATGGGGATACTGTGCACATCTGTCCCCCCTCCTGCACATCTGTCTCTTCCCACTCCCTCCTCACCTCTTGTTATTAAAGAGGCTTCCTGCCCCAGCCCAAGGGCCTCTTCCAAGATGCAGCTGCTGGGTGCGCGGGAGTTAAGTCTGCTGGGCTGATTCCCGGGCTCTGTGTTCAGCTCTCCAGGATGCTGCAGGAAAGCAGGAAATCAAATAAGGCCATTGACACCTCACCCACAATCTTTATTCTATTGTCTCTTAGTCCACCCCAAAAAATGTAAATCAAAATAAATCAGAATATCTTTAGATGATGCTGTGTGTGTGTGTGTGTGTATTTTTTTTTGAGATGGGGTCTTGCTCTGATGGCCCGGGCTGGAGTGTTGTGGCATGATCTCAGCTCACTGCAACCTCCACCTCCCAGGTTCAAGTGATTCTCCTGCCTCAACCTTCCGAGTAGCTGGGATTACAGGTGTGCATCACCACACCCGGCTAATTTTTTTATTTTTGGTAGAGACGAGGTTTCACCATATTGGTCAGGCTAATCTTGAACTCCCGACCTTGTGATCCACCCGCCTCGGCCTCCCAAAGTGCTGGGATTATAGGCATGAGCCACCGTGCCTGGCCTATGTGTTTTTTTTGTTTTTGTTTTTGTTTTTGAGACAGAGTTTCACTCTGTTGCCCAGGCTGGAGTGCAGTAGTGCAGTCTTGGCTTACTGCAACCTCTGCCTCCTGGGTTCCAGTGATTCTCCTGCCTCAGCCTCCAGAGTAACTGGGATTACAAGCGCCTGCCACTACGCCCAACTAATTTTTTGTATTTTTTAGTAGAGACCGGTTATCACCATGTTGGCCAGGCTGGTCCTGAACTCCTGGCCTCAAGTGATCTGGCCACCTTGGCCTCCCAAAGTGCTGGGATTACAAGCGTGAGCCACTGTGCCTGGCCCAGATGGTGCAGTCTTAATGGGAGCAATGTCACTCCCAAGCAGAGCAAACATTAGTTCTTGGCGACAAAAAAAACAACTTAGATATTATAATGGATGGTGGCCCTCCAAAGGCACATAAACAGATTTCATGGCTGGAAGAGGCAACTGGGAAAGAAAAATTTTAAAAAGGCTCTGGGGGCTAGGGGGATAATAAGAGACATTGAGAAACATCGCTCTGGGACCCATAAAGCGGCCCCCGAGGTCAGGGTGCTCCCTGGACAGTCATTTTCAGGATCCCAGCAAGAATGAGGCTGAGGCCGGGCGCAGTGGCTCACGCCTGTAATCCCAGCACTTTGGGAGGCCGAGGCAGGTGGATCACGAGGTCAGGAGTTCAAGACCAGCCTGGCCAAGATGGTGAAACCCCATCTCTACTAAAAATACAAAAATTAGCTGGGCATGGTGGCAGACACCTGTAATCCCAGCTACTTGGGAGGCTGAGGCAGAGAATTGCTTGAACCCGGGAGGTGGAGGTTGCAGTGAGCCGAGATCACGCCACTGCACTCCAGCTTGGGCGACAGAGTGAGACTGCATTTAAAAAAAAAAAAAAAAAGAGGCCAGGTACGGTGGCTCACTCCTGTAATCCCAGCACTTTGGGAGGCCAAGGCGGGTAGATCACGAAGTCAGGAGATAGAGAGCATCCTGACTAACACGGTGAAACCTCGTCTCTACTAAAAATACAAAAAAAAAAATTAGCTGGGCGTGGTGGCGGGCACCTGTAGTCCCAGCTACTCGGGAGGCTGAGGCAGGAGAATGGCGTGAACCTGGGAGATGGAGCTTGCAGTGAGCCAAGATGGCGCCACTGCACTCCAGCTTGGGCAACAGAGTGAGACTCTATCTCAAAAAAAAAAAAAAAGAATGAGCCTGAAATAAGTGAATACCTCTCACCCTGGCAGCTCAGGAGGTGTTTAAGCCTGGGCCCCTGGGAGAACTCTGATGTGAGTACTTCTTTGAGAGGTGGAGGAGACACAGGGTGGGGCAGGGAAGTGAACCAATGAAGGGGAGGCAGGCCAGTAAATGATGTGTTATCAAGACACCCGCCTGGGGGCAGCTGGACATTCCACTAAGCCAGCCCTGGGAACCCGTCGTTCCCCCACTTCCGCCACTGTGTTGAGGTCCTGGGGTGCTCATACACCAAGTCCCTTGGTCCTTGGTTGGAGGCTGTTCCCAAGGACATTAATTCCTCAGCATTTTCAGCCTGTCAAGTGGGTAGCAAAGGTGGCTCAGTGGGAAGAGAAAGGCCACTGGCAAAGAGTCACAGGTGCTGGTTGGAAGTTGGCAAATGTGCCCTGAAATGATAACATCAGGCAGACATGGGTGGGCACCCACAGCTTCTGCTACAATAGCACATCCTTGGACTGGACACAGGCTCCATGACTCTCCCCCAAACCACCTATGGCTGGTCCCATGCACCTAGGACCAAAAAGAAGCTCTAACCCAGGCCAGCAGGACTGCAAAGTGCATGATCACACAGTCCCGCAAGTGGGTCCTGCCTGCCTGCTCTCAGACCTGCCACAGGGCTCATTGCTCCAGGCACTGTGGGCATTTTAGGATGTTCTTAAATGTAACTATGCGCCTTATAGGAAGAACGTCAAACTGGCCTAATTCCTGAGCCACTCCTGAAGTGGTTCCCTCTGTCCTAATGTTTGTCAGAGTTTTCTTGGTTTCTTAAATATCAGTAGAACAGAGTGTTCCTCCACTGGGATGATGGTGATAAAGGTGGGAGTGGTGGTGATGATGTTTATGATGAGGATGATGATGGTTATAATGGTGAGGGTGATGATGTTGATGGTAATGATGGTGATGATGGTGGTGATAATGGTGATGATGGAAATGATGGTAGTGGTAAGGATGATGGGGTTGGTGATCATAATAATTAAGAGGAGGACAAGGGCTAGTATTTATCATTGCTACCAGCTACCATGTGAGTTTCATACAGATCATCTCTAAAATCCTAAGTTTAGTCCTCATAAAAGCCATCACCTTCCCAGCAATCACTTTGTACTGACCCTTTCTTCACCATAGTATCCTGAGCCCCATCAGCCAGTTGCTCTCCTGTGTACCAGGGACAGAATGGAATGATTACTGTGAATGAGATGCAGCCTCTGCCTTTAAGGAGCCCCCAGGAAGGTGAGAGGAATGACAGGTGAGCAGGAAGTCACATCATGGTGGCGTAAATGAGACACTCAGGGTGACAATGGGAGCCCCCCAGGACGACACATACGTTGTGCTTGGGGAGACTGAGGCAGGCTTCACAGGGGAAGAGAGGCGTGAGCAGAAAACAGAACAAAAAGGCATCATCCCCTTAAAGCAGGAGGGCATCAAGGCAGAGAGAAGGGCAGGGAGGCCAGTAGGCCACTGGGATGTGCAGCTTGCTTTGCCTGTCTGGAACATACCAGAGGCGGGGCCAGGAGTGTGGACTCAGGAAGGAGGGAGGCTGGGCCCCAGGACCATAAGAGCCACTGGGCTGGAGTTTCATTCACACAGCCACCCTGGAAGGCTGCCTGGGACAGAAGCAATGTTGCATGAGTGAATGAATGAATGAGTGAATGAATGAATGAATGAGTGGATGGAGGATGAAGATTCTCAGAGCTGTGCTAAGAAGGGCGGGCTTTGTCCTGAGAGTACGAGAACCTTTGCTGAGCTTTCAGGCACTGAGTGACATGGTCAGATCTGTGCTTACCTTAATCCATGCTTCCCCTCCCACTCCCCACACAGCAAGCTGGACCCTGGTGGAAGGCAAGGGCAGGGCTGGCCCCTCCCCCTCCCTCAAGCCCAGACCACCATCCAGGGAGGCTCCCGGACCGCTGCCTCCTCACCCTGTGGGGCCACTGGCTGTTTACAGTCCTTCCCTGCACTGCCCTGGCCTGTGAGGCGAGGAGTGTTATCATTTTACTCCTATCGTTTTACTGAGGTTCAGAGAGGCTGAGTGACTCCCCTGAGGCCACACAGCCAGGAATCTCCAGAGCAGGACCCTGACCCATCCCTTCTGCATCCAGGGCACATGACAACCGCTCAAAGCCGCTCTCTGGCCCCTCCACCCCACACTCTATTTACAGCCCAGCACGGGCCAGGGCTGCCCAGGAGGACTCAGCTTGGGTTATCACCTTCTGACACAGACGTCACTACCCCCAGCCCCGCGTCCTACAGCCTCACTGGGCCCACTGCCCTGCCTCCCATTTCCTGGAAAGGGGCATCCTGTAGGAATAGATGAGGTCCTGCTTGCCATCCTCCCGGGCCCTGTAGTGGCCCCCGACCATTGCTCTGGCTTGGGAAAGGAAGGACCAAAGGATTTGATTATTTCTCTGCTTGGCCACCCCTGGGGTGTGGTTAGCCCTGAGAAAGTCACTTTGATTACAGAGCCAGGGTCTCACATGAAGGCTGAGGTGAGGCTCCATGGTGTGGAAGCCGCCCAGAGGTGTCAGGGCCCAAGGGGAGCTTTGACCCTGTGGCTCCCAGCACCCCCATCCTGCTGGGAAATGCTAGAAACTGGAGTATGTGAGAACCGAGGGGTGGGAGGGAGAAAATGGAGCTACCGAGCAGAAACCGTTTCCAGGGCTTCTGCTGAAGTGGGAAATCTCCCACTCCATCGAGAAATTATTTAACTTTCACGCTGCCTTCCTGACAGTGAGGCTCGCGTGCCCATGCCGGCTTGCTTGGGAGCGCCATACAGCGCCAGCTGTGGCATCAGCTCCCCACTGGGGAGGCAGTGCCAGCCACTTTCCTGGGTGGCCGGGTAAGAGGGGGTGAGAGCTGCTCTCTGAAGGCTGGGACAGGAAGAGCCCCCCCCCCCCCAACACTGGCCAGCTCCTGGTGGACACAAGTCCCTCCTCTCCCCGAGCATTGGAAGAACAATAATGCCGTTGCCAAGTCAAAGGGCTCACACCATCCACTGCCCAAGGTGGGGAAGGGTTCACACCATCCATTCCGCAGGGTGGGGAAGGGTTCACACCAGCCACTGCCCAGGATGGGGAAGGGCTCACACCATCCATTCCCCAGGGTGGGGAAGGCTCACGCCATCCACTGCCCAGGGTGGGGACGAGCAGGAAAGAGGCTGAAACTGCACAGCGGGGAGGTAAGCGTTGGATCTGGCAGCTGAGCTGCACTTCCCCACAGCCCAAAATCAAGCAGTCCTGGCTTACATGAAGCTGGGGTTGTATCAAAACAAAACAAAACCACACCACCTGGTGGGCTTGATAAAAACATCCGGCCTCTGGCAGTGGCTCATGTTGCAATGCCAGTGCTTTGGGAGGCAGGTGGATCACTTGAGCCCAGAAGTTCGAGACCAGCCTAGGCAAGATAGCAAGATCCCATCTCTACAAAACAATAAAAAAAAATTGCCAGGCGTGGTGGGGCACACCTGTAGTCCCAGCTCCTCGGGAGGCTGAGGCAGCAGGATTGCTTGAGCACAGGAATTCAAGGCTGCAGTGAGCTGTGATAGTGACACTGCACTCCAGCCTGGCTGACAAAGTGAGACCCCGTCTCTACAAAAAACAAAAAAGACAAATGTCCGGCCAGGCCTCCCCACTGAGGTTCTGGCGGAGAAGCCCAGGCGGAGAGATCGGCATCTTTTCCAGCTTCTCAGGTAGGGCATGGCTGCAGGACACGGACCGCAGGTTAGGGCAAGCTGCGGGCCTCACGGGGCCCTGTGTGCTGGGGGACAGTGCTTGCTCATCCTAGAGTTTTTCTAGAGAAAGCCAAAATGGAAAAGCACCACTCCGGGGTCAGCTCCAGCCTCACTGAGCGTCCACAGCCAGCCTCTCTGAGTCTCGCTGTCACATCCATGAGCAGTTCCTTTGACACCCCTCGCCCGGGTCACACCGTCAGTCACCGCCCTCTCACCCTGCGCCTCTCCTGAGCCAGCAGCCATAACCCCCGCCCCGCCCGGCCCTGCCCCGGGCTCTGTGGCAGCACCTCCTGCCAGGAGCACCCTCAGCTCCCTGCGGGAGCACGCAGCAACAGAGGGGAGGGGGTGTGGTCCCGCCTCGCACGCATCCCCGCTGTGGGCGGCCCCTCGCTGCGCCTCAGCCTCTCCCTGGCCCCACGGGCCTCCACACTCCTCACATACAGAATGGGCTGTGGGTCCTCAGCCCGTCCGGACCCTCCGCTCCTTTCCTGCTACCTCCGTGCGCAGCAGGCCTTGTGGGGTGTGGTCCAGAGCGTGGCCCCGGGGTGCATCGCGCTGATTCCACTGCAGGCGGGTGGGCCCCTCAGGAAGAAAACTACTCAACAGACGCGGCTGCTGCATGCTCTGTGTGGAGCCACCTGAGTGTTAGACTGGCCAAGACCACATGGACAAATGCCACCTCGGCCAGGCCCCTTGCTCCTGGTGACCAGTACTCATGGACACCAGCACGCTGGGCAGAGGCTCTGAGTAACTTTCTCACAAGCCAGGGACCCTGGACAGCCTGCTTCTTCCTCCTTGCAGAAGAGGAGAGGGCCGGGCCGGCAGGAGTCCTCCGCAGCAGCCCCAGGTGCCAGTGGTCAGTCTGGCAGGATGGCGGCTGTGTGTCCCGAGTCCAGCCAGGACACGGCGCTGGTCCCAGTCTCATTAGCTCACGTCGATGCGTCCTTTCCAAACTGGCAGTCAGTGAGGATTAGTCCCCACCGACCCGATGACCCGGGCTCCTTTCGCGACACAGGGCAAGGGCTGACAGCTACTGTGTTGTGATCAACAGTCCCCTGAGATTTCACTAAGCTCAAGGCTTTCTTAATGCAAACTTAAAAAGCTTTTAATGTATGTTAAGTAGATACCAGCTACTTGTCAGAGCTGTGGTTACTGAGGATTAATTTTATAGCTGCTACATTGCTCATCAACTGTTACTTGTAATTAGCCCTTATAAATGTTTCAAAATAATCAGATAATATTTGAATAGCTTAAGTAAACTGTCTTACTACCTCTATGAGGAAATTACGTGTGGAAAGCTATAAATTGGGAATTGCAAAGAGGTAGGTCTGTGCAACTGGCTGGTGTGAGTGTTGAGTTGGGCGAAACCCAGCTGCTACCTCCAGGAGAAAAAGGTTAAATACGCTTCATAATATAAGAGGATTATTTTAAATATTCCCATGAATTTCTGGAGAACACGAGCAAGCTATGAATGTTTTGAGGCCTCAATTCCCTGCAGGCTGGTAGGGACTTTGCATTTTAGAGTCGATCTTTGTGCTAACCGTTAACCATTGGCACCTGTGCCCAGAGCCTGGGCCTGCGTTTCCAGGTGGGTTGGCATCACCCTTTGTGGTCTGGAGAGGCCAGGGGGCTGCTCTCTCCCACGTCTCAGGAGATGCGTCCTGGGCTGCTCCTCCCCACCAGGATACCACACTCAGCCTGGGCACTGGGGATAGGAGGGGTGCTGGGGTATCTGCACAAAGGGCTGTTGAGCTGGGCCCAGGGAGCTCCTCTCCATCTCTCCTGGGTCCTTCAAGCCCCTCCCAGGGTATCCCCGCTCCTGGGTGGGCAGGGCGTGGGCCCGGTCACAGCGGTAACAGATTTCCTTCCCGTGCTGCCTTCACTGATGCTCAGCCCAAAAGGCCAGTCACATGGTCATGGCTGCCAGCCTCATAACACCACGGTCCCTGCGGGGCCTCGAGTGGGGCCTCTGCAGTGGCTCTGCCCCGCTCCCCATCTCTCATGCAACCTCCCTGAGAGCCCAGGGCCATCTCCGCTTGTCTTCATGGCCCGTCCCTTCCCATGACCCGCTCGGCTGCAGCGGCCCTCGGTGGGCACAGTCACCGGGCCGGCTTCCCCGCCTGTGCTTCCTCTGAGGGGTTCCCCAGCCCACAGCATGGTCCAGGGCCGGGTGGGGCCAGCATCCTCTACTCCCTCCTTGAAGCCTGTGCAGGGCTGCATCTTCTTTGTGTGCAAGCAAGCGAGCGGCCTGCAGCCCCAAGGGCCCTTTGTGAGTGCTGCAAAGCCCCGAAGACCAGACCGCACTCCCTCGAGTGCACACACGGTGCTTCTGGGAAGCTGCCCGGCCGCCAGGGGGGCAGAGCTCCTCGCCCCATGACCGGGCAGGGGCAGTTCTGCGTAGCCGACTCTTTGCCCCCTCCTTGGGCACTCCCTTTAGACTACGCCAAGAGTCCCATGCCCGCCGCAGGGCTGACCCAGCTTCAGGGCCACTGTCACTGCAACCATTTGCTGCACTCTTACCTTATGGCTCCACGGGGGATGGTGCTTCTCCCACCACTATCCTTGTGAATCTCCTCATCGCCCCCCACAGAAAGGAAATGGAGCCCAGAGAGGGTAAAACACCTGCCCAAAGACACACAGCCAAGACAGGGCAGAGCGGGGCTGCAGTGTGAGCCCTTCAGCTCCAGGACCACTGCCTGCCCTTAGGACCTGACAACCTTAAGTCCCCAGGATATGGGCAGGGGGCTCACAGGAAGTGCTGGCAGTGCCCGGCTCAAGGCAGAGCCTCAGGCAGGCCGAGAGCACAGATGGCCTCTTGGACACACCCCAAGGGGCCGGGGCTGGGAGACAGATGGGCTGGAACTCCCTGCCTTCCCTTGCCTGATAACAGGCCCACTGGGGACCCTGGGGCGTGTAACCTCTGGCACTCCACATCCTTAGAGCCCACCAGTGAGAATGGCCAGTGTCCACTCCACAGTGGCCTCGGGCCCATCTGCGCCACACATAGGGTAGGCCTGGGCATGGCTGCAGGGCCCTCCTGGGACCCTCCAAGCATCTTGGTTGGGGGCAGCTACGAGGGGCACTGATTGTCCCCTTCTCATCTGTCAGTTTGGGCACTGCAACCCCAGGCTTGGTTTTCGGTGGGGGCTTGAGAAACCCACCTTCTGCAGTGACATTAGTCCTCAAGACGCCACAGCACCGGGGCTCCTGCCTCCCGTTGGGAGGTGTTGAGGGCTTGGGGACAAAAGGCATGGACAGCAGCACCTCTCAGTGTCTGCAGGCTGCAGCGGGAGAGCCGGCAGAAAGCAGGGTGGTCCCCCGACACCTAGACATTGGGGGAGTGGGGTCAGGCAGCCTCTGGGCAGGGCCAGGGTGTCCAGCCGCATCAGCCAAGCGTCTCTCTAGGGTTGAGGGCATCAACCACAAACACTGGTGTGTGTGGTTAAAGCCATGGACCCTCAGAGTTCTGAGACGTCATCCCGAAGCCACCTGTCCTCTTCTTTGTGTCTCTGAAGTGCCGAAGTAGGTGTTCCTTCAGTGGTCACTCCCTGTCTGTGTGAGTTGCCGGGAGCTGCTGTCACAAATCACCACAAACCAGGTGGCAGAGAACAGCCCCGTGTAGCCCCACATGGTGCTGGAGGTCAGAGTCAGAGGTTAGTTTCTGTGGGTCAAAGTCAAGGGTCAGCAGGGCCATGCTCCCACTGGAGGCCCTAGGGGAGGACCCATCTCCTGCCCTTTCCCGTTTCTAGAGGCTCCTGCCCCACCTCTGTGGCTCCTGGCCCCTTGCTCTGTCTTCAAGGGCAGCAGCACAGCCTCCTCCAGCCTCTCTCTGCTTTCTTTCCACATCACCTTCTCCTCTGTAGTCAAAGCTCCCTCTCCTGCCCTCCATAAGGACCCTTCACATGGCCTTGAGGGGCCCCTGGGAAATCCAGGATGGGCCTCATCTCAAGATCCTTCACTCCATCACGTCTGCAAACTCTCTTTTGCCATGGAAGGTGGCATTCACTGGTCCCAGGATGAGAACCCAGATGTCTCTGGCAGCCGGATTCAGCCAGCCTTGCTGCCATAAGAGAATGCCATGGAGTTCCCAGACCTGTAAGTGGCGCAAGAGCGGGCCTCAATCAGGTCTGGTCTCTGCCCCTTTGTCCGGCAATGTCCTCAAGCCCTCCCCACCTTTCTCTTATAAACGAGGATGCCAAAGACAGCTGCATTCACAGAGCACCTCCTTGGAGCCAGGCCCAGGCAGACCCCTCCTCGGCTTCATTCAGCCCCTGTGGCAGCCCCAGAAAGGGCGCTACACACCCTGATCATGCTCTGTTCCCAGCAGAGACAACAGTCTCAGAGAGGTCAGGATTCTCACTCAAGGTCACACAGCTCAAAGTACAGAACTGGGCTTTGAACCCCAAAAGTCAGACTAAAGAGCCCACCCTGCAGCCACCCTGCTGTGTGTAGCCGAGAACCTCGTGGGGGTCAGTTGTGCCTGAGAAAGTATGTGAGGAAACTGAAGCTCCCCCAAAATCGTGGGGGTGGCCCCATCGTCCCTGTTTTCACTGTCTCTGAGTTAGTTGTAAAGAAAGGAATTTCTCTGCAGAGCATCGCTTTGAAGGAAAACTTACTTGGGGAAAAAAAAAACAACTGTCTCCGTTGGGAGCAATTTCCAAACGGGAGTCCACGCGTGGGTTTTTCGCTTGCTGCTTCAAGCAAATCAGCCATTTTCACTGCAGAATGGCTGCAAAGGAAATGGAGAAAAGGCAGAGCGCAGCCCTGGGAGCTGCCTCCCAGCCTGGGGGCCGGGCAGGGGGAAACAGGTGCCACCTGGGCCTAGACGGGGCGATGCCTGGGAGGAGAGGCTGGAGGAACCGGGCCTTCCCACCACGGGGCCCTGTCTGTGGCCACCGCCGTCCACAGAGGCTTCACAGGTGCATGCAGCGTTCCTCCCCGTCCTCCTGGCTGCTGCCTTTTGCGGGATAGTCGCAGGCTGGCTCTCGCTGGAGGGGCTTCTCCGAATTCTGTTTATCCTGGGTCTGGCTCTCTCCAACATGGCAGCTGGGGAGGCAGAGGAGGCGGCGTGTCTACCTTGTCACTGCCGGGGCCTGATTTACCAACAGGTCTGGACAGCGCTCCCCTCCTTCCCACGCCCCCACTGCTAATTGCCTGCCTGTAGAGCGGCCAGCCCTGTCTCAGCAGCGCGGCGAGTCGCAGCTCCGTCGTTGACGGTGTGTCCGCGATGTGCTGTGGGGTCCCGTCGTGGCGGCTGTGGACGGGCTGAGGTCTTCCTCTGGATGCTCTCAGAGTGGCAGGGAGCAGCCTGGGTACTCTCCACGCTCGGCACAATCCGCCCGGGCTGGCAGTTAGAGAAGCCAGGCAGAGAAGTGCGGCCAGAGAGGCTGTCCAACCCAATTTCCCCGGGCTGGGTTATTTGAAAGTCTAAAACTCCCTAATACCAAGAGACGGGCGGTATTTAAATTTAAGTCTGGCTCCCAAATGAAATCTTTTCGTTCAACTGTTCAACTTTATTTGGAAATATGAAATGGTAACTTGATTACATGTTAAGGTAGCTTTGGTCGGGGGATTAGAGCCGAAATCTCTGCCCCTCTGAGTTCATCCTCCAGCGAATGGAATCCATCCAAATTAGGAATCAGTTCTGCTACCGCGGGCGAGCCGCAGGCCTGGTGGCCTGGAGGGTGGGGCATCTTGAGGCTGCGGGATTCCAGTTACTCTGCATGGCCAGGATAAGGGGGCGCCCAGAGCTCTGCGTTCCCCAAGGGAGGTTGGAAGGAAACGTTCAACTGTGTGCTTCCCAGAGCCCTAGCAAATCACTCGATGTTTATAAACTGTCAGTGAAAGTCATTTGTAAGAAAAGCTCCATTTCCAGTGGCTCTGCAGCTTAGAAAACTCAAAACTGAAAAACACACGCCACCCAGGAAGGACAGGAGAAACGAGAACAGGCTCCATCGCTGCAGAGCGTGAGGCCGGCCCCCGCTGCGTCTGCTTCCAGGAGGCGGTGCCGAGACGGCGGAGGTAATGGAAGCAGAAACGAGTGAAACTTTTTTGTTGTGTTTAGCAAGTATCTCTTGTCAAGGAAGTTGCCAAACTCACAAATGTTCTTGCCAAGAGAGAGGCGCCTGCTCTCCACACGAGCTTGTTGTTGGTAAGGAGGCACGACAGAAAACGTGTCAAGCTGGGACCCGGAGCAGGTGGTGGAAACAGCAGTTTGCAGGATGTCGGTCCTGCCTGCATGGCGGCCTGAGAGCCGCCCGAACTGCTGTGCTGAGGACGGGGCTGGAGATTCGCCCTCAGGTGAGGGGCTGGCCTCTGCAGGTTCTGTTTTGTCTCTGAGGCATCACCAGACGGGTGTCACCAGCCACATGGTGCAGGTGAGGAGACAGAGGACCGAGGCGGGTAGAAGTGACAGGAGAGGCAAAGAGCTGTCCCCTGCACAGCCACTGTCCATGCTGTCTGACCACCCCTCTCCGCCGTCCAGCCTCTGCATCTGGCCTCGGCCTCACCCACTGCTGGCCACCAGTCACCTGGAGGTCAGCCACACCCGGGGGGCAGCTCTGCTGTCTGGACCTCTGAGCCACACCGAAAGCACTCAGTCCCCCTTCCTCCTGAAGCCTCCAGGTCCTGCCCTCTCCTTACCATATGGGTTCCCCTCTGAGCATCCCTCCTGTCTCCTCTGTGGACCTGCCCAGCTCTCGCCTGGTGGGTGTGTCAGGTTTCTGCTGCCTCAGTGTGGGGATCCTCCAGGGGAGGGAGTGGCCGTAGCCTCAGAAGTGCAGGGAAAGTCCAGAGGGGAGTCCCCGTGTGGAGGCATCACCATCTAAGTACGAAACCAGAAGAAGAGATGGCTCAGAGGTCTGGAGTAGAACAGTCAGGACTCATCTGTTGCAAGGGGCAGAAGCCAACTCTAAAAGGCAGAGGCCAGTGAAAAGTGCAAGATTTATGGGGCACATAAACGGAACATACAGAGCTGTCAGCTTCAGGCCCGGCAGGATCTAGGCGCTCAGACAATGCCAGAGTCAGCAGGCGCTTTCCCCTCATCCCGCAGACCTGCCGTCTTTGACATTAGCCCCGGTCTCCACAGAAGCCCCAGCGCCAGGCCAAGAGTGCATCCCAGTAACTCCAAGTTCGTGGAAAGAGAGGTCCTTTCCTTCTTGTCATTCCAGCAAACATCTTGGGAGTGACTCATTGGCTTTGATGGGCTCATATGCCCAGCCGGAAGCCGGTACGGTGCTGAGAAGACTCTAGGCTCTGCTTGGCCAGTCCTTGACCCAGCCCCCCATCCCTACCCAAGCTACTAGAACAGAGAGGAGCAGAGAAGAACAGCTCCCTAAGGATCCCTGGGGTGCTGTCCCCAGAAGAGGGGAGAGTGGACAGTGGACAGTGAGCAAGCAAAACAAACAGGCATCTGCTGAGAAGTGGCCAGGATGGCCTCTGTGTTGGCAGATGGAGGTGGGCAGCATGGCTGGGTGTCCCACAGAGCCACACCCGAGCCCCATAACCATAAAGGCCAGCAAGGGTCAGGGCCACCTTTCCGGCCAGGCACAACCTTTCCGGGATCCAGAGGGTACACTCCCCTGCCCGGCCTCAGACACTCGCCCTCCTGCGAGGAAACACAGGCTCCTGTGTGCAGCACAGAGAGGGCAGCCTGCCCGGGGGTCTCGGACCCACCCCAGGTCAGAATCACCTGGGGAGCATTCGACTGCCTGATGCCACCCAACCTACCGCATGGCAGAGGTATGTTTAAAACTCCCACGAGGCCAGGGCAGTGTATTGGGAGATGCTCAAGCTCATTGATCATCCGTGGAAAACAAACTCAGGGAGGGGCCCTCTCACACCGGCCATCACCCCAAGATCATCCAGCCCTGTGGTGGGTGCATGAGTTGTCACAGCCAGAGCTCCACAAAGCAGATTTAATTTAGAAAGAGCCAAAATATGGGATCTTCATTGCCCGGCAGTTGCCAGCTATGTAGGTATATGCTCAGGAGAGACCCACCATCACTCACTCGGTGTCCACTGTGGTGCTGTGGAAAGCTACGCAGGCCCGCTGGGAGGTGGGTGCTTGGGGCAAGGGGAAGGCAGGAAACCTCGCCTGGGGGCTCCTTCCGCTCTGTGGCACCCAGTACTGAAAGCATTGTGGTTCGGGGCACATTTAGAATGGCTGCAGGATGTCATTCTGGAAGGAATTCCACATGTGTGTCTGTTCTAGGCAACAGCCTATTCTGTAGGACAGTGCGGCAGTGACCTCTTAGTAGCCAAAAGGACCCTTGCGTCTTCCCAGATGTCAGAGCCAGGCGTCGTGGCCTGCCTGCCTGACTGGTTGGGGGTGGAGTGTTCTTGTCACCACTGGAGAGATGAGGAGGGGGGCGTCCACAGGGCTAAGGAAGCCTACCCAAAGCCTCATGCCCAGGACAAGGAGACCAGGCACCACCACCTCCCACGGGGTTAGGAACACACGGGGAGGACCGTCCACTCGCCTGCAGGAGGGCACCAGAAACACAGTTTGTGCGGCCGTGCACACCCAGGGTGAGGAGGTGCCCTGTTAAAAGGGAGTGGGGAGGCAATTCCATACCCAAGTGAGCATCTGAGGAACACGTGTGCACACACATGTCCACGCGCACGCACACACATGTCCACGCGCACGCACACACACATGCAGTACCATCGGAGCAGGTGGAGGGTGGGGGCTGTAGCAGAGGCCGGACTGGAATTGCTCAGGGGCTGCTGGAGGAGCTGCCTCACCTTTCCCTTGGGGCTGTTTAATTCTGCGGGGGAAGTGAGGACACAGGAGGAAACCTTGGTCCCTGCCACGGCTGCTGTGAGCAGACATCAGGGACATGTTCATCAACATGCATGTTTTGCCACACACATGTGCACACCGTCTCTGTGAGTGGGAAGTGTCAGCATCTGGGGGTGGTGTTTTGTGCCTGTTCCTGTCTCCTGCTGGGGAGGGGTGGCCACAGGGCCTGGAGGACCTGGGTAAGAGCCGCTGCACTCCAGGTTTTCCCGTAATGCACGGTACAGAGATGGGGGCTTCTCCAAATCACAGCTACACTTTGACAGGGGATCTTTTTTTAACTACTACAAAGCCCTCTAATAATGGGTTGCTAAGAAACTGACACAGGAGATGATTTTGAAAATGTCTCGCTCATCCCCTGATCTATGAGCTCCCAGGGCCCCGCAGCCCCGCCAGCCCCCAGCTGCAAGGCCAGTGGGGCAGGTGCCGGGAGGGCCTCGGGAGGTGCCTGGTGGGTCCTGCCAGACAGAGGAGTGGCCTGTGGGAGAACTGCCCTGGGGAAGGAAGTCAGTGATGTTGTAGAGACTGGGTGTTGTCCAGTCCATGGAGCTGTATTCAGAACCACCAGGGCCAGACCCAGCCTTGCTGTGGCCCCGCTGGGGTCTTTGGATCTCAGGAGAGTGGGCGGTGGGAGAGGATTCCCTGAGCTGTAGAGTTTACCCTCAGCTTCTCGTAACAGGGTGTCTGGGTACCTAAATGTCGGAATTTGAGGCTATTCAAGTTCAATGTGTTGGATTTGGAAATCTCCCTCCTCTTTCTACTCCATCTCCTCCCGGCTGGGAAGTTGCAGCCCTTTCTCCCCGTCAAGGTGCAGCTGTGTCCACCATCAGCGAGGGGAGTGTGACCAAGGGCAGGTGTTCCGTGCAGGGCTGGTTGGTGTGAGGCCAGCCACAGAGTGGTGGCCAAATAGCATTCGGGGAGGTAAACAGAAGATTGTGAGAACAGCTGGGGAACTGTGGACGGCTCTTCAGACTCAAACGGTGTGATGAACAAACCGACTCGGAAAATGCCTGGCGCCAGTAGGAGGCCCAGCTAGCTGGGAGTTCTGAAATATAGGAAGGGAAGTGATAGGACGTCTCTGCACACAGCACATATCCATGCAGGATGGTCAGTACTGTCGCTTTCGTTAGGTTAGAGGCCGTCCACTGGGCAGCAGGCTGTGGGCCTGGCGGGATGCAGGCACAGCGCGATCCAGCACAGTGCTGGGTGGTCTGGGTGCCGCCTCAGGGCAAGCTGCCATAGCAGCGATGAGCCCACACACGTCTCCAGCCCTGACAATGAACCAGTAATCCAGCTCCTGGGAATCCCGGCACAAGGGAGCTGAGACCAGCAAGTGTGGTCAGCATGCCCCTGCCACACAGAAGCAGCATGGAAATAAATCCTCCTTAGCTGAGCACTGGGCCCCCACAGCCTGGGGAAGGCTGCGGGGGCCCAGAACCGTGGCTCTGGCAGGAACAGAGCTGCAAGCCCCACCCCAGCCCTGGGTTCAAAATCACCCCGTCTCAGCCAGTCACTGAGGAATCCTCACTTCCAGAACCCCACTTTGATTTCAAACCTAAGGGATACAATCTGTTTTCTTGGACTTGTTTCAAATGTAGCAACACCAGCTGCAAAAATAAATAAATAAATAAATAAATAAATTTAAAAAAATACAGCTACGTCTCTGTGCAAAGACACATTTATAATCACTCCGCCCTGCAGTCGGTGGGGAAAGCCTCCGTGTAGACTTCATTTTGAGTCTGTGGGCACATTAAGGACAAACTCTAGATCTTAATGATGTGTAGGTTTTGTCTCCAGCCCTGGCTCAGCCCCTCCCAGATCTTGCTACGTTTCGGAACATTAAAGGGAATTTATGCAAAATTCCTCCTTAATGTGATTTGAAACAGAAGAGCAGCCCCACACTGGCCCTCGGAGCAGCTTCTCCGGCAGCACGCCCCTCCCCAGGCTGTGAGCCTGCAACTGCCTTTCCAGTGTGGGAGCTGCTCCCGTCCAACCCGCGTTCCTGCATATTGTCCAGTCCAGGCGCTGGCCAAGGGCGAGTGTCCACACCCGCCCGCCTGCCCCCTCCACCTTTGACTGGATTCCAAGAATACTCTTGATACCCTGATGTGTTTGTTTAAATCAACTTCTTTTTTAAACTACAGACGTTGATTTTCGAGGACATCTTATGGAGTCATTGTTTAACAACAACAGCAAGTCAGTAGCCATAAAGATAATGTGACTTTCTAGATTAAATACAATGTCAATACAGAAGTCATGTTATTGTCTAAAATGAGTGTGTGCCCACCCACCACAGAAGGCATCCCGAGTCCCAGCCACAGACGCCTGGCACCTTGGAAAATGCCCGTGTCCATGGCTGCAGGCACGTGGCCAGGGGTCCTCTGGACCCAGACCTTTGATTGGGAATTAATCTATATGTGATCTGATTCCGCGAATCCGGGTGGTGTCCTTTTCTTGTACTATTCAGACGTGTTTCTAGGAAGGACGTGCTGTCATGACCCGCCATGGTGGTCCCGGGGATGGTCAGCGGCGGGATGATGGGTGTGATGTGGTCCCGGGGATGGTCAGCGGCAGGATGATGGGTGTGACGCATCTGTGCTACTTGGGATTCAAATTCATCTATGATCTTAAATGTCGTGGCAAATTGCAAATGACACCCAGGAAGACAAGTTTACCTGTTATCTGCGTGGATTACATAACTAAAACCAATTCCCAGTTCCAAGTATCCTGAAAACAAGTGACATCTCATTAAAGATCAAAGTCCCAGTATGCTGGATGATTAAGTGTAATTATAGCCATACATACTCGACACGGGACTAATGAGTGTTCATGCTTGGAGGAGGGAAAGCAGGCTGTGAGCACACAAGGCATGGCTGGATCCCATTCTGGATCCGCCTATGCCGGGGACTGCATGACAATGGGCAGATGAGGAGGCCAAAGCTGGGAACTGGAGTTTTAATGCCAGGAGGGGTTCCGGTAGAAAGCAGCTATTTTCTAACCAGGGCGGTGTTTTTCATTGCTGGGAGGCTGTTTGGACGAAGGCAGAACCTTCCATACTTGCAAATGTTACAACCAACAAGTACCTGAGACAAGGCAGGTGTCTAGAGTGAGGACGGTGAGGTCGGAGCACAGCGGGGGGTGGGGGTCACTGCAGGCCACAGACCGTGGTGAAGAGCGTGTGCATTGCTCTCAGTGGCACAGGAGGCTGTTGCAGGCAGTCAGGGGAGGAAGATGGTCTGGCTGCCCTGTAGAAGACCATCGTATCAGTTGGTGATTGCCGTGATAATCCTGCATAACAACCACCCATAAAACCTCAGTGACATCCAACCACAAGTGTGTTTCTCACACATCCAGAGGTTTGGCTAGCGTTGGTCAGACCTGGACGGGCCTCAGCCGGGGTGGGGTGGGGGGCACCTGAGCCTAGACCTGTTCTCAAGACGGAGACAGAGATGGGTGAGGGAGGCCGGGCCAGCCACACTAACATCCCACTGGCAGACCCCGGGAAAGGCCATGGCCACCCACATGGATGTGTGGGTATGGCCACATGTGGCTATCCACCGGGCCAGTCGGGGCGGCTGTGCCAGGCTGTCGTCCCCCCCATGAGCCTGCTGTGTGTGTCTGTGACAGAGTTCCTTGTGCCATTACCAGGACTCTTCCCAGCAAAAACTGCCCTCGGCCAAGTTTCTGACCTGGGTTCTCAGACCCAAGTTCTGACCCGGGTTCTCAGACCCAAGTTCTGACCCACTCTGCTCACCCGCAGTGGGAAGGAGCAAGGGAGCGTGTACGGGAACCAGAATCAGGGAGCCACAGGCACACAGGAAGCCCGAGAGAGCCCCAGCCCGTGTGCCCGCCTCACCCTGCCTCCTGCCTCCCGCCCTGCTCCCATCCACCACTACCAACACCTCCCAGCCCCCTAACAAGCCAGGAACCACTCCAGGGCTATAAAACATTTAATTTTGGAAAAAATCAGTACTCTGCCGCTAGATGACGTGTAGCCGCATTCAGGGTCTGGCTGCCAGGGCAGAACCAAGCAGGGCCCGCAGTCTGCAAGAACTCCTGGGACCCCCAGATGCCTCGGTGGTCACTTCTCCAGTCTCAGCTGCTCAACAGAGCCACTGCCCCTTGGCCCGGCTTCTCCAGAACGCAGCCAGCACAGAGGGTATGGCCGCTCCAGGAAGCTTCGAGACGGGGGCTGCAGGAGCCTGCAGAGCCTGCGTTATCCTGCACTGCAAATGATGCTGCATTTGTAACGGGAGCTAGAAAGGAATCAGTCAAACGAACTCATGGCTCTTCATCCCCTGCAAAACTAATGGCGCGGTGCTGACTGCCGCATCCTCAGCAGCCGCGCCACATCCTCAGCAGCCCCGCCACCGCCTGTCACACCTGCTGCTCTGGAAGAACAACAGAAACCACATTTCCAAAAAACCAAACATCCCCAAACTCTTAGAGAAAAAAAAAATGCAATCCCTGCTGAGGATGTGAACCAGGTGAAGTGAAGAATTGCTGGAGGAAACATCCAAACGGCTTGAACTTTGGCAAGGAGCTTTTCCTGAAAGCTGGGATCCACATGCCGGCAGCCCAAGACCGCCCTCATCGGGGGTGGGAATGAAATGCCCCTTCCCGGCTTACACAGACACAGCCCAGGAGAAAAAGCAGTGACCATTTGCCTGAAATCAAGATCACACTTTTGACAATCTGAAGCAAGGAAAAAACAGCAGACATCTATCTGTATGCTTTTGCCATGAGGAAAGGAAGCTCATTTCAGAGCAGTGGAATCAACCAGTTAGAAATGGGAAAATGGTGGTTCCCTAGCCCAGAACATCCCAGGGCTCCCTGGCCTTGCCAGTGCTACTGTGTGAAAGCGGAGCCCACCAGCCCACAAATGAGCCCAGCCACTGCCACCCGGGGTCACGCCCCTGCCACCCGGGGTCACGCCCCTGGCTGCCTACTGAGCTTTTTTTTTTTTTTTTTTGAGTTGGCACCCCCAGGCTGGAGTGCAGTGCCACGATCTCCACTCACTGCAACCTCTGCCTCCCGGGTTCAAGCAATTCTCCTGCCTCAGCCTCCCATGTAGCTGGTACTACAGGCACACGTCACCATGCCCGGTTAATTTTTGTATTTTTAGTAGAGATGGGGTTTCACCATGTTGGCCAGGCTGGTCTCGAACTCCTGACCGCAGGTGATCCACCTACCTCGGCCTCCCAAAGTGCTAGGATTATAGGCATGAGCCACTGCACCTAGCCGCCTGCTGTCCTTCAGACTCCCCGCCTGGGCTTGGGTTTGAGGCCCTGTGTGGTTTTCCCATCTGCCCGCCTTCGTCTTTCCTGTTTCTCCCCCGCTGCGGGGGACACAGCACTCTCACCGTGCCTTAGTTCATCTGCTTCCAAGGGTGGCTGCCTAAGCTTCACTCAGGTTTTCTAGAAGCAGAGCTGAGACTGGGGTTTAGGGGCATGTTATTGGGGGCGGGGTATCAGGGAGGGAAGTGGTAGGGGTCGGGGAGCAGCTAAGGGAGGGCGTGGTTGCAGCCAGAGACGGTCTCAGCCCCATCCCTGCCAGAGCTGAGGAGCACAGGCTGGCCTGGGGTCCCTGCCCTCAAGCCGTCACTGGCCCTGGGCTGCTGGGCCTGCCGGGTGGGGCTGCCATGGGCCAAGGGCAGCTCTCCAGAGATGGGGCAGCTGTGAGCTGTTAACAGCCAGCCCCCAGCAGCTGGAGAAGGGGTTCGCTGCCCAGGGAAATGGGTCTGGGCCTGGTACCGACTGCACCAGCTTCCACCTCTCTCTTTGACGTATCCTTTAACCCCCGAGAGAATTTCAGCCACCATACCTGGTCTGTATTTTCAGTCAAACCATCGCAAACATAGTCTTAAAATTTCATGAACACATTCCCTGCCCCTGGTATGTAATTTAGTCACTGACCAACAGATATTAACTGCAGTTATGTAGAAGATTGCTCCTTGCCAGCCAACGCCCTTTGGGGATAATACGGGGAGTTGGGGCTTGGATGTGTGCATTTTCCACGATTTGCATTTGTACAAAATGCTTGCAACCTCCTATCCCTCCCTCAACTACTGTATCCCAAATACGTGGAGGGGTTGTGCTCTCCAGGCCATGACAGCCATGCAAGCTTCTTCCTGCAGGCCACCTGCACAGCCAGGAACAGATGAGGAAAAATCACAGCCGCCTGGTAACACACAAGCCCTAACATGATGACCAAATGGGGACTCTGTGGGGAAACTGCAAGTCCAGACGTGGTGGAGGCGCCCTGCCGAGGCTCTCCGGGCCGCAGGGCTGGGAGTCTCCACGCACACATGGGAGGCTGACTGCGAACCACATCCCGCTGCCTTCCTTTTCAAACAGAGAGAGCAAGGTTTTAAATTATTACTGCCAGAGATTTCAAACAGAATTTCTAACGTCCTTGGCAAACTCCTTTGGTTTTTAGTATTACCAGTGTAAACAAGATTGTGGTGGGGTGACCAGTTCAAATGGTTCACAAGCTCCCTCCAGCTCCTTGGAGGTCCCCAGCTTCGGGCCGGGATCTCCCCCACCCAGGGCCACACCCTCGGGAGTCCACGTGTGTCCTCACTCCCTTGAGGAGTCTGGAGTAATGTACTTAGCTACCAAGCACTGGGCCCCTCAACCTGCCCCTCCCCAGTGCCCCACATGTGCTGATAGCAGGAGCTGGGGGATGAAGTGAGCATCCCTGTGAGGACTCTGGGGACATTCTCTTTCCACCAATGGGGACCTGAGGCTCAGAGAGGCTGTCACTTGCCCACGGTGTCACAGCTGGAAGGCAGTGGCTTCAAACCCAGATGTGTAATTCCAAATGCTGTATAAGCATCGCATCCCCAGCTTCTGGGGCTGGGCCTGGCAGGGAGGGAGCGGTCGTTCTGCTGGCTCAGGGCTGTGTAATGGGGGCTCAGACTCTGGCTGTCGGAAGGGCAAGAACTGGGTGCCTGGGCCTCTTTCGGGGCTCCAGCTTATTTCTGTTTATTTTTATTTTCTCACCTTGTTCCCTTTCCCTCGACAAAGCTTGACTCTTCCCAGGAAGCTATGCCCAACTGCCAGGGATCCCATAGCCTCCTTGGCTCACCAGCCCTCTCCAGTATAATAGATTACCAACGGCCCTACCCCTGCCGCACAAACCCTGCACAGAGGGTGGTCTCCAGTGCCCCTGGGAGCAGCTGAGGCCCTGGCCCACCTTGCTCACCAGGGTCTCCCCAGCCCAATATGTAGCAGGAGTCCATACGTGTCTGGTGCAGGGCTGGCTCCCAGGCCATCCCCATTCCTGAGAATGCAGACCAATTGTTCCAGGCACATCCAGGCCAGAGGAGCCCACCCCAGGTGCCGGGCCCATGTGCAGCGTGGGGAGGGGCTCAGTACGGGGAGCAGGTCCCCACCTTCCTGCTGAGTATGGTAACCTGTGTGTCCTCCATCTGTGGAACGGGGACAGGAAAGGCCCACTTTGTAGGCAGTGAGGCCTGATGCCCCTAAGGCCACCCCAGGGACTCTCTTAGGAACCTCACGCTGTGACCCTCCCAAAGCAAGGCACAAAGGCAAGCAATTTGCCCCAGGTCACACTGCTAGGAAGTAGGGGCAGGATTGGAACCCAGGCCTTCAGAGACACCTGAAGGGCCCTGGAAAACCTGTCCCTCACTGTGGGCCGAGGCTGGCAGATCTGCCCAGGAGCTTGGCAGCATTGACCTGGGAGGCTGCGGCCGCTCGACGACGATCCCTGCAGACCCAGCCCCTCACACCCACGCTCGAAGCCCCCAAAATAACTTGCAGAAAACTTGTTTGTGCAAGAGATGGAAGGCAGAGCTCATGTACAGAGACAACATTTGCAGTGTGCAATTAAGCTGCTTTGCAGCGATGTGGAAATGGACCCCCGTTAAAGGAATAGATCCACTAAATACATACTTAAGATACTGGAGTGTTTGTAATTGCTATCTTCATAAATTCCTGATCTCGTCATGCTTCTCCACAGGGGCGATGAGCACTTGATGGAGTAGCTTCTGAATGTCCTCCTTGCTATTGAGCAAACAGTCTAACGAGGCAGTGCTCACGGTATTCGTGGTACCATGTTGATGCCGACCTTTCCTTGCAGTAAGCCTCCCAGGGAAAGTCAGTCCTCTCTGATCCCTGCAAGGTGCTGAGGCCCAGTCTCCACAGCATGAATTCCATGAGCTCCTCCCACGCTCCGCTCCCCGGCTCTGCAAAGCCCAGGGTGTTCTAGTGCCCGTGTAAGCATAGGTGCTGAGGTTGGGAGGCACCCCTCAAAATGAATTTCTCCCTATCCTGCCTGGCTTTCCGGGAACCCTGGACCTCTGAAATCATTGAATAGGATGCTAGGAAATTCTGCACCCTGAGTTAACTTGGGTTCCCTTTAATATGTTAAGCACACAGTCTCTGCCCTGGATTGCAAGAGATAGGACTGGGGGAGGTGGGGCAGAAAAAGCTAGTGGTGGCTGAGCTACGTACGAAGTCCTGTCTAACCCCAAGGCCACGATCACAGGCCTGACACATCCAGCCACGAAAAGCAATAACAGAGCATCCCAGGGTGGCTGCTGTGGAGGGCGTGGGGCTACCTGTCATGAGTCTCGTGTACGATGCTTTGTGCCCACGAAGGATTTGCCCAGGCTTAGTGGCCTCTGTGATAACTCCAGTAACATCTATGCTGGTGAGCGGGGAAGCCGCCCGTCGCTGTTTTCTAGAACAATCAGAGCTCTTCAGCTGGACTTCACCCTCCACCACATCGGCCCAGGGAGGCTCCGGGAGACAGGAGGAAGACGCAGCCTCTGTCCTGAGCCTCTGAAGGTAAAACCACATGAAATGAAACTCCCTGGATTGCAGGAGCCTGAAGACCCCCTGATGAAACCTCCTCAGAGTAGAGAGCCCGCCTGGTTGGCATCTGTTTTAGCAAAGGTACAGAAGCAGCCTGGAAAGCTGAGAGATTGTGCTTTCGACGCCCGGAGGCCCGGCTGAGGGAGGTCCAGGCCAGAATTAAAATAAACCAAAGGAACACCGGTTTTCTGATTTTAAATCTTTGAAACTGTTAATCCTAGATTATCAAATGCAAAATATGCCCCAGCCAGAAATGCAAAGCTCCCACTTGCCCAGGTTTGGAACCAGGACTGTGTTTATCTGTCCTTGGTTATCCTGGCTGCTCCGTGAGCCGCAATGCCCGCGTTCATTTGTTAAAGCTTCCACTTCTCTCAATTTACAAAAGAAGGTTTAAGGAAGCAATTTCACTTGGCCTCGGCACCAAGGAGCTTAAAGTCGCATAAACCCAGGGAAGCTGCATTTCAGAACAAACTAGGAGGTTCCCCAAGCGGCTCCCAGGAAGTCCAGGAGCAAGCACCCCGCAGAAGGGCAGCTGGGGGGCCCTGGGTTTGTGACCTGGAGTCTGTCCCGTGGCAGCCTTGGGAAGAAGCAGGTTATCTCCAGGAGGTGCCACCATCATCTTCCCAAACCTAAACTTAACAATTGTCTTTGCTTTCATCATCATTTGCCTAATAATATTTCCCCTCTGTGATGTTCACAGAGGATAAAACACACAGCAAGATTAAAGAGTTTTCTCAAATCGCTCCCTGATTTTCTAAATAGAAAAGGGGCCATTCTGGTAGCAGAGTTCAGCTGAGATTCTTAGGAAAAAAGCGATGGAGAATTCTATTTTCCACTTTCTTAAACACCAAACTTATTTTCTTTTATCCTATGAGATGTTAATTCTTATAATAACTGAGGCTATTATATATGTGCAAACTGGAGTTATAAAAAGTAGCTACTATCACAGATAGAACCCATTCTCTCTGCTCCCTGAGACTTATTCAAACAACTGCTTGAGCCGAAATACGCTCCATGTGTTTCCTGCCATGGGTGAGTGGCTGGGGAGGGCTCAGAAGCCACCCTAAGGCAGGCGGGCATTGGAGGGGATGATGGCGCTTGGGTGAATCGCACGTTAAATGGGGGGGGGCGGTTTGTGGGTTTGCCAAGGGGGCAGACACCCTCACAGGCCTCAATTCATCACCTGCCACACCAGTGGGGCATGACCCGCTGCTGACACAGAGCTGGGCCCAGGCCTGGGACACTCCCATCAGCAGGCAGCCCTGAGCTCGCCCGCATCCCCATCCCCCTGCCCGGTGGGGACGCTCAGGGGTCATTTATGTTTGTTCCCTGTGTGTGCCACCCATTCTCATTTCTGCAAGTTAATTCGATATCATGGCAGTGGCTTGGGGTAAAAGGTGCCAGAGAACACCAGACAGCAGGCCTGCACCTACAGGAAAGGCTTGGCCGCCGCATGGAAGAGCATCTGTTTCCGTTAAAGTGAAATGTTCACTCCTTGGCTGGGCACATGGCGACCCCCACTTTGTCTGACTGTGTTTCACCAGCCAACCGCTGGTCCTCTCCCAAACCTGCTGATACCTCTATCCCCTACATCCTTGGGCGCAGCCCTGATACCTGAGTCTGAACCCCAAATCACATGTTTATGTGAGCTCTTGCAGGAGCAAGATCAGGACCCCAAGGCAGGGGCCCCCGAGTGAGTGCCCCTCACCGGGCCCAGCCCCGCTAGGTCCCGGGCTGCACCCAGCTCTCACCTCTGTGCCTTGCTACGCTGCCGCCTCTGCCTGGTTGCTCTCTGGGCTTAGCCTACCCAGATCCGAGCTCTGCCTTGTTCCCAGTTGGTCCGGGAAGGCTTCCCCACCCCCCAAATGGATCTGCTGGGGCCTGAAACACTCCTAGGCCCACACAAGACGCGGAAAGCAACTTCTCGCTTTTTTTTTTATTTTTATTTTTTTAAGAGACCTCGTTCTATTGCTCAGGCTGGAGTGCAGTGGGGTATGCGCTCCTCCTGGGCTGCCTGTCCTGCGCACTTTGTCACCTTCCCACGTGTGCTTTCTTCCACACTGAACAGTGAGTGCCCCGAGGTCACAGGTGTCTGCGCGTTCATCTCTGAATCCACGGCTAGCTATGCCGGGGCATCCACACGTGCCGCCTGCCTGGACAGTGGGTCAGCAAGGTCCGTTCCCACCAGCAGGGAGGAGGCCAGGCTGCTGAGAGCAAGGGCTTGAATTAGGAACTGGGTTAGAGAGTGGAGGCCAACGCACTGCGAATGCCTGGGTTGTCTCCCAGGAGGCCATAGGGAGCCAGCCAGGGTTCTGAGCAGCAGCAGGACACACGCTGAGCTCACAGTTGGGACTTCTTGACCTCCAGTAACCCAGGAATTTGGATCTTGCAGGGTTTCAGATGAAAACAGCCTCACACCTGGGGCAGCTGCCCTGTCACCTGCACTTTCTTTTTTTTTTTTCTTTTCTTTTCTTTTTTTGAGACGGAGTCTCGCTCTGTCACCCAGGCTGGAGTGCAATGGTGCGATCTTGGCTCACTGCAACCTCTGCCTCCTGGGTTCAAGCGATTCTCCTGCCTCAGCCTCCCAAGTAGCTGGGACTATAGGTACACACCACTACGCCTCTTATGTTTTGTATTTCAGCAACACTATCTCACATCACGCAGACAGTGAGGAGGGCTTGGCTTCGAGGCTGCATGCCCTTGCTGGGGTGTGGGGGAGGCCCTCTCTGCACTGTCCTCCCAACCCATCCAGGCCTGATTCTGGGCTTTACTTGGTGAGAACTGCCTTCCAGGTCTCTAGGTCAGAATTCCAAAAAGTGGGAACTTGGCTGGGTGTGGTGGCCCATCCTGTAATCCCGGCACTTTGGGAGCTGAAGTGGAAGGATGGCTTGAGGCCAGGAATTCCAGACCAGCCTGGGTAACATAGCAAGGCCCTGTCTCTACACAAAATGTAAAAGTTAGCTGGACATGGTGGTGGTGTGTGCCTGTGGTCTCAGCTGCTTGCGGGGCTGAGACAGGAGGATTGCTTGAGTCCCAGAGTTCCAGGCTGCAGTGAGCTATGATTGCCCCACTGCACTCCAACCTGAGCAATAGAACGAAGTCTCTTAAAAAACTAAAAATTTAAAAAAAAAAAAAAAGCGGGAAGTTGCTCTCCGCGTCTTGTATGGGCCTAGGAGTGTTTCAGGCCCCAGCAGATCTCTTGGGGATTCCAGGATGGTGGGCGGAAAGGAGCAGGTGGGCTTTCCAGGCAGCCCTCTGTTTATCCACACCCCCTGCGCCACCCCACCCGGCAGTCCAAGCAGAAGGTGACGCATGTCGTCCTAACTGATGGCACAGAGAGCAGGGGGCTCTCTCGGACCTCTGCTTATCCTGCGTCCCAGCCTGGCCTGCAGGGGCTGCTTAGGGTGAGCCCTTGGAACTGTCGGGAGACCTGCTGGCACTTTCTGAGGTGGGCAGCACGGCAGGAGCCATGTGGCTGCGCCCCACATGCCCTGAGCAGACAGAGGACCCTGTCCAGATGGGCTTTTGGGCTCACTGCTGCAGCCCTTTCCCCCATCCTTGAGCTCTGGGGTCTTTGTATCTGCAAGGATGTCACCTCCGCTTCCCAGATAGACCCCCTCAGACAGCCCCACGGCCAGGCCCTGTAGGGACCAAGGTAAGTGGACACGAGAGTGCATCAGAAGCCACCGCAGGGCAGCTGAACCGGTGCTGGCCCAGAAACTGCCCCCTTCTAAGAAAGAGAGAGAACCAGAGCACATGGATGTTGGCACATGCTGCTCGGCTTCCAGATGCATGAGCACGCGTCGCTCGCTCTGCCCCGGGAGCGTTCCATGCATTCGCTCGCTCTGCCCCGGGAGCGTTCCATGCATTCGCATTCTGCAGCCTCCCTCCACACTGTGATTTTCCACGTCTCCCCAAATGCGTCATTAAGATGATCACATGCATTTACAAAGGCGGCCGGGCTGCAGCCCAGCACCCGCTTCATGATGACAGCACTGCACCCCCAGCACTGTTTTGCCATGATTTAGTACTTGTGTACACCAGTTATAAGAAAGTATCACTTTTGATAGCCTTGTGGGTTTTCTCCCCTCCGCTGCTGATTGGTATAATTTATATGAAGGCTCTAAGCCCCCTGCCAGGCTGGGACTGCTGGTGATACACATATAATTACAAACCCTTCTTCCCAGCTTTGTGAACTTCGAGGAGGAAAGACGTTTTAAAGGTGCTGTTTTAGTTGTGCTGATGAAATGCATATTCATTTAGGGGGCCTGGTGGTTATTTAGCTGTTATTGTTCAGCAGGCCTGGTCCTCAGGTACCAGACCAGGCAAGGAGACACAGGGTGCGGGGCTGCTGATCTGATCCCGCGACCTTGAGCTGTGTGCACACCTGCCCGTGAAAGGCCTTGAGCCAAGCCCAGGGGTGGCCACCTCCTGACTTTTCCCGGGGACCGTGTCTGGCCACTTCCTCCTCCCGCACTCTCCCATCCCCTCAGCTGCACCTTGCTTCAGACTCGGGGGGTCCTGCCTCCCGCTGTGGCTTCCTATCCTCTCCACTTGTCTTCCCAAACCGGTTTTGCCCAGAGGGCCCAGGTCACTTGGCATCCCCAAGACCGCCTTCCACCTACACAGCAACCAGCGGCTCTCACTGGCTGCTGCCTGGCATGAGAACTTGGCATCCCCAAGACCGCCTTCCACCTACACAGCGACCAGCGGCTCTCACTGGCTGCTGCCTGGCATAAGAATGCCCTGTGTCCGTGGGGGACGTATGCAGCCACTGCAGATACCACTGAGGCCAGGCTGGTGATCTGAGGGACAGCCACGCAGCTGCGGGCCTCCGGGCACCTGCCCACCTCAAGGCCTTCACATTCAGATTTTTTAAAACCTGTTCTGGTCAAACCAAAGTCACCCAAGGAGGCTCCTCAGCAGCCATTTGCCCAAGGGTCACTCTGTCCACACCGATCCTCACGTCACCCTCACAGCAGTCCCACTGCACCCGCTGAGCAGAGGGGAGCTGAGGCGGAGGGGGCAGGTGGAAGTTGTGGCCAGGCCACGGGGCTCCCACACAGCAGTGCCAGCATCGCCGCCCCCCATCCCTCTTGTGTTCTTGCCCTCGCAGCCCCTCAAGGCCTGGAGGCAGCTTTGCTTTGAAACCCCTGGGTTACTGCATACAGGAGCTTTCCCCTCCCAAGACCCTCATCAGCTTTCTGAAGCCAAGTTGCCTCTGCCCTGACCTTCAAACCTTCCCAGGATCAGCTCAAGGCAGCCAGGCAGGGAGGCTGTGCCCCCTTCAGGCCCAGGACCCTCTGTCCACCTGGGGAAATATGACATGCAGGTAGAAATAGGACAGGCTTTGCGGAGTGAAATAAAAATCCTTAAAATCCTGTTGTGTCCTGGGCTCCAGGTACAGTGCTGGGCCTCAGCATATCCTGTAGTTCTAGGATTTGCGGGGCAGTTCCCGCTACCCCCCGCCCCAAAGCTTTCACCCCCTGCCAGCTCCCACTCCCCAAGATCCCAGGTCCCTAGATGCCACTGTCCCGCTCCCTACCCAGCCTCCACCTCCCAGATCCCACTGCTCCAGTCCCCTCTCACTCCCTACACAGCCCCCACCCCAGCCCAGATCCCACTGCTCCAGTCCCCTCACTCCCCATGCAGCCCCCACCCCAGCCCAGATCCCACTGCTCCAGTCCTCTCACTCCCTACACAGCCCCCACCCTAGACCAGATGCACTGCTCCAGTCAGTCCCCTCTCACTCCCTACACAGCCCCCACCCCAGCCCAGATCCACTGCTCCAGTCCCCTCTCACTCCCTACGCAGCCCCCACCCCAGCCCAGATCCCACTGCTCCAGTCCCCTCTCACTCCCTACACAGCCCCCACCCCAGCCCAGATCCCACTGCTCCAGTCCCCTCTCCCTATGCAGCCTCCACCCCAGCCCAGATCCCACTGCTCCAGTCCCCTCACTCCCTACGCAGCCCCCACCCCAGCCCAGATCCCTGCTCCCTGATGTTCCAGGAGGCAGAAAGGTCCAGTCCTGCAAGTGAGGAGGACGCAGTTAAGGAGATGTCACCTCAGCCAAAACTGCTTCCCCGGGTTTTGGGCTTACACCTGTGCTTCCTGAAAGACCCTTGGGGGGGTCTACTTTGGATCTACAGGAAGGTTTTCCTCTCCTGGGAAAAGCAAAGGAAAAAATCCTACAATTGTAATCCAGCTCAATTTTACAACCATTTCCCAGGCACCTGGATGGCCTGGGTACCATGTACCCGAGAGAGATGGCAGGAGATAAGTGTTACCCAGACATTAATGAGTAACACACCCTGTGGTTCTCCAGCCAGGTGGGCCCTTCAGGGCAGGCTCTGCCCCGCCTCCTTGTGTGGGGTGCAGACAGGATTCCCCAGGCTCTTCATGAGCAAGTGGGGAGAACGTTCCACCCAGCGAGTGATGGGTCTGAAAGTGATTTTTGGCTTGGATAGTTACTAGATTTTGTTTTTCCTTCTTTAGGAGGAAGGTGGGGCTCTGCGCTTTTATTTTTAAACTTCATCTCATTAATGATTTACTTATTTGCAGTAACTCTGCCTTCAGACTTTCTAAGGCCTGTGCTCTAACGTACTGATGAATTATGTGTTCATTACGTGAGTCCTGCATAAAAAACATCTCGATGCCTAGAAAAATTGCTTGTGTAATGGAAACCTTTGTCATTTATTCATTTTAATATAATAACCGTCTTGTCTTGTGGGTGAGTATGATTATCGCACCTCTGATGAGAGCAATAATGTGGGAGACAGTCGTTTTTACAGAGCAGAGCTATTGCTGTGTTTAGATTATCAGAATTTTTATTATGGTGCTAAAATAAAACTGATAACAGGGGAAAAGTAGCAGATACACCTGTAGTTCCCAGGGTGTCTGAGGCAGAGAGCCGCAGCGAAGGTGTGGTTCGGCGACCTCGCTATCGATCTACAAGGTATTCCGTGGTGCCTCCTCTGTGCACACAGCCACACGGCAGGGAGGGGAGGGTGCCAGGTGAGGGACACCATGGCGTCATCTGAGGGTGGAGCAGTCAGTGGGAACATCTAGAGGCACCCCCGACGCCCCTGCTTCCCCATGGAGCATCTGCATAAGTACTTCTGGGCTTCACTGAGTTTGGGGCGGGAAAAGGTCAATTTTCATCAGGTATGGCCCACCAAAGGGCACTGAGTTCATCAAAAGGCCAGCTGCCCATCTGATCCTTCTCCCTAATGGACGAGGGCTGCCTAGCCCAGGTCAGACTCCGGCCACAACAGGGCATGCCTTCCTCCCGTGATCTGTGAACACAGTATTGCCAGAGGAGCAGGTCGAAGATCCCAGGTAACCCAACTGCCGTCACCTCCAGCACAGGTGTGCTGGCCAGGGCTTCCAGAGAAGCAGAACTGGGGAATGCAGGTGCAGGGAGAAGGAGATTCCATTTAAGGAGTTAGCTAGGGCGACCATGGAGGCTGGTAAGTCCTAAGATCTGCAGCCACAGTTCCGGTCCCAAAACTGTCTGATGGAGAATTCTCTTGCTTGGGGAAGGCTGGCCTTTTCTTTCTATTCAGGCCTTTGACTGATTGGATGAGGCCCACTCACACTGTTGAGGGCAGTCTGCTTTACCCAGAGTTGGCCAGTTTAAATGGTGTTGGTGATGGTGATGATGATGATGATAGTGGCGATGGTGTTGATGGTAATGGTGGTGATGATGGTGTTGATGGTAATGGTGATGATCATGGATAGTGATGTTGGTGTTGATGGTGATGATAGTGGTGATGGCGTTGGTGGTGATTACAGTGATGATGATGGCAGTGATGAAGGTGAATAATAATGTGATGATGATGAAGGTGATAGTGATGATGGTGGTAGAGGAAGAGAAAGCTGCAGCCACCTTGTCTTGAGCACTTCCTATGAGTCATCTGAATTACAAACATCTTTGTTTTAATCCTGTCAAGAATTTTCATGCAGTAGGTGTCATACCCACTTTATAGATGAGGAGACCAAGAATTAAGAAGGTCAAAACTTGTCCAAAGATACACTAAAATGTGGCAGGATGAGGACTTGAACCCAGAGCTCTTTGTATCCCAAACCCATGCTTATGATTGTTGACATGGTATCTTCACCGTGAATTTGTATATTTTGAACCCAACTGAATTGCTAAATCTCTTGGTGTCCACTGAAGTCTTTGGTAGCACAAGAATATATGTGTGTAGAACATTTCTGTTGCCAGTTCATGTACATTATTTAGAAAATAACACATGCTATTCTCTGCTAAGTAAATTTTATGCCAAAGGATGACTCTATCAATAAATACTATGTAGTAAAACCATGTAGTGGGGCGGCTTTCTTTATGTGTAAAAGGCATGTTTTATTGAGATTGAAGAGACAATGTCTTTTGGATAGGTAAGGAACTGTTGGAGAAAGCAAAGTCACTAAGGACCATTATTTTGTTTGCCACTGTTAAACACGTCAGCCTATTTTCTTTTTACATTACTGTTTTCTACCAGATGTCTAGAGCAACAGGCTCCCTGGAAAACCTCCTCATTGTCCACCACAGCTTGAGGGTCATGGTGCTTCGTGCCCACTTTCTATTGGAGCATAGCCTCATCCCCTCCTACACTGTCCTCAGAAGCCATTCCCATTGTCTCCATTGTCAAGTACACTGTCCTTAGAAGCCATCCCCATTGCCACCTTGTCAACTACAGGTGTCTGGTGGGTAGCTGGATTCATGGATAACTGGTATGGCTTGAGATGAGTGTTGGCTCTTGACTCTTAAAAAGATGGATAAAAATACAAAAAAAAAAAAAAGATGCCTCCCCCCAACCCCAGCGACATGAATTAAATGGATCAATGATGGTGGAGAGGCAGGCGAGAATTAAAGCAGAGAGACTCCTGGGAAGTGTCATTACAGGGTCACAGGTCTCACCTAAGGAGGTGAAATTCCCATCCTTTTTTCCCTATGCTGAGCCGTCTGCCCTGTTAGAAGATTCTGTGTACGCATATGTTCATATTTCTAATATTGACATCATTAACTTATTTGGAATTAACCAGCATGAACACTTGGTAGAAAAGTAGTCTTGATAAGAAATAGTAAGCCAGTACCAAACAAGAGATCCAGGTCACATTTAATCCAGTTGTAGTGATATCTAGAAGAGGGGGGAAATCCTTTCCTGTGAAGGCCTTTTCATCTGCAGCCTTTTATCCGCTTAGTCTGTAAAGGAGACACTAAGTTGTATAATAATACCGGGCCATGTGCCTTGTAAGAACAGGCTTAACCCTCCTCCTAAGACCACAAAGTGAATTTAAATTTTCTGAGTGTTGACAGCTGAAGCATGAGGTTTCTTCAAGGATGGTGTTGAAAAGTCAGATCGTCTTTCCAAACCTCACTCCTTTCCTGGGACCCCACGGCCACTTTCGTTATCCCATAACAACAGCTATAACTGGGTTTATGGCATGGGTTGATTTTTCTCACTCTACATAGTTTGTAAGTTGGTGATTTTTTTTTCCTTTCATCCCTCCTTCATTCCTTCACCCCACGACTTTAAAAACTATCTTTATAGGCCAGACACGCTGGCTCATGTCTGTAATCCCAGCACCTTAGGAGGCCAAGGTGGGTGGATCAGTTGAGGCCAGGAGTTCGAGACCAGCTGGGCAAAATGGTGAAACCCCATCTCTACTAAAAAATACAAAAAATTAGCCCCGCATGGTGGTGTACGCCTGTAGTTCCAGCTGCTTAGGAAGCTGAGGCACGAGAATTGCTTGAACCTGGGAGGTGTAGCAAGCTAAAATCATGACAGTGCACTCCAGCCTGGGCAACAGAGTAGGACTCTGTCTCAAAAATAAACAAAAACTATAATAACACCAAAATAGACTGATAGACCTAGTCTCTAGCTCTTGCCCCAACACCAAGCTCACTCCTAAGAATGTTACTGAGCCCTGACGAAGGACAAGGCACTGTTCTCAGTGCCTCGTATAAAGATCTCAGTTAATACTCACCCAAACTTTGGAAGGCGAGACTGTATTTATCTCTGATTTACCAGAGGGGAAACTGAGGCAAAGAGGAAGTTAAGTGACTTGCCCAAGATTACAAGGCAGAAAATGGAAGCAGAATTTGAACTCATCTGGTCTAGGCCCAGAGCTGTCTCCCACCTGCCATGCTCCAAGGCATTGCTGTTACATGGTCAGCTGCCTACTTGATTCTCAAACTTTTCATGTCCAACCGAACACCTGACTTCCCTCCAACACCATCTCACACTCCCCATGGGCTTCCCCAAAGTTAATGGCAGCTCTGCCCTCCTGCTGCTCTACTCAGGACCTTGGAGCTCTGCTTGATGCCTCTCTTCGCCCACATCTCACATCCGATTTGTCTCCAGATTTTGTCAACTGTACCTTCCGAACAGATCTAGAATAGGCCGCCTCTCCCACTGCCACAGCGTGCTCTGACCCCAGCCACCATCCTATGTTATTGCCGCAGCCTCCTCACGGTCCTCCCTGCTTCTGCCCTTGACTCTTCCTGCAAGCCATGCAGCAAGCCCAAGGGGTCCCTCTAGAATGCACGTCAGTAGTGTCCCCTTCTGCTCAGAACTCCCAGATGGTGTCATCCCTTCTCGTGGGGGTGGAAGTCAGAGTCCCTGTGAGGTCTCCCTGGGCCTCTTGGGCATAACCTACTCCCATTTCCTATGAACTTTCTCCTTGCTTGCTCCACATCTGCCATCCTGGCCTCCTTACTGCCCTCGGCCATGCCAGCTAAGCTCCCGGCCCAGCGCCTCTGCCTTCCCAAGCACTCTTGGTCTTTTCTGGCTGGAATGCTCTTGCCTCAACACCCACGTGGCTTGTCTCCTTACTCCATCCAGGCCTCTGCTCCAGGGCCACCCTGTCAGAGAAGGCCTTGCTGATGCCCTTATGGAAAACCATGTCTATGAGAACAGCACCACCAGCCCCTGTGCTAAGGAGAACATGCACCAGCCCCTGTGCTAAGCTAGGGCGGTGATGGGGGTGGGGGTGGTTTCAAGAATAACACAGGTGGAGATTTTATGTAAGCTGGTCAGTATTCCAGAGAAGGAAACATTTTCAGCAAAGACCTCCACAAATGTTTGTTCTCGGGTGAATTAAGTAAGTCGCTATTTCACACCTACTGCATGCATTAGGGTGTGCTGGGTCCTTCGAGACCCGTTGATGGCCTAGGATAGCATTCACTCACCAGGCTGCCCACCTTGCTCACCTGGTGGCCTCATGGCCTCCTACCTGTCTCCTCACCTCTGCTCTTGGCCCATCCAGTGCAGAGGTTCTGCAGTCCACAGAGAGGTCTGAAGACAAAACCATGATCCGGGACCAGTAAGTTAAAAAAGCAAGGTAGAGGAAAATGTGCATAGCTATTACCATTTAAGAAGGGAAAAGTGTGTGTGTGTGTGTGTGTGTGTGTGTGTGTGTGTGTGTGTGTGTGTATGTGTTTCCTTATTGTAAAAAAAGATACAATAAATAAAAAATGAACAAATGTGGGGAAGGAAGAGGCCAGGATAGAGGGGATAGAAATAGAAGCTGAACGTCTCAGAATAGACCTCGGTGGATTTGACTTTGAAAGATTTTTACAAAGTTATCTTTTACAATACATTAACAAAGCAAGCCCTGAAAATCAAAAGCAAAAGGGAATCAACGCGTCCGTCTATCAAGTTGGTGACATTGCTACACCGGTGGGAATTATTTTAATTATTTTAAGTGACTTTAAGACGTGATAATTTTACTTACATATTCCTGGTGGGATATAGTCCAAGACCAAAAAGAAAAATCATAACTACTTTCAGTAACCATGTTGTTTGGGATTTATTGGTATTGCTATTTTGAGACTGTTGTTTGTGTCCTATGGAATAAAGCAAATGAATAAGTATTGAGGACCAGGATTATTGGTATGGGAGAAAGGAGACACAGATGTGAAATCAATGATTTCTACTACCTTGTAGTCCTCAATTTGGTTTTAGGTATTAATGTGAACTCCTGATATATGACAACTTTTTTAAAAAATGTATTTCCTAGCTCTATCCATTATAGAGAAATAAAAGACCAGCCCAATAGCACTGAACACCCAAGCCCCTAGGCTATGGCCTCTAAAGACCGTTTCCTACCAAGAGGAATCAGTGCTTCTTAGAGAAAATTTAATTCTAGGTAGGAAATGTACAAGATGAGACCAAAACACTTTGTCACACCAGCAGGCAAATGAACACTCAGAGACGACAGGGTCACACCAACAGGACACCCAGGTCAACTTGAAGATGCTCCCACTGGTCAAAATGGAACAGTTTCTCAGTGTAGCAATTGCAACAGATGGAAATAGATCTAGTAGGTTAGATTCTTCAGGATTCTTTACAAATAAATAAATCTCACGGGTCACCCTTGAGGAAGCTAAGTAACCAACTCATTATTTTGAAAACAGGAAAATAAAGCAAAAGAACTAAGCATTTTCCTGACATTTCTATATGCCCACTGCCTCAAGGTAATATGACGGGAAGTTGCACCTCATAAAGTTTTCCACCTGATAAATGAGGTAGAGGTGATGAAATATTTCTATTTTGTGATCTTTAATGAAATAATGGGTCTAGACAATGATCATTAGTGGCTGCTAACCTCCCAAAAAATTGATAAATAAAAGAGAGACAGTGGCAACGAGAGAGACCAAGAAAAAGAGAGAAAACAGACATTACCCGCATCTAACGAAAGCACCCACCACCCGCCACCTGTGAAGTATTTGCCTCCCCCCATTACACATGATCCTGACCTGGCCTCTGGATCTTACCACCATGTGTAGGATACAAAAGAGAGGGAGACAGATTAAATCTCACCATAGGGAGAAGCCAGCAAAATCCAGTCCTGGGGAAACTGTAGGACCAACGATCTGGTTTCCTCAACACATGAACCACAAGAAGATAGAAAGAGAGGGAGGAACCTCTAAATTCAAGGGGATCTAAGAGCACAATCAGCTGGTGGCAGTGTGTGCCCCACCTTCGGAATCGACTTCTTGCTCAGAGGTCCTGAGGGGAGGGTCCTGAGGAAATGGACTGCTTCCCAAGGCTCTTCCTTCCCTTTGCTGATGGCCTCCCTGTGGGAGTCCTGCAGGCTTGGCTCAGCTCCCAGTCTCTGCACTTCACTTCTGTGTGGCCTTGGCTCAGACACTGAGCCTCTCTGTGCCTCTGCTTCCTCACTTATAAGCTAGGCATGATTATTTTACCTGCCTCAGCGTATGCTTGTAAAGATAAGATAAGCAGTCCCTAACCTTTTTGGCACCAGAGACTGGTTTCCTGGAAGACAATTTTCCCATGGACCCAGGGAAGGAGGATGCTTCCGGGATGAAGCTGTTCCAGCTCAGATCATCAGGCATTAGATTCTCACAAGGAGCGTGCAGCCTCCATCCACATGCGCAGGTCACAACAGGGTCCACACTCCTGTGAGAGTCTAATGCCACCACTGACATCATGGGAGGCGGAGCACTGGAGGCTCTGGCAGTCATGCTCGCCCGGCCACCACTCACCTCCAGCTGTGCGGCCCAGTTCCTAACAGGCCACAGACCGGTACCGGGTTGGGGACCCTGCTTTAAGCAGTCGCTTCTCCTTCCCTGGCCTCGCCCCCAGCAGCCAATAACGTACTTCCTGTCTCTATGGATTTGCCTGTCCTGCATACTTTGTGTCAATGGAAGGAGGTATTATGTGGGGTTTGTGTCCGGCTTCTTTCGCTGAGCATAATGTTTTCAAGGTTCAGCCATGCTGCAGCTCGTATCAGAACCTAGTTCCTTTCAGGGCCAAATAACATTTCACTGTGTGGGTGGACCACGTTTAGCCACTCAGCAGCTGACAGACACTTGGCGGTTGCACTTTGGGGCTGTTGTCAGTGTGCTGCCGGGCACGTCTGTGTGCAAGGCTTTCTGTGGACAGATGTTGATTCTTAGGGTGTCTGCCCAGCAGTGGGATTGCTGGGTCACGCATGCAGCAGCTCTGCTCGCCTTTCTGGAGGCCACGAGCCTGTTTTCCACGGCGGCTCTGCGGGCCTCCTGTTGAGGAAGCCCTGGCGAGTGGGGGCTCCTCTGCCAAGCATTAAATACGGACTCACCACTGGGGACGGACTTGGACTCCAGGAGCCCCCAGGAGGCTCCCTCTGTGCCGACGCCCGTGGGCTGCAGACGGGTGGGTGACTGTGGGACCCTTGCTCAGCCTCCAGCTTTGGGGCTGATGGCTCTGCCCCCAGGGAGTCTGTGCAGCCCTCCTCCAGACCCCAGTCCCCTTGGACCAGGGGCAAAGCTCATTTCCCTCATCCCTCCCGCCCCTAGCCTGCTGGGGTGGGAGGGACGAGGCTCCTGCCCGGCCGGCCCTGGGGCTGGGAGGCAGGTGTGGGAAGTGCAGGTGGGTGGTTTGGTGTGTTTGGCAAGCCGACCCAAACTCCCATTACATGCTATGGAAACCCTTGCAGGCCCCAGATCTCTAAATTTTTTTTCTGTCCCCCACAGCCCTACCTTCATGGGGACTGCCCCCCAACCCCACTCCCGCAGTTCTACCCCCATGCCCCACCCCCACACCCGTTCATGTGACCCAGATCCATCTCCTTGGAGCCCCCCGCCCCCAGGTGAAATTGAGCATGCCTCCTGTTCTCACTAGACAGAGGCTCCGAGGGAGCAGGCGAGTCCTCTCTTGTCAGAGGCCACATCCCTGCACCTGCGCAGCACGGCACATCCTGGGGCTCAGCGTCCTGCGTGGAACATACTCAAGTCCATCCACATCCTCTGCCTCAGAGACAGCAGGCCCTAAGCGTGCTTCCCCGGGACCCTCCCTGGGCTTCTACCGCCTGCCACACTCCACCTGTCCCCCTGCATCCAGGAGGGCAGCACACACCTCCCGGGGCCTCTGCCATCCGGCCCAGGGCCACCACCTCCCAAGGCCCCCCAGGACCTGGCCAGCCCAGGTTGCCCCGTTTCTGCTGCTGGTGAGGTGGGGCTGGGCTGACAGGAACCCCAGGAGATCTGCAGCGGCCCCGCCTCCCAGGCCTCCCCCATGCTGAGCTTGCCCACCTCAACAGACGCCCTAGCGTGTGCTCCGGAGAGACACTGAAATGAACTTGGTCCCCCTTCCTCACCCATTAAGTTCTTCCCCCGAGGCCAGAATCCATCGCAGGCAGGCCCTGCAGAGCGGCAGGAGCGGGCGGCGCTGGCTTCACTCCGCGGTCATTTACTTCCGCTTCTGGGCGCCCTTTCTTGCCTCTACACATCTTGCTCTTGGTCGCACGTGCTGAGTCTCGGAGCTGCAGGAGCTTGCCAACTGCCCACCTCCGCTCCTCTCTCCTGATGCCCTGTTTGTTGATGGTGCAGGAACCCGCTGCTGCAGTTAGGAAATTGAAATGTCAGTCGGGAGGGCTCCTGGAGTGGGGTTTGAAGCTGAGCTCTGAAGGCCTCGAGGGCAGGGAAAGGGAAGAACTCTGGGAAAGAGGGCCGGGGTCTCGCCCCTCCTGGAGGCACTGGCTACCCTCAACTCTTGGGGGAGCTTTTGTGAATGGAGTTTGCTTGAAATCGATCTTCTCAGCCTCCTCACCAGCCTCACACTGGCGTTATGTCCCTGGTAGACCAGGCGGCCAAAGCTTCCTTCCTGTGGCTGCCCTGACCACATCTGGCACTGGGAACATGCCCTGCACTTGAGGATAAATAAAAGTGAAATTTCAATTAAAAGGATAAATCATGGTGATGGGTCCTCGTGGTGACCAGCAAAGACCTGGCCCACTTCCAGGCTGAATTTCAACTGAGAAGCAGCCATTTCTTTGTAAAAAGTTGTCCATTTTAGCGAGCAGTGAAGTCTCGAGGGAAGAGCCCCAGGCCTCTGTTAGCAGAGCCTGTGCTCAAATCCCTGCACCTGTAGAGCCTGCACCCCCTCCAGGACGGGTGAGTCCCTTGGCCACAGCCAGGCCTGACACCCCGAATGCGCTACTCCCTGACCTTCCATTAATACCAGCTTTTCGCTAGCTTCTGGTCTTATGCTTCACCTGAACCATGCAGCAGGTCCCTGTCCTCATCAAACTTTGATGCCGAACAAAGCAAATGTCCGGCAGGCCACAGTGCAGCCTCCTCCCCCTCAGGACCCCAGGCCCACCCTGCACACCCTCATGTGGTCCCTCCAGGCTCCTGGGCGGGGTGGGGGGACAGGGATTTCTCCGCAACATACCACCCCTGCAGTGGGATTCCCAGCGTTAAGGGGAGAAGGTGTCACTGGCACGTGGTGTGCACAATTCTGAATCCTCCAGCCTCTCCAGCATTTGCCTTCATTCCCACAGAGGCCGAGAGGCTCATGGCTTCCAGAAGGCTATGAGATGTGGCACAGGCACCCGACAGGTAGGACTGGCTGGAAGCCTCGGGCCTGGGCAGGAGCGGCTGGAGCCTGCCTGCATCCACTTCCTCCTTCCATCTCCTTTGACCAGGAGACCACCTTGCCCACTCATCCTGCAAGTTGGGTGGATGCTGCTGCCAACCCAGGCCTGGTAGATGTACCCATTCCAACCTCCAGCCATGGCAGCTGCTTCAAGGCTGGGGTAAGAGCCAATGAGTGTCTGCCCCAGGACATTTGACGGAGCTGTCTGGAAACAGCCACCTTCCCTACTGAGGCAGGGAGCTGGTGGGTCAGAGCAGGGGCACTGGGGCCAGGACACCTGGGTTCTGGATCCCAGCTCAAGGGCTTGTGAGCTGTGTGATCTTGGGTGAGTGACTCAACCTCCCTGTGCTGCAGTTTCCTCATCTGTAACAGGGAAGGGCTGCATATGAATGGCCTTGTCTGTATTAACGGCACTGCCTTGGGTTGTGGTGATGAGTAAGTGAGTGGATGGATGTAATGTGACTAGTGTACTAGTTCATTTTCACACTGCTGTAAAGATACTATCCAAGACTGGATAGTTTACAAAGGAAACAGGTTTAATTGACTCACAGTTCCACAGGGCTTGGGAAGCCTCAAGAAACTGACAATCAGGGCAGAAGGCGAAGGGGAAGCAAGGACCTTCTTCACATGGAGGCAGGAGAGAGAAGTGCGAGCAGGGGACACGCCAGACACTTATGAAACCATCAGATCTCGTGAGACTCACTCACTCTCATGAGAACTGCATGGGGGAACTGCCCCCATGATCCATTCATCTCCCACCAGGTCTCCCTCTCAACACCTGGGTATTACAATTCAAGATGAGATTCGGGTGGGGACACAAAGTCTAACCATACCACCTGGGGTACTGCCTGGCACTGCAAACTAGTTAGGGAAGCATCCGTTGTCATTACCATCATCACTGGTTCTACGACCTCTTATTTCTGTGCCCCTGACACTGATGCTATTACTAGTACTGTCAAAATTGTAATGTCAGCCTATTGCTGTTACCCCTGGGGCTGCTAGGCTGATGGGATGTAAGCACAGAAGTGTGAGGCAGCAGAAGGGGAGAGAGTACCTGCGAGTCTGAGGGGTGGGCTGAGCAAGTGCTGAGAGCCCCGTCAGAATGGTCACCCTCATAATGGACTGAGCACGGTACTCAGCCCCCATGAGTGAGTGAACACAGTACTCAGCCCGCATGATCCAGCCATGCCTGAAACCCACACCACTCCAGGATAGGAGCCAGCACATTGCCTTTTTGCTTGAGCCAGTTACATTGGGATTTCTGACGTTTCCAATGGACGAGACCTAAAAGTGCCATCATGCAGTAAAAACCTAAATTAAATCATTTTATTCTTGTGGTCTGGGACCTCCAGGCTGGATATACAGATATTTATTGCCCCTTGTCCCTTGTTTCATTCAATCATCCACTCTGGTTTGCAGAGCACTTTCTGTGTGTCTACTAGTATGCAGAGCTCTCCGGGGGAGACAGCAAACATAGTATTCCGGCATTATTACTGATTAAATTAATGATTAAACCAATATTCAGCCCACATTTAGTGACATAGCATAGTACTCAGGCCTCATTACTGACAACACAAAAAGCCCAGATTTATTCACAAACATCAGTATTCAGCCTTCATTTATTGACAAAGCTCAGTATTCAACCCACATTACTAAGCAAGAGTACTCAGCCTTCATTACTGACTGAGCACAGTACTGAGCCCTCATAACTGACCAAGCACAGTACTCAGCCCTTATAACTGACTGAGCACAGTACTCAGCCCCCATGGTGACTGAGCACAGCACTCGGCCATCAGCATCGAATTACAGACACTGCAGATCCTCAGTTACCATCTTTCATATACTCTTGGCAACAGCTCTGCAGGCTGGATTTAAAAAATCCCATTTCCAGATGAGGAGATAAAACCATTTCCCAAAGTGAAGAGCCAGTGAGGAGGCGCCCCCTCCTCTTCGTCTATGGGAGCACTGCCTGGAGGCACAGGGTGCAGGAGTGGGAGACATCCATTCTGGCAGGTCTCCTTCCTATTGGCCCAGCGTGGGTCACATGTCCTTCCTAGCCAATCACAGTGCCCAGGGAGGTGCACTCTCATTGGTCCACGTGGGGTCCCATGGCTGTCCTGGGGCCAGGTGGGATGGTTCCCCCACACAGTCCATGCAGAGCAAGGGTGGGCCGGGGTGATTTCCAAAGACTGGCAGAAGTGGGTCTCGGCAGGCAAAGCCAGGGCTGACGGCAACCTCCTTCTCGGGCCTGACTCCAGCCTCATGGCTTCCTTGCTGCCCCTAAATGCCCTCCTTTGCTGCCCCTTGCCCCCCCTCACTCAGCTGCCTCTCCTTCTGGGGCCTGTGGCCTAGGATCTGGGGCCTGGGGTCTGGGGTCTGGCCTCCATCTTTTCTGCTGGACACTGGCCCCCTTGGGCTCCCACTACACCTGCACCTGTGCTCCAGCCCAGGCAGGGTCTAAGCTCCCTGCATCTTCCAGCCCGGCCCCCAAGGGACAGGACCCTGCTCCCGTATCCCCAGCAGTGTGGCACATTTACAGGGGCAGACAGGTCCTGTTAGAGGAAAGTAGACGCTGTGTGACAAGACCTTCCAGAGACAGGTGGGGACGCGTGCATTAAATATCAATGAAGGTTTTCTGACGAGACTCCTGACTTCTCATGTTGGAGCCAGAAAATGACAGGGACTAATCAGGGGATGGCATGGGCGACACCTCTGAGGGCGAACACGCTGCGCTACAGGTTGACACTTGGCGCTGCCTATCCCCGCAGCCTCACGGGCTGAAACAACAAAGAACCCGTCTCGGCTTTGGACTTGGCTTTAGCTGTGTGGCTCTCTGATAGGCAGGATTATTCCTAGCCCGAGTCAGAAGCAGAAGCTGCCTCCACTCTGGCTTCTGTGCAGTGACAGCTCTTGTTAGCCATCAAGTTCAAGGAGCTCCTTGGACGCCTCACATCTGCCCCAGACAGTTTTCAGAGAGTCTCTCACTCTTCTGAGCAGCTGTCCAGACACCGCTGGAGGCTGGTGCTGTGTCGTCACAGACCGGCTTCCTAAGCTTACAGTCCAGTGGGCGAGACAGAAAGAATGCAGGCAACAAAATAAGAATACAGAGTTCATTTTTTGTCTTGTTTTGTTTTGTTTTAGAGAGATGTGGGCTCACTGTGCTGCCCAGGCTGGTCTTGAACTCCTGGCCTCAAGTGATCCTCCCGCCTCAGCCCCCTGAGCATCTGGGTCTACAGGCATGTGCCACCATGTCCAACTAAGTTGTTGTTGTTTTTTATTTGTTTTTTATTTTCTTTAAAGACAGGGTATGTTGCCCAGGCTGGTCTTGAACTCCTGGCCTCAAGCAGTCTTCCTGCCTCAGCCTCCTAAAGTGCAGGGATTACAGGTATGAGCCACCGTGCTGGCCAGTGTTCTTAATAATAAAAAAAATAGCTGGCCATGACAAGGGCTAGGATGACAATTCCACTGGGTGTGGTAGGCACTGCTAGTGTAGCCAGGTCCCCTGGGAGCCAGCCACCCAGCCCCTGCCATCATGAGGTCGGCTTCTTTGCTAATGATTCACAGCTGGACACCTCCCAGAAGACGGAGTGGGGCTGGGAGGTGCCTGGGAGGAGGGTCGGCCCACAGAGGCAGCCTCCTGGCCTCAAGGCTCAGTTCATACACCAGGGCTTCCCGTGGGGTGAGGCTGAAATGACCCAGGCTGAGACATCACTCGTCCCTCCCGCTGGTTCTAGGGGCTCTCCCTAGTCAATAACTTGTACGAGAATCCCTGTCTTGGGCTCTGTTTATAGGGACCCCAACCTAAGACACAGGGATCCAGAGGTCCAGGTGGGCCTCTCTGTGGCTGAGGCCCAGCCCTGAGCGCCACAGTCAGGTCGCCCTCTGGTCAGCTCTGTCCTGCCGGGCACTGTGTTAAGGGCTCCCCAGACAGCACCAGGTCAGGCAAAGGCTTCAGCTTGCTGCACCTGCAAACTCCGACTGTCCCGAGCGGAAGGACCCTGCCAGAAGGACCCTGACTACCCACAGGCTGGAGGGGAAGGCCGGCCGGTTGGGTGATCCCAGGGCTCTGGGTCTTGACCGGGCTCTGGCATTGCAAGGAAGGGCTCCATCTGTGTTTCCACACTGGACTCATTCTTGACTCCAGGTCCACATTGGTGAGAGAAGCTGATTGACCCAGCTTAGCTCCTGGGCCTGCCCATCGGCTACGGGGAGGGTGAGGCACGTCGGTTGTATTCCCAGGACCACTTACCATGGGAGAACAATGACGCCCCCGGAGTGAACTGGCCTTTGTTTCCAGAAGAGCCGGGAGAGTCTCCTGCAATCCCATGCCAAAAATTCAGGAGGTGCCTCTCTCTGTTAATTTGGTGCACACTGAAGGGCATTTTTGAGAAGGAGCTAATTCACTATTCCCCACCGGGCAGATCTGTGAGAACATATTCATGCCTTTTATTAGCATTCATATGACTTTGAGGGGCTTTTTGTCATTGCTAAAACTCAAAGTATGTGTGAACAGTTCTGTATGATGGTGTCAATGTTACACAACAAATGACTTCTCACTTCACATCCCGGGCTTTTCTGCTCATTACAAGAACCTAATTGAAAGTAATTGAAGGCTGAATTTCATCATGCATGAAAAGTATTTCGGAAAATGCAAGAAATACAAACATCTTCAAACCTCTTAAGTAATGTTCAAGAATCAAGGAAGAGTTGGGGGGAAAACAAGTGAGAACCCTTACTTGGCCCCACATTTGTCCAATTAATTTTATGAGAACAGGTTTCACGTCGCCGAATCTTGCTGGTTATCCAGTACCATGGCAAGGGCTTTGGAATTACACTTTGCATCAACCTGGAAGAATCTCACGCTGGACGGGGTTACAATTTTATAATCACTTTCCATTGAAGTAAAGTTCTAGTCCAGGACCTTGGAGAGAGACTTTTAAAAGTGGGGGTAGGGGGTCTGGCACACTGGCCCATGCCTATAATCCCAGCACTTTGGGAGGCTGAGGCAGGAAGGTCACATGAGGCCAAGAGTTTGAGACCAGACTGGCCAACATAGTGAAACCCTATCTCTACAACAAATTTAAAAATTGGCCAGGTGTGGTGGTCCACACTCTGGTCCCAGGTACTCAGGAGACTGAGGTGGGAGGATCACTTCAGCCCAGGAGTTGAAGGCTGTCGTGAGTTGTGATTGCGCCACTGCACTCCAGCCTGGGCGACAGAGCAAGACCCTGTCTCAAAAAAAACGGGGTTTCACTTAGCACTTGCATCCCCCAAAGCTGCATTTGTAGAGCTGGTGGGAGTGAGAGAAGGGGCCAGGATGTTCGTCTCCTGTGGAGCATCCAGGGGCGCTGAGAAGACACTCAGACCCTGTGGATGGCAGGGAGGGAACTCTTCTGACCCCTTCCAGCTTTCAGAGGCTACTTAGGCCAGCAGTATGATGCGGAAACAGGAGCTGGGAACTCTGCCCGGGTCATCACTTACTCGTGAACCTTCGTCACATCCCTCAGCTTCTCTGGGCCTCAGTCCCTCCATCTTCAGAATGGGCTCTGTGAGATGGTCAGGTGGGGCTGACGCTCTGAGATTTTTTTCAATGGTCCCTTAAGGAATTCCAGGCGTGGAGGGTAGAGGTTTCTGGGTCTCCTCTTCTGTGCCTGCTTCAGGGTGAATGAGGAGGCTTCTGAGGCTGTGGTGAGGACACACAAGGCTGGGAACTGTGATTCCCAGGGACAGACACAGTGAGAAGCAGGCTGAGGACCAGCCTTGGGAAGCCCCCAGCGACGCCGTTGTGAGGGGAGAACAGAGCACCCCCCCCGTGGGTCTGTCCCTCCACAATCCGCCCCAGCCTCCAGGAGCCTTCCTTCTCCTCCTCCTCCTCATGCTCTGGAACCCATGTATCATCCAGGCCAGCCCACTGCAGGTTGCTGGGTCGGCCACATCTCCCTTCCTCCCCTCCCATCTCCCTTCCCTGTGGCCTCCCTTCCTGTTTATTTTCCCTCGTGCAGAGGCTCCCACATTCTCTCTGATCGCTCCCCAAGCCCTCACCTCCATCCCCACCTTTCTCTGCCTGCTCACCGTTTTTTCCTCTGGGTCTCGGGGTGGCCTTTTCTGCTCCAGGAGGCCTCCTTAGGGCCAGGACAGCCTTGGGTTTCCCTACGCAGCTGGGTGACTGGGGCCGTCTACCTGCCTGTCTGCCTGTCTGCCTGTCTGCCTGTCTCCCCTGCCCCTTGGGCTGCCTTCCTCATTTCACTTGTTTGTCCAGGAACGGTTGGGCCCTACCTACCAACAGGCCATCCCTGGGGACTGGCAGCCCCGTGTGTGTTCCCAGGGCCTAGAGAAGGGTGTGGAGGGGAAGGCAGGAGGTGGGGAGGTAGGGAGCCCTCGGCTGTGCAATGCAGGCAGGGGAACAGACAGAAACCCTGAGAAAACTCTGATGTTGTTGGCAAGAAAACCAAGAAGCTCAAGCAGGAGCACTGGTTGGGGCCACGGAGAAGCTGCAGGTGCAAATGGGCAAGTTGCCTTCTTCCCTCAAGGCTCCCATGAGACTCAGATCCTAAAAGAAAATTGCCTCTCTCGGCCAGGCACGGTGGCTCACACCTGTAATCCCAGCACTTTGGGAGGCTGAGGTGGGCAGATCACCTGAGGTTGAGAAGTTCAAGACGGGCAACATGGTGAAACCCCGTCTCTCCTAAAAGTACAAAAATTAGCTGGGTGTGGTGGGGGGAGCGCCTGTAGTCCCAACTATCCTAGTCCCAACTACTTGGGAGGTTGAGGCAGGAGAATCACTTGAACCCAGGAAGTGGAGGTTGCAGTGAACCAAGATCACACCACTGCACTCCAGCCTGGGTGACAGAGCAAGACCCTGTCTAAAAAAAAAAAAAAAAGAAAGAAAGAAAAGGAAAAGGAAAAAAAAAAGAAAAGAAAATTGCCTGTCTCAGCAGGCCAAGTGCAAGTCCGCCTGCCTGGGTCCTGTGCCTTCGGGATGGGGCAAGACGGCCATGGCACCTGTTGGCACCATCCAGAGCTTTTACTCCATGGAGAGAGGGGAACTGCTCCAGGCAGCTCAGAACTCCCAACAGGCTGCAAAGGCAAGGGTCTGCGATCTGTTTTCCTGGGAACATCTCTGGGCTTAATATCATAGAAGGAGAAAGCTGAAACACCTCGCTGAAGAATTACATCCTTCTGGAAGAACTTGATCCAGGAGATTTTTAAAGTGTCTTTAAAATGCTGGGACAGGAACCAAGGGAGGCTTGATGAGTGGCAGGCAAGGCCCATGAATGCAGAATGGCCGCCCCTTTCCATTCTGAAAGGATATCCCGCCGGGTGTGCATGGGGGAGTGTGTGTGTGTATTGTGTTCTGTGTGTGTGTGTTCGTGCGTATGCATATTTTGTGTTTGTGTATGTTTGTGTATTGAATGTGTGTTGTGTGTGTATGTGTATTTGTGTTGTGTGCATGTGTGCGTGTGTGTGTGATGTGTGTGTTTGTGTATTGAGTATGTGTTGTGTGTGCACTGTGCATGTGTATGTGTGTTTGTGTATATGTGTGTATTTAGTGTGTGTTGTGTGTATGTGTGTTTGTGTATGTGTATTGTGTGTGTTGTGTGTGCATATGTGCATGTGTGTGTGACGTGTGTATGTGTATTGAGTGTATGTTGTGTGTTTGTGTACTGTGTGCATGTTTGTGTTTGTGTCGTGTACATGTTTGTGTATGTGTATGGTGTCTGTGTGTATTGTGTATTTGTGTGTTTGTTTATGCGTTTGTGTATTGAGTGTGTGTGTTGTGTGTACATGTATGTTTGTGTGTTGTATATGTGTTGTGTGTGTACATGTATGTGTGCTGTGTGTGTATTGAGTGCACATGTGTGTTGTGTGTCTGTGTGTAGGTATGCGTATGTGTATGTGTGTTTGTGTATTGTGTGCTTGTGTGGTGTGTGTGTATGTGTGTACTGTGTGTGTGTGTGTGTCATGTGTACATGTCTGTATGTGCATTTGTGTGCATGGTGTGTGTGTGTGTCCAGAGCTGTGTGAGGCAGTGGTCAGGACCAAACTGACTCACTCTGACCCTGACTTTCTCCAAGGCCTTCCTTGCCCAGTGCCCCAAGGGGTCTCCCAGACCTTGCTCTACCCCGCAATGCTTATCCTGATGTACAACAACAACTTAAGGGGGTGTCACTCGTGGGAGAAGCCCTAATTCTGAGAGTGTCTGTGTCCGTCTGCGGGCTGACTGAGAGAGACCTTCCCGACCGTGCACGTGCACTGGGACAGCTCTGGCTGACAGGAGGCCCTGGTGCAGGGGCCTTCCCGGTGGGTGGGTCTCTCCCTCCCCCAGAATCTGGGTGTAACTCTCTCTCCCCGGCTTCCACCCTTGAAAGCTTAGGGAATCCACCTCCAAAGTGTCTGCGATTCAAAACCACACAGGGTGACTTTTCTCCAGTTTCAAGTTCATTTGAAACCTGGCAAATCCTCCTGGGGGAGACTCTGCCAGAACGTTTCATGTCATCCAGCCATTTCTGAGAGGAGAACCGGCCTTCCAAGCAGAAGTCCCTGGGTGAACACTATCGCGGAGTCCCGTAAGTTATTTTAATGTAGACATCACTTTAAACTAACCTTTCACCATCTGTTCTGTCCTCTAATAACAAATGCGGAAGAGCGTGGGTCTCCACGGCATCCTAAGGCGATCGGCGCACTGGAGGCGCCTGTCTGTGCTCCCTATTCACGGCCCATCGTGGGCTTCTGCGGTGTTTGTCTCATTTGCCAGACACAAATCAAGTGGAAAACTGTTCTCCCCTGATCTGGTGGATTCACTCGCACAGTATTTCTTCTTAATATGGTAAACTGTGGGAGAATTCAGAGCATTTTGAGAGCTGATGCTCAGAGCCCGTGGATGCACATCACCCGCAGCCACCCGCTGCCCGCCATATTTCAGAGGCGGCCAAACGGGCCTGGAGAATAAGCAAATGCGGCCTGATGGCCAAAACGTAATGAGCTTTCCTTGAAAAACAAATTCTCTTTAAATAGGTGGTGGATTATTTTCAGCAGTCTCCTCATTAAATTTCCCTATGAAAGAGGGATTGATTCGCCCAAAACTAGCAATAGCGCACAGTGAATCTACAACCCATCCTTCCGGCTGCTGCAGACCCCGTCCCTGGCGCCCACCTCCTGCCTCCAGAAGACTGGACCTGGCTCTGTGTGTTCTCCTCAGCCCAGTGCCACTCAGCCACTCGAGCACCTACTGCGTGCTCCCAGTGCCCTTCTCCTAACCCAAAGCCAAAGCAGCGTCCATACTCATCAGGCCTCGGAGAAGCGCAGCGCTCCCGGACGGCGGGGCTGGTGGGCTCTGTACTCCACCTCAGCTGCCTGCTCTCCTGCGAATGTGATCTCTTAGCTTTTCTCCCACCCCCGAGGAACAAGTCATCAGAGGTGACAGGGAGAGGGGCTCCTCCCCTCTATCTAGACGTTGCCCCATACCCCCTCGTGACCAAACTTGGTGAAAACTCTCCATGGGTGGAGAAGAGATGGGCCTTGCCCATGGAAGGCCTGCAGGAATAACGTTGCTGGTGGCCTTGGGCAGTAGAGGGAGGGGTGATTAAGGCTCCGTTGGAGGCTTTTCCCATGGACCGCTGAGGGGCCCAGACCCGCCCTTCCCTAGGTCGCTGTCTCTGAAGTTCTGCTTGGTGTGTGCGGCTCAGGGCAGAGCTGGGAAAGGAACCTACCTGATCATGGGAAAGTAAGGAGGTGCATTGCGGGGGGGAACAAAGACGCTCCTCACAGACTGTGAGTGTGTGCACATGTGCACAGGAGTGTGTGTGTGTGCGCGCGTGCGCGCACCGTGGGCCTGCAGGCCTCCTCTCCTGGCGATGTCTCCTAGCACGTGAGCAGCCCCCTATTGGCACTGACCCCCATGGCGCCTTTATGATGGAAACAGCATCTCCCTCTTCCTATACGGAAAACAGCTTTTTTCTATTACGACATGAGACAGCCTTGGGGTGGCCGGTGTGCGGGGCACCTCACTCCTGCACGTAGGAACAGCTCTGGTGTGCAAATGCGAAATGCTGGCTTAAGAAAGATGTTCTCCATCAGGCTGAATTCTCTATGAATTGGAGTTTTTCCAGGGGATGACTTGCTTTCTTTGATACGAATTAAGCTGGAAGGGATACTCTATCAAACGTGCTTTGAGTCTCTCTGAAGGCTAGCCTATGATTGTCATCGTGCTGCAGAGATGAGGTGCCTGGCGAGAAGCCAGCCCTCTGTCTCTGAGGTAAGTGCTATTCAGGCGCGATGAAGGAGGCTTGGAAGTCACTGCTGCTTCTGCTGGCTGGCATCTCTGCTGGGTGTCACACCTATGCCACACGTGGGGCAGTTGCAGTGGTCATACTGTGTGTCATCAGAATTCAGAATGCTCCTGCATTTCAAGGTCTGCAAGCTTCATAAAAACCGAGTGGGCTGCTTTTTCTGTCTCGTTCTTTGCTCTGGAAAAGTTTCAGGAAATTCCAGAGCGAGCTGACCTGTCCTCAGATCTTTTAGAAGGAATTTCCTGAAGTCATACGGTATCTCCAGGTGTGTGTTCTCTGCTAGTCAAGTTTTAAATTGTATATTTTCTCAAAAAATAATCAATTTCATACAATTTTCACCTATGCTTGCATAACATATAGAGAAGAAAACGCTTTAAAACAAATCTTATTTTTTTCTCAAGTTTATCAAAGACACAGCTAGTTTCCTGAGGACTTTTCCCCTAACTACAGCTCTGGAATCTGTTACCCCTATTTTTCTGCTTTCAGATTTGGAAGTTTCTGTGTCATCTTTATTGATGACTTTGGTGTCTGCTGCTTCCTGCTTTCTTGTTCCTTTCCTTGTGGGATTGAGCGTTTGGTTTGTTGGCTGTAATTCCATTTTGATTATGAAAACATTCAAGGTTATGGGTTTGCAGGCACTCTACCTCTGGGCTTCACTGTATAACAGTCGCGTTGTTATATTATTATTAAACAAAAGAAATATTTTTAAAAGCCTCTAAAAATAACTTTGGTTCCTGTTGACCCAATGGTTATTTCGCAGTGTCATTCAGATTTCTAAAAGGTCTTTTTTCAGTTTTGTTATTAACTTTTAATTGTATCATTTCAGTAAAAGGTCCTAGTAAGGCCGAATGCGGTAGTTCACACCTGTAATCCCAGTGCTTTGGGAGGCCAAGGTGGGAGGATCGCTTAAAGCCAGAAGTTCGGCCAGGCGCGGTGGCTCACGCCTGTAATCCCAGCACTTTGGGAGGCCGAGGCGGGTGAATCATGAGGTCAGGAGATCGAGACCATCCTGGCTAACAAGGTGAAACCCCGTCTCTACTAAAAATACAAAAAATTAGCCGGGCGCGGTGGCGGGCGCCTGTAGTCCCAGCTACTCAGGAGGCTGAGGCAGGAGAATGGCGTGAACCCAGGAAGCGGAGCTTGCAGTGAGCCGAGATTGCACCACTGCAGTCCGCAGTCCGGCCTGGGCGACAGAGCGAGACTCCGTCTCAAAAAAAAAAAAAAAAAAAAAAGCCAGAAGTTCGAGACCAGCCTGGGAAACATAGTGAGACCTTTTCTGCACAAAAGAATTTCAGAAATTAGCCAGGCGTGGTTGCCAGCACCTGTAGTCCCAGCTACTCCGGGGCTGAGGTAGAAGGATTGCTTGAGCACAGGAGGTCAAGGCTGCAGTGAGATATGATTGCCCTACTGCACTCCAGGTGACAGAATGAGACCTGTCTCTAAAAAAAAAAAAAAAAAAAATTCCTGTTCCATTTTGTTTTGGGGGTATTTTTGGGGTTTCCGCTATGGCCCACTGTATTATGAAATGTTGTGATGGTCCTGTGGGCTTTGAGAAAAAAAGTAGTATATGCTAAAGACATGCTCAAAGTTGAATGCAAATCCATTCATTCCACCTTCTCAGTTTCACCTTTCAAATCTCCGTGGCCTCCCCCAACTTCCCTGAGGGAACCCCCAGGCTCTGGGAAGCGCCACTCACCTGTGGTGGGCTGGTGACCACCAAGTCCCCCTCCTCATTACAGGAGGTTTCGCCTCAACTGAGTGAAAGACGTGCATCTTGTTTTTAATGCTACCAGTGTCCTTTCTGTTTCCCAAAATCTTGTATGAATCTCAATCTTTGCTCAAAAACCAAATGAAGCCTTTGCCTAACCCTTCCCCATCCCAAGTAAAACTCAGAGTTTCGTGTCTGCCTGTGTCTTTCCATTTCCTCCCCCAGTTAGCAGCCTTTTCTAGCTTACTTTGGACTTGGGACCCGGATAACCATCATTCAATTGTTTTCTAAACAATTAGAAAGGCTGGGACACACATGCATTGGGTCCTAGTCTTTTCTCTCACTGTGGAGGTTGCTCTGTTTTCTTGCCTTTGTCTAGTCCTGGGTTTGATGTCAGAACACGAGGCCATTTTATACCATCATTTCCATTGTTTTCATCTGTGCTGTGGATGTCTGCCAGGCATCCCGAGTTCTCGGTGTATTTGCTGAGTTACTGACAGGCCCTAGACCTGCAGTCGGCGGCTCTCAGTGAAACCCTGACCACCGACTGTCCTTCCACTTCCCAAAGTGGATGAAAGATCAGCTGTGGTCCCCATTGTACCTGAAAATGGTCGAGCTCGAGGAACTCATGAGAGGGGATGAATGTCAGAGATCGGCCCCGGGCCTCTCCTCACCACAGGATAACCTCTTCTCGCTTTGCTCCTGCCTTTCAGATCCGGTCCGACAAAGACAATGACATCCCCATCCGGTACAGCATCACGGGAGTGGGCGCCGACCAGCCCCCCATGGAGGTCTTCAGCATTGACTCCATGTCCGGCCGGATGTACGTCACAAGGCCCATGGACCGGGAGGAGCACGCCTCTTACCACGTGAGTGTCCACACCCGGCTGAGAATGGGGCCCTGGGGTGGCGATCCCAGCCCTACCAGGCCTTGGCAGGTGCCCCCAGCAGGGCCATGCCTGCCCTAACTCTACAGGCAGCACTCCAACTTTGGCCTGGAGCAGAATCCTGGGAAGCTGGGGAAAGCCCAGGTCGCTGGGCACTGTCCCCCGTCTAATTCAGCAGGGTGGGCCCAGGGTGGGCCTGGGAAACTGCATTTCACACACTCCCCAGGACGCAAGTCAGGCCTGGGCCCACACTGGGAGAACTACTGGTCCAGAAGGCCTCCATCCACGTGGTCTTCTGCTTTGGATGGCTCTGCGGGGCTGGGAGTCAGGGTCACCAGCTGCGATGCTCCCTCGGGGCCCCTCATGCTGCTCTTGGCCCCTTTCTCCGAAGCACAGCCCATTGTCCCTCACACCCTCTCTAGGCTGGGACAATAGTCCTGCAAGCTTTTCATTTCCTCCGACGTCTCTCGCGGCAGAAAGAGCCTCTGAAAGGAGAGCCGCGCTGATTCCCTGTCAGGGGCTGTGCACGGAAAGAAATGCTAGAGAGACGTGGGGCTGCGGCCTCAGCTTCCAGGGGGCGGGCCTTCTCCTCCCGGGCCGAACTGACCCTGGCCGAGAGGAGGGGGCCTGGGCCATGGTGAAAGCAGTGGGGAGTGCACATCCCTTCACCTCAGGGTCCAGAGCTGTCCATCACGTGTAGGTGAAGGCCTCGCCAGCAGCGCAGAACAGGCTGGAGCCAAATCACGAGGGTCACACCCCGACCTGCCCCTGGCCAGATGTGAGCTATTGGGCAGATGCTGTCGCCTCTCCTGGCCTCAGTCCCTGCTCCTCCTCATGGGGTTGTTCTGAGGACTCCAGGGTTAACCCTGGTGAGGCGTTCAGCACAAGCCCGTGCTGTCAGGGCCGTGTGCTTCTCCGTGGTAACTCGGGAACAACCATGGAAGACTTGGCCCCACCTGACAGTGTCACCTTGCTCGGTTCCACCTTCGCTTGGCTTCAGTCAGTGGCACCGAACAGGGCCCGACCCTGCAGCTTCTCACGTCTGTGACTATTTGTTTTGGGGTTCATTCATTCCATCTCGCACCAGAAGGAGGCTGCATAGGGGCAGGGAACCCTCCGGCTTTTCCACGCCAGATCTCAGGCCCAAGTACAGAGCCTGGCCTTCAGGGGGCTCACTAAGCATTCAAGGAAGGGAGGGCGTTGACGGGAGAAGATCGGTTTTGCTGTTGGCCACAGTGGCCTCCCTGACAGCCCCTGAGGCACCGTCTGAAGCAGGGTCGGAGCTGGATGGATCCTGGGGAGCCCACTTGGGAGGTGGCTGCCCTAACCCCGGTCTGCACCGGGGCCTTATCAGTCCCTCACGGCTGCCTCCTGGGAAGGCTCACGCCTTGGCTGGGTGTTGGGGAGACCTGATTGACAGTGCCTGGGCTTCGTGTGCTGGGCCCCCCAGGAGTGGCCGAGGCAGAACCACAGAACCAACCAGAGACTCCGGCTGACGCCCCCTGGCTATGCAGCAAGAGACAGGCCCTCAGCATGGCTGCTGGCTCCCAAAACGGGCTTTGGGCTGCCGTCAACACGCGTCTACAACAGGCTCAGGAACCGGAACTCAACAGCCCTTACTGCCAAGAAATAGCTACGGACCAAGGACTTAGGGAGAGACACAGACACACACACACACACAGAGATAGAGATACAGAGACAGAGAGGGAGACAGAGACACAGAGAGAGACATAGGAGACAGAGAAGAGAGACACAGGTAATACAGAGACAGAGGCATAGAGACAGAAATAAAGAGAGAGACTGACCGTGAGAAACAGATTCAGAGACAGAGACTTGATACAAGTCTTGCCACATCTAGATGTGGGGCAGGGGGAGCCAACCCTTCAACTCTGTGAATTCCTGACACGTGTTTCTGTCTGTTGTTTTTTTAACCAAGGCAGACTTGGAGCGGGGTCAGCCCACTTCTTCCTGGTGTGGCATTGCACATGCAGCCTGTGGGTGCTCGCTGGGGCATCCAAGGGGCACCAGGAGAGCTGGGTCAGCCCACTTCTCCCTGGTGTGGCATCGCAGATGCAGCCTGTGGGTGCTGGCCGGGGCATCTGAGGGGCACCAGAAGTGCTGTAGGGCTGCCGGGTGCCTGTTGCAGGAGGACTCAGGACCCAGCACTTGCTGAATGCACAGTGATTCCCAGGTGACCTGCACCAGCAGAAGGCCTCTTCCTTCCATTTCATCTTATAATTCCTCCTGGAAACCTGGAGCTCAGAGCTGGCCCTCCCTGCATCATCCCCAATGAGCTGTTTCTCCTCCATGGATTCTCACCAGAGGCAGCCTTCGCATTCCCACCAACTCCCCGGAAAAGGTTTCAGGGCTCAGCTACCTCTGCACACAGCACGGCTAGGGGACGGGGACCTCCAGGGCCACCACTGGACAGTGCCCCCTTCATGCACCTTGAAGCCTAAGGCACAGCCTGCAACCCAGCCTGGGAGTTCTGCCCACAGCAGGGGTCCGGCTGTGCAGGGCTAGAGGTTGGAATGGCCACTCCAGGGATCTGGGTCACCCACCCCTCTATGATTCATTCCCAAGGCCCTCCTCTCATGCACAGGTAGAAATTTTCAACCCACCATGTGCAGAGACAGTGGCTGGCACTGGGGAGGAATCCAGCGCCCCCACCACCTCCTGCCATGCCGTGCAAACATGCCGTGTAAACATGCGGTGTAAACACGCTGTGTAAACATGTGCAAACACGCTGTGTTAGCCCTTTCATATTGCTATAAAGAAATACCTGAGGCTGCGTAATATAGAGAGAAAAGAGGTTTATTTGGCTCACGGTTCTGCAGGCTGTACAGGAAGTATAGCGCCGGCATCTCCTTCTGGGGAGGCCTCAGGAAGCTTCCACTCATGGGAGAAAGTGAAGGGGAGCAGACGTCCCACGTGGCAGGAGTGAGAGAGAGAGAGAGAGGGACGGAGGTGCCAAGCTCTTTAAACAACAGGCCCTGGAGTGCACTCAGAGCAAGAATTCACGTGTTACCACAAGGGCAGCACTGAGCCATTGACAAGTGATCCACCCCCATGATCCAAACACCTCCCACCAGGCCCACCTCCAACACTGGAGGGCACATTTCAAATGAGATCTAGAAGGGACGGAACATCCAAACCACGCCACACACCTCCATTCGTCTGTTTATTCTTTCTGCCTAATGCATATGCAGAGCTTTGCTCAGCACCAGGCTCTACCCAGGAAAGGTGCAGTGCCTCTGTAGATGGTCCTGCAGCAAACCCCCAGAAAGATGGGGATCACAGGCTGGTGGGGACCAGGGACCTGGGTCCCACACCTGCAGGCCCCAGCCCTCACCACGGATGCACTCAGGCCTCCCACACTCCCCACCTGAGCTGGCCATGAAAGAAGATGAGGGAGCCCAGGGCGGTGGGGGTGGGGCTGCTGGTGAAAGGTCAGGCCCACCTGCCCCAGCCACCCACGTGGCTTGCCAGTGCGCAGACACTTTTGCACACACGTTGCCTTCCCTTCTTTTGTTTTTCTTTTGTTTTTTGAGACAGGGTCTCGCTCTGTCACTCAGGCTGGAATGCAGTGGTGCAATCTCAGCTTACTGTAGCCTCAACCTCCCAGGCTCAAGCAATCCTCCCACCTCAGCCTCCCAAGTACCTAGGACTTTTTTTATTGTATTGTATTGTATTGTATTTTTTGAGACAGAGTCTGACTTCGTCAGCCAGGCTGGAGTGCAGTGGTACTATCTCGGCTCACTGCAACCTCCGCCTCACAGGTTCAAGCGATTCTCCTGCCTCAGCCTCCCAGGTAGCTGGAACTACAGGCACCCGCCACCACGCCCAGCTAATTTTTCTGAATTTTTAATAGAGACAGGGTTTTACCATGTTGGCCAGGCTGGTCTCAAACTCCTGAGCTCAAGCCATCTGCCTGCGTCAGCCTCCCAAAGTGCTGGGATTACAGGTGTAAACCACTGCACCGAGCCCACGTTCCTGTCTATTTCCTGCCCCAGCCCTGAGGCTTCATGGTTTTCTCCCTGCTTTGAAGATGAGAAATGCAGTCATCCCACATCGCCAGCATCTCTTGCTGCCTCCTGCACACCAGGTTCTAGGAGCAAGCTCGTGGAGATCATTAGTTTTATCATCCTCATTTCCCATTTTCACAGTGAGGAATGGTGAGCCCTGAGATCTGGCTGGACTCCAGCCTTCTCACCCCTTCAGGGACTGCAGAGTCAGCAGGAGATGCAGGGCCCAGAAGGGAGAAGAAGCTGCATCGTCTGCCAAATTCTGGAATGAAGCCCTCAAGTTCCACTTGTAGCTAATCTCTCTGTCCCACCGAGATGGAGGCCTTGGGGATGCCTGGCTTTCCTGCCCTTCCCTGGAGAAGGAAGCCCCTCCCTGCAAGCATCACACTCCTCATCAGACTCCAGTGTGACCCCAACTCCGGATTTCCACCTTGTAGGATGCCCACCAGGGTCTTTGGGGGCAGCTGTGCCAGCCAGCAGGGGTGTGTTAGTTCTCTGCACTGTGTAACGAATCAGCACAAACTTAGTGGCTGAAACAACGCCCTATGAGTTCACCGTGCTGTAGGTCAGAAGTCCAGATGGGCTTGGCTTGTGTTTCTGCTCCGGGTCTCACCAGGCCAAAATCAAAGTGCCGGCCAGCCTGGGTGCTCCCCCGGCCCTAGGGAGGATCTGCCTCTAGGCTCACCGGCCTGGGTGCTCCCCCGGCCCTAGGGAGGACCTGCCTCTAGGCTCACTGGGGCTGTGGCAGGTCTGGATCCTTGTGGTTGCAGGACTGAGGTCTCCATGTCCTTGCTGGCTATTCGGGGGGCCACAGCCACCCCCTGAAGGGCACCTGCATGCCTCGGCACGTGTCTCCTCCACTGTCACCCAGCAAGGTGCATAGGATGCCCGCATGCCCTTCTCTCCTGCCTCCAGCTGGAGAACGTTCAGCTTTCGAAGGCCCATGTGGTTGGATGGCGTCCACCCAGCCCTGTCTTAAGGTCAAAAACGTAGCCCAGTGGGGAGGGAACACATCTGTCTTCACATCTGGGACCAGCACCTGACATCCTTGGGGCCATCTTAGAGTTTTTCCTACCTCCCCAGTGTCTTTAGATCCTGTTCCATTTTCCACCCAGCTCTGTGGGCTGAGGGTGGCGAGGACGCATCCCCAGCCTGAGTACGCTGACGACTGTGACACGTGTCACCCTAAAGCCAGCCTGTAAACATTCAAACGCACAACACGCACAAGTGCTCACTGCTGGCTTTGCAGGGTGATGCTCCAGAAGATTCCTTGAAGGATTCCGTAAGTTAGACACATTAGCTCACCCAGCCACACGCTGTCATCTTCCGAAAGTTTTCTAACCTTTCTGAGCCTCAGTTTCCTCATCTGTAAAATAGGGACCAAGACAATGCCAATCTCACAGATTCTGATGAAAATTGGAGTTAACGTGTGTAGGGTTCTTATAGCACTGCCTGGCCCTGAGCAAACGCACGGTGCGTGTTGGCTGCCGATGTCACTGATGAAGAAAGTCTCCAACACCTTTACCCCTCGGCCACTTCCAAGACCCTCATGGACTGTTCCCAGTTCCATACGCCTTGGAGGGAACCCACACCCACAATTAAGATAGGAGGAAAAGAGAGCAGCCAAGAGGCGGGAGCATTAGATCCCACACACATCTGGACAGTCATCTGTCAACAGACACATTTCCCCCGAGCGCCTTCCCGCCCCAATGCCAGACCACGCCCATGTATTAATATTTCCTAATCTTGTCTCCCGGAACGAGGATAGAAAAATGTCCTATTCAAGATGTTGCAGGAAATGCACTCTGCGCCTGACGCTCCGATTTGCAGGTTGCAGAACGCTCGGAGGACTCCTCCACCCATGTTTGCGTGTTTCCTCCACCGTCATGGTGAGGTCACCTCTCTCAGGCCCACCCTGGGTGTGCCCAGCCTGAGAGATGGGCAGGGGAGATTTCTACAGGAGCTGTCAAATGTATTTGAATCTTTTGGGGGTGAGGCAGGGAGTGGGACAAGGAGGACACAGGCCACGGGCAGAGGCGGTATTTCCTCGTTATCCGCACTCGCGCTGCTCCCGCTGCTACAGATAGCGCCTGAAACTGCTTTAGTTAGGAGATAATAACTTTAATTTTAGCTCAGAATTACTTTTCCCCCGAGGCCCTGTGACCTCTGGGCGTGTGGGAAACACATCCATAGCAGGACGGAGCTGCAGATGGGTCGGGGATGGGGGAGTCTGCCCGCGACGGGGCGGGGACAGCCGGTTCCAGCAACCCCACAGCACTTCAGGCTGTTTAAACATGATATGTAAAGCTGACCTGGCGTGCGTGCAGCCACATCTCGCGTGGCAGTCTGCAGTTCCTCCAGGAGTCAGTGCTAGCTTGTCTCCTTACTACAGCACAGATTGCCTCTTTGGGTAAAGCCAGCCTCTAGATCTTCCGTAAACACACAATGTAGGGGGTAAAATTCCACTCTGGATGGTTGGAGCCAAACCAAAACACTGGTATAGGCATGGACACAGTTAGCTCCTGGGTTTCCCTGGGGCAGGCGTGGAATTCAGGGCCCCCCTGATCCCCTGAGTTCGGGGGAGTGGCAGCGGCCATGTGAGGCAGGCCACCAAGGGGATGATGTGGAGACCCGTCTGGCATGGGGCTTCTCTCACGGCCACCCTGGGCTGGGTGATGTTTTGCTGCAAATACCTTGAGTGAGGTCTGTTGTGTCCAACTTCGAGGGTGATGTGGAGTTTTGGCAGAAAGATGTGAGCTGAGGACACCTCTGGCTGACCATCCAGCTCTGGGTGGAGAGGCCTCGGATGTGCCCTTTCCACTCCCCGACAGCCCCTCAGCAGCCCCCTCGCCTGCCGGCAGCGCCCAGCCTCTCTGTGTCCTCTGCCTTGGCCTGTTCTTGAGGTCTCAGCTCAAGCAGCCCCTCCTCCGAGAGGCCTCCCTGGCGGCCACCACACCCACTGATGGCTTCTTCTCTTCCCGGTGTCCATTGTCCCTTGGATGGAAGCTCCAGGGCAGCCACACTGCCTTCAGTGCACAGTAATCTAGGGTCCAGCCCAGCACCTGCCATTGCAGGCCCTTGATGGGCATCTGCAGAACAAATGAATGAGTGAAAGAACAAATCCAGAACTTAAGGGGTGACTCTGAGAAGCTCCTGCGGAACCTTCCAGCCCAGATTCAGCTCTTCCCTTTTCACCTCGAAGATGGTTCCTGTGACGTTCCCAGGAGCTCCACACAGGCCTCCCGGCCCTGCCTCTCCACGGATCCCCCCACCCCACCACCCATATTCCCCTGCTGTGCCCAAGAGCTGACAGGGCACACAGACGCAGAGGAGCCTGGAACTTGTCCAGGCTGGACTCTCAGTGGACGCCCAAATGGGCCCAATTCCCAGCCCAGCTCTGGCCCTTGCACACCCCGACCTGTCTCCTCCCCATCTCCCCTGGGGACTAACCTTACAGTGGCAGGAGTTAAGCCCCCGCCCAATTAGGCACAAATGTCTTTTCTGTTGCCACTTTGGGTGGACATCACCCCATCCAAGGGGCACCTGTCCTGCTCCAGACATCTGATCAGAACAGTCGGTGGCTCACGGAACAGTCGGGCAGGCATGGGAGGTCCTGGGTGGGCCTGGGCCTGACCATGGGGTGTTGGGGGGTTATGCTGGCTTCCAGCTCTGTGCGTCGCCCCACTCTGCACTCTCCTGACCCCCGTTTCTGCAGAGGAGAGAGCTGAGGCTCAGAGAATTCCATGACGTGTCCAAAGCCCCCCGGCCCCTATAGCCAACCTGCTTCTGCCATCAGTCTCCTACCCCAGCACCGCGGGTCCCAGGCCGCTCTCAGCTGAGTGGGGGTGCCCACCCGCCACTGGGCCCTGTCTCTGCTGCTTTTCCAGCTCCGAGCCCACGCTGTGGACATGAATGGCAACAAGGTGGAGAACCCCATCGACCTGTACATCTACGTCATCGACATGAATGACAACCGCCCTGAGTTCATCAACCAGGTCTACAACGGCTCCGTGGACGAGGGCTCCAAGCCAGGTGAGGCCTTTAGCGTTTGCTTGCTGGAGACCCTGTGGGCTCTGCGGGTGCAGCACAGGCCCTGAGGGCAGGGGAGGGCTGCTTAGTCCCCGCTACCAGGATGGTGCCACGGGACTTGGGCGCAGACACACAGCATGCAGCAGACGTCCACCAAAGCCCCTGCTCTCACAGGCCTTGGGGTCAAGGGGGTTGCAGACCACAGGTGAGAAGCGATTGCAGCCACAGCAGGGCCAACGGGCTGGGAAGAAAACCCGGGCACTGGGAGTCCTGGGGACAGCGGTGGGCCTGGGCAGGCCCCTCTGTGCAGCTGGCGTGTGGGCTGGGAGCTGAAGCCTGAGGTGGAGCAGCTCCCGGAGTGGGACTGGGGTGGGCTCCCGGGCAGGCGGAGAGGCTAGGGGAGCAAGGTGCCCATGCCAGGGCCTGGGGAGGCAACGAAGTCAGAGGGCTGAGGCCACTGGAGGCCTCCCAGCTAAACGTAAGATTTGGTTCCAAGCAAAACGGGAAGCGAGAGAGGCCCGGACTCCCCCCACAGAGGCGATCCCATGTGACTGAGGCTGTCTGCTCCCCTCAGAGCTGACCCAAGAGCCTGTCCCCCGAGACTTCACTCTGGCACCGGTGGTGGCGCCTGCTTTTTCATGTGTGGGGCCCTAGCTGAGCGTGTCATGTCTTGCATCTCTGCCGTCTGTGACTGCCAAGAAGTGGACGACCCCCACCAGCAGTGAGGAGGCTCAGGCCGGGGAGGTGAAGCAGTTGCAGACCCTCAGGGCGCACATGGGTTAGAACCTGGGTGTCCACATCCCCACAGGGCTGGCACAGCCCCCACCTGCTCATCCAGATGCTGCAGGTGGCCTGGGGCTGTGGGTTAACAAACCCCAGGGGGCTTCTGTGTGAGGGGAGCAGCTCCCCACTGTGGCTGCCTCCTGCATGGGGGGTGGAGAGGGGTCCTCTTTGGGACAAACCTTTGCCCGGCTTGGGTTGGGTCGGGGGAGGTGAGGTCACTGAGGAGACCTCTGCTTGGGCCACCCCTAAAGTACAAGACACCAAGTAAATGTGAAGTTCAGAGAGTCAGCAAAGCACTTTAAAGTGTGGCCTAAGCACCATTTAGGACGGACTTACACTAAGAGAGTAATCCTTGCTGATCTGAACTTCGAGTTTAATGGGGTGTCCTGTATTTTCACCAGCAACCACACCCCTGGCCAGTGCCCAGCAAGTGACGGCTTCCAGGCTTTACAGAAGTTGGCAGTCCTGGGCAAATGGGAGGCTGTTTCTGCATTGAAATCTGCAGCACATGGAGCCCAGAGCCAGGGCCAGCTCCCAGGGGCACCACACGCCCCTGCAGGCCCCCAGAGAGGGGTCAGCAGCATCCCAGCTCTGGGACTGGAAGGCAGGCCTTTATCACACCTGCTCGTGGAGGTGGCTGCGTGGGCGGTCCCTGGGCTATAGTGTGAACAAGGTGAATTATACCCTCGGTCCGCCCCCAGGGCTGCAGTGTGAACAGGGTGAATTGCACTCTTGGCCTGCCCCAGGGCTGCAGTGTGAACAGGATGAATTGTGCCTTTGGCCCACCCCCAGGGCTGCAGTGTGAACAGGGTGAATTGTGCCCTTGGTCCACCCCCAGGGGTGCAGTGTGAACAGGGTGAATTGTGCCTTTGGCCCACCCCCAGGGCTGCAGTGTGAACAGGGTGAATTGTGCCCTTGGTCCGCCCCCAGGGCTGCAGTGTGAACAGGGTGAATTGCACCTTTGGTCCACCCCCAGGGCTGCAGTGTGAACAGGGTGAATTGTGCCTTTGGCCCACCCCCAGGGCTGCAGTGTGAACAGGGTGAATTGTGCCCTTGGTCCGTCCCCAGGGCTGTAGTGTGAACAGGGTGAATTGTGCCCTTGGTCCACCCCCAGGGCTGCAGTGTGAACAGGGTGAATTGCGCCCTTGGTCCACCCCCAGGGCTGCAGTGTGAACAGGGTGAATTGTGCCCTTAGCCTGCCCCAGGGCTGTAATGTCAACAGGGTGAATTGCGCCTTTGGCCCACCCCCAGGGGTGCAGTGTGAACAGGGTGAATTGCGCCTTTGGCCCACCCCCAGGGGTGCAGTGTGAACAGGGTGAATTGTGCCCTTGGCCCACCCCCAGGGCTGCAGTGTGAACAGGGTGAATTGTGCCCTTGGCCCACCCCCAGGGCTGCAGTGTGAACAGGGTGAATTGCGCCTTTGGCCCACCCCCAGGGGTGCAGTGTGAACAGGGTGAATTGTGCCCTTGGCCCACCCCCAGGGCTGCAGTGTGAACAGGGTGAATTGTGCCCTTGGCCCACCCCCAGGGCTGCAGTGTGAACAGGGTGAATTGCGCCTTTGGTCTGCCCCCAGGGCTGCAGCGTGAACAGGGTGAATTGCACCCTTGATTGGTTGTCTTTCAGGATTATGACACACGGGTGCATCCAGTGTCACTGAAGGGAATGAATGTGACATTATTTCACTGGAACCATGGGCAGCTGGTCCTCAGCCATCCCTTAAGGGGCAGGCAGGGGGTGAGCAGATTAGCTCCAGGCAGCCAAAGAAAACGGATGAGGACACAGGAGCCCCTCGCAAGGGTGCAGATGTGGAGGAGTGGGCGGCAGGCCAGGCACACTCCTCACACAGATACCACTGGCCTCTCTCCCGGAGACCCAGGATGCTATTTAAAGGCGCCTGGATTTTCCTGGCCTTTCTATCACAAATCAAACCTCCCGTGTCTTACTTTTTAAAAAATCAATAGCAAAAGTCTTCCCAAAAGCGCAATTGGCTTTGCTCATTAGGATAACAAAGAGCAAATTGCGGAGACGTGGCCCCGTAAGTCCACGTAAGCCAAGCCTGGAGAGCCCGGCTGCCCGGCCATTTGCAGAGCTGGGCACGGCCTGGCAGCCAGAGGACATGTTGATGCCGGGACCCCGGAGTCAGCCCTTCTTCCCACCATTCCTGAGCTTTTCCAGGACTATGTTGAGTGAAACGTCCATGGACTCTCAGAGCCCCTGGGGGATCGGGAGTCTGTCTCTGGTCCCACAACAAGCTGTCTTTGTGCAAAGGCCAGGACGGAGCTGGAGGTGCCACTGTCAAGCCCACCTCGGTCACCCTTCACCCACCCCAGACAAGGGCAGGGAGAGATGGTGTCCATGCAAAGTGTGGCTTGCTTCTCTCAGTGGCGGTCTTCCCAGGACTTGGAAATCATCTCTACAATTTCTTCTCTTCCATCAGTAAATTACAATAATAGAAGGGTTCTACACAGTGCCTTTGTGGGATAAGGAAAAACTACCGCCAGAAATTAGTCATTATTCTCTGGAAGGACAGGGTAATGAAGGGTTTCAGATGCGTGTTCTAATGGAAAACAAATGGAAAGATGGGTTAAATATTGACTCAGCTCCAGAGGAACTTCGAAGGCTTGGGGAGTTCATCTGGGGACATGAGCATGCCAGTACAGGCCCGGGATCCATGAGGGTCCTGTGTGCCCCCCACACTCTTCTCCAGCCCCCCGGGATTCACAAGAGTCCTGCGTGCCCCCCACACTCTTCCCCAACCACCCTGGGATCCACGAGAATCCTTCATGCACCCCACACTCTTCCCCAGCCCCCCAGGATCCACGAGGGCCCTGCATGCATCCCACACTCTTCCCCACCTCCCCCCGCCGGGATCCACAAGGGTTCTGCGTGCACCCCACATTCTTCCCCAGCCCCCTAGAATCCATGAGGGTCCTGTGTGTACCCCCACATTCTTCCCCAGCCCCCTAGAATCCACGAGGGTCCTGTGTGCACCCCACACTCTTATCCAGCCCTCCTGAATTCATGAAATCCCCTGGGGCACTACTGACCTGCCCTGCTGGGCTCAGAGGGTGTGGCAGGCACCGTGGCCGGCTCTTTTGTGGTTGAGGCACAGAGTGAGATGTCTTGTTAGTGAGCAGGAGGCAGACCCCACCCCAGGGGCTCCCCGAGCAAGGGGACCATGACTGGGAAGTGCAGGCAGGGCTGGCAGTGCCAGGTGTGGCAGCGCCCCTGGCTGAGATGTGTTTCCAGAGTCTCCCCGGCCGGTTTTCAACCCCACCCTCCTTTCTCCTCCAAGAGATCCTCTCTGCTGCAGCCACCATGGCCTTGGAGGCCAAAAGCTTGTTCCTAAGCAGCTGGACAGCCCTGGGGGTGAGGGGAGCGTGTCTTTCCCAAGAGTCCCCGCAAAAGTCCCAAGGCAGGTTCTCGTGGGTCTCACTGCCCTGCCCCTGCCCCCATACCCCTCCCCGGGGCAGAGGGTGACAGCCTGTGGCACACAACCGGGGGACACCCTCCATCTTCATGCGTTCCGCGCTGTCTGGGATGGTGGGCGGCGCGTGTGCGTTCGCCATGGAGTAAGACGGGGCTCCAGGAAGTGGGCGTTCCCACCGAGGCCTTCGGCCCGGGCTGCGTATGTGACCCTAAGGCTGGTGAGTTCCGATGGTGGGAGAAGGCCCTGCTGGGTGACCCGCAGACCCGTACCACAGACGTTTTCCACAAAGAAATCAACGTTGGTTTATTTCAAGTTCCCCAGAAAGTGGAACCAAAATCAGGGTTCCCTCCAAAAAAAAACAAGGTCCACCTGAAATGACGGGAGGGCCGAGGATTTTTGCCCAGTTTCCAGCGAGGCCTGAGGCCCACGGAGGTGACTAGGGGCCCCCCATGTGGAGGGAGCTGGGGCCTGGCTTCGCAGCCCTCACTCCGTCCACCCAAGCTTCGCCACTTTCGTCTGCTGCGTTGGGCTTCCCGATGGGATTTCACTGGAAGAAATGACTTCTCAAAAAATCTTTTTATTTTGAGATAATTGTAGAGTCACATGCAGTTGTAGGAAATAAGACAGACAGATCCTGTAAGCCCTTCAGCCAGCCTCCCCCAAGGGTGATATCTTGCAGAACCGCAGTGCAGGTCACAGCCAGGAAACTGACCTTCGTACCGGCCACAGCCCCTACTAGGATCCCACCCGTTTGACCTGCATTCATTGGTGTGTCTGTGTGTGTGTGTGTCTCTGTGTGCATCTGTGTGTGTGTCAGTGTGTGTCTGTCTGTGTGTCTCTGTGTCTGTGTGTGTCTCTGTGTGTCTCTGTGTCTGAGTGTGTGTGTCTCTGTGTGTCTCTGTGTCTGTGTCTGCATCTGTGTGTGTGTCTGTGTCTGTGTGTCTCTGTGTGTGTGTCTGTATATGTCTCTGTGTGTGTCTCTGTGTCTGTGTCTCTGTTTCTGTGTGTCTGTGTCTGGGTGTCTGCATCTGTGTGTGTGTCTGTGTCTGTGTGTCTCTGTGTGTCTGTGTGTGTCTCTGTGTGTGTCTCTGTGTCTATATGTGTGTCTGTGTCTCTGTGTCTGTGTGTCTGTGTCTGTGTGTCTGCGTCTGTGTGTCTGTGTCTATGTGTGTCTGTGTCTGTGTGTGTGTCTCTGTGTCTGTATGTGTGTCTGTGTCTGTCTGTGTCTGTATCTGCGTATGTGTCTCTCTGTGCGTGTCTCTGTGTCTGTATGTGTATCTGTGTCTCTGTGTCTGTGTGTCTGCGTCTGTGTGTGTGTCTGTGTCTATGTGTGTCTCTGTGTCTGTATCTGTGTGTGTCTCTGTGTCTGTGTCTCTGTGTCTGTATGTGTGTGTCTGTGTCTGTGTATCTGTGTCTGTGTGTCTGCGTCTGTGTGTGTGTCTGTGTCTGCATGTGTGTCTGTCTGTGTGCCTCCCATCAACCCTAACCTGTGGCAACCACGACTCTATTTTCATCTGTAGTGTTGTCATTCCAAGGATACTATAGAAATGGAATCACAGCCGTGTGTTCCCTTTTGGGATTGGCTGTTTTCCTGCAGCATCGTTCTCTGGATGTACAGCCAGGTCGTATCCATAGCTCGTTCCTTTCTGTGGCGTAGAATTCCGTGGCCTGGGTGTACCGCGGCTTATGAGCCATCCCCAACTGATGGACGCTGGGCAGTTTCAACTCTGGGCCATGATGAACTGAGCTGCTCTGAGCACCCATTCCTGCATGGGGTCTCGTGTGAACATAAGTTTCCATTTCTCTAGAATGAATGCCCGAGAATGCAATTGTGGGGTCATCTCGGGAGCAGGCGTTTGTTTTGTGGGGAACTTCCATGTTCTCTGCCAGAGGGGCTGCCCCATCGCACACTCATCCCGCCCTCCTGAGAGTCCCGGATTCTCGGCATCCTCACCAGCATCTGACGTTGTCATCACTTTCAACGTTAGCCATTCTAAGAGGTGCATGGTGGCCCCTCGTGGTTTTAATGTGTTTTCCCTCTGGCAAATGGTGCTGAGTGTCTTTTCCTGTGTTTATTGGCATCTGCGTGTCCTCTTCAAGGAAACGACTCTTCATGGCTTTCGTCCATTTCCTACTACGTTATTCTTTTACTGTTGAGTTTTCGGAATTCTTTACGTATTCTAGATACAAGTCCTTTGTCGGATATGTGGTTTGCAAATATTTCTCCCACTCAGTAACTTGTCTTCCATCCTCCCCCCAGGGTCTTTGCGAGCGAAAGTGTTTAATTTGGAGGAAGTCCAGTTTATCCATGCTTCCTCTTACGGAGCAGGCTTCAGCATCAAGTCTGAGAGCTCTTCATCAAGCCCTAGGTTCTGAAAATGCTCTTCTCTGGGTTTTCTAACAGTTGTTTAGGTTTGTAGTTTACGTTAGGTCCATGATTCATTTTGAGTTAATTTTTATATAACATGTGAGATGTAGATCCAGGTGTATTTTTTGCTCATCTCCATATTTTCCATGACTGCCCCAGCGCCATACATTGAAAGGCTGTCCTCCCTCCGGTGAATTGCTTTGACATCTTTGCAGGACATCCATTGGGCACATTTGTGTGGGTCTGTTCCTAGGTTTATTGGTCTGTGTGTCTCCTGCCAACACTGCAGGATGACCGTAGCCTCACGGCCAGCTTCGCTGCCGGGTGGAGGGATGGCTTCGTGGACAGTGTGAGGTGGTCATGCCCTGGCCTTCACCTGTGTCCCTCCACCAGGGTGGGAACATGCACACAGCACTGCCCGTACTCAGCCCCCTCCTCAGCAGGCAGGGGTTCTGCCATGCTGTCCACGGCACTGCCGCGTGACCACAGCATGGCCCTGGGGTGGCCCCAGGCAAGCTCCTTCCCACTGCTTCACACATCTTCAGTAAAAGAACAAGGACAGTGCCTGCCTCATGGGCGGGGAAGGTCAGGGGCAGGCGTCTATGTGGCTCCCGGCAGTGACGCTGTCATTGACAGTGTCCTTATTATCTGCAGCTGTAACTCCTTCATATTAACAGCAACTTAATAATACATTCTGGCTCAAAATATCAGTTCATTTTCCTGACTCCACCAAGGTAATTCTGTCAACTCAAACCTCTCTTAATAAATACAAGACAACTTTGAAAACCACCTATGTTCCAGATTCCTCAGAGCACCGAGGTCCACGGGGTCCTTGCCTGGTCACCCTGCTGGTCTGCCTGGCAATCCCTGTCTTCCCTGAGGGCTGAGCTACACCTCGGATATGCATATTTGTGAATGATCACAAATTCCAAATCAGCCATGTCTGAACGATGCAGTTTTCTGGCCTGGGATGGGCCAACCATGGCCATGCCTGAGGTCTGGTTCCCAGACGCTGGCCTGCCAGGAGGACTTGGGTGCAGGTGATTTATGAAGGACCTGCCTGCTCCCAGGAGATGTCTGGGAGGGAGGAGGAGGTGCAGGATGCCCTGACAAGCAGAAACAGCACCTCAGAAGGGCCCCAATGCAAGGCAAGGTTGCTGGGTTCTGTGCAGGGCCCCAGCAGGTTCTCAGGAGGGGAAGAGGCATCACTGAAAATGACAGTGACCACTGAAGGCGTCTGTCCAGGTGGCATCCAGGCCCCTGCAGGGTTGGCTACAAGCCACAGCTGGTTTCCCCCTCCCGTCTAGAGTAATGGCCCACAGGCTGTGTTTCCCAAGGGCTCCTCCTGCAGGATCCTGGCATTTATATCTGCAGGAGGACTCTGAGACCCATGGAGACCTGTGCTGAGAAACAGCCACCCTTGTCCCCAGGGCAGAGAAGTACCCGGGGGACCCTCTGGCTGTCTGCCTGCAGATCAGCATGCAGCCCCCCAGGGTGCCTTTGGGTCTAAAAAGGTGTGTTCTATTCCTTTGAACTGGACCTTTTGAGAAGAGCAAGCAACAGATGAAAAATAGCTGTGGCCACCACCCTGACCTGAAGCTCACGCACCCGCACCTGCCTCAGCTGTCCACTCTGCCTAGTCCCAAGAACCGCACTGGACGTGGGCTCCGCTGGTCTCCACCGACGATCCCTGCTTCTCTGCACCCAGGGGCAGGGCCAGCAATGAGGCCTAGTGAGGTTCCACGTGGGAAGGACACACCTTCCGCTGAAGATGCGATCATGCGGTCATCACAGAAATGCGGCCGGCGGCATTCATCCACTCGGCCAGGTGCCAGGCACCACTCTTAAGTTCTCCATACAAATCAGCTCACTAAATGCCACGACAGCCCCAGGAAACGGCTAGTTTTATTTCCCCCGCATACAACATGAGGAAGTGAAGGCACCGTTCTGTAACAGTAAAGACCCACAGCAGCTGGGAGGGAAAGGCAAGACTTAGAGGCCAATGGATGGTCTCCTGAACGCCCCTGCTAACCACTCTGCAAACCGCCTCCCCTTCCCCGCCTGTGCGTTAGGAATGCCTTTGGCTGAAAGTCACAGAAAACCCAACCACAGAGAACCCAACCACAGAAAACCCAACCACAGCAGCTTGAACAAGTGGAGGCTGGGGTGAGAGCTCAAGGCGTCGGGCCGAGGCCTGTGTGGTGGTCACCCCGCTTCTCAGTTCTCACCACGTTGTCACGAGGTGGCTGCGGCGCCCCCAAGCGTCACGTACACCATCAGGCAGGAGGGAGGAGGGGGCAATGTGTAGCATGGGCAGTTTCCTGTAGGAAGAAGTCCCAGGTGGCTGTGTTGTCCTGTGGGTAAGGTGGGCATCTTAGCTGGGTGCTGCGGAGGGCACCAGGTGGGAACGCAGGAACCCCACCCTCCAGAAGCGCACTGTCCCGTTGAGAAACCCAGAGATACATCCGCTCCTCAAGGTGCAGGCCTCACACCTGGGGAAAGGCAGGGAAGCAAACGTCCCAGGCCACTGTGAACGGGAAGCGCCTTTCCCTGTCCCCGGGCCCTGGCAAAGGCTGTGCCCTCAGCCCAGGGCGCTGTCCCCCACGCTCTGCGCCAGCTCCTTTCCTCCTGCAGCTCACAGCCACTTCTGCACAGATGTCTTGCCCTGGCCTCTCCCCCAGGCAGCCCCCTCCATGCCCTGGGCGACTCCCTTGACACCCGGAGAGTCACTCAGGTGGCTGTTGGTCTCCACCACCGGGTTCCAGTTCTGAGCACAGAGACCCCATCTCCTCCTTCACCCTTGCCGTGGAGGCTGCAGGGAGAGCCCAGCCTCAGCCTGACCCCGGGGGCAGCTCTCAAGCCTTGATGACACCTCAGACGTGTCCCAGCACTAGCTCCTGGTTCTCCCAAGGTGGACTCATTCTGCAAGATGGGCAGGAGTCCATGAGGACCTCCTTGGCGGGGGCGGTCCTTGATGGACAGGTGGGGTCCACACAGGTGCAGAGGGAGGCAGATGTCTGCCAGGCCCACTGTGAGGCCAGGCGTCTCGTCCAGGGCAGGAGGGCAGTGGACAGCCAGCCTGCCATCCGTACTGCCTGGTCCCCTGGACCCCTCGCTCCCCATCACTGACCAGTGACTGTTTTCCACCGCTGTCCCCCGCAGCATCAGAGAACGAGCTCTCAGGGCTCGGGAACTCACCCAGGCTCTCAGCATTTCTCAAAGTGCCCAGGGAAAGACACCTCCGTATTGATGATTTTTTAACTAAAAAGGGCTCTAATCGGGATGTGCTACTTCCTCTAACCCCTCGTAACTGTGTGGGGCCTATATTATAAGTTTTGAAATTAATGTCATTTTAAAATATTAAAAAGCAGGGAAATCTGCGTGCTGCAAATGAAGTCAAAGAGACCTTCATCTATACAGCACCGAGTTTTTGCTTAAACAGATTATTCTATTAGTGGGCCCCGTTTATTTATTTATTTTCTTTCTTTGCCGGCAGAAGTCCCCCTGAGGTTAATGCACAGATGGCACTAGATACTTGAAAGTCGTCTGAATATTAAGAATTTAAATCTCTAGCCTCAGTGATTTGAACAGAAAGCCAATTATGGGGCTGAATTAGTTTTCAAATTAAACTGCAATTGAAGGCTTGTGAAATTAATCCTTTAAGGCGCATGGCAGCGTTGGTACATGAATTCCGAGAAAGAGCCGAGCCTGGCAGCCTCCGCTGTCTCCCCCTTTACCTGTTAGCACGATCCGTAAGGAGGTGTCCAGCATCTCCCACGTGAAAGACGAGGCTGTTCCTCACCTGCAGCCGGGGCGGGGGATGCTGTCCCAACTCGCTGCTTCCTTGATGGGGAAATACTCAGGTCTGTCTGCTGGGGGAGAAGGAGGTGGAAAGAGGCCTCCAGAGAAAGCCCTAGAAAGATGGTTTCCTTCTCATTCTCAAAGCCCACGGGGCAGGAGAACTCACCTGGGCACCCCAGGTTAGCGCAGATGCCACTGGGTGACCGTTCCTCGGCAGAGGGCACAGGTGAGGGACTGCTGGCCACATCTTTCCTGCAGGGAGCCCAGTTTCAGGATTTACAGCCTCTGTGGAACGGAGCCCTGCAGGGCTCGCACTTGAGCATGGCCCAGATCCTGCGTCACTGGAGAAGCGAGAGGGCCAGTGGGGACACGGGGATCCAGGTTCCCACTTCCCAGACACCAGAGCCAGCACTGCTTACAGCACAGGAAGGAGGCCAGAGGGACAGAGCAGCTCTAGGTGCAGAGGAGGAGCCGAGGCTCCCGGAGGTGAAGCGAGGGTGCAGAGCCATGAGGCTGGGATGGCTGCTCTAGTGCCAAGCCCCACCTGGCCTCCAAAGTCACCCAGGGCCACAGAGGCTCCTGCGGATGGAAAGAGGCCCCCGTCTCCTCCCAGCCTTACCAGCATGGGTTTCCAGACACTGCCTGCCTCAGCTTCAGCTTAGCCCTTGGGCGGGTGGACTGGAGCCCTGCCCCACAATTCACATCCATCCAGCACTTCAGAATGTGACCTTATTCAAAAATAGTTCTTTGCAGACATTTTGTTAAGATGAGGCCAGTAGGGTGGGCCCTGAATCCAATGACTGTTTTCCTTCTAACAAGAGGACAAGACACAGGGCAGGGCCTAAGACGGTGGAGGCAGAGGCTGGAGTGACGTGGCCACAAGCCCAGGAGCACCCAAGTTGGACGGTGCCCCAACCCCAGGAGCTGGAAGGGCCAGGGCAGGGCTGCTGGCGTTGAGCCCTGTGTGCTGGTGCTGCCTCCTGGCCTCTGGAGCTGACGGGGCCAGTTCTGTTGCTTCAAGCTCCCCATCTGCGGTGCTTTGGCACAGCAGCCCAGGAGACCAGTGCAGTCCCCTTTGGGGAGAAGCCTGGGGAACCCCCTGGTTTCGCCCACTTCCCTCCCCATGCAGCCAGAAACCCTGTCCATCGAACATCCTGCCACTTGGAGCCTGTGGGGAACGCAGCACATGCCCCCAGAAACACAAGAAAACACATTGCTGGGAGAGGGCTGTGTGACCCAAGCCACAGAGACCACGTCTGCTGATCCCAGGATCCTGGAGCGGCCACTGTGGCTCAGGGACTCCAGACACAAGGGGCCGTGGATCCAGTGAGGTCAGAGGCACCGCAGCTCCCTCTCCAGGACACACTCACTCAACTCCCAGAGCCAAGCCCTTGCCAGCGCGGACGGCGCCCATGAGAGGACCGAGGGGGAGGTGGCCCCAGCTTCCCGGGCAGACCCTTATGAGACAAACCCGATTATCTCCACCCATCATTCCCTCCTGAATCCACTGACAAACCAGCCCTGGTGAGTTCGCTGGGGCCTCCCAGGGCAAGGCCAAGTGCAGCAGTTGTCCTGTTGCCCTTGACCCCTGGCTGTGGTCCTCTCTGGGGCTGCACGGGGCCACTCTCCTGCCCTGTCACCCCCCCGGGTCCTGGCTTTCTCTCCAGTCTGCTGTGCAGCAGAGCCTCCAGGGCTCTGTGCCACACCTGGGGCATTTTCTGCCTAAATCCACCCCTGAGTGGATTCGAGGCAGCCTCGTGAACTTCAATCTGTGTGCGCCCAGACCTCATGCCCCGACCCCTGCCTGGCCTCTCCCTGTGCTCCCACCCCTGCCCCTGCCCCCCAACAGCTCTGCCAGGTACCCCTCCTGCCACCCTGCATCCCTCGCTGCATCCGGCAGGAGGCAGTGAGCTGACTTCCTGGCTAGTTAATGTAGGTGATGAACTGACTTCCTGGCTGATTAGTGTAGGTGATGAGCTGGCTTCTGGGGATGGTTAGTGTAGATGATGGACTGACTTCTTGGAATGGTTTATGCAGGTGATAACTGACTTCCTGGCTGGTTAGTGTAGATAATGGGCTGGCTTCCTGAATGGTTAGTATAGATAATGGTTGGCTTCCTGGCTGATTAGTGTAGATGATAGGTTGCTTCCTGGCTGGTTTGTGTATGTAATGGGTTAGTTTCCTGTACTGGTTAGTGTAGATGATACCTGGCATCCTGGGTGGTTAGTGTATGTAATGGGTTAGTTCCTGGGCTAGTTAGTGTAGATTATAGCTGGCTTCCTGGCTGGTTAGTGTAGATGATAGGTCGCTTCCTGGCTCATTAGTGTATGTAATGGGTTAGGTTCCTAGACTGGTTAGTGTAGATGATACCTGGCTTCCTGGCTGGTTAGTGTAGATGATAGCTGTCTTCCTGGCTGGTTTGTGTATGTAATGGGTTAGTTTCCTGGACAGGTTAGTGTAGATGATAGCTGGCTTCCTGACTGGTTAGTGTATGTAATGGGTTAGTTTCCTGAGCTAGTTAGTGTAGATGATAGCTGGCTTCCTGGCTGGTTTGTGTATATAATGGGTTAGTTTCCTTGGTTAGTGTAGATGATAGCTGGCTTCCTGGCTGGTTAGTGTAGGTAATGGCTTAGTTTCCTGGGCTGCTTACTGCAGGTGTGGTCAGAATTCTATTTTTATATTTGATCTGGTCATTGCTCGTGTTTATATTGAACATCTTAGCAGCACCTGGGATCATACGGTACCCTGTCACCACCAGCATCCTGGCACTGAGGTCATCAAGGGACCGAAGTTTCCTACCTGGAGGACCCTCAGTTGTTCTGTAGTGGCCACACCACCCCCTGGCATGGGGGATTTTGCCCAGAGGACCCTCGGTGCCACCCCCTGGCATGGGGGATTTTGTTTATGAGCTTCAGCCCCTGGGGTATACACAACATAGGTCTCAATGCTTGGCACAGAGGGATGTTCAGTAAATATTTGTTCCAGGCCCTACTCTGCTCTCAGAAACGATGTCAGCTTGGACAGCCAGGGTTTTCCACACCTGCGATTTTTTCCTTAGGATAAACTCCTAGCAGTGAATTTGCTGAGTGGGCACATTTTGAAGGGTTTTGTGTATGCACAGCTAAACCGCCTCTGAGAAGCTGAGGCCTCCCCCTCCCCCCGGAGGCCATGGAAGGGGCCAGCTGCCCTCTGTGCCATCACGATTAGGTACCATCATTATTTTAAAGTAGCTTTTGCACATTTGACATGTGGAAAATGTCTTCCTTTCATTTCTTTGATCAATAATAAAGTTGGTTTTAAAAAGAAGGAGAAGCAGCAGAAAGCCCATCTGTGTTAAAGATGTACGATCCAGACCCTTTGGCAAGAG